>NC_000001.11:120288534-121023233 GCF_000001405.40 Homo sapiens
GTGAATTTACTTGTTTGAAAGAACAAAGTGGGTATGGATGGGGTGTTTTTAAATGTGTTTTAGATAATTTAAATTTTGCCCTAGGTATAGGATATGTTTAAAGCAGAAAACAGGTTTGTGTTGGGGCTGATCAACATCTTGCCTGGGGCAGAAGGAGTGAGGAAAAATTCCACTCTGTTATATGTTTGGATAGCTGGAAAGAGACTTACTTTCACCTGAAGGAAGATAAGTAAGAACATAAAATCATTATTCAGAGGTAGAGAGGATCTTGAAGATAATCTACATAATCCTTTCACTTTTTAAGAAAACCATTTATTTAAAAATAATTTTAGACTTATAGCAAAGTTATAAAAATAGTACAGAGTGTTCCCATATGCCATTCACTCAGCTTCCTCTAAAGAATAAACCCTTCATTTTAAAGATAAGATGACTAAAGCTCAGAATAGTAATTTGCCTAACGTCACACGGTAAATTAGTAGCCAAGCTGAGACTAGAATCCAGGAGCCCTAACTACCTGTTCAGGCTGCTTACAATGACCTCTGGGACCTTCAACAAAAATTCAAGAAATGTAAGTGCTTGTCAGAACTTAGTTTTTCTTTCTTTTTGCATTACTGGGCTAAAATAGAACTCACACAGCAGGAGCTAGAGTAATTACAGAGAGATGAATCTGCACTCTGTGCCTACTGCCAAAAGAAAAGGTTTAGTTCCTCAGCCTCCTCAGGAGTTTCATCCATATGTTTTCAAAAGTCACCGTGAACATATTTTTCTCTTTTGCCTTGCTCCCTGCTCTGGCTTTTGCCATCTCATCTGATCAAGTTCAACTGCACAGAGAGAGGAGGCTCTATGATACATGGAGTAGGCACAGAGCGAGGCTGGTGCAAACTGGAAAGGGGCCCGCCCTATCATGTTCAATAGCAGCTAATCCACCCACACACCGACAGCAGTGATCCGACTTGGTACATGCCGTTCTGTGGAGAGCTAAGTAATAGTCATGTGGCTTTTTGCCAAGCAACTTTAGAAGTGACATTGGGCCACAGTGGGCAGTTACTATCCCTGTTATTTAGAAACTTGGCTTGATGAAGTGGGGAGTGAATGCAAGGCACAAGCTGCATTGTAATGCCAGCTTTTCATATCCCAGCCTCATGTAAGCCCTGCTGCTGCAAAGGGCTACAAGCCACCTCTTCATGCACACAGGGCTTTAGAAAGCCCACCCAGAGGCTTGGGAAGAGGAAGCCCTTCTTTAAGGTGCCTGGATGAGCGGCAGGGAGGCTGCCAGCATGATGGCTATGATCTGGAGCTGCAGAAAGAGGGTCTAGGCACTGGTCAAGGGCCTGAAGTCAGCCAGTTCTTTCAGGTCACTTTTTCTTGGTAAGTCTCAGATCTTCTCCCTGAGACCACACAGGTAGCTTCCTCTATCAGAGTTACTCCGTGAGACCTCACACTCCAGATTCTTATCAGTCAAGCTCAGTATCTGCTCAACACAAAAGTAAATCTAGTCTTGCCCACTGTGAACTCCGAAAATTTGAGACAGGTCTCAGTAAATTTAGAAAGTTTATTTTGCCAAGGTTGAGGACACATGCCCCTGGCATAGCCTCAGGAAGTCTTTATGACATGTGACCAAGGTGTTTGGGGCACAGCTTGGTTTTGTACATTCTAGGGAGACATGAGACATCAATCAATGTATGTAAGAAGTACCTTGGTTCGGTCTGGAAAGGCGGGACAACTTGAAGCAAAGGCAGGAAAACTTGCAGTGGGGGAGGCGGCTTCTAGGTCACAGAAGAGAGACAAAAGGTTGCATTCTTTTGAGTTTCTAATTAGCCTTTCCAAAGGAGGCAATCAGATATGCATTTATCTCAGTGAGCAGAGAGATAACTTTGAATAGAATGGGAGGCAGGTTTGCCCTAAACAGTTTCCAGCTTGAGTTTTCCTTTTATTTTTTGTATTTTCATTTCCATAGGTTATTGGGGAACAGATGGTGTTTGGTTACATGAGTAATTTCTTTAGTGGTGATTTGTGAGATTTTGGTGCACCCATCACCCAAGCAGTATATACTGCACCCTATTTGTGATCTTTTATCCCTCACCCACTTCCCACCCTTTCCCCTTGAGTCCCCAAAGTCCACTGTGTCATTCTTATGCCTTTGTATCCTTATAGCTTAGCTCCCACTTATGAGTGAGAACATACAATGTTTGGTTTTCCTTTCCTGCCTTACTTCACTTAGAATGATAGTCTCCAATCTCATCCAGATCATTGTGAATGCGTTAATTTATTCCTTTTATTGGCTGAGTAGTATTCTATCTCATATATATATATATATATATATATATATATATATATATATATCCATCATATATATATATATGTGTGTGTATACACACCACAGTTACTTTATCCACTCATTGATTGGTGGGCACTTGGGTTGGTTCCACGTTTTTGCAGTTGTGAACTGTGCTGCTATACGTATGCGTGTTCAAGTATCTTTTTTGTATAATGACTTCTTTTCCTCTAGGTAGATACCCTGTAGTGGGATTGCTGGATCAAATGGTAGTTCTACTTTTAGTTTTTTAAGGAATCTCCACATTGTTTTCCATAGTGGCTGTACTAGTTTACATTCCCACAAGCAGTGTAGAAGTGTTCCCTGTTCACTGCATCCACATCCATATCTACTATTTTTTTATTTTTTTGATTATGGCCAGTCTTGCAGGAGTAAGGTGGTATCACATTGTGGTTTTGATTTGCATTTCCCTGATTATTAGCGATGTTGAGCCTTTTTTCATATGTTTGTTGGCCATTTGTATATCTTCTTTTGAGAACTGTCTATTCATGTCCTTAGCCCACTTTATGATGGGATTGTTTGTTTTTTCTTGCTGATTTGTTTGAGCTTGTTGTAGATTCTGGATGTTAGTCCTTTGTCAGATGTACAGACTGTGAAGATTTTCTCCCACTCTGTGGGTTGTCTGTTTACTCTGCTGACTGTTCCTTTTGCCGTGCAAAAGCTCTTTAGTTTAATTAAGTCCCAGCTGTTTGTCTTTGTTTTTATTGCATTTGCTTTTGGGTTCTTGGTCATGAAATCCTTGCCTAAGCCAATGTCTATAAGGGTTTTTTCGATGATACCTTCTAGAATTTTTATAGTTTCAGAACTTAGATTTAAATCCTTAATCCATCTTGAGCTGATTTCTGTGTAAGGTGAGAGATGAGGATCCAGTTTAGTTCTCTTACATGTGGCTAGCCAATTATCCCAGCACCATTTGTTGAAAAGGGTGTCCTTTCCCCACTTTATGTTTTTGTTTGCTTTGTCGAAGATCAGTTGGCTGTAAGTATTTGAGTTTATTTATGGGTTATCTATTCTGTTCCATTGGTCTCTGTGCCTATTTTTATGCCAGTATCATGCTGTTTTGGTGACTATGGCCTTATAGTATAGTTTGAAATCAGGTAATGTGATGCCTATAGATTTATTCTTTTTGCTTAGTCTTTCTTTGGCTATGCGGGCTCCTTTTTGGTTCCATATGAGTTTTAGAATTGTTTTTTCTAATTCTGTAAAGAATGATGGCGGTATTTTGAAGGGAATTGTGTTAAATTTGTAGATTGCTTTTGGCAGTATGGTCATTTTCACAATATTGATTCTACCCATCCATGAGCATGGGATGTGTTTCCATTCATTTGTGTCGTCTATGATTTCCTTCGGCAGTGTTTTGTAGTTTTCCTTGTAGAGGTCTTTCACCTCCTTGGTTAGGTATATTCCTAAGTATTTTATTTTATTTTATTTTTTGCAGCTGTTGTAAAAGGGGTTGAGTTCTTGATTTGATTCTCAGCTTGGTCGCTGTTGGTGTATAGAAGAGCTACTGATTCGCATGCATTAATTTTGTATCCAGAAATTTTGCTGAATTGTTTTATGAGTTCTAGGAGCTTTCTGGAGGACTCTAGGATTTTCTAAGTAAACAATAATATCATCAGCAAATAGTGACAGTTTGACTTCCTCTATAACAATTTGGATCCCCTTTATTTCTTTCTCTTGTCTTGCTCTGGCTAGGACTTCCAGAACTATGTTGAAGAGGAGTGGTGTGAGTGGGCATCCTTGTCTTGTTTCAGTTCTCAGAGGAAATGCTTTTAACTTTTCCCCCAGTCATTATTACGTTGGCCGTGGGTTTGTCATAGATGGCTTTTATTACATTGAGATATGTCCCTTGTATGCTGATTTTGCTGAGAGTTTTAATCATAAGGGGATGCTGGATTTTGTCAAATGCTTATTCTGCATCTATTGAGATGATCATGGTGATTTTTGTTTTTAATTTTGTTTATGTGGTGTACCACATTTATTGACTTGCGTATGTTAAACCTCCCTGCATCCCTGGTATGAAACCCACTTGATCACGGTGGATTATATTTTTGATATGTTGTTGGATTCGGTTAGCTAGTATTTTGTTAAGGATTTTAGTATCGATGTTCATCAAGGATATTGGTCTGCAGTTTTCTTTTTTGGTTATGTCCTTTTCTGGTTTTGGTATTAGGGTGATGCTGGCTTCATAGAATGATTTAGGGAGGGTTCCCTCTTTCTCAATCCTATGAAATAGTGTCAATAGGATTGGTACCAATTCTTTGAATGCCTGGTTACATTCTGCTGTGAATCCATCCGGTCCTGGACTATTTTTGTTGGTAATGTTTACATTACCATTTCAATCTTGTTGCTTGTTATTGGTCTGTTCAGAGTATCTAATTCTTCCTGATTTAAGCTAGGAGGGTTGTATCTTTCCAGGAATTTATCCATCTCTTCTAGGTTTTTTTTTTTTTTTTTTTTTTTTTTTTGAGATGGAGTCTTGCTCTGTCGCCTAGGCTGGAGTGCAGTGGTGTGATCTCGGCTCACTACAAGCTCCGCCTCCCGGGTTCATGCCATTCTCCTGCCTCAGCCTCCCGAGTAGCTGGGACTACAGGTGCCCACCATGGCGTCCGGCTAATTTTTTGTATTTTTATTTTTATTTTTTATTTTTTATTTATTTTATTTTATTATTATTATACTTTAAGTTTTAGGGTACATGTGCACAACGTGCAGGTTAGCTACATATGTATACATGTGCCATGCTGGTGTGCTGCACCCATTAACTCGTCATTTAGCATTAGGTATATCTCCTAATGCTATCCCTCCCCCCTCCCCCCACCCCACAACAGTCCCTAGAGTGTGATGTTCCCCCTCCTGTGTCCATGTGTTCTCATTGTTCAATTCCCACCTATAAATAATGCCGCATATCTACAACTATCTGATCTTTGACAAACCTGAGAAAAACAAGCAATGGGGAAAGGATTCCCTATTTAATAAATGGTGCTGGGAAAACTGGCTAGCCATATGTAGAAAGCTGAAACTGGATCCTTTCCTTACACCTTTTTTGTATTTTTAGTAGAGACGGGGCTTCACCATGTTAGCCAGAATGGTCTTGATCTCCTGACCTTGTGATCCACCCACCTTGGCCTCCCAAAGTGCTGGGATTACAGGCGTGAGCCACCACGCCCGGCAGCTTTATTTATCTTTTCAAAGAACCAGGTTTTCATTTCATTTATCTTTTGTATTTTTTGTTTGTTTGTTTCAGTTTCATTTAGTTCTGCTCTGATCTTGGTTATTTCCTTTCTTCTGCTGGTTTGGGTTTGGTTTGTTCTTGTTTCTCTAGTTCCTTGAAGTGTGACCTTTGATTGTCTGTTTGTGCTCTTTTAGACTTTTTGATGTAGGTGTTTAGGAATATGAACTTTCCTTTTAGCACTGACTTTGCTGTATTCCAGAAGTTTTGATAGGTTGTATCACTATTTTTGTTCAATTTGAAGATTTTTTTAATTTCCATCTCGATTTCATGATCATTCAGGAGCAGGTTAATTTCCATGTATTTGCATGGTTTTGAAAGCTCCTTTTGGAGTTGATTTCCAGTTTTATTCCACTGTGGTCTGAGAGAGTGCTTGATATAATTTCAATTTTCTTAAATTTATTGCGGCTTGTTTTGTGGCCTACCATGTGGTCTATCTTGGAGAAAGTTCCAGGCACTGTTGAATAGAATGTATATTCTGCAGTTGTTGGATGGAATGTTCTGTATATATGTCTTAAGTCCATGTGTTCCAGGGTATAGTTTAAATCCATTGTTTCTTTGTTGACTTTCTGTCTCATTGGCCTGTCTAGTGCTGTCAGTGACATATTGAAGTCCCCCACTATTATTGTGTTACTGTCTATCTCATTTCTTAGGTCTATTAGTGATGGTTTTATAAATTTGGGAGCTCCAGTGTTAGGTGCATATATGTTTAGGATTGTGATATTTTCCTGTTGGACAAGGCCTTTTATCATTATATAATGCCGCTCTTTGTCTTTTTTAACTGCAATTTCTTTAAAGTTTGTTTTGTCTGATATAAGAATAACTACTGCTGGGCCAGGCACGGTGGCTTATGCCTGTAATCCTAGCACTTTGGGAGGCCAAGGCAGGCAGATCACCCCTGCCTGTACTAAACCTATCTGTACTAAAAATACAAAAATTAGCTGGGCATGGTGGTGCACACCTGTAGTTCCAGCTACTTGGGAAGCTGACACAGGAGAATTGCTTGAACCTGGGAGGTGGAGGTTGCAGTGAGCCAAGATCGCGCCATTGCACTCCAGCCTGGACTACAAGAGTGAAACTCCATCTCAAAAAAACCAAAAAAACAATAGTTACTTCTGCTTGCTTTTGCTTTTGGTGTCCATTTGCATGAAATGTCTTTTTCCACCCCTTTACCTTAAGTTTATGTGAGTCCTTATGTGTCAGATAAGTCTCTTATGTGTTAGGTGAGTCTCTTAAAGGCAGCAGATAGTTGGTCGGTTAATTCTTATCCATTCTGCAATTCCGTATCTTTTAAGTGGCGCATTTCGGCCATTTACATTCAATGTTAGTATTGGGATGTGAGGTACCATTCCGTTCATTGTGCTTTTTGTTGCCTGTATACCTTGGTTTTTTGGGTTTTGTTTTTGTTTTTTTGAATTGTATTTTTGTTTTATAGGTCCTGTGAGATTTATATTTTAAAGAGGTTCTGTTTTGATGTGTTTCCAGGTTTTGTTTCAAGATTTGAAGCTTCTTTTAGCAATTCTTGTAGCGCTGGCATGGTAGTGGCAAATTCTCTCAGCATTTGTTTGTCTGAAAAATACTGTATCTTCTCTTCGTATATGAAGCTTAGTTTCACTGGATACAAAATTCTCAGCTAATAATTGTTTTGTTTTAGGATGCTGAAGATAGGGGCCCAATCCCTTCTGGCTTGTAGGATTCCTGCTGAGAAATCTGCTGTTAATCTGACAGGTTTTCCTTCATAGGTTACTGGGTTCTTTTGTCTCACAGCTCTTAAGATTCTTTCTTTTGTCTTAACTTTAGATAACCTGATGACAATGTGCCTAGGTGACGATCTCTTTGCAATAAATTTCCCAGGTGTTCTTTGTGCTTCTTGTATTTGTTTAGGTCTCTAGCAAGGTTGGGGAAATTTTCCTCAATTATTCCCCCAAATATGTTTTTCAAACTTTTAGATTTCTCTTCTTCCTCAGCAATGCCAATTATTCTTAGGTTTGGTCATTTAACATAATCCCAGAGTTTTTGGAGGCTTTGTTCATATTTTCTTATTTGTTTTTCTTTGTCTTTGTTGGATTGGGTCAAATTGAAGACTTTGTGTTCAAGCTCTGAATTTCTTTCTTCTACTTGTTTGATTCTATGGCTGAGACTTTCCAGACCATTTTGCATTTCTATAAGTAAATACTAACACAGTATTTGGTGTGTCTCCTGGGTCCTGCAGGAGCCATCTGCTTCCTTCAGGGGGCCTGTGGGTCCTCTGAGGTTTTGTAATTTATTCCTCCAGTCGTTCTGGAGCAAAAATTCATGATACGAGCCTCCACATGCTTCTCTGTCCATCCGAGTCGGAGCTGCAATCTAGTCCTGACTTCCATCCAGCATGATCCTGAGTTTTCCTTTTAGCTTAGTGATTTTGGGAGCCCAAGATATTTTCCTTTCCCACCCACCTAGCACAGTTGTATTGATGACAACAGGGTTGTCAACTCTCTACTTCAAAAATCAGGAAGTGCTGGGTCCAGAGCTGGATTCCCAGAGTCTTCCTGTAGCAGAAATCAAATGAAGGTGGTGAACTTCTGGGACTCAGAGGAGCAGATCCCTTAGAGGTGGGGAGCAGTATTGTACTAAGGCTTGTTCTTTCCAACCCCTTCTAGTCTGTGGGATTGTGGGGAAGCTCAGCTTGCTGACAAAACCATTTGGAGCCTCAGAAGACTAGGAGGCAGGTTAGTAATAACCAGTCCCTGCCATCTTCTGTGAAGCTGGGGTGAGAGCAGACAGGTTCCTTCAGCTGTGTGGAAGCTTGGTTCTGTAGGGAGCACATAAAAGGGCTGGAGAGAATTGCTGCAGTTAGAGGATGGTGATGTCAATTAGGAATGGAATTCCACCTGACGCTTTCTGAGTTGGCCTTCAACTGCTAGCTTCCAAATTTCTACCTCCCGTCTCCTTCCTCCTGTTTTCTCTACTGCTGCAAGGGGACAGGGTCTTAACCAGTGCCTAACGTTCTTGATGTAAGGTGCAGGAAAATAAATGGTTATAAGGAAAGCAGCCTGAGGACTCCTTCCCTATAATTTGCAGCTACTTTATCTGCAGAAGAGGTTTCTAGACCCAGGTCTTGTCCCATCTTCTGGTATTAAATTCTTCCTACTCTTAGGCCCTTTCTGTCCTTCTTTGCCCCATATCCTCCCCCCACTTTTCCCAAATTCACTCATGCACATGGCAAGTAAACGCTAAACACTTCCCATTTAAATGCTATAGAGGAAGAAATCTGTTTTGTGTTTACTGTGTGCCAGGCACCATGTTATGCATCTTACACATATTTAATTTCAACCATATAATAGTCCTATGAAGTGGGTGTCTTGTTCCCATTTTTCACAGGATGAAATTTGCCATCAATAGGCTCAGGGAGAGTACCTGGTATCCCAGCAGCCGTGTGGCCTCATTCTACAGTTAAGCAAGGCTTTGGTACATTCTTTAGAATTTAGTTAGTAACTCTTTCAAATGCAAATGATGTTTTCCAGTGAATAACTACATTGTGTTATTCACTGGAGAGAAAGAAAGGACTCTAGTAAAATGATATTTACTTTCGTAGTGACTTTTGCCAAGATTGTGGCAGGAAGGGGTGGCATTGTCTCATTGAGGTACCTGCAGTACAAGGTGGCATTGACCTCATTTTTACTCTTAAAACAGGTGCAACTTGCCGTGTGCAATGTGCCTGGGCTGTCCTTATCTGTATAGGTTGCCCTGTTAGGCTTGTGCTGAGTCTGGTTTGGAACTCTAGAATTCAGAGGAAATAGGAAATTCATTAAACCAAACTAAAAAGGTTAGAAAATGAGGCTTATGTGAAAAGGGCAATGGAATTGGGATTTTTACTTTGGGGGAAAACAGACTTACAGGTGACCTAATAGTGCCTTTTAGGTACTGAAGTCTCAATATGTGACAAGTGGTAATTAGTTATTCTCTGTCCCTGCCGAGGATAAGAATAGGTCAATCCTAGTTTAAACTAAACATTAGTCTTCATTCATTTAAAAATATGTACTAAGCCCCTACTGTGTTCTAGATTCTATTGGAGGTGACTGGAGTATATATCAATATATTCATGTATAAGTCTTTGTTTTATTTCTTTTGGGTAAATACCCAGTAGTGGAACTGTTAGGTCATATAATAAGCACATACAGGCATTCCCATCCTCATAGAACTTATAGTCTGTCATGAGTAGACAGAAAATAAACAATAAATATTATAAATAAAGTATGTAGAATGTTGGAAAGTGAAAGTCCTCTTGGGGCAAGGGAAGGAGAGCATTTAAATGCTTCCCATTTATTTCTGATCAGCTCTTGATAGAAAAAAAATTGCTCCCTATTTAAATCCTATGGAAGAAGAAATCCATTTAGTGTTTACTATAAGCCAGGCACCATGTTATGCATTTTACACATATTTAATCTCAATCAAGTAATAGTCCTACGAAGTGGGGGTCTTGCCCCACTTCAAAAATGAGCAAAGGTGTGGTGGCTCAAATCTGAAACTCCAGCACTTTGGGAGGCAGTGGTGGAAGGATTGCTAGAGCCTAGGAGGTCAAGGCTGCAGTGAGCTGTGTTTGCATCACTGAACTCCAGTGATCAGACTGCACTCCTGGGCAACAGATCGAGACCTTGTCCCAACTAAAAAATGGGCAAAGGACATGAACGGAAGACATACATGGGGCCAACAAATATTTGAAAAAATTCTCATGCTCAATATCACTAATCATTAGAGAAATGCAAGTCAAAACCACAATGAGACACCATTGCACACCAGTCAGAATGCCTACTGTGAAAAACAAAAAATAAGGTGTTGGCAAGGTTGTAGAGAAAAGTGCTTATACGCTGTTGGTGAGAATGTAAATTAGTTCAGTCACTGCGGAAAGCAGTTTGGTGATTTCTCAAAGAATTTAAAAGAAAACTACCATTTGACCCAGCAATCCCATTACTGGATATATACCCAAAGGAAAATAAATTGTTCTACCAAAAAGACACATGCACTTACATGTTCACTGCAGCACTATCCACAATAGCAAAGGCATGGAATCAACCTAGATACACATCAACAGTAGACTGGGGAGGAAAAATACGGTACATATAAAGCACGGAATACTATGCATCCATTAAAAGAATGAAATCATGTCTTCTGCAGCAAAAGAGATGCAGCTGGAGGCCATTATCCTAAGCTAATTAACACAGGCACAGAAAACCAAATACTGCATGTTCTCACTTATAAGTGAGAGCAAAACTTTGAGACATGGACACAAAGATGGGAACAATAAGCACTGGGGCCTACCCCAGTGGAAGGTAGAAGGGGGGAGAGGGTTGAAAAGCTAACTATTGGGTACTATACTTACTACCTGCGTGATGGGTTCATTCATACACCAAACCTCCGCAACATGCAAGTTACCCATGTAACAAACCTGCACATGTACCCCCTGAACCTAAAACAAATGTTGAGAAAAAAATTACAGGAGTGGAGAGCAGGTTGCAGTATTAAGGAGTGGCCAGGAGAGGCCGTGTTTAGAAAGTGATTTAAAACACCCTTCCATACCCAAATGCACAGCCACCCCTACCCCTATCCCTCCTTCACCCCCCAACACATTTATTATCTCACAGTGTGTGTGGGTCAGGAATCCAGGCACCGCTTAGCTGGGTTGTCTGCTTAGGGTCTCCCTAGGCTACAGCCAAGGTATTGGCCAGGCTGCATTCTCCTCTAGAGGCTTGACTGAGGAATCTGACTCAGAGCTCACTTGGGCTGTCAACAGAATCCATTTCTTTGTAGCAGTAGGACTGAGGGCCTTGACTTCTTGCCAGAGGTTGGCTAGAGGCTGTCCAGGGTTCCTTGAAGTCACCTAGTGTTCCTTGCCATGTGAGCTTTCCCCATATGGCCACTTCAAGTCAGCAAGGAGAGGCTCTAGAGCAAATCTGCAAGCAAGAGAGCCTTGAAATTTAATATAATCACAGGAGTGACATTCTTTCACCTTTGCCATATTCTATTGGTTAGAAGTAAGTCGCAGGGCCTGCTCATACCCAAAGAGAAGGAGTTACACAAGGGCACAAACACCAAGAGGCGGGGATCATGGGGAGCCACACTGTAGTTTGTGGACCACACTACCTTTTACTTTTTTTTTTTTGAAAGGATGGGATGGAAAGAGAAGCAAATAAACATGACAGTTACCAGTGCAGGAAGATTTGTTTCTAGGTTTACCTTCACAGCCTTTATGGCCTTCCAAGCTGACCTGAGGCAATGAAAGCATCCTAGACTGGTAGTCTCCATGCCAACCAAGCTCTTTACTCATTCTTTGCACTTGGCAGTTTGCATTGCCACTTGCTATGTCATTTTAGTTTTTCCTTTCATGTTTTGTTTAAATAAACTTTATTAAGTATGCAGTTAGATAAATTTTAACAAATGTATACCACTGTATAACAAACACCACACAATCAAGATAAAAAAATACTTCCATCACACCAAAAAAGTTTCCATATGTCCTACTGGTGCCACATGTTTCAAACCTTTCATACCTCTGGCTGCAGAAAACCACTGATCTGCTTTCTGTTGATAGATAGTTCTGTCTATTGTAGAATTTCATTGAAAGTGAATCATAAAATACAGACTATAGTATCTGGCTCTTAGAATAATGATTTTGAGTTTCATCCATGCTATTTGTATCAGTAGTACATTCATTTTTATTGCTGAGTAGTATTCCATTGTATGAATATAATACAATTTGTTTATTCATTCATTTGTTGATGAATGTATGAGTTGTGTTCAGTAACAGGCTATTATGGATTAAGCTGCTATGAATATTCATGTAACAAGTCTTTGTTTTATTTCTTTTGGGTAAATGCCCAGTAGTGGAACTGTTAGGTTATATAATAAGTATATATAGATTAAATATCTCTTATCTGAAATGCTTGAACCAGAAGATTTTCAGATGTGTTCAGATTTTGAAATATTTGCATATACATAATGAGATATCTTGGGGATGGGACCCAAGTCTAAACATGAAATTTATTTATGTTTCATATACACCTTGTACACATAGCCTGAAGGTAATTATGTTTTTCTCTTGGGGATGCTGAATAAACTGGGTGTTGTGCCTGCATTTTTGCTGCAACCTTTCATGAGGTCAGGTATGGAGCTTTCCACCTGAGGTATCATGTTGGTCCTCAAAAAGTTTTGGATTTTGGAACATGCTGGATTTTGAATTTTTAGATTAGGGATGCCCAGTCGGTATTTCTGCCTATTTTCTGAATAGATACTGTCTAACTATTTTTCAAAGTGGCTATGCCATAGAAAATAATTTTCAAATAGCAACTTGAAGGAGATGACGAAGTTGGTCAAACAGAGAACTGGGGGAAGAATATTCCAGGCAGAGAAACATCAGGAAAGCCACTGTGGCTGATGCAGCATAATCAAGATTAAGCATGCTGGAAGATGAGGCCCCAGAGGGTATGGGGCTTGTGTAGTAAGTCCCTGTAGATGATTTTAAAGACTTCAGCTTTTACTCAGAGTGACATGGGAACCTATTGAAGGGTTTTGAGCAGAGGAGGGGTCTAACAAATGCCAGTCCTGTCTGACTTGTTGAAATGATAAATCTGGTTACAGTATTGCAAATAGGCTGTAGAACAAAAGTAGACACCAGGAGGACTCTTAGGAAGACACTGCAGTAATGTATGTAGGGGCTGATAGTGATCAGACTTAGGTAATAGTGATGCATGTGGGAACAAGTGGTGAAGGTAGCAAATCTAAAAGGATTTTGTCAATGGATTGGATACAGAATGGGAGAGAAATAAAGGAATCAAGGAAAATTCCAGGGTTTTTGGAGTAAGCAACTGGAAGGATGGAGTTGCCATAACTGAGATAGGGAAGGCTATGGATGGAGCAGATTTGAAGGTGGAGAGTAGGGGTTCAGTTTTGGAAATTTGGTGTGTAAGCTATTTGCTAGACATTTTATGTGGCAGCATTAAGTAAGCAGTTGAATACATAAGTCTAAAGTTCAGGAAATAGAGTAGGGCTAGAGACATAAATTTGGGAGTTATCAGCAAATAGATCATTAAATATTAAATTTAAATATTTAAAGCCATGAAACCATAGGAGATCACCAAAGGAGTTGGAGTTAGACCTTTCCAGGTGGAAGAGAAAAGGACCAGAGACTGGTCCTGTATAGCTCCAACATTAGTAATTTGGAGAAAAGAGGAAGAATCAGAAAAGGAAGATAGAGAAGGTACAAACCAGTGAAGTAGGAGAAAAAGTCTGGAGTCCCGGAAGCCAAATGAAGAATGTGTGTAGTGAAGAGGACAGGATCCACCTTTTGAAATCCTGCTGAGAGCTTGAGTAATACGATGATTAAGAATTGACCTTTGGCCCGCCAGACGTGGTGGCTCACGCCTGTAATCCCAGCACTTTGGGAGGCCAAGGTGGGCCAATCACTTGAGGTCGGGAGTTTGAGACCAGCCTGACCAACATGGTGAAACCTGGTCTCTACTGAAAATACGAAAATTAGCTGGACATGGTGGCGCATGCCTGTAATCCCAGCTACTCAGGAGGCTGAGGCAAGAGAATCACTTGAACCCAGGAGGCGGAGGTTGCAGTGAGCCGAGATTGCACCACTGCACTCCAGCCTGGGCAACAGAGCAAGACTCTGTCTCAAAAAAGAATTGACCTTTGGATTTAACAACATGGATGTCATTAGTGATCTTGATTAAAGTAATTCTGGTGGAGTGGTGAAGACAAAAGCCTGCTTGCAGTGGGTTTAAGAAACAATGTGAGGAGAAGAATTGGAGTCAATGAGGATGAATAATTACTTTGAGTTTTGTTTCAAAGGAGAGCAAAGGAATGGGGCATACCTGATAAGGGTATGAGGTCCATAGGGGATTTCTAGAAAGATAAATGAATAATAGCATGTTCGTATGCCAACAGAATTTTCCATTAGAAAGTGAAATATTGATAAAGAGAAGCAGGGGAGACCTTCTAGGTGTTGCCTTTGAGAGGTAGGGGGAATAGGACTTAATTAATACATAAGTGGAAGGTTTGGCTTTAGATAGGAGCATGGATAGTTGATCTATGGTTATAAGTGGAAAGACAGAGAATGTAACCCGAGATGTGTAGATGGATTGATATGGCGGTAAGAGACTGCCAGTGCTTTCTTCTGGTTTTTTTGTTTGTTTGTTTGTTTGAGACGGAGTATGTCCCTGTTGCCCAGGCTGGAGTGCAGTGGTGCAATCTCAGCTCACTACAACCTCTGCCTCCTGGGTTCAAGCGATTCTCCTGCCTCAGCCTCCCAAGTAGCTGGGATTACAGGCACACACCACCACACCTGGCTAATTTTTTTGTATCTTTAGTAGAGACGGGGTTTCACCATGTTGACCAAGCTGGTCTCGAACTCCTGACCTCATGATCCGCCCACCTCGGCCTCCCAAAGTGCTGGGATTACAGGCGTGAGCCACCACACCTGACCCAGGTGGGCCTTTTCTTATCACCACTGCCTGAAATCTTTCCCTCTCTGTGCTCTTCCAGCAATTGCCTACCCAAACCCTAGGCCCAGCCGACTTTGGAGGTCTCCAGTTGAACCTTCACCTTTTACTGGAATGGAGCAGTCTCTGCAAGAGGGGTTGGTGGAAGTAGGAAGCAAAAAAATTGAGAAAAGAAACAGTAAGAAGAGGAAGTTCTTGCAGGGAGAATTGTTTTTCAAGAGAGCTATATTTTTATTTTGAACAGCATCCATTTGTTTGATAAATATATCATTATCTTCTGTGTGTGGGCATTGTGCTAGCAATGCTACAATGGTGAGAAGATAGAGGGAGTCCCTGCCCTCATGACACTTAGAGTTTAGTGTCTGAACATAGTCCGAGCAGCATTGTGATACGCTGACTCCTGTTAAGTACAGTGCCTGTTATCATCCCTGCCCAGTGGTTTTGCTTCACTTATAATTACCTAGAGTCATTTTGGTATTTTGTTGGTTGATGGATGCCAGCACCCCACAAAACTCTCCAAGATGCTATGAGACCACAGGATTAACTGTGATTCAGGTCAGACTATGTCTTAATGCAAAGTACTTAAAGCAAATACATCTTTTTCCTAACATCTTATAGAACAGTGCTGTCCAACGTAAATATAAGCCATACATGTAATTTAAATTTTTCTCATGGCCACATTAAAAAAAGTAAAAAGAAATATGTGAAATTAATGTTAATAATACATTTAAAACATTATCATTTCAACATGAAATCAACATTTTACAATTATTAATGAGATGTCACATTCTTTTGTTGTAGTTAGTCTTTGAACTCCTGTGCGTGCTAAGTCTGAAATCCTTACAGCACATTTCGATTTGGACTAGTCACATCTCAAGGGTTCAGTAGCCACATGTGGCTCATGCCTGCCATCCTGGATGGTACATCTGTAGAGTCTACAGGGTAAGTGCTGTCCCTAGTGGAAGCAGAGCTTCAGAAGAGTTGCCTGATCATAGGACCTGGCTTCAGGACACAGCCAGGCTTCCAGGGAAGGAGTGACTGCTAGATATTAGAACTTAGTTTCTAATATCTTGTCTGTTTATTGTGTGAGATTCTGTGTAGGAAAAATGGTCCCAGACTTTGCAAAACACCAGTGACTGGCTTTGTCCTTTTTAGAGAACAGATCAAAGTATGTTTCAATCCAGAATTGAAAGCTGAATTTGGGGATAAATGTCAGATTATGTTAGGTGTTACAGATAATTTAAAAATATTTAGCAAGTTTCCTATGCAACAATTTATCTGTAGAAAAATTAATATAGTTTTTATATTCCAAAGTAAGGTTTTACTTAGTTTCCAGTTCTATAGCTGCTGCCCAAAGAAAACATTTATGTGAGAAGTTAAGGAAGTAAAGGGTGGTTCCCGTGAGCTCCAGTTCCTAAATAGCTGAGAAAAACAAACATTCTGAACATCCCCTTTAGCTCCTTCGGCAGGGCTGGGCTCCTGTCTCCACACAAGGTGTCCTGGGGCATTACAGGGGCTCCAGACTTACCCCTGGCTTTTGCAGGGGGCCTGCCCTTTGCTAAATTAAGCCCAGCCAGGCCTATCTGTGAACAGAGAGGCTCCAGCCGAGTGAGAGAGATTGGTTCTGCTAAGGAATGTCCTGGGGAGGGGAGAGAATCGCTGAGATCATGGGTATTTATGTGTATGTTTTCTCACTTGCCAGCTCAGTTGGGCCACATCAACAGAGGCCTCTGGGACACGACCAAGATTCTAACAGAGTGACTATAGGGAATGAATAGCTCATGACACACTGAGAAGGGTTTAATTGGAGATCAGTGTGAATACCACAGCAGAATGTATCTTGGGAACTCTGTGCTCAGAGTCTAAATAAAACAAGCAGAACACCTCATTTTCCCTCATTTTTCTTTTTGTTTAAAAAAATGGATTTTGTTTTTTATTTTATTTTTTATTTTTTAGTTTTTTAAAATGAGATAGGGTCTTTCTATGTTGCCCGGGCTGGTCTCAAACTCCTGGGCTCGAGGGATCCTTCTGCTTCAGCCCCCCAAAGTGCTAGGATTACAAGTGTGAGCCACCAGGCCTGGTCAGATTTTGTTTTTTAGAGCAGTTTTAAGCTCACGGCAAAGTTAAGCAGAAGAGCCAGAGATTTCCCATTTACTCCCTGCCCCTACATACATACCTGTGTATATACAGCCTCCCCCACTATCCAAACCCAAAGATGTCTCATTTTGATATATCTTTTCTTGGATTCTTAAGCTTAGTGTTGACCAGAAATACCTCTTATTATGATTCATGCATCTGACTGTCTTTGGGAAAACTAACATTTATTGAACACCCACTATATGTCAGGTATTTTTTTTTTTAACATCTTTTCATTTACAACCCTGAAAGGTAGGGGTATTAGCACCATTAAAAAAACTAACAACAGAAGGAAATGAAACTTAGGTTAAAATGATTTACCTCTAGAATACAGAGATGAACTACGTGAAACTGTAAAAAAATGATTGAATGTCTCCATTTTTATATGGTTCAACCTAATAGAATGTTAAGAGGGCTCATATTTGAACCCAGGCCAATTTAGTTCAAAAGCCTATACTTTGCATTGTACTGTACTATACCCTAAAATTACTAGAATAGCACTGGATTCTTTATTTTCCCTTGGGGGTGCTGTAGTTTCACATAGATGTAGATTTATATTCCTGTTCCTTAGAAGACTAGAACAGTGATGCTTAGAGAAAGAGCAAACCAAGGTATGGTATATCTTGAGTTAGAGTAGGAGTTGAGTTGAGTGGGAGCCTAAGTTTAGAGACTAAAGCTAGGAGTTATATGATGCACCCGCACTGATTCGTGTATCTGCTGCTATTTATATCTGCCACCTGTGTGCATTTCCATACAGCTGATTCTGGGTTCTCTTTTGTTTGTTACATGCTATGATAATCATTGGTTTAATTAACCCCATAGGCTGTAAATTCTCTGAAGACTGTGATTCTGTCTGTCTTGCTCTTTCTAGTACCTATTAAAGTGTCGGCACATACCAAGTAGGTGCTTACTAAGTATTTTATGAAAAAGCAAATGAATAAACAAATGATACTATCTCAGCTACTCTGTCCTCTGCCCAATGAGCACTGTCTCTGTCTTTGCCTCTGTCTCTCTCTCTCTCTCTACACACACACACACACACACACACACACACACACACACACATACACACACCCTAGCTGTGTCTATCCAAACACCTAATCTCCTTAGCACTCATCCATGGTCTCAGTGCTTACTCAGACATGGGTGTCTGTGTTTGTCTAATCAAGGTAAACCAGGCTGGGAAAGGACTGGTATTGCTTTGAAGCTTTTACTAAGGACTGACATAGGTTGGGCTTGAAATATGACCTGAACAGAGCAGTTTTGCCATTTGAATGTGGAGCCTTATATTGAATAAACTGAAACTTTTCCACTTGGTTTTTTCCATCTCTTTGGAGAACAGGACTGGACACTAAAGCAGGCTCTGGCAGGAGAATGTCCTGGTCTTGCAGAATCTTCTGGTTGCTAAGGCTGAGGACACAGCCCCACTGTCCTTTCTCTGGCAACAAAGGACATTTGTCACATGTTGGGGCGACTTATGTTTCTAATTTGGGACTTAACTGCACTAGTAAAAGACAGCAAATGTGGAATCAGTAGAAAGGTAGAGATTGTGCATTTGAATCAAGACTTTCTTCCACTTCACATTAAAGTGTAAAAACTTAATGCTTTGCATTTGAATACCTTCTGATAGGTGGCTAGGTGTCTCACATAAGCGTAAAAGATGAGTAATGCAGGTGGTATTATCATTCTTATGGGCAAGAAGGAGAGGCTGTAATTCAAGTTAATTGTATAAAAGCATAAAGCTCTGGGGACGACCAGTTTAAGGTCACACAGGGAGTTAATGTTAGCCAGATATCTAGACCCACTAAGGCTTCATTTTTGCTCTAAAACTTATGAATGGAGTGAAACTCCATTTACAAAAGAATTCACTTGGAAGCTACTAAAATGTATTTCTGGGGATCCTGCAATGACCAGTCCTTTGTCTTTTGGTCAAGACAGATAGAGTCCTTTCTGAAAATGCTCAGTGCTTCTCCCTGTTTTATAGAGTTATGACCTTGCCCCATTGATGTCAGAGAAGCCTGGAGAAGAAATTCACTCTGCATACAAAAAAGATGTATGTACTACACTTTTCCTAGAAGAGATAAGATTCTAAAAATGAAACGTTTTAAAATAAAACCCATTCACTAATAGTTACTTTTCACTTTGGGTGAATAATCAGGAGTTACATCAGGGTTTCCCTACAAGATTTTGAAACTCTTCCTCCTGCTAAATTATTTTTTAAAAATTCCTTTAGTTTACAGAATTGATTAGGATGGGATTTGGTCATATTGATTTTTGTCCCAAATAAAGACTCTTTTGTGGAATGCCAGCTCTTCTCGGGCTTGCTTCCTACTATCTTGCAAAGGTGCAGTACCCATTTCCTTCACTCACTGACCTTAACACAACTCTGATTACACTGAGAACTCCTTGAGGTCAAGGACAATGATGCCAAGAAAAGCACTTAGGTTTTGGCAATCTTTAATCTCCAATACTTTCTTGTCGACTTTATCAATGAATGTATGCTGGTATGCTGTCAAGATTTTTTAAAAACTATTTATTTCTTTTTTGTTTTTATTTATTTATTTATTTTTTTGAGACGGAATCTCACTCTTGCCCAGGCTGGAGTGCAGTGGCGCAATCTTCGCTCACCGAAACCTCCGCCTCCTGGGTTCAAGCAATTCTCCTGCCTCAGCCTCCTGAGTAGCTGAATAGCTGAGTAGCTGAGGAGCCCTGAGTAGCTGGGCTCCCACCACCACGCCCGGCTAATTTATGTATTTTTAGTAGAGATGAGGTTTCATCATGTTGGCCAGGCTGGTCTTGAACTCCTGACCTCAAGTGATCCACCAGCCTCAGCTTCCCAAAGCGCTGGGATTACAGGCGTGAGCCACTGCGCCTGGCCTATTATTATTTTTTGAGTGGCTGCTCTTAGCCCAGCAGCAAACTTTGAGGGATATAAGCTTGCAGATGAGTTGAAATGCATACACATGAATGCACAAATGTGAAGTTAAATGCCAAAACAAAAATGTAAGCCATCAATTCAAAAGTGATAACAAAGTGTTTATTTCAGAAACTTATACTAAGAGTTACTGTGAGCCAAGAACTTTTATAAAACCTAGAAGGGGAGGCAGACATTTTAAATAAGCAATGTAAGGCAGAGTCGGGTGAGTGCTATACTAGAGGTAAACATCAGATGACCTGGTATGAATCCTGGTTTACTAAGGACAATCTTGATTTTTGCCTGTTGCCCAGAGGTAATTATGATAGCACCTGTTTGTACTATCAGAAGAGTCTCAGTTATTAAATTATAGTCATATAAATTATAAACTAAGTACAGTTGAAGTGAAAAGAAATTATTAGTTCTGACTGGGAGGTTGGGGAAAGGTTTCTATAGGAGAGGATGTTTGAGCTGAACCTAGAAGAACAGGTTTAGAAAGAGAAACCATCATAGGCTGAGAACAGTTCAGGCAAAGCCTTGGTGGCCTCCAAGGACACTTGTATGATTGATTTCTCAATCAGCAAATGCCCTTGTCTTTAATGGAGAGTAGTACCACCAATGGCTAGCGAGGTCTTGGAAATTATCTCACCATGAACTATCATCACTCAGAACTCTAGTTATCAGAAAAAATGGCTGCTGGGTAATGACTGATGTCATTGTCATCCTGTGTCAGATCAGAGGGCACAGTTCAAGTTGGCTAAGGTGAGCAGGTGAAAGGGAGAGGAAGAGAGTGAGTGAAGCAATGTGAAAGTTGAAGAGACTAAAGGATAAGAGGTGAAGGGAGAGAACTGTGCTTTTATTGGTTCAATCTGCCCAATTAAAGAAGTTGCAGTTCCTCTTTAAACAAATCTTGTTTTTAATTTATTTCTGCATCTCTTCTTTCCTCCCTATATCCCATACTCTGTTGTATTCTGAGTCTCCCAAGTTTGAGACGTGCCTAGAGGCAGGTTTAATTTTCTTTATCCCTCAGTATTGGGAAACGGACTCTGCACCACTGAGTCTATGTAAGTCTGGTGGCTGAAAGAAGCTGCCACAGGGAGCCGAATTTTCATTGCTATCTATAACCTGAGTTTAGGTAATTCCAGAAATGAAAATGAAAAAATAAAAAAGAATATGGACATTTGCCTTTTTGGGATGAAAATGCCCCTTTTGACTTCTCATTATGTAAGTTTGAAAATTTTCAAATATAAACAAAGACTACGAAAATAGTACCTCCCGATGTATGTGTCCCATTTACCAGGGAGCCATGTTCCCATCACTCAGCTTTAACGGTTCCCAACATTTTGCTGTTCTTTTCAGTGATCTCCCTGCACTGTTCGTTCTCCATCTTGTCCTCTTCCACCCCTTACAGCAACTCTCTGACATCATATAATTTTATTTGGGAAGATATCAGAATATAACTCTCACAGAGAAGGCTTTGTTTTTAAACATAACCACAATACTATTATTGTACCCAAAAAGCTTAAAAATAATTCCATAATACCATCTAATACTGGGTCCATACTCAATCTTCCCTTTAAAAGTCCGTGTTAAGATCTGGAGATTTTAAGTCAGTATTTCTGAGCTCCAATGTAGTGCACAGGAGTAGGATGTTTAGCCTTTCTTACGGAGAGCATGAGCAGTAGAAGAGGAGGCTGGAATCCTAAAGTGTATTCAATCTTCTATTGTCAATGGGTCAATAATATACCTATTAGAGAATATTCTTAGCTTAAAACTGAAAAAGTCAGCCAGGCGCGGTGGCTCACGCCTGTAATCCCAACACTTTGGGAGGCCGAGGCGGGCGGATCACGAGGTCAGGAGATCGAGACCATCCTGCCTAACACGGTGAAACCCTGTCTCTACAAAAAATACAAAAAAATTATCCGGGCGTGGTGGCAGGCGCCTGTAGTCCCAGCTACTCGGAGACTGAGGCAGGAGAATGGCATGAACCCAGGAGGCAGAGCTTGCAGTGAGCCGAGATTGCGCCACTGTACTCCAGCCTGGGCGACAGAGCAAGACTGTCAAAAAAACAAAAACAAAACAAAAACCTGAGAAAGTCTTTATTTATCTACTTATTTGAGATGGAGTCTCGCTCTGTCACCCGGGCTGGAGTGCAGTGGCGCGATCTCAGCGCATTGCAAGCTCCGACTCCTGGGTTCACACCGTTCTCCTGCCTCAGCCTCCCGAGTAGCTGGGACTACAGGTGCCCGCCACCACACCCGGCTAATTTTTTGTATTTTTAGTAGAGACGGGGTTTCACCGTGTTAGCCAGGATGGTCTCATTTCCTGACCTTGTGATCCGCCTGCCTCAGCCTCCTAAAGTGCTGAGATTACAGGCGTGAGCCACCGTGCCCAGCCCTTATTTTTTATTTTTTTGAGGTGGAGTTTCTCTCTGTCACCCCAGCTGGAGTACATTTTTTATTTTTTCGAGATGGAGTTTCGCTCTGTCACCCCGGCTGGAGTACAGTGGCACAATCTCGGCCCACTGCAACCTCTGCCTCCTGGGTTCAAGCGATTATCCTGCCTTAGCCTCCCGAGTAGCTGGGATTACAGGCACCCACCACCACGCCTGGCTAATTTTTGTATTTTTAGTAGAGACAGCGTTTCACCAGTTTGTCCAGGCTGGTCTGGAACTCCTGACCTCAAGTGATCCGCCCACCTCAGCCTCCCAAAGTGCTGGAATTACAGGTGTGAGCCCCCGCGCCCAGCCAAAAGTGAGAATGTCTTTTAAAGACTTCAGATAAAAAGTTTTCCACATAATCTCACAGCATTATCTATTACCTTCTCACTCATTCAACAAACATATCATTGTTAGTCCACTTCCGCCTCTTGTCATCTATTCCTTCTTTGTTCTCTTGTTGGTTCACTCTTTCAATGCTTTTACTGCACCAAGAGGTGAGAGACACTGCGAGGACCTCAGATTAGTCACAGCTGTCGGTTATTTGTTTTTGTTGTTGTTGTTTTTGAGACGGAGTCTTACTCTGTCGCCCAGGCTGGAGTGCAGTGGCGCGATCTCGGCTCACTGCAAGCTCCGCCTCCGGGTTCACGCCATTCTCCTGCCTCAGCCTCCGAGTAGCTGGAACTACAGGCACCTGCCACCACGCTCGGCTAATTTTTTTTGTATTTTTAGTAGAGACGGGGTTTCACCGTGTTAAGCAGGATGGTCTCGATCTCCCGACCTCGTGATCCGCCCGCCTCGGCCTCCCGAAGTGCTGGGATTACAGGCGTGAGCCACCGCGCCCGAGCTGCGGTTATTTGTATCAGACATTGTGCTGGGTACTTTACATAAATTCATTTATTCCTCACTACAAACTTTGAGGTAATTTTTGCAACCCCTATTTTATAAATGAGGAAATTAGGTTGTAAAAGTTGAAGTAATTTACACAAAAAAGGTCCCCCAGTTAGGAAGTGGCAGAAAGGTATGTGAACCTAGGTTTACTTATCCTGAAATTCCTGCCCCAGCATGACAACGCTGAGAGGCAGTATCTTAATAACCAGCGCACCTGGGTAGTTCTGCCACACCATCATTTCCTCTGTCCTTAGGGAGTTTGCAATTTAAAAGGGTAAATAAGACAGGTGTAGAAATATGAAGCATTTACACAGGATGCCAATGTTGCAGTATGAAAAGAATATTTGAAAGCTCATAATGTCATCATGAGAAATTACTTTTAATTTGGAGAGATAAAGTAAGGCTTCACAGGGGACGTAGCATTTAACCATGAAGCTGAAGGGCACACAATGATGTGGCACCAAGAAGCATAGGGCATGTTTGGGAAATCCAGTTAGGCTAGCAGATAATAATGGAAGATAAAGCTGGATAGGTAGATTGAGGTCAAATTTTGAATAGACTCTATTATCAGGCCAGTTGTGTATAATTTAATCGCTGTACAGTTAAAAATCGTTAAAAGGTTTTTTCTTTCTTTCCTTTTTCTTCTTTAGCTGGACCTGCATCACATATTAAATGCTTTTTGGACAGACGGAATGAAATAACCAGAGCTATGCTTTAGGGAAAATTTAAGTAGTAGAGGGACTGAGGTTGGGGAAACCAGATATGAGACTATTCATGTACTCCAGTCCTGGGGAGAAGGAAGAAATACCTAATAGAAGTTTAATTTCAGCTTCATCATTGAAACTTTTTCTTGAGTTAGATGGGCGAACACTCCTTTGGAGGCATGAAGAAAGAGAAGTGCTTTCTTCCCATCTCCCCTTTCTTGAGTACATAAATTTCCTTAGATATCTTGACAAAGAGCCAAGAAGACTTGGTGATAAAATAAGCAAATGCAGTTAATTTGGAATCTACTGATGCTATAAAAGAATTTAACAATTTACACATGAATATTTAGTAATGGAGAATGAATAAATGTGATAAGCTATATGATGATTTTTCTACAGAAAGAAGGTGCAAGAAGGTTAGACTTTGATGTAAGATTATTGCTTTTACCTTGAAAACCCTTCTGGATTTCAGCCATCCTAGTTAGAGAGGGTAAATTGTTATTGTTTTTATAGTTAATAATAGTTATCATTTTCTGAATACTGACTGCATGCCAGGCACTGTGCGATGTGATTTTTGTGCATAATTTCATTTAGTCTCCCTAACATCCTTTGTAGATTGGTATCATTGTTATCTCCTTGATAGATGAGGTGAATGAGGCTCTTAGAGAGGGCAGGTGACTTGTCAAGCCCCCTTCTCGCCTTCAGAGCCTATGCTCTTGACCACTATACTTACTGCCTCCATATATTCTTTCAAGACTAAATGCAGCACATTCTCTAATTCTATAATTTACCACATTCTACAAAATCAGACAAAACTGGGCAGTGTTTGCTAAGCTGGTCTCTCTGATAAAAGGCTAAAGCAAGAGTGGAGTGTTGGTTTCAGTTACGGCTTTTACCTTGGAGGTAACCCTTCTGGATTTCAATTTCCTTGTCTTTAAACTAAGAGAACTAGAACACAGAAATGCTGAGGTCTTCAAATCTGTGAATCTTTGGGCAAATTGGTCAAAGCATTGACTTCATTTTCTTCAGTAGGATTTAGAACAGATAGAACGTACTAATTTATGTCCTCTGTTTTTCTTCCTTTTAGATCTAAGTATTTTTCCTGGTAAGGCTGAGGTCTCTGACTGGCACTAGTTAGCCTGGACATGAAGGGAAAGTGAATCAAGGTTGTTGCACAGCTGTGTGCAAGGCATTGTTCTATGCTTATCATGCACATTGTCTCATTCAATCCTCACAGAATCCCTCGTGAATACTTATCTTCATTAAAAAGCAAAGCAACCACACTATACTTATAAGAAAACTGAGGCTCATAGTGATTAGTTAACCTGCCCAAGGTCACCTAGCAGGAAAGTGATAGAGCCAGGATTTGAACCTAATTCTTTCTGGCTTTAGGTTGGTTTCATAGTGCCTCTCACTTTCCCTGTTGTTTGTTTATTTTTATTTGAATATTCAAAGATTCCTCATGCAAAAATAGTATTAATAGTAAGGGACTTTTCAGGGAACTTTCTGTTGATCAGTTTATACCTGATAGAGATTCCCTATGTCACATCATGAGACTAAGAACTAGGCAGAGGACATCCATATAGCTCCAGTCATTTGAGACCTCACGTATTTTTAGATATGAGATTTTTAAAAAATCTGCTCAAGCAGTTTTGGCTTATCTGAGGTGGTTTAGCATATCCAGACTTTTCTGATTTATATAAATTAGCCAGGCATAGGAATATCATTGATAATAACACTTCATAATTATAGATTCCATTTTCTTTCATATGAGATTTAAATAGCTTTTTGCCCAGTCTTTGTCATTTTCCAGGTGGAGAAGCCTTAGCAGAATTTTACCCAAGGTCACAGAAGTGAATCAATTGGTGGCAGAAATAATAATAAACTTAGGAGTCCTCTTTCTCAGCACCATATCCTGAACACTGAATCCACTTGAAACATTATGGTCTCATGGAAAGCAAACTGCTGTTCCAAATGATAATGCTGTTGTTCTTGATGATGATGGTGATAATAATATTATTATAATTAAAATTATAGTTATACCTGTGTTAGAAACACTGTCCTAAGTCCTTTACATGTATTGATTTATTTATGCCTCACGATCCTCTCAGTAGGTTTATGAATGAGGAAAATACAATTATCTGCCTATTACAGATTAGGAAATTGCTCCCTCTTTGCATTTCCCACATAATTGAATGCATATTCCTTCACCTCTATGAAGGGCCAGTAGCTTAGGGACCATTTTTTATGAAGACATTTGAATTCCTTTAAGTATTGACCACAAAGCTGGGGACATAGCAACTGTTTAGCAAATCTTCTATTTTACTGATTCATCAATTGGTACAGATGAATTATTCTTGCAGTGCCAGGCCATGGAACTGATATAGAGATCTTAGACTTGTTCTTCATACAAAATTGAAATAT
This sequence comes from Homo sapiens, assembly GCF_000001405.40. NCBI lineage: Eukaryota > Metazoa > Chordata > Mammalia > Primates > Hominidae > Homo > Homo sapiens. The sequence goes on from NC_000001.11 coordinate 120,315,087, forward strand.
GCGTGTTTCCATTTGTTAATCTTTTGGTATTTGTATTGCAGAATAAAATACAGGGTACTCAATTCAATTTAAATTTCAGATAAACAACAAACAATGTTTTAGCGTTTAAGTTATGTCTCAAATATTGCAAAGGATATACTTCTAATGAAACAAATTATTTGTTGTTTATCTGAAATTTAAATTGAAGTAGATATCTTATATTTTTATTTGCTAAATCTGGTAATGCTATTTAGTGTTCATAAAATAATAACTTTAAAGGATATCCTGAAAAGACAGGGCTATCATTCCCTTCTTTTGAAGAAATTAGGACATTTTCATCTCACTGGATCTGAATCTATGTTCTAACCTTGGTCAAAAGGTACCTACTTATGAGGGGAACAAACATTCTTCTCAGTATGTCACTAAAAACGTACTAGTAATATGATCTAAAATGCCTTGAGTCCAACTGCCTTCCAGCTCTAAAATTCTTTAATTCTAAGTAACTCTCAAATATCTAAACCAGGTTTCTACTTTTCCCAATTAGTATTTGTGTTTCAACCACCCTGCATGGAAACATGGGTTATGAAATGCCTTCACAAGTATGGTAGAAAATATGCTGCTATTGTGTGTTGCCTTGGACTTCTAGAAGTCTAGGTGTTGGTGGTTATTATATGGCGATAGTAAAGTAAAATCCTCCCTACTGTTCTAGTACCCACAATACTACTTTTCACACTTTAGCTACTTTACCTTCAGTCTCTCTGTCAACCTCTGATCTAAAGACTTCTTTACTAAATAACATTCTTCTTGCCTAATACTGTATTATGGACTTCATCAGGGAAGGGACTAATCCATCTTTGCATGCTAACGTTTAAGCTGAAATAAAGTAATCCCTCAATTAACATTTTGCAGAAACCTCCTTAGGTTCCCCTACAAACCTGCCCCTATTTTAGTTAATAGAATGCATTCCCACTGACATGCTGGAAATTTCAGCAGTCTTTGGTCCTCCCTCCAGTCTAATCTGAATCTCACAAGTCATCAAGGCCTGTGGCTTCTGTCTCTGAAATGTCTTTTGAGTCTTTCTCCCTGTACCTCTTGTCCTTAGACAGTCCCCCTCCCTATTCTGGTTAGTTGCCCCTGACCCACCCACCTTCTTCATAATTCCTTCTTCAACATGGACCCGATCATGCCAATGCTTTGCTTAAAGCTCCCTGATAAGTCTTTGATTTCTACTGATTATTATCCAGTTTTTTACTTTTTTAATTTTTTTTATTTTGAGACAGAGTCTCTCTCTGTCACCCAGGCTGGAGTGCAGCAGCATGATCTTGGCTGACTGCAACCTCCACCTCCTGGGTTCAAGCGATTCTCCTGTTTCAGCCTCCCAAGTAGCTGGGATTACAGGCGCATGTCACCACGCCCAGCTAATTTTTGTATTTTTAGCAGAGATGAGGTTTCACCATGTTGGTTAGGCTGGTCTCGAAAGCCTGACCTCAAGTGATCTGCCTGCCTTGGCCTCCCAAAGTGCTGGGACTATAGGTGTGAGCCACTGTGGCCGGCCTATCTAGTTGTCTTAGCAGGATTTTCACAAACTAGTTGCAAACTATTTTCTATACTCCTTACCACACACTAAGCCACTTAACCTGCACCAGACACACTTGGGATGTTTTTATTTCCTTATTTCTGTTTCCCCAAATCTTACTTGTTGCATCCTCACCTCAATAAAAATTAATTGTTCCCTGTATAACTTTACCATCAGAGTCCCCTCTCACCTTAAGCAAACCTAATTTATAAAATTCCAATTTTATGATAAAAGCATTGTTTTTAAAAATGTTTACAACCAAATTTCTTTAAATAATTGAATCCCCAGGCATTTAAAAGTATTGTTCTATTACTATAATTCTATTAAAAGTATTATTCTAGCAATTTCGTTTTCGGGAACAACCTGTATTAGATAGGAAAAATTTATTTTAATATATACTCTGTCCTGCAATGGTTTAGAGAACGAATAGACTTAAGCAGTGTTCATGATCCAGGGGTAATGATAAATAGGTTGGGAAAATTGATAAGTAGCTCAGGGGAAACCCTGAAGCTGTACAGCTTATTCTTCCTTGACTAGATTGCTGATCCAACTAAATCCCTAATTATGTCAAGGGTCACAAAGAGGGCAGAGATGAGGTGAGAGGCTGTGGACCAAGGCAAGACTCAATTGATTGAATAAATTTTGGTATTACTACACTGTGGACTATTATGCAGTTATTGAAGAATGAGTTAGCTCTATATTATTGTCCTAGTGGGAATTCCTTGATTAAAGTAAGGGGGAAAAGTTGCTGAGTGATATTTATAGTATACTGAGGAAGAGTGAGATCACAGTCCGTGATAGGGAGAAGACTTGATATTTTTCTTTATATACATTTATATTGCTAAAATGGTTACTTTTATAATTTACAGTTTTTTAAAAGCTTAGTGTTAAATGACAAGTATTACTAAAATTATTAAAAATATTTTCAGACTTCAATAAAGTTTCAGAATACAAAAATTAATGTACAAAAATCAGTAGCATTTCACCAGGCACGGTGGCTCACGCCTGTAATCCCAGCACTTTGGGAGGCCGAGGTGGGTGGATCATGAGGTCAGGAGATCGAGACCATCCTGGCTAACACGGTGAACCCCGTCTCTTCTAAAAATAGAAAAAAAAAATTAGCCGGGTGTGGTGGCAGTCGCCTGTAGTCCCAGCTACTTGGGAGGCTGAGGCAGGAGAATGGCGTGAACCCGGGAGGCGGAGCTTGCAGTGAGCCGAGATCATGCCACTGCACTCCAGCCTGGGCGACAGAGCCAGACTCCGTCTCAAAAAAAAAAAAAAATCAGTAGCATTTCTACACACCAATAACATTCAAGCTGAGAGCCAAATCAAGAATGCAATCCCATTTACAATATCCGCTAAAAAAAAAAATACCTTGGAATACATCTAACCAAGGAGGTGAAAGATCTCTACAAGGAGAACTACGAAACACTGCTTAAAGAAATCATAGATGACACAAACAAATGGAAAAACATTCCATGCTCATGGATTGGAAGAATCAATATCATTAAAATGGCCATATTGCCGAAGGTAATCTACAGATTCAACACTATTCCTATCAAACTACCAATGTCATTCATCAAATGACCAAGATCAAAGCCAGAGGCATCACACTATCCAACTTCAAACTATACTACAAGGCTACAGTTGCCAAAACAGCATGTTGCTGGAAAAAAAAAAAGACACATAGACCAATGGAAGCAAATAGAGAACCCAAAAATAAAGCTACACACCTACAGCAATCTGATCTTCGACAAAATCAACAAAAATAAGCAGTGGGGAAAGCACTCCCCTATTCGATGGTGGTGGGATAGATAACTGGCTAGCCATATGCAAAAGAATGAAACTGGGCCCCTACCTTTCAGCACATATAAAAATTAACTCAAGATGGAGTAAAGATGTAAATGTAAGACCTCAAACTATAAGAATCCTAGAAGAAAACCCAAGAAACACCATTCTGGACATTGGCCTCAGGAATTTATGACTAAGTCCTCAAAAGCAATTGCAACAAAAACAAAAAGAGACAAGTCGGATTTATTTAAACTAAAGAGTTTTGCACAGCAAAAGAAACTATCAACAGAGTAAACAGACAACCTCTAGAATCTAAAAAAATTTGCAACTAGCATCTGAAAAGGGTCTAATATCCAGAATCCATAAGGAATTTAACAATTGAACAATGAAAAACAAATAACCCCGTTAAAAAAATGAGCAAAAGGCATGATCAAACACTTTTCAAAAGAAGACATACAAATGCCCACCAAATATATGAAAAATTGCTCCACATCACTAATCATCAGAGAAATATAAATCAAAACCACAATGAGATACCATCTCACACCAGTCAGAATGGCTACTATTAAAACGTCTAAAAACAACAGATGCCGGTGAGGCTGCATAGAAATGGGAATGCTTACACGCTGTTGGTGGAAATATAAACCAGTTCAGTCACTGCAGCAAGCAGTTTGGAGATTTATCAAAGAACAACTTTAATGGTTCCACTGGCTAAACTGCATGTCTGGCTCTGATTGGCTAATGCTCTGTGGTTTTAGGGGTGATGTGGAGAATCTCAACAGTCAGAATGAAGCTGAGCTCCGACGCCAGTTTGAGGAGCGACAGCAGGAGACGGAGCATGTTTATGAGCTCTTGGAGAATAAGATCCAGCTTCTGCAGGAGGTGAGGAGTTCCCAAAGTCCATAGGTAGGGGTTCTCTTTTATTAACACTCCTCTTCCTACTGCTCTGCCTTCTGGCATTCACCTTTTCCGTCTCTACTTTCCCTCTGAAATTCATCAATGTTCCTGGGTCTTAGGGCTCCTAATCTAGGTAGAAATTTTGCAGCCTCTCAGTTTTTGTTCTTTTTCCAGGAATCCAGGCTAGCAAAGAATGAAGCTGCGCGGATGGCAGCTCTGGTGGAAGCAGAGAAGGAGTGTAACCTGGAGCTCTCAGAGAAACTGAAGGGAGTCACCAAAAACTGGGAAGATGTACGAGGAGACCAGGTCAAGCCCGACCAATACACTGAGACCCTGGCCCAGAAGGACAAGTAGGTGCCTTCGGTGCTCTTTTTGTCGCTTGTCTTTTGCCCATTCTCAAGGCATACAGCAGCTGTCCTGTTCCCTTTCAAGGACTGACAGTAGGAGCTTCACTATTTCTAAGACTTTATGGTCCCACAACCGAAGACATTCTTTTCAGGGTTGAATTTTCAGTGGTATCCATTATGAAAACTCACTTCATGGATTCAGTGGGCAAATAGCGGCAAGCAAGAGACATGGATTCACTTATTCAGCAAACATTTACTGGGCATGCCACATGCCAGATACCGGGCTAAGTATCTGGCATGTGTTACAGAAACAAAAGACCTAATTCTTGTCACCAAGAAACATGTTACATGATTTTAATAAGTTCCCTGATAGAAGAGCATGGGGTGCTCTGGGGAAATATTGGAGGGTCATCCATTCCACATTAAAAGAGCAAGTTGTCTGCTGTGGTCTGAATGTTTGTGTCCCATCCCCACCTCCCTCCCCCACCAGTTTATATGTTGAAATCTTAACCCTTAAGGTTAATACTTCTGCCTCCAGAAGTATTATGAGGTGGAGCCATTAGGAGGTGATTAAATCATAGACATTGGAGATGGAGCCCTCATAAATGGGATTAATACGCTTGTAAAAGAGACCCCAGAGAGCTAGTTAGCCCCTTCTACTATGTGAGGATATAGTGGGAATGCACCGTTATGAGCCAGAGTGTGAACCTTCACCAGACATTGAACCTGTCAGTGACTTGATCTAGGACTTCCCAGCCTCCAAAACTGTGAGAAATACATTTCCGTTGTTTATAAGCCTCCCAGTTTATGGTGTTTTTTTATAGCAGCCCAAAAAGACTAAGATAATGCCATTGAAGGTTTCCTAGAGGAAGCGAAATCTGAGCTGAGCTTTGAAGGATGAATAGGAGGTAGAATAAATAGGTAGAAAGTGGATAGGGAAAGGAAATATTCTATGCAGAAGGAGAAACTATGGAGGGAAGACACAGGGAAAGGAATATTTCAAGAACTTTAAATAATTGTACATAACTGGAGCAAGTGAGAAGACAAGTGAGAGGTAAGCTGTTTTGAGAATAGGGGTCTGATTGTGCCAGCTTTGTATACCATTATAAGGAACTTGGACTTTGTCCTGAAGGTAACTGGGCAATTATTGAGGTCACCACCATCTACTGTCTGGATTACCGAGGAAACTTTCTTTTTTTTTTTTTTTTTTTTTTTTTTTGAGACGGAGTCTCGCTCTGTCGCCCAGGCTGGAGTGCAGTGGCGGGATCTCGGCTCACTGCAAGCTCCGCCTCCCGGGTTCACACCATTCTCCTGCCTCAGCCTCCCAAGTAGCTGGGACTACAGGCGCCCGCCACTACGCCCGGCTAATTTTTTGTATTTTTAGTAGAGACGGGGTTTCACCGTGTTAGCCAGGATGGTCTCGATCTCCTGACCTCGTGATCCATCCGCCTCGGCCTCCCAAAGTGCTGGGATTACAGGCGTGAGCCACCGCGCCCGGCCACCGAGGAAACTTTCTAAATGTCCTCTCCACTTCCAGTCCTGCTCCTCTCATTCAATCTCAACCTAATAATTCAGAGTAGTTCTGAAATAGATAATTCAACCACAACAAATTGGCAAATAATTTAGCCTCTTAGGTGCATAAGACTGTGGTGGTATAAAAAGCTTTAAGGAGCTTTTAACTGAATAGGCAAAAACCACATGTGCATACCATGACCAATGTGATCTTTCCAAGACATAAATTTAATCGCACCATGGCAGAGCCATTTAAGAACTTTGCAATACCTTTAGGAGATAAGATCCATACTCCTAATGTGGCCATCAAAGCCTTTTATGATGTAACCTCTGATTTCTCCCACACTCATCACCCACCACCATTCCTTAACTTCATTCATGCCAGGCTAGTAATAATAATGATGGCTAAGCTTTGTTGAGCTCTTACCATACAGCTGAGTACTTTATGTTCTTGTTTAACAGCCCCATGAGATATGAATTATTATACTTTATTAATGAAAAAATTGGCATCTGGAGACTTGTGAAACATGGTTTCAGGGATTGCTGACATCCAAACCCTGAAGCCATACTGCCTCCAGAAGCATAAGAAGCTATGGCAAGTCTCCAGAATTTTGCTCATGCTTTTCCTTCTGTGGGAAACATCTGCCAACTTTTTCCCTTCTAGTGAACCTCACTAAGGCATCAATCGTCATTTCTTTGAAGGCTTTGTGATAGCAGAATGAAGTTTCTGTATTGTTTCTTTTATATATATATATATATACACACACACACACATATTGTACAATTCTCAGTATGGCACTGTATTTGCTTTCAGATTTTCCCTACTAGGTTCCCCAAGACTGTCTCATATTTGAACCCCAATAAAAAAAACTGAACTAAAAACCAAAACAAAACAAAACCCCAAGTAAAGCACATGCACATCTGAAAATAAATTGAGGCCACTCATCAGATGACCTTGAACAATTTTGGAGAGTAGGAGAACAGATCCTCTGTAGAGACTAAGGGTCAAAGAGATGAGCAAAGTTTGAGGCTTAAGAAAAGTAGAGATGTTCTAGTGCAGATACCAAGAGGGAATTTCATATGGAGTCCACATTCTTCTTTCTTGTCATCATTGCAGTTTACATTTGTATAATGTTTTTAATTTTTTGTTTCTGTTTTTGTTTTTGTTTTGAGATGGAGTCTCGCTCTGTTGCCCAGGGTGGAGTACAGTGGCAAGATCTCGGCTCACTGCAACCTCTGCCTCCTGGGTTCAACCGATTTTCCTGCCTCAGCCTCCCGAGTAGCTGGGATTACAGGCATGCACCAACACGCCCAGCTGATTTTTGTATTTTTAGTAGAGACAGGGTTTCACTATGTTGGTCAGGCTGATCTCAAACTCCTGACCTCAGGTGATCCGCCTGCCTCAGCCTCCCAAAGTGCTGGGATTACAGGGATTACAGGCATGAGCCACCATACCCAGCCCAATGTTTTTAAGTTTTTAAAGTTATTTCTCCTGGGAGTCATGGCTCACACCTGTAATCCTAGCACTTTGGGAGGCCGAGGCGGGCGGATAACGAGATTAAGACCATCCTGGCCAACATGGTGAAACCCCATCTCAACTAAAAATACAAAAATTGGTTGGGCGTGGTGGCGCATGCCTGTAGTCCCAGCTACTCGGGAGGCTGAGGCAGGAGAATCGCTTGAACCAGGGAGGTGGAGGTTGCAGTGAGCCAAGATTGTGCCACTGCACTCCAGTCTGGTGACAGAGCAAGACTCCGTCTCAAAAAAAAAAGAATCACAACTGGAAACATTTCATTTAGTACCCACCACATTTTCAAGGACCTGGAAGGTTCATGTTCCAATATATACAAACAGAGAATATGCCTAGCACATAGATGATCAATAAGTTTATTTATTTTTTCTTTTTTTTCTTTTATTATTATACTTTAAGTTTTAGGGTACATGTGCACATTGTGCAGGTTAGTTACATATGTATACATGTGCCATGCTGGTGCGTTGCACCCACTAACTCATCATCTAGCATTAGGTATATCTCCCAATGCTATCCCTCCCCCCTCTCCCCACCCCACAACCGTCCCCAGAGTGTGATGTTCCCCTTCCTGTGTCCATGTGATCTCATTGTTCAATTCCCACCTATGAGTGAGAATATGTGGTGTTTGGTTTTTTGTTCTTGCGATAGTTTACTGAGAATGATTTCCAATTTCATCCACGTCCCTACAAAGGACATGAACTCATCATTTTTTATGGCTGCATAGTATTCCACGGGGTATATGTGCCACATTTTCTTAATCCAGTCTATCATTGTTGGACATTTGGGTTGGTTCCAAGTCTTTGCTATTGTGAATAGTGCCGCAATAAACATACGTGTGCATGTGTCTTTATAGCAGCATGATTTATAGTCCTTTGGGTATATACTTCGCAAAAGAAGACATTTATGCAGCCAAAAAACACATGAAAAAATGCTCATCATCACTGGCCATCAGAGAAATGCAAATCAAAACCACAATGAGATACCATCTCACACCGGTTAGAATGGCAATCATTAAAAAGTCAGGAAACAACAGGTTCTGGAGAGGATGTGGAGAAATAGGAACACTTTTACACTGTTGGTGGGACTGTAAACTAGTTCAACCATTGTGGAAGTCAGTGTGGCGATTCCTCAGGGATCTAGAACTAGAAATACCATTTGAGCCAGCCATCCCATTACTGGGTATATACCCAAAGGACTATAAAGCAACTGCTTTCTAAGTGGGATGGCTGAAGCAAGAGACCTTAAATCACTTGACCGTCTTCACAAAACAGAACTGAAGCAGAACCAGAAGTCCCCTGATAGCCTTTCAGGGACACCACCTACAAATACACCGTAATCCCTCATACTCCACACGCCACTTCAGGGAAAGGGACATGAGGCAGGAATACAAATATATACCATCTGTGACACTTCCTAAGCTCCTGGCTTCAGAGTAGCCATCCTGATAATTATTATTTAAAGTCCACATTATAAATGTGCAAGTTAAGTGAGTTATGGAAATCATTCCAGATACTGGTTCACCAGTAACATCAGTTTAGCCCTAAATATTGTCATAAGTTCTCTGATAGGCGCATGTGATTTAAGCTGGTGCTCTGTCAAGACTAGACTTAGGCGTTTTATCCTTTTTATGACATTATGTATGTTGAAGAGAATATATGAATATATATAAAACCTTCATTATCACATTATTCTCAATCCAGCATTTTCCCAGCCCCTGATTTTCATGTTAGTTCAGCATTCTTACATCTTTACAGATTTTCATCTAAGACTACATTTCTACTGTTTTATATAATCAGCCCCCCTAAGATCAACATGTCCACATTTTTTGGCAAAGACAAAGCCTACTGATTTCAGAATCATTATTTTCCTTTTTCAAAAGCACAAACCCAAACTGAGAAATAAATCAAGAGAAATTCTCCTTTTTTCTATGCTAATTTAGAAGTGGAGTCTTTATTTCTTTTCAAACCCAAAGAGAATCAGACATACAATATGAATTTATCTACTTTCACTTGCTCAGACTGAGAGGAAAGATTAATATTTTCAGGCTGTTAGTCAAAACTGTTCATTCAAATATTATTTAATAAAATCCAAGAACCAGCTAAAAAGTCGCTTAAGCTAAGAAACCTTCACCAGCCTCATGGGAAATTGTGTACAGTTTTCCACTAGAATAGCCTATAAATGCTTACTGAAAATGTCTAAGTTCATATCTTGGTAACTAACATTTTAATTCAATCTGCAGAATAATATATGCTTCTTTAGTGCTAAGATATGAATATTAGAGGCATTCTTTCTTAAAATTTCTATTTAGTTATACTTTCACAAATAACTATATAATATTAAAATTCTGCATGTGGCATAAAACATATTTTAATGGAGAAGGTAATGTGTAGGGAGTTTATTTCTGTTTGCTATTAGAACTAGTGTTTATTCTTGGTTAAAAAAACTGCAGATTACAACATAGAAAAAAACAAAAGTATGTTGTATATCTCTTACAGTAGAAGATAAAGAGTAGTTCTAAATTTAGAAAGGAAAAATAAATATACACAGTGAAAATATGTGTCAGTGAGATGTTAATCAAAGATCAACTATTGCTGAGACCAGCAATATTAAATCCCTGCACAATTACTCATATTATAATGAGAATTTTAAAAAGAAAATATGAACACATAACATAATGAAGGCAGAAGTCACTCTCATCCTTCATCTTTGTATTCCCAATTCAGGAAGCTGGTATAGTATCTTCATTATAATTACTATTCAACAAACATTTGTAAAATGAATGAATAAGGAATGAATGATGAGAAAAATGATAAACATCTCCCTCTGTCTCCTGGGAGTTAACTGCACTACTTTCTTTTAAATTTAATTAATCCTCCATGTCCTTGTAAAATAGCCAAAGGGAAAATGTATTTACATTACTCTAAATATTGATGCAATCTACAAAAAGTGTTAAACAACTTCCTCAAAGTAAATAAAATGTTCACAATCCAGCTAGGATAAAAGGATTTAAATCATTTCCTAGGTAGAGGGCTTTCAATTAGAGCCCCTGCTGCATTAATCATGGGAACTCATCTCACTCTCTTCATGATGGAGCCCTGAGTGTTGCTGCTAATCTGTACTCTACCATTCTAATGCTTTTAAGGTTCCTTTTCAGCCCTTCCTCCTCGTAATCCACAAATACTGAGACCAAGGCATTTTTTGGGTCAGTCCTAATTTCAAGCATTCTATCCTGCCCTCCCCAAATGAACTCACACTTATTAGACCATATGTTCCTATATTAGTTCAGGAAGGGGGAAAAAATGTTAATCACACTTGTATATAAGAGATCATAGAAAAACAGTTTACTAACCTGTGAAAATACCATTCATTCTCTGTTTACCTCTGGTCCACAGCTAAGCAATCAGTAGGATATAAATGTACCCTATGTTCACTATTCAGTATTCATAAGTATACTACTTATGAATTGGAAATCTGACACAACATTTACATGACCTAATTTTGAAAATTTAAAATAGTGTAAAGCCCCTAGGCTTAATTTTACAGGGGAAAGATTAAAGGGACACAAGCAAACATATATTCTCTCTCTGTGCTGTGGGACACTAGTAATTTTTTGACTTAAAATATTTGATACTTAAAATGCCAAACTTCTACATTTCTGCAGTAACAAGGCAGTTATCATATTGAATACCATTTCTTTCTCTCCAGTAAGTAGAGTTAATATTAGCACATGAACTGAAAATATTAAGTGATTATAAAAACGTCCAAATAAATTCATTAAAATTTAGCTTGGCAAAATGTTAGTTTCATGTTCTTGGTAGAAGTCCTTTTATATTTATATTCAAATGAAATGAACAATTTACAAGCAAAGGAAATGGCATCAAATATTTCACACCCTGCCTCCCAAGGTGTATTGATTCATGCTTTTTGCTCAGATCTAGGTTTCTCCACTCAGGAAAAGAGGAGAATGTACCCATACTTGGGAAAACAAGTTTCCGATGGCACAGCTTTGATCAAACAGCAAAATTCTATCCATCTATGTATTGCCATCTGACAGTATGACAAATGGTCCCATGTGCGATATTCACACTGCATTGCAGTCAAACCTGTAAGTCAAAGGATATGAAATAATAGTAACTATACATTAAGCACAGAAGAAAATGAAACAAACAAAAAGGTTTTAAACCAACCAAAAATATGTCTTATTTTGGATGTTCTATATGTTCTTACGTTCTCTCAGGTCTTTTGTGTCATTATGAACACAATTCTAACAAGCTTGATTATTTTATTTCCATTCACATATTACAGGCAAGCTGAAAAAGTAGAACGGGGTGTAGAGAGACAGGACAAAGTACAGATTAGGGCTTGAAGTGCCCCTGACCAGTCGACAGCAACCACATGGAATAATGACTCATGTGCATTAATGATCACACTAAATGATATTTGTTTTTTACCTAGTCTTTCAACTGACAGCTTAAAGAACTTCAGGTTGTTCTGATTCTTGAGCCTCCTCTACAGCTTCAGAGAGGACTTTCATTTTATTTTGGATCAAATGCTCCACAACTAGTTGAAACTGGAATTAAATTTTATATGAAGTTCCTAGATGATTTAAAGCTGTAAGAAGAAGAATAATGAATCATAAGAAAACTTGCTGCTACAGATATCAAAAAGGAATGTTACCATCCCTCATGCTAATCCTTTTCATTTTAAATAAACAGGATCTAAAAAAAATAATGCTGGGAAGTCCTAACCACATCAAGAATGCCTCAGATCAGTGACCCAAGGAACCTTCCAGAATGGATGAAATAGACCCAAAGCTGAATTCACCTAATTTTAGGGCCAAAAACCCAAAAAACAAAACAAGACCAAAAAAATCTTCAGATACTGGGAGAACAAATCTCAATTGCTCAATTGTATCTTATGAAAACAATTTTTCAAAATAAAACAAGAGATATTTAAGATTCATTAAGTTCTTGTCATTTCAAATTTTAAGAAAAATATTTTCTAATGGAATTACATATATTTATATGATTCTTCTAGTTATATCCATGGTAATAAATACTCTTTTCAGTTGGAAATAAAACCCATTTGTGCTATATTATTAGGGAAAATATCTACATAAATTAGTTTTTAATTTAACTAAAGTCTATCTTTTGAATTCATAAGCATAAAATTTTAACCACTTGCAAAATTTATAACACACTTAAGGTAGTCAGATGCCTTGTCAAGTAGTTTAACAAAAGTGATTTTCACCTGTTTGTTTTAATAACAGTGCATCGATTTTATGAAAATCAGGCATGCCCTCGGGTCCTAACAAAGTATACGAAGCTGAATGGATCTATGCCAAATATGCCAGATTTTACTTTCTGAGTCTGATTTTATACTTCTGTCCTCTTTCTTACCACATGGCTTCCAGTATCACTTACAGACTAACCCTTCAAAAGGAGAAGGCTAAGTTACTAACATTTGGAAGGCTTATGAAAGTGAAGCATAGTTATGAGCCAGCAATGTTTTTATTTATGGAATGTGTGCAAACCACACACTTAAGCAAGCTCTGGGGAATGAGAGTTGGGGGGAATCAACTGTTTTATTTGCTAATTGGTATTTCCTTTAAAAGATAGAGTTCTTCCAGATTTTAACTGTGTTAATAGTTACTCTAGAAAAATTGGAGATTTGTGTGCATATATTTTATGTTGTAAACAGACACATACCCAGAGACACTGAGAGAGACAGACAGACAGTAAACAGAGGAGCACTAACCACAAACGGTTTACAAATGACCTCTGTGCTCATTCACCTGTCTGTTCCCCACCTTGCCTTTTATAGCAACTATAGCAACAGCCATGAGAGTCATTGTGGAAAGAAATAAAATAAAATTAAAAAATCCTGGAAGCTTGTAAAGAATGTGAGCAAAGGGGAGGAAGTTGTGAAAAAAATGAATAAAGGGCACCGATCCAGAGTATTGAAGAAGGCAGAGTGGAGAGCCTAGTAATGAGTATCTGGTACCCCAGTATCCTCTCCCACAGAATCTGTACAGCTCTCCGTTTATGACAGTTTAAACTTAATTTAAATTATCAAACAGACACTTTCCTCAAACATATAAATGATGAGGCAGTTCATTCAGGCTGTATGTATAAAGCTGTTCCAGCCACCTTTTTCTAACGGCTTCTCTGTATCTTTTACATGGAGACAATGAGAGATTTGCTTAGGACAATTTGACTGTAATTTAGAAGTAGGAAATGGGAAGTATTTGTATCTTCTTTGCCTAACTCACATTAGTTACTCAAGTAAGCATTTCTTCCGTTATTGCATTTTCCTGATTACAAGTTTTATGTTTTCTCTAAAACACATATCAAAAGAAATGTCCTAAGCACTATGCAGGGGGAAGCCATGACATTTATCTACCACTGTCAGCAAAAACATGAACTTAGCCCTCAACAGAATATTTCACTTCATTCTAGTGTCACCTCTGCATCACCTGCACTGGAGTCACCACTTGCCTGTTGGGTAAGACCAGGATGCACCACTGAAATAAAAAGGGGTCAGACAATACAAGAAAAGCCAGTAGAAATTGCCAAATGTATCAGAATACACACAGGCTTTCTAAGGATATGGCCCAAGAGGAAGGCTCTAGAGCCCACCCTGAAACAGGATTTTTGACTTCACAGATAAATTATTTAATTTTCAATAACACAATTCAATTAAAGAAAGGGAAGTACAAGGCTAAACAAATAAGAAATGAAGACAAAAACCCAACCTTTCAAATCTAAAGAAAATAATCTGTTTTAAAGACACAGATGAAGATCAGGAACCCAAAACAGAAGAAAGGAAAAGCAATTAACACTGGCATCTGATAACAACGAAAAGTATGGAGTCTGGAGAATCGCTAGACTCTAAAAATTATAAAGGTTTAGACTTGGGCTTTGTACACTGAAGAAAAGAAAACTGCATGCATTTATACTGACCAATGTACACTATTGCTGCTTTTTAACTTTTGTGTATATGTAGGGTAGATTTTTTTTTTAAGTGAAAGCAAGCTTATTAAGAAAGTAAAAGAATAAAAAGGTGGCTTCTCCATAGGCAGAAAACTAGCGTAGTTTTTTTATTAGAAATTGTTATTCAACAATAGTACATGTTACAAATAAATACCATTTTAAACTGAAAAAATTGTAGACTTTCAAATCAGTTAGAGTGGTCACCCTAAAAAAGGGCATTTTTTCCCCTTAGTCTCCTTGTTCATGTTGCTCACAACAAGAAATGGGCTAATGCTATGAATAATAATAACAAACACTGCCTTCTGTCAGGCCCTGTGCTGAATACCGTCTGCATATGTATAGGAAAGGGTTAACTCAGCAGGTCTTGTTTGCCCAGACTCTGTACATTTCCAAGAAAGGTCTGCCTTTAGGACTGGTCCTTGGCCAGCTCCTGGAGAATGAGCTCTCAGCTTTTAGAAAATTCTATCTGCTAAGAATAGTTTTGCATGTCTCAGGTCTTGGGCCACAAAATATCAGTTTAATCAGATGGTTTATGTTAACAACTATGATTTATGGCAAACATAGATCTCTAATCTCCATTTCTCTCTCATATATCTATATTTATCTATCCATATATATGTACCTATATATATCAAATATAAAGATATGTTTATAGCAATTGTATATACGTAGAGAGATAATATGTAGTATGAAGAGAGACATAGATATTATTCTTCATTTTAGAATGTTATCTTGGTATGTTTAAAAGGAAAAACTTAAGATGTGTTGCAATTGCAGTATGAGTTTCAGGTATGTACATGTTATGTGTGTGTGTGAGAGACACACACAAACACATTTCAAACATGTTTTATGTTTAAGCTCAATATTCAAACACAGAAATATAACATCTATTCTTAATATGTTTTATGTAAGTACAGCAGCAGCATTATTAAATACTGTATTTCTATGGTGATTGAAAATTAGTAGGCAGAGAATTTTTGTAATGGTTCTTAATAATTTTTGTAATAGTAAATGATTACTTTTTGTTTAGTATAGTTTTATAATCTATACATGAATAAAGTGGATATTTTTATTCATATAGAAATGTGATTTACTCTCATGTACTTATCTACATGCTAAAACCATAAGTTATCAATTTTAGTTCTGTGCCAAGGCACTTTTACTGAATAAAAATAATCAGCTAATTTTATATTTTCCTGATTCAAATTTATATGCCTGTGTAATGTTCCGGGGTTTTTTTTTTTTAATTTCTGTAAATCAGAATATTCAGATGTTGAAAAAGTCTTTGCCTTCAGATTTAAAAGATACCTTTGAAATGTAGCATATCCCAAAATGCAACCCAGAGGCTGGCAATGTCAACATTTTTCTGTTTTAAAAAACCTCTTATGAAAACTATTGCCATACTAAATTTTTTACTTGCTGATGACTTACAGCTGGAAAGGATTCTGTATATATAAGACATCAAATATTGAGGATACTGGAACTTTTAAATTAATGGCAAAGAAAGTCAACAAAGGAAGTTCATATGAAATCAAACTAGTAATATGATTACAAAAAAAAAAAGTTTAAAATTTTTCTTGGCCCCAGTCTTATCATTTCTGAGCCAAATACAATTCTATCGAAATCACCTGAAACTGAAATCACCATTCTAGGCTGGTTTTCCCATAAAGATGGACTGCTCCAAAAAGAGGAATCAAGAAAGAATTTGGCTCACAGTGAATTATTCACTTTGTCTTAGTTAAGTAAAAATAAAATCTGACTGTTAACTACAGAAATCATTTCAAATTCTGTGGTGATAATAAAGTAATGACCGCTTTTCAGCTGGAGGGACTAACTTCTTTTTTTTTTTTGCTGCATATATAGCTGTGGTACATTTTAATGTGAAATGATGACTGCATCAGCTTATATCCATGGAGCAGATTTTAGCATTCAGCTTGGGTCTCCCAGTCAATATCTACGAGTCTCTTCTTAAGGAGATCGATGACACAGATACATACAGACTAACAAATGTGATACCAATAATCAAGAATTCACTCAGTTAAGATTTTGCCCACTGATTTCCACACAAGAAACCTAGAATTTACTAGATTCTTGTGCCTGTGAGGCTCCACTCATTTCCCTGAATCACAAAAGCTACAGAGTATTTAGATAGAAATATACCTACTCTTAACATGAACCAGTTTAAATATATGTATTACTGTGTCCACAGGAGTACACTTTAAAGCAGGGACTTCACTCTTCAATCTCTCCAATCACGTGTTACCTAAAGTGGCATGTGGTTCCCTAAAGCTTAATAACTGACATTGCCTTAAAAAAGGGGTTTGCTTCCCGACTAATGTGGAAAAAGTCTGAAAAATGATTTTAAATCTTTCACTAAATTTCTCATTTGGTCACGTGGAGGAAAATGATTTCACCAAACAGATACTCTCATTAATTTTTTAATGTAATTTATCAAAGAAATGAAATATTTAGATAAATTCCAGGTTTCCCCCACCATGAGCTTCTCCGAAAGTATACTCCATCACAGACTGCTCACTAAGAAGCTTTACTGCAGTCAAAGTGACCGAATTTAAGGGGACATAATGACTACTTCTGCTACACAGAAACATTATCCATCTCTAACACTTCCCTATGAGACAGAAGACGGACTTCTAATCAGGTACCAGAGAGGGCTCTGCCAACTTCAGGGCTTTGATGAATAAGAATGGTTGAGAGCGCTCATCATAAATGAATTCAGTATAACTGAGTGAGAAAGTGAGAGAACCAGAGAAATAAATCCACATGTAGAAAATTTAGTGGTGTGAAATGCCAAATGCCAGTTAACCAAAGCTTTCTTTGTCATAAAGCAACTTCTATAAAAATTGCTGAAAATAAATTCTTCATGGCTCAATGTGAATCAGTAATTTCCATTTCTATTACACTGTTGTTTACCTAAAAACTATTTTTAATGACTAAGACTCAGAGTTTGCCAGAGTGTTTTCCACAAAACAACTGTTTTGAGATACTCCAGATCTGTAATCAAGTAAGTCTGAAAAACCCCAAATACCTCACACACCTCTTGGATATGCATAAAGCACACTAATATATAACGTTCTAAAAAGCCAATCATTAAAACTGTTTTATATTGTTTAAGCATTTCCTAGACATATTTGGCTACAAATCTAACATCTAATTAAACAGTCTGGGAAATGCCATCACATAATGTAGGAATATTACTAGTCATTTAAGAAACTAGAAAATATTTACTATATTCTAGGCAGTTGGCTAGCAGTTGGAGTTCTAGTCTCTAAACAAAATACTGACTTATTTCTGTGACTTTTTTCTTTTAATGTGACATCACTCTTTTAAGCAGCTCTGTGCTTCACAATTTTTTTTTTTCCTGGTTTGTTTTCCACTTTTGTCTGTACTTTATTCCTTCACAGATGTGAAAGGCTAACAAATGTAAACTAGTTATATTAATCAGCCTCTGCCTCAGTTCTACACTTCAAATACAGTATATACTCTATCAACAATTCTTGGATAATAACAACCTGTACTTGTTTTTCAAACAATAAAACAGGCCGGGCACCGTGGCTGGCTCACGCCCATAATCCCAACACTTTGGGAGGCCGAGGCGGGCGGATCACCTGAGGCCAATATGGTGAGTTCGAGACCAACCTGGCCAATATGGTGAGTTCTCGTCTCGACTAAAAATACAAAATAATTAGCTGGCCGTGGTGGTGTGTGCCTGTAATCCCAGTTACTTGAGAGACTGAGACGAGAGAATCGCTTGAACCCGGGGGGCAGAAGTTGCAGTGAGCCAAGATCGCACCAACTGCACTCCAGCCTGGGCAACAAGAGCGAAAACTCCACCTTAAAAATAAAATAAACAATAAAACGATGAAAACACAAATAACTACAGCACTTCAGAGTTAGTTGACAAATCCACCTTTTCAATCTACATTTCAAAATGTTCAGAAAGACACCATCCTAGGGGAAGTCAACCAGCAGCAACCTCTCTGCTAATTTTTGTACACAGAAACTTGACCTGACTGCACAAAGGTTTCAATAGATGTCTCCCTCTAAAATTAATATTGAATGATTTGTCATCTTCCATTTAATACCAAAAGGGTATCAGCCACAAACTGAAATATCACTCATATGCAAATAAATAACATTCAAGACTTTTATCGTTGTGGTTATTAATCTTGTAATGGATGGACATAAATCTATTCACATTCTCATCCTATCCTCAAATTTCACTATTCTCTCCTCTCATTCTTACTTTGTTCTACTCATATTCTCACACTATCCTCCTACGCATAAAATATTATGTATCCTAATGAACAGAGATACCATTCGTGGGCAAGGAAAAAACACAATGAACTGCTCTTTATAATAAAAATCATGATCTTGACACAGATGTTATCAATCAATAAACTTTACACAGCTTTACACTAAATTAATACAAACTGCTGATGAGTGGGTGGGGAGTGGTCACTAAGCAAACAGAAGCATGCAGGTGTTAGGAAGCACGAGAAACATATATCAGTGGGTAGGGAAGGCAGCTCTCAAAGGCCAAGAATATAAGTTTTAGGTCTATATGGAAAAAGCTGTGGTCACATTCGAAGGCTTCTGAACAGAAGAATGATTAATTTCATGCTTAAAGAGTTCAGGTGTAAATAAACTGGATGGATGAGAAACTCAAAATCAAGAATTTTAAGACACTGGGTTAAGGTGATTGAGCTAAGTCAAAGCCAACAGGGCATGGGCTAAATATTGACATGGGATGGGATGAAGAGGCCAACAATGTTTCAAAGCAGAGGTTGCCGGAGCTTCAGGAACCAGAAGAGGAAGACTTGAGGTGAAATCTGAAACTGCAATCCCCATACCTGGCTCAAAAGATGTGATACTGACTAGGAAAAGGCTGGAGAGAGAAGCTTCTTTTAAAGAGGTAATAAGGGATTGTTTTGATGTGCTGGGTTGAGGTGAAAATGACAAATATTCAGGTGGAAGTGTCCAGCATTCAAGTAGGATAACTTGGAACAGAAAGCCCAAATTATGTCGTGGTGAAATGAGGATAATGTCTTATTAATAAAAACACGTCTTACTAGTCTTTCCTGGGGAACATGAAAGATAGAATTTCAGAAATTTAGAGAATGAAAAAGGAAAGATTACAAGGCAATAAGTTGATTAAAATAGACTAAACTATTCAGTGGCAGCTATCTTAAAGCAAGATATATCTTCTACAGCACGATCTACCCAAATGCAAATCTGGGCAGAGAAATACAAAATATTTTTAGGACTGACAAAATTTCAGCTATATGTCTTTTTAAAAATGCTGCAGAGAGAAATTTAGATGGATTGGACAAATATTTGCATAAGGATTCCACAGCCAACGTACACAATTTTCCAACTACTATGGTTAGCACTGGGCTCAGGCACTACCTTTGCCAACCAGTAGATTTTCAGTATTGCCCCTGGCAGACATCCCATTAGCAATCTCTCCCCATTCCCAAACATTCTCAACTATTCTAGTCATGCCAATTCAACCAATGTCTCTTAAGCCTTACATAAACATTGACTTACACCGAAATGTATCCTATGGCTCTTACTAACTGTAACTTACTTAAATCACCCAAGCCTCTGTTTTCCCTGCTATAAAATGTAAAATAGCTGACAAAATACCTATTTGTATTTTTTGGAAACACGGGATAAAGCAAGGCAAGCAAAAAGAACAGCAGAGACAATGCTTAATAAATATCCTAGTAGGATCACCTTAATCCATGAAGAAAATGGAGTTTAATTTTTTTAATACAAAAAAACTCAATGAAGTTATACTTACGTTAAATTGGTGGTTATTTTAGGTCAGTGGTTTTAAAACTCAACAATGAAACTGTTTTCAAAAAGAGTTGTTATACAGAACAGAAAAAAGCAGCCACAATTTTAAAAAAGATATGAAGACCCAGATTCTCACTCATTCAGCTCCCTTCATACTCCCTCCCCACAGCCACCTCAGCTCCTGAGGCAGGTTCCCAGGGCTCCAAGGAACATACTTTTAAAAAATCAGTATTTTGAATATATAATAAGTGATGTAACTTAAAAGTATGGTGAGAAAGTCCCATTGCCAAGAGAAACATGTTAATTTTTTATTTAAAAAATCATCACTCTTTTCATTGTGACATCTTGAAGAACGCTGAATGGCTTCAAAATAACTGCATATGCCAAGATTTCTGGAGTGGGCACGTTTGATCTTCTTTCATAATGAAAACTGACAAACATTTTTAAGGGCATAGTATTGTTTCTTCACTCTCCCCCCCTCCTCACCCCTGCACACACATACATTTCTCCTTCCTGGGGAACTCCAAAGAAAACAAAGGCCCTTTAGCAATCAAGTAGATTGTCTCTCTTGATGGCATCCCATGAGTTATGGAATTACATACTGCAGGCCCAGGTGGATTAGGGCCCCTAGAAAGTTTGCTTGATCAACAGAGTGCTGTTGATTTTTTCAACTGAATTAATTACTCTTGGAGTCCAAACTCTCCAGTGTGCCACAGTCCTCATCACTTCCTGTATCTTAAATATTGCATTATCTGTCCCCTAAAAGTATTTGAACATGTGACCCAGAGAAGAGGACTTACAACTTGACTAGGCAACTTCTGTCACACTGGATTCATATGAAATTCCACTGCAAGTGACATCACCAGATTGGGGACCCTGAAGTGTTTGAGTATCTTCTCCACATCTGGTCATTTAGGCTAAGAAATTCCTTCTTGTCTACCAGGTCTTTTAGCATTCATTTTGTAAGTCATTCAACACCTACTTACTGAGAAGGAATACTGGGCTAGACAGTGTGCTAGGGGCTGGGGAAACCGCAATGCATAGGAGAGAATTCCCATCTCCAAGAGGCTCACAGTCAAACAGACATAAATAGGTGATTACAATACACACTAACAACATAGTTTTAGAAACAACTAGCAGAATTATATAGACGAAGATGCCAGGAAAGGCTTCTCAGAGAATCTGGCTTGGCAAATATCTCAACAAAGAGGGCTGAGCAGGGATGAGCCGAAGGAGAGGATGGAAAGTAGGTTGTGGGTGAGTTTTCCAGGCAGCATGTGCAAAGGTCCAGGAGAAAGAGGAAGGAGCCTGTACTTGGAGGAATATTCGATTACTATTATCAGTGTCACACTTGCTATTCATCTAGACAGAAGCTCCTGAAACAAAAAGGATACACTTCAAAAGATGCCAATATATCCATGACCACACAAAAGAGTGTCTAGTCATATAATAAAGGGTGTACATATGCAGGCAACTCACATCCTGCCAAATATTAAATTTCTAATTTTATTATAATTTCTAATAAAACATTAGATTTATTATTATACAGAGTCATACTCCTTGATTGGGAAACTCTCAACTCAATAAACATTCTTTAGTCTCATGTCTTTTCTAAAGGAAAGAAATTAATGTTATATTCTTGGGTGAAAAAAATGTGAGGTCTCAAAAGAGTATAATACAATTTGGGGATGCATATATATTTTACATGTATATAGACACATAAAAATCTAAAAGCATAAATTTTAATATGTTAACAGAAGACAGAAGTCATGTATTTTTTACTTTCTTCTTTTTGGCATATCTCTTTTTCTAACTTTTTTTTTTCTTTTTACAAAAAACAATTGTTATTTGTGTACTTTTAAAACCTCACAGTAATATTTTCACACTACCTTCTTGGCTGAAAGTTCACACTCGGAATTCCAGAGCAGTCCATGGCCAGGCCCACTGGGCTCCCCTTGCTCTCTCCTTGGCTTTGGTAACCACTGGCCCCAGGGACTCAGCCTGCTTTCCTATCCATCCCCTCAGTAGCTGTCACCATGCAGGTTACCCCTTCTGTTTCTTCTACCACTAACTCCATGTCTGACTGCAAGTGAAAGGAACAGAAGCCCAAACCTTTGGGTTTTAAGGAGTTTATTGCTAATCTGTAAAACAGAAAGAGACAGGAGATAAGCATGACAAAATATAGGGAAGAAATGACTTTTGCCTAAACTTCCCAATTGTGTACAATTGAAGCCTCTGCTTTATAGCTCTTAGCACACCTCTCAAATAAGAAGGCAGTACTGGGAAGGCTCTGAACCTGTGGCAGAACCACTGATAGCTGTGGAGCTATTCCAAGGAGTCTGGGAATCAGGGGGATTATCAAGATCATTGTTAGAATAAATTAATCTTACTGTATATATAGCAGAAGTTTTCAAGCATATGTAAATGCTACTAATAACCAAATAATTACACCTTGTTTTTCTTTAAACTGTAACTCTCAAGTATGTCTCTACATAATTTTTTGATTGGTAGTGTCTGCATGCTCAAAAAGCTTGAAAACACTACTGGAGAAGAAGGTCTCGGGAGTGTGATGAAATACGTTTACATGGCAGCTTCATCATTTAATTGGTGAAAGTGACTATGTGTCTTAAACTCTCTGAGCCTCAGTTTGCACATCCAAAAGCAAGGATATAATTCCATGAACCTTTCCACCTCAAGTCCACAAGGCAGAATAGCAAGATGTTAACTGCCACTCTGAGGACCACCAAATAAAAGGACAATTTATTAGGCCACTTGCCAGCATGGACACAATCGACTCTTGGCATTTCTTATTATCCACAGAAAAATTAAAAGTATAAATATAGAACAAAATTATCGTGTTTTTTTTAATAGTAACATGTAAGATCAATCTTTGTCTTTAAAATACCGTGTATCTCATTCTCGGAAAGCGTCAAAATGAAAATGGTATAGTAAGTTTTATCTACAACTTGAATTAAAATTATTCTTGAAATATGTTCTGAATGGTTAGATGAAATGGTAATTAAATACAAATAGAGATAATCATATACTCTCTCTCCATAAGGCTCCCACCTCCTTCAATGAAGTCTAGTTCACCTAAAATGACACTATTAACATTAATTCAATATTATAAGTTGATAAGCACATTAAATCAAAACACAGCAAGATTATTTTAAGAGTCTGACTGAAATGTCAGGATGAGAAATAGATTAATAAATATTGGCTTCTAATGTCGGTAATGAAAACAAACACGTTATTTTCAGAAAATAAAAGGTCTTCGTCATTAGGTACAAATCATAAAGGGATTATCTACGGTTACTACACTGTAACAACTTTTTACATATTGTATTATAGAACAAGCTTTTGAGAAGACAAAGCAACACATCAGCAGTTTAACCAATTGTCTTTCTCTTTTAACAGGCTGGTCTACATTAGATTAGATATAAAAGGCCCAGGTATTACTTGTGTTCGATCTTAGCCACATGGCTGAGAAACATCCAGGTACATTTAAATCAGTGACAAAAGAAAACATTATCCCTTAGTAAAATTACATAAAATAGGAAACATCTCTTACTTTAAGAGCAACGATGGTACTTGTTCCTATGGTGAAAACTGATGTTATCTCGATTAGTTAATTATTCATCCCAACACCTGGTCTTGCTTCCTTTTCCACCTCTAGCTATGTTAACACTAGAGTTCAGTAATTTGTTGATAAAGAATCTTAACTGCAGTATCTAACAGATCTTAGTGATTAAGCATATGACTTACCCTTTGTACAGATAAGTAAACTGAGGCCAAAAGAACTGAGGTATCTTATTAAAAATCAGAGAGCTAGTTAGTTGAAAAGTCCACCTGTCCTTCCTTTCCACATGTCTCACCAGAAAAACAGCAATGGTGAAAAGTCAACTCTGTTTTTAATGGGCCACTTTGTATATTTTAACTGTTAAAATAATCCAAGAAGATAGTAGTCATATACGAAGATCCTTTAGATATAATGTGTAGGACCAGCATTAATTTAATCAACCAAGTCTCCTCTCATTGAATTGTTAATTCATAATTACAAAGATGACATTACAGTAAATTAAGAAATACTGTAATTTCATTCTCTCCAAAAAGTATACATTGAAGTTTGGTGAATACTGTTATATTTTCAACTAGTAAATCAGTGTGCCAATTCTGGGTCTTAGGCATATTGTATATACTGGAATGATATTCACTTTAATTAAATTTGTTTTGAGATGTAGAATGTAATACAGATCCTACGTGTTTTTAAAAGTTCACATCAATTTCAAGCTTTTAAAAATGTATGTACACAAGAAAGCTTCTTTTGCAATTTATATGTTTACAAATGTTGCCATTAGCTAAGCTATATTTTGGAATGTGATCAAACAATATTGAATGTCAAGTCTTAACAGCAGGGCTGGTCTAAGGAATTCCCTCTAAGCTAAATCTGATCCTTTCATATGTGGCTACTGCTCTTTTAAACTACTGTATCCCTAAAGGGCTAAAAGGAAGAAAATCCTAACTTAATAAGTGAAGGCAGCAAGGCATAGTATTTGAATGGCTACCTTTCATTTTAACTCTACTTCTTAAATTCACAATTGGATTTGGGTTTGTTTCAAGTTGTTCACAATTTACTAACGAAATGTGCATCTCTCATTCTTCCCCCAAAAGAAAGAAGTCATCCACTCCAGCTACATATAAGTCTCCAATTTCTGTCTTACAACTAAACGTGAAAACCGAAATACCACTCATTGAAAAAAAAAATATACAGAGAATTGGCAGGCTGCATGTTTATGTGAACCTTCAGAAAACATGGAAACACGCAGCCCCAACTCACCAGGAAAATCAACACTTGTGATCAAACTATTTTGTGACATTTTATGTCTTTTATACATTTCACTTCATATCCAGTATTCCAGTTTTGCACCGGCTTGCCTGTATCAACCCCAAATCGCCTGAGAGCAATCTAGTACTGTAGCAGAACCGTTTCAACATGAAGAGTTCTGCTCATCGCCTGTGGCGTGGTCTTCGAAACACCTGAATCAAACATTGATTCCCCTCCCCCTGCTATTTAAAACCGAGGGACGTCAGGCTTGGGTTGTAGGTAAAGAAAAGCCACAGTAATCAAACAAGCAACCAAAATACCCGAACACGGAACACGCTAAGAACAAAGGAAACACAAGAGTGTGAACAGGAAATGAAGCAACTCTACACCCATAAATACCTTCTGGGGCCGCCAACATAGGTAAAAGTAAAGGTGGAGTCTGAGTATCTGAAATCTGAAACAGAAAGTCCTGTCAAAAGCTACCCCTGGAGTGGATTTGTTTTAACCCCGATCAGGACTTGGGCCCTCCATTTGGTGGAGTCAGGGGAGGCCTGGCCGGGCGGGAGGCGAGGGCTAGAGGGCGGCGAGGTCTCTCCGCGCAGCGTCCCAGGGGATGCGGCGCGCCCCCGACTGGGTGCAGCGGCAGGCCGCCCCCGGCAGCAAGTGCCGGGTGCCATGGCAACGGCGGGAATTTCCCGGTCGGGGAGGCCGGAAGCAGCCCCGCCGGGCTCGCGGCAGCGAACGCAAAATCCGATCTCTCTCCCGGGGGAGCAAAATGGACGAAAGGCGACCCCCCAGGCAGGGGCGCTGGGTGCCTTGGGAATCCGAGGAATCCCTTCTCTTTGCCAGTCGGAGGGGACTAGATGGAGCCGAAGGGGCCGGAGATGGGCCGAGCGCTGCCCCCCGGGGGTCTTCGGCGCCGGGCGCAGCTTACGAGCGCAGCGCAGCAAGCTCCATTCCCGGCCGCCGCCGCTCAGCCCATTACGCAAACCTGGCGGGTCCAACCAACCCCGCTCTGCCGCCGCTGCTGGAACCCAGGAGGCGTGCTTGCAGGCTTCGGGCACTACGCGGGGCTGGAAATACCACGCACTGCCCCTTCGCCTAGACCCCCGCTCGGGCCACGCGGGTTCTGCCCTCAAAGCTGGTAGCTGCCCCAGACTTGGGGGTGGGGGGAGGGGAAGGGGCGAGGCTGGCACCCCCTCTGGCTTTTGGCTCCCGTGTTCGTTGCAGCAGCTGTTGCCAAATGAACCCCGGAATGCGGACGTGCAAACCCTCCACCCCACCCCCAGCCACACACGTCGCGGTCAGAGAACTGGGAAGGGGGCGCGGGGTCCGAGGTTCTGGAAAAGCAAGAACTCACCTGCAAACAGGCAGTCCTCAGCTCTGGACTTCTGGATCACGACGTCGATATCCTTCTGAATTCGGTCTTGCCTTGAACACATCCCCATTAAATAAGTCCTTGGAAAAGAAGCAGCCGCTATTTCCACCCCACCCCCCTCGCACGCTTTCAGCTTTCGTAAATATTCAGTTAAAAATGAAACCTCTGGCCGAGGCAGGGGCTGAAGGCCAACTGGTTTCGGAAGTGATCCTGGGTGAGAGGAGGAGAAGGAGGAGGAGGAGGTGGAGGTCGGCTTTCCATTTCCAGATGTGACTGCCCAGCTGCTGCTCGCCGCTGCTGGATTCCAATTACCTCCCCTTCTGGCGATGGATTGGTGATGACACCGAGTCTCACTTTCTCCTTCCCCCGCCCGGACCAACCGCCGTGGGGGGCCGAGGGTGCCGGGGACGGCCGGAGAGCGATCACCGGCTGGGCGGCGGGAGCCGACGAGGGGCGAGCCCCGCTCCGGCTCAAGCGCGCACACCCCTCACGGCCCGCACTCCGGCCTTCCACACCCGTGCACACTCTCGCCCGCGGGCGGCGGCAGCCGTGCCCAGGCTGCTGCAGCGCCACCCGCCCGCCGCGGACCCTCCGCGCCCTCCGCCTAGTCACCCGGCCCGGCCGCGGGCCGCCGGGGCTCGCAGAGTGTCAGCCATCCCGGGCAGGAGTCGCGTCTCCCCACACCGACCTCCACTCGCGCCGGGAGCTGAGCGGCAGTGTAGGTAGTGAAGACTCCCTGGGGCTCCCAGCCTTCCCTCTCCGCGCTCTCCCCCCATCACTTTTATGAATTCGACTCCACTTTCTAAAGGAATTATGAGTCTTGTGGCAAACACAAACCGGAGTGGCCGGGAGGGGGAAAAGGGGGGAAAAGAACACCTTTAAAAATTAAAAAAATAATAAAACGAACAAATCTTTACTTGTTGCCACCTCAGATAACACGGAAAAAGCCTTGAAATTACCCCAGATGTGCACCCTCCCCTTCCCTCAGTGCCTGAGTCTTTTTCCTCCAGATCGAAGTATTTCAGCCCTTTTGGGGTGCCGTTTGCGAAACACAGCCCCTTTTGAGGGACTTCCTCTTCTTGAAAAGACTCACCAGTTCTCCCTTCCTAGGTGTTTCTGTTCATGAGAAATTGTCAGAATCAACTGGCACGTTCCAGGGTCTTCCTAAAGGACGGAAACCTGTTTGGCTTGCTTTTTAAAACCACCTCCTTTGACAGTCAGTCCAGGGAAAGCTACAATCCAGGTGTTCAGAAATGAGATACTGCTCTGATTCTCACTTTCTGTTCTGCCTAAGGACACCTCAGGCTGACGTAGCTGCCCCACCTCTATATTGGTTTATGCCCTAGGAGAGGTCTCCAGCAGGCACTTTTCTTGTTGATCTTTTCTCCGCTGAGAAGGCTCCCGCCAGTAGACCATGACTCGTTTTGCTTTGCATTCTCAGTGCCACGTACAGTGCCTGGAATACAGGAGGGTGGCCTAAATGTTGGCTGAATGCATGAATGGTCATTTCTTGCAGCCTCTTTTCATTACCCTGTCTCATCAGCTTTCTTATCAGAATAAGTGCCCAAGAGTGCCAAACTGTTTCAGAACCTTAATCAATTTAGTTCTGATTCTGACCGTGACAACATGATGTTCAGCACGGTACGAATGACTGCCATCTCTGAAGGAGTCTTAAGATTCTGTAGAATCAATGAAAGATTCTATGTTCTAACGCCTTTATCTTTCAGGAAAGAAATTACAAAATAGTTTCATTGTCCAGTCATATTCACTATGAGTTATAAGAGGAAACATTCTATCTAGAATTAGAAATACCATTTGACCCAGCCATCCCATTACTGGGTATTTACCCAAAGGACTATAAATCATGCTGCTATAAAGACACATGCACACGTATGTTTATTGCGGCACTATTCACAATAGCAAAGACTTGGAACCAACCCAAATGTCCAACAATGATAGACTGGATTAAGAAAATGCGGCACATATACACCATGGAATACTATGCAGCCATAAAAAATGATGAGTTCATGTCCTTTGTAGAGACATAGATGAAATTGGAAATCATCATTCTCAGTAAACTATCGCAAGAACAAAAAAACCAAACACCGCATATTCTCACTTATAGGTGGGAATTGAACAATGAGAACACATGGACACAGGAAGGGGAACATCACACTCTGGGGACTGTTGTGGGTTGGGGGGAGGGGGGAGGGATATCACTGGGAGATATACCTAATGCTAGATGACGAGTTAGTGGGTGCAGCGCACCAGCATGGCACATGTATGCATATGTAACTAACCTGCACAATGTGCACATGTACCCTAAAACTTAAAGTATAATAATAATAAATTTAAAAAAAAGAACAAAACATCACATTGTACCACATAAAAAAAAAAAAGTTGGATTTTGCAAGGAAGATAGACATCTGACTAAAGTTTGGCCAAGCAAGGAATCTTTGTTAGTACTACTTCTTGTTTAAGGAAAGAAGAGACATTCATCTTTCCTTCAAACAATATAAGTCTCTTTTCTTGTTTGATCACCTTTTATTCATTAAGGACCAGTTGAATCATCTGTTGGGACTTGGTAGCAGAGGATATTTCCTGGATAGTGTGAGCTATCAGGCCTTTAATGTGGGAAGTTTAGTTTCTATAAAAATAAAATTAAAAAAGATTAATAGTTGGAACGAACTATAAAGACAGTTTCTGAGCCCAGAGGGCAGCTGATCAATAAGATTTCTAGATGCTGGGCTTGTAGTATCTTCAGCTGGTGTGAGAAGAGGCATTGGATTAGTTTGCAGTTTGAATGCCATAAAGATGGGCCACACACAAGCTGTTGTGGTAATTTTTCTGAAGCTTATGTCAAGTCATCCAGTTTCAGTTTGAAGGACTTCAAGAAATGAAAAGTTTATAATTTTAGTGATTCCAAGCCAGAATAGCAGGAAAAAAATGAAATATTAATTTGGAGTGTTGTAGCTAAATATTGTAGTAAACTAGAAAAATTGAGGATCTATTGCAGATTGCAGGCAGATAATAAAACCTCAGAAAAAAAAAAAAAAAACAGCTAGAATCTAATATTGGGTGCACTGCAGTTTTCTCCCGAAACATAACTTTTCTCTCTATATTCACTCTCATTTCTGTCAAAGATAATCAATGTCAGATTGATTTGTTTGCTAAATAAGTTTAATCTCATTAAACTTGTACTGGTTATGTACACAAGTGCAGTTAAGAGTAGTGATTGACCATTTAGGCTCTTTTAAAAGTTGCGTTTGTCAGATAAGAAATCTCAGATTAAACTTTTTGTTTTTGTTTTTTTAGACAGAGTCTCCCTCTGTCTCTCAGGCTGGAGTGCAGTGGTGCGATCTTGGCTCACTGCAACCTCCGCCTCCTGGTTTCAAGCGATTCTTCTGCTCAGCCTCCCTAGTAGCTGGGATTATAGGTGCGTGCCACTATGCCTGGCTCATTTTTTGTATTTTTAGTAGAGACAGGGCTTTCACCATATTGGTCAGGCTGGTCTTGAACTCCTGACCTCGTCATCCACCTGACTTGGCCTCCCAAAGTGCTGGGATTACAGGGGTGAGCCACTGTCTCCAGTCAGATTAAACTTTTAAAAGCCACTTGAGGCTGGGATACAAGCCCAAAACTTGTCATTAGTCTGCACCTGTTACATTTATAGATTTAGATAAATTTCTCTCTTCTTGAGGTCCCTAAAATATCCCAAGGTTTCCAGACCCACCAAGCAGTGACATTCTTTACTTACCTGTAAGTCTGGGAACCCTAGAGCCAGTTTTTCCAAGATGGTACTTTATTGGTTCCATAAAGCCAACCTTAGTCCCCCAAAGCCTTCTGGTCATATCTGAAAACATGATGTTTCAGTCAAAGCCTTGGTGATATAACCTGTGTTTCCAGTTTGTCCTGTTACAAAGACAACAGATTCTTATTAAACTTATGCAAATAAATACATTGCCATAAAAATAAGAATATGCACAAATAGTTTCCAAATTCTGGAGGGATAAGTTAGGGTGAAAAAGTAAATATTTCCATTTTGCACAAAAGTATTCTTTACTGAATTGGTGTAAGCTAGAGATAGCTTAAAAGAAAGTTCTCTGAAATCTGGAAAACAAAACATTTAAAGAACTAGCAATGTTTCCAACAAAAAGTCATTTTAAAAATTATTCTCATCAGTTCATTCTTGTTTTGCTTGATCTTGGGTTAGTAGTTACATGAACCCATCAGTTTTATTAGAGTTCTGGAAATTCTTACCAGTCCAATTGTATGACATTAAAGTTGTTCAGAAACCTGTATTCCAGAATACTCATAAGAGTATTTTCCATAAATCTCCTTGAAGAAGAAGCCATTTTGGACTGTAGCTAATTTCAAATGCTTTTAGAGAACAATTAAATTAAAACAATGACTGTCTACAGATGACAAGGACTTAAAATGTCCATGGTTAGAAAATCTAATGAGAGTTCATTGCAATGATACAATTTATAAGAAAATTTGGTTAGCATGGCATACAGCATTTTAACATAATAACCAAAATTATGACTGATAACATACTAGATTTCTAGGAATCTCATACAACTTTTGTACACTTATCCCAATAATATATCCATAAATATAACTTAAAGATGGCTTAGCATCACTTTTTATTTGAATGCTACACATATAATTTAGCATATTAAATGAATCTAATTGGTTTAATCTCTCTTTCATACAAAAAAAAATATTCTTTGTGGCTTTCTGAGGGTCCAATATGGATAATCCTAAGTTAATTTGAGGTCAAAAAGACTTAACTTAGAATGTGATTTTGGGAAGATTGTCAAAAATGTCAAAAAGTTTAAAACATTTAAAACAAATATGACCATAGTTATCTATTTAATAAAAGCTCCATTAAAAGATTTTAAAGGCAAATTCAGATTACATAGTTGTGAACAAGAACTTAGCTCCTTTAATATTGAGAAGACTCACTTTTCTTAAGTAACCAAAAACCTAATAAAACAATATGAAACTCAAGAAATTATCTTGATGAAACAGTCTCTGTTTCTGAGGCCAATTACTTAAAAGGAAAAAAATACCCTTTACATTCTCAGACCAACATTCCAAGAAAACTTTACCATTTTAACGGAGAAGATCAAATTCTACTTTTGAATCAATGTATTACTAAAACTAAGTTTTAATAAAACCTTATAAATAAATCTATCCAATCTCAGTCAGCTTAGACCATACAAGATAAGATTTTCACAATCCTTCTAGACATCTTTTCTTATTTACTTTTGCAACAGACATACACCAGACAATTAAGCAATTTACTTTTACTACATATTCTACTCTTAGGTTGAATTTATGGTTTTATGGCCTTAAACATCTAACAGTAACAACACAAACTTGTCTAATCAGCAAAGCCAGGTAAAACAAGTGTATGCTGACAATTCTGAAAATGTTTCTATTTTTATTTTACCAATATTTTTTAAACTAGTTTTTATTTACTAAAGAATATCCCAGATTATGTGAACTTAAAAAAAATTGGGTCAGTTTCTACTTTTCTGAAAATTTTATACATTCTTATTTGTTTGAGTGCTCATTTATCCCTAGCCAATTTGGGTATTTTAGTTTGGTAATAACGTTGGAGGTAGAAAAATATCACATATACATAACATAATAACATAGATACACACATGTACACATACACAAACATATAGACTGATGTAACCAGATCTTATGACTTCTCATTTAAAAAATTTTAACCAGGCCAGGTGCAGTGGCTCATGCCTGTAATCCCAGCACTTTGGGAGGCTGAGGTGGGTGGATCACCCGAGGTCAGGAGTTCGAGACCAGCCTGGCCAACATGGCATAACCCCGTCTCTACTAAAAATACAAAAATTAGCCGGTCATGGTGGTACATGACTGCAATCCCAGCAACTCGGGAGGCTGATGCAGGAGAATCGCTTTAACTCGGGAAGTGGAGGTTGCAGTGAGCCAAGATTGCACCATTGCACTCCAGCCTGGGTGACAGAGCAAGACTTTGTATCAAAATACATAAATAAATAAATAAAAAATAAAAAAGACTTCCCTGATCGAAATTTAAATCAATTTCCCCTTCTAATTCTAAAGCAGCCTCCAAGATCCTATAGGGTTTGGGAGAAAATTTGACTTAATTGTCCAAACTTTTAGCCCGAATATTATGATTTTTATCAATTAATTCACATGTGGTGTAAGAAGGCAGGGCCACTAAATGGTTGAAAAGGGCGAATTGGAATAATTCTTTAGAGGATTTTTAAAAACAGAGTAAAGCAGACAATGAAAGGGTCTGCATTTTGGCCAAATACCTCCATGTTGCCATTCCCCAGGTTGTTCCCAAAAATGTAGATTGGAGAATTCAGCAATGCACTTAAAAGGCCAAGCAAATCTGTCTTTGGTATTTTAAGTGGTTAAGATTTATTGATTGATTGATTGAGACAGGGCCTCACTCTGTCACCCAGGCTGGAGTGCAGTGGCTCCATCATGGCCCACCACATCCTCAACCTCTCAGCTCTAGCAATCCTCCCACCTCAGCCTCCCGAGTAGCTGGGACCACAGGTGCATGCCACAATGCCCAGCTAATTCTTGTTTTTTTTTTTTTTGTAGAGAGGACATCTTGCTGTGTTTTCCAGGCTGGACCTGAATGAACTTCTGGGCTCAATCAATCCTTCCACCTCAGCCTAACATTTACACTGGGAGCAGAGATGCATTTGGAGTAGGTGATGATTTTGGAATGCTTTAGAAGCAACATAGGTATCTGATTTCATCAGGTCAAGCCATCAAAAATGACCAATAAATCTCTGACCTCTTAGAAGCAATTTGAAGACCCAAATTTTGGCCATCATCAAAATTCGTGTTCATTCAAAATTAGACATTCTGGAGAGCAAGGACAATCATTTTGCTGATGCTGCAGCTAAGAATGCAGCTCTGAAGTTGACATCAGACACAGAACTCCTCGAAATGACCTTGCTGACTTATGACCCATTGAAGACTTCATTAGAAGTACAAGTGGGCTGGGCATGGTGGCTCATGCCTGTAATCCCAGCACTTTGGGAGGCCAAGGCTGGCGGATCACCTGAGGTCAGGAGTTTGAGACCAGCCTGGCCAACATGGTGAAATCCTGTCTCTACTAAAAATACAAAAATTAGCTGGTGTGGTGACA
This sequence comes from Homo sapiens, assembly GCF_000001405.40. NCBI lineage: Eukaryota > Metazoa > Chordata > Mammalia > Primates > Hominidae > Homo > Homo sapiens. Next base: position 120,348,915 of record NC_000001.11, read on the forward strand.
CATGTCTATAATCCCTGCTACTTGGGAGGCAGAGGCATGAGAATTGCTTGAACCTGGGAGGCGGAGGTTGCAGTGAGGTGAGATTGCACCACTGCACTCCAGCCTGGGTGACAGAGCAAGACTCTGGCAAAAAAAAAAAAAAAAGAAGCATAAGTGGGAGCTCCCAAGCAGGAGAGGGATCTCTGGAAGGATAAAGGGAACAAATTTCTTCCAGAAACAGTCATATGGTATGGGCCCAATGATACACTGATCTATCCCTTAGGCTTCAATTACCCTTTTACAGTACTTCATAAGCTGACTCATTGGAATTCAGACAAAATGTTGGCATGGGGAAAGCAATGGTATTGAAAATCATTGCCTATGATTGCAGAAAATGTTTAGTCTTGCCATACTGTCTGTCCCAAACATAATCCTGGAAAACCCCTTCATGGGTCACAGGGACATTTTGCCTTTGGGACCCTTCGAGACATGGCAGTTAGACTTTATCCAGCTGTCTCCATCTCAGGGTCACAGATACTTTCTGGTGCTAATTTGTATATGCTCACTGGGGTGAGCATTTCCATGCTGATGAGCCACAGCCCAAGTAGTAGGTAGATTGTGATTAGAAAAGGTAATTCCTCATGGGGGGTGCCATCTGAACTCCATAGAAACCGAGGAACACACTTCGTTGGTCAGGTAATTTGATCCATTTGTAACATTTTTGCCTAAGTCCCAACATTTCCATTGTGCCTGTCACCCCTAATCCTCTGGGCCGATGGAATGCACTAATGATACAATAAAAACTCAATTGGCAAAGCTAACAGAAGTTTTTAACCTTTCTTGGACAAGGATCTCCCACTGGTTGTGGAAAATGTCCACACTCTCCCTCTTTGAAATAATAACAGGAAGACCCTTGCAGTGGTTAGATGAAGGCGCTTATGAATCTGCACTTCTTAAAGGTGACATTCTCCATTACTGCTAAGATCTCACAGAACTTACTAAGAACTCAACGTTAACAAAGAATTCCATTCATAATGAACTCCTGGGAGATGAAAATATCAAAAATCTTGGCCTATAACCTGGAGATGTTGTTGTTTACTGGAAACAACATCAAATAAAATATTCTCCCCAAGACTGTTGGAAGGGACCACATCAGCTATTATTATTACTTTATATATTTTTTTGAGATGGGATCTCATTCTATTCCCCAAGCCAGAATGCAGTGGCACAATCATGACTCACTGTAGCCTTGAACTCCTGGGCTCAAGCCACCCTTCTGCCTCAACCTTCCAAATATTTGGGACCACAGGCATAGGCCACTGCACCTAACTGACGACAGGTATTACTGACCAATCTGTGCCAGTAAACTTAAGGGCGTTGACACATGGATTCATGTTTCTCTTGTAAAAGGCAACCCTACCAGAGTGGACATCTGTCAGTGGAGATTTTCACTTAAAGGTAACTCACAATCTTCCTGACAGAGATGGCAAGTAGCTGACATCTGGTGTAGTCCACTTTCACCCAAGATACTGGCCTGTATAATCAGTTACAATTCCAGTGCTGACCGTGCCTGAGAGAGTTAGTCTCTTTTTTGCTGACTGGAATACATACACCATTAGGGCTCCTTTAAGTTGTAGGGGTTGTCTCTTGGTGGTTTTGGCAAAATCACCCTATATGCATATTCTCTTAAGATATGACACACTACTCCTGTTGCGTGTATGTGTATATACATATACATACATACATACATAGCAGAATACCTGTGATCAGATTTCTGTTTTACTGTCCCTAATTAATTTGATTACAGCAGGGAGGGATAATTCTCTGATTAGAATCTCACAAACCATTACCTCTGTGGGAAATTTGACAAGGTTCCAGGTTTGCCACTCAAAACCACAAACCACTTTTGACCATAATGACCCATTGGTACATCCTGTGCTAAATTTCACCTGTATTCCTCCTGATTGCACTCACGATGCAACTCAGGGTCATATCAAGCAAAACCTGTTTATCTAATCTGTCTGACTCACCCTAACCTTCCTGCCGCACGTCTCAGTTTAACCCATCGTAATCGTATTGTCAAAATAACTGCCTGTAATCCCAGCACTTTGGGAGGCCAAGGCAGAAGGATCACTTGAGCACAGGGGTTTGAGACTAGCCTGGGCAAAATGGTGAAACACTGACTCTATAAAATATATACAAATTAGCTGGGTGTGGTGGTGCCCACCTGTAGTCCCAGCTACTCAGGAGCATGAGGTGAGAGGATGACTTGAGCTAAGGAGTTCAAGCCTGCAGCGAACCCTGATGACGCCACTGCACTCCAGCCTGGGCAACAGAGTGAGACCCTGTCTCAAAAAATAAATAAATAAGCTGCGTGTGGTGGTGTGTGCCTGTAGTCCCAGCTGCTTGGGAGGATGAGCCATTGAGCCTTGGAGGTCAAGAGGTCAAGGCTGTACTGAGCTGTGATCTTGTCACTGAATTCCAGCCTGGGAGACAGAGTCCTTGTCTTAAAAAGTAATTATAATAAAAATAAAAAGTACAAAACCAACCAAACAAAAAATTGTTTCTTCACTCTGAAATAACAGTGGTTAACACCATGATGCCACTGGAAAGTTAAAAGAAAAACACTCCCTCCTGCTATCAGGATCCAACCTGCCCTCTTGCTCTAAATTTCTGACCCATGGTTTAAATGCCCAAAAGCTGATGTACTCAAATTATAGCGCACTTACTTGTTCGGCGTTTATTTTTGTCTCTTGAAAAGATCACCATCCATGGCCCTATAAATGTCGAAGGGCATGGAATGATGAAGTGCAATGTCATTATTGTTATGTATCTCTCATCGTTTTACTTCTGGGAAAACTAATTTCATGGTATTCTGAAGAGTAGAGATGATTCAATAAGTGACAGCAGCTGTAGACTTAACTGAGGCCCCTCTCTCTCTCTCTCTCTTTTTTTTTTTTTGCCACTCTATGATGCCCTTTTTTTTTTTAAGACCGAGTCTCACTCTGTCACCCAGGCTGGAGTGCAGTGGTGTGATATTAGCTCAGTGCAGCCTCAAACTCCCAGGCTCAAGCCGTCCTCCTACCTCAGCCTCCTGAATAGCTGGGACTAAGGTGTGTGCCACTACACCTGGCTAACTTTGTATTTTTTGTAGAGATGGGGTTTCACCATGTTGCCCAGGCTGGTTTTGAACTCCTGGACTCAGGCAATCCACGTATCTTGGCCTCCTGAAGTGCTGGGACTACAGGTGTGAGCCACCATGCCTGGCTGTAATGCCCTTTCAATTGGACTTTTGGGCATTCTTAAAAATTCCTCAGTGAGGTGGCTTCTTTCCTCCCCTGTCCCCTGCTTGGGACAGGACTATCCGGGAATGAGCCTTTCTGGCAAAGAGGGACACCCTTGACTTAGCTTTTGATCATCGATGCTTTCAAGAAGAAAGATTAAAAAAACTTTTTATCTGAGGAATGTGAGCCCTTTCAAATGATCAGGCCCAGAGAGACGTTAAATCGAGACAGCAACCACTTTCCGCTCCTTCCTTTTGAGCTGCGCTGAGCTATGTATTCATCCGTTGAAACTGCTTGCTATTGCCTCAAGTAGCTGTAAATTAACCTAATAATGCCACACCAATCCCTATACCCCCATACCCTATAACTTAACAACATATAGCCAATCACCAAGCAATGTTATTTCTGTAAACCAATGAGAATTCCTGATAGGCACCTATCAGCCCACTGTCTGTCCCTGCTTTTGAACTTTAAAAACCTGCTTGTGGGCAGGGTGCGGTGGCTCACGCCTGTAATCCCAGCACTTTGGGAGGCCGAGGCAGGCGGATCATGAGGTCAGGAGATCGAGACCATCCTGGCTAACACGGTGAAACCCCGTCTCTATTAAAAAAATACAAAAAAAATTAGCTGGGCGTGGTGGCGGGTGCCTGTAATCCCAGCTACTAGGGAGGCTGAGGCAGGAGAATGGCGAGAACCCGGGAGGCGGAGCAGAGTTCGCGCCACTGCACTCCAGCCTGGGCGACAGAGTGAGACTCCGTCTCAAAATAAATAAATAAATAAAAAATAAAAAATAAAAACCTGCTTGTGACAAAGGCCAAAGGGAGCTCAGATCCAAGCTTCCTTGGTGTGAGTCTTCCAGGCAGTTGTCTTCATGTTGACTCAAGTAAACTCTAAATTATATTTTGTGCTTCAGCCTCCTTCTTTTAGGTCAACATGTTCAACAACAGTAGAATAAATACATAAGTTAATGTATATTCCTACAAAGGAATACACGTAGAACCAAATAACCATATGAATAACATGAAAAATTCATAGACATAGGACTGAGTGAAAGAAGTCAGACCTATGCCTCTGCTTCTGCAACCGCCTTTGCAAAAATTACAACTGGGACAATTACCACAGTGAAAGAGATCTGATCTAACTGATTCCATCTTGCTTCTAACGTACAAGCTGTCCTTGTTGATTGCTGGGCACAGGCCGAAATAACTTTGGGAGGAAATTAGTTTATGGTTTAGCTGTGAAACAAAGATGATAATATCTCTGTCCCGAAGCAAACCCCCTTCCTGCCTGGGGACTAGACTGCCTTTGCCGGACTAACAAATTAGCCACGAGATTAGAAATTATGGTTTAGGAGTCATGTAGCCTCTGGCTGCAAGATTCTAAACCTCCCCAAATTGTTCCTGGAGATCACATCGTTATTGGAAAACCTAAGATCAGTGCTTGAGATATTTTGCCGACCCTGCACTCAGTGGATCAGCTGGCACCAGCTAGACTGATAACCTGGCTCAGCTGGTCTTGTGGCCCCCAAGCAGGAACTGACCCAGCAACAAGACCACAGCTTCAGCTCCCTGTGATTTCATCTCCGACCTGGCCAAGCAGAACTCTCAATTCACCGGCCCCCAATCACCAAATAAAGAGTGCAGCTCTTTATTGCAATTCCCCTGTGTCGAAAAATTGGCTCTGTCTAGGCAGCAGGCAGGGTGTACCTGTTGGGCAGTAACACTCCCCCCAAAACCCACTACAGACTGTGACTCAGCTTATATGAAAGTAAAGGGCAGGAAAAACTTGCCTGGTAGATTTGCAGAGACGGGGGTGGAAACCATTAATAAGTCTGTGGAGTATTCTCAGAGTTTGGTGTTGTAGTCTACATATTAAAAGTAATCAGTTAAACACCTGAAATAAAACTTCTCCCAAATATTTTTGCCAAATTTGGATGACTGTGTTTCTGTCTTCGCAGCATATAAAGTGTTAACATGAGGTAAGCGCTAAGGTCTAGAGAAGGCAGTGAAGAGATGACAAACTCCAGCACCATGCCTGAATGTCCAGTGTGCTCTGCTGGGGCAGCACATTTTTGTACATTGCTGTATCTGAAAAAAACCCTACAAGATTCATGAAACTGGACGACCGTCTTTATAATACTCCTAGTGATAAAACAAGTAAGGATGGCTGGTTTGCAGTCATCTGAGCAGCCTCTCTAGTTTCATAGATACGGTTTCTCTCTGATATTGAACGACTTCCAAATGTCAAGCGAAATGCTACATCACAAGGATAACCGTATGTGAAAAGAACCGTTTTTCTTTGTAATCCTAAACTTTCTAGTCTGAGCTTTAAAAGCCATTATTTGAAGAAAAGCGCACAGGCTCCAGCTGGCCGCCAAAGGGGTCCTTTGCATCACAGGCTAAGAACCTACTTCTTTGGGAGAGACCAGGGACGGGGATGGGAGGGAAAGGAGGTAGAGTCAGGTGTCACTTCCTCCGCCCGCTCCCGCAGCTGGTTGGTCGGCCGAGTGGCAGAGGGTGGGGCGGAAGAGCAGACGGGGACGGGAAAGGCGCTGTCGGTGACATCACAGATAGGGCGATTCCTATGCAGAGGAGGCAGCTCAGGGGCTGCTGCTTCGCCAGGAAAGATTTCTCGTGCTGTGGGAGCTAGTCCAGGACTTCCGGTTGGACGTGATAGTCCCAGCTGTGTGTCAGGGCTAGGAGGACTTGAGGCGGCATGGGGGCGGGGTGGGGGAATGCGCGGGGCAAGTGACCGTACGTGTAAGGGGTGAGGCGTATGGAGCTGTGGCAGGGCGGAGGTGCGTTCATTCATACTTATGTAACAGGAGAAAATACGGCCATGAAGTTGGTGTTTTTCGGGGGCGGTTTTTCCATTGTACTCAGTATGTGCTGACTGACTCCTGTTACTTCCACATGTGGGGAAACTGGACTGTAATTTGTGGTGGTGGGGAATTGCGTTCGCGCTTTCTTCTGGAGGTTGTAGTGCAAAAAGCAGTTTGTCTACCAAGTGATACTTTCAGCTTTTACAAATGCTGAACAATATCCGTGGTGTGTTTTCATGTCACCTCCTCTCCCTTCTTTGTTAGAAAAAAATGGAAGAGCACGTGGATGTTTTGAGATGAGAAGAGGTGCGTTCACCACCTTCACCTCCGTGTAGGCTTGTTATTAAGGGAAAGGGAACAAAGGAGTCTCACTTATGTAAGATGACCTTACATGAGAAGAAGAAATTCGAGTTGGTGAAAAGAAAGAAATTCAATTTCAGCCGGGCGCGGTGGTTGACACCTGTAATTCCAGCACTTTGGGAGGCCGAGGCAGGCGGATCACGAGGTCAGGAGATCAAGACCATCGTGGCTAACACGGTGAAACCCCGTCTCTACTAAAAAATACAAAAAAATTAGTTAGGTGTCGTGGCGGGTGCCTGTAGTCCCAGTTACTCGGGAAGCTGAGGCAGGAGAATGGCGTGAACCTTGGAGGCGGAGGTTGCAGTGAGCCGAGATCGCACCACTGCACTCTAGCCTGGGGGACAGAGCGAGACTCCGTCTCAAAAAAAAAAAAAAAAAAAAAAAAAAAAGAATTCAATTTCAACAGTCTAATATCCTGGCATGCAAGAGAGAAATTCTAAGACTGTCTCAACTGTAGAAATGTTCAGGGGGAAAAAAAAATAGATGATTATTTATTCTGTTTCATTCATTGTCTCGTTGAGTTTGTCACATGCCAGGTGAGGTGCCTTACCTGTGTTCATAACCTCAAGACATAAAAGGGAAGGAATTTTAGAATGATTCAATGATATCACTGTTTTGCCTAATAAGCAAATAATTCAGTAAGAGACACTTATTAACAAATCTAAGAATAAAGCTTCCTTTTTAATCACAAAATTGCCTTTCTTCACATTATCTTTCTTTACATTCTTTGACAAAGTACCCCAACCCATCAATATTGTCTGTCTTATCCAAACTGAAGGATGATAATCCAGATTTAAGAAAATATCTATCAAAATAATGACAACATTGAGCATGTACTCAGTATCTGCTGGGTATAGGGCACAACAAATATCTCTCGAGTTAGTACCAGGCCCTGTGCTGAGGCCTCCACTCCTCTCTAGCTCATGTGCACTGAGCAGCGAGTGCCACTGGCTCCTTGAAAGCTGCTTAGGCACCACCGTTTTTAATTCCCATGAGAGGTGCTGTGTGCACCCCAGTGGACAGATGAGGGAATGGAGAGCAGGTGGATACCCTTGGGTAGAGAGCCACACATGGTTGGATCCAGCTCTGGAAGGACTGACCCCTTCTCTACCCGACTCGAGAAAGCCCACTGTCAATGATCTCGACCTCTACTTTATGTCTCCTATTTCTGGAACGGAAATGACCTCGTGCATATTTCAAATTCTCCAGCTTTTCCTTGCCTTTCCTCCATCTTGTCAGTACTCAAATAGGAAAATGATATATACATATATGTTGATCATGTACACTTAATTTCCTAGATGTAATTAAGTATAAATTTCAGGCAAAATGCTAACTTGAATATATTTTTATGTTAAAACTTTTCCATATTTCATTCACTTATCATTAAGAAAGCAAAACCTTTGCACAAAATATTGTGCTAGCCTTTGCCAGGAGACAGAAATGAGGAGTCATGGGCTGTGTTCTTCAGGAGTGTTGAGTTCTCCCGAGAGTGTGAGAATACACAGGTAAGCCCAATAGAAAGCAAAAGTCAGGGCCGGGCATGGTGGCTTATGCCTGTATTCCCAACACTTTAGGAGGCCGAGGTGGGCAGATAACTTGAGGTCAGGAGTTCGAGACCAGCATGGCCAACATGGTGAAACCCCATCTCTACTAAACACACACACACACACACACACACACACACACACACACACACACACATTAGCTGGGTGTGGTGGGATATACCTATAATCCCAGCTACTTGGGAGGCTGAGGGAGGAGAATCACTTGAACCAAGGAGGCAAGGGTTGCAGGAGGCAGTGATTGTGCCACTGCACTCCAGCCTGGGTGACAGAGCAAGACTCTTGTCTCAAACAAGCACACAAACCAAAAACAAAAGTCAGATGACTAAGGCAGTGATGATTGCCACATCCTGTGCGGGGCAGCCTCTGGGATTTGTCTCAAAACACACTCGATCTAGTTCTTGACGCCCATTGAGATGGATGCTAGGTTATAGGCAGTTACATAAGATCTTCGAGCCTCAGTTTCCTTATCTCTGAAGTGAGAAAAGTAATATTGATATTGTTAAAAAGGCATGAGATTTAGATATAAGTAAAATACTTGTATTTTACTTAGTACCTACTTAATCTTCATGAGTGAGTCAAAGAAAGCAAGTAGAATTAGGCAGGGTTGTGGGGATGGGGAGAGGCAAGCTGTGCTAAAGACAGGGGAAATGGGCAGATAGAATGCAGGGCTAAACACAGATACCTACAACCTGCAGCAGAGGCAACTTACTGAGCTTAACATAGAGAATACAAGTCACTTTAAAATGTACAGTTCTATGTTACTTTTCACCCCACAATAAAATCGGTCCTTACCTAGAAAAAAGTAAAGATAAAAATGAAAGAAAAGAGGAGTGGGGGAAGTAACACACATGTGTACACATTCAGACCTTTGGCATGCTTACATCAGAGAAAGAACACTTTTGCAAGTTTTCTTGGCACAACGAATGGTAATAATTTTTAAGTCTATTGTGTCTGTCATCTATTCATATATTCTGAAACTGCTGACCTCTCATTGACAACAGTATGCCTCTTTTTCTAAGATTAGAAATTTTAAAATGTAATTGCTGATAATAAACAATGGACATTATGCTAAGCGAAGTGAGCCAGTCAAAAAAATAAACAAACAAACAAACAAATAAATACTACATGATTCAACTCATTTTAGGTTGGTGCGAAGTTATTGTGGTTTTTGCCATTAAAAGTAATATAAAGTACCTGGAATAGTCAAATGTATAGCAAGAGAAAATAGAATGGTGCTTGCCAGGGGCTGGAGGGAAGGAGAAATGGGGTTGTTGTTCAGTGGGTGCAGGGTTTGAATTTTGCAAGATGAAAGGGTTCTGTGGCTGGATGGTGGTCATGGCTTCACAGCACTGTCAACGTGCATGATGCCACTGACCTGCGCACATCTTAAGTGGTTAATGATCAATTTTATGTCATATGTATTTTTTCACATTTGAAAACACTTTTAAAAACCATTCTTGTTAGTATTTAAAGAACTGCAAGATAAAAAAGAGACATTTTTAGAGTGTGAAGTCGTGTGCACAGGTTCATCGTCTAGGTGTGTACTCATGAAAACAAATCTCTTGTGTTGCAGATAGCGCTCGTTAAGGTTGATTTCTGCATATCAGTGAGAGTTCAGTGATCTTACATTCAACATAAATATGACAACTTTACAAACATCCCCCCTTTCATCCACTGAGTGAGTTTATCAGGAAAACCCAACAAAATCCTTCCAGGCCTCCCTGGGGGAAGGTACACAGTCCCCTGCTCTGGAGGAGGACATGGAGGCTCACGCTGGTTAAGGGAGTTTTCCAAAGTCACCAGCAGCAAGGAACCTTCTGAAACTCTGACAAGTCCGTGCTTTTCCCACGTCCACTTACATTATTTAGGCAAGACCCACTTGGGAATCTATTTTTTCAAGGCATGATCGGGACTAGGTTCAGGATGGTAGAGCAGGGCTGTTTTTGAAAGGCGGTCTCTTTCTCTTTGCACCAAGCTTTCCGTAAGTGTGTGGGTGACCCTCCCAACTTCCTCCTCTCTCCCACAACCACCGCCCTCGCTGCTTCTCTCAGCTTCTCTCCCTGACACCTGGATGACTCCTCTTGGCTACCTGGGGGCTGGCATTGTGGGAGGCAGCCGACGCCAGTGGGTGCTGCTGGGATCCCTGCCCACACCCAGCAGTTGCCTGGAGATGGAGGTATGCCAGGTATGTGGGCCAACAGCTGCAGAGTTGCCACTGACAGGCCGGAGGAGGATTCTTTGTCAGTGACCGCACCAGCCCGAGCCCCTGCCAGCTGTCCCACTCAGTATGCCCTGGCTTCCAGGGCCCCAGCCAAGGAAGGGTGTGGACATGTGATACAGTGGTGGCCACAAGGCAGGGGTCAAGGGGAAGGCAGGCCGATACTAGCAACAGAGGAAATGACACTTCAGAAGCGTCCTCTCTTACAAACAAGAGCAACTGTGTGTGTCCCAGTGAGTATGGGAAGCTCAGTCTCCTAACATCATTCAAGGGTCTCCAAGTGACTGTGCATACAGTTTTAAAAATATCACCGAACTTGTTTTTCTTACCCCAGCCATTTTTTATAACTATATCTAGGGAATGGGTTGGTTGACTCTAAAGAGCAAGGAACTAAAGAAAAGATAAACATGGAAACTTCAGGTTTTCCAGAATCTTGCATATTTCCCTCCTGTTTCCCTATTATAATTTACATTTAAAATGGAGAGATATGCAGTTTAAGCCAAATGTTTTGAGTCATGAAAACAAGTGAAACTCTTTTGCCTGTTCATGATAAACCTTCAGATTTGGTGACTTCTTTCCACCAAGGCAAGATAGGTTTCACTGGGGGGAACTGAACTGGTGTGGTGTTTTCTGCCTTCAGCCATCTGTGTGTACACTGTGACAATATGGTTCTGTGCTGGATGAGACGCCTACTATTTTTTCATCTCACTAAAGAGCCTCAAGTTTCTCAGCTACAACCTGGAGGAAGTGTCTGAAAGCTGATTTTCTGATGCCCAGCCCCAGGCCTCCTTTTCCACCGCACAAGATCAGACCTGCTTTTCTCTAAATCAGAATTAGGCACGCCACTCCAGATGAAAGAGCCCTGTCGTTGAAATGCCTTTCTTTGGCCCACACTAAGTATAATTTCTGCTCCCGTTTGAACTCAAATATCACATGTATATTTTAACAGCTGCTGCTCTCTAAGCAAACTGATTCACATAGAAAATCCAGGATTGTGACTACTTATTTTTTCCTCTCTACACATGAAACAGATTCCCTGGAAACACAGTTATCTTAAGTAGCTGGAATTGTCTAACTTCGGTTACTTTATTATTTACAAATCAGCCAGGTGAGAACAAGAAAGTGAAAAGCAGGAAACAAGATAGGCAGAGAAACAAAGGGCTCGATCGCAAGAGCAGCAAGATGCCTGAGCAGACCCACAGGGTTCTCAGGGCTGCAGCAAAAATCAAAGAACAGTCGTGGTCTCAGGACTCGCCATAGATCAGACCACAGCTTCCAACCATGCCACAGGCTGTCTGTGTGTTCCCTGCACACCATTCATTTTTGTCCTTCTATTTTAATGATCTGAAACCAAGTTTGGGCCATGTGTAGACAGGCCATTCGGAGGAGGCTTCGGGAAGGAGGGTGCATCTGAGACTAGTTGTAAAAGATGAGGAGGATTTCCACAATCGCTCGAAGGAAAGGGGCATTTCAGAAAGAGAGAAGAGCACGTTCACGTGAGCCCAGATAGGAGCACGGGGCACACGCAGGAAACTTCCTGATGCTGGAGTTCATGCGCACGGTGGACGCAGGCTTGGCAGCCCGCAAGGCAGAAGGGGAGGTGGTGCGGGAACCGTGGCTGCTCTAGCAAACTTGAGCTCCATTCTGCAGGCTCAAGGAGACATGGAGTAAGAGGAAGGACTCCTTGGGTGCATTGTTCATGGGAGGACAAATTAGAAAGGGGATTATCTCATGGCAGGCAGCCACTTCCAAGTAGGGAAGTTGGAGAACTTGTTGTCAGGTGGAAGAAAAGAGAAGACCCTTGAAAAGTCATCCAGGAATGGGTGTGCACAAACATGGAGTGTGTTCCTCATGCCGTAATTCTGATCCAGGTCCTTGACTTAACTGCATTGCCATTAAGCTTGTGAAAGGAGGGGAAAGCCGGTACCAGACATTGGTTATATGTCCAATATCTGTTTGACTCTTTGTTAGAGGTATTACCTAAGTTATCTTACAATACTCTAAAAGCAATTCTACAAAGCCCATTGCTATTTTACAGAAATGAAATCTGAAAATGAAGAGGGTCAAGTAAACTAAGAAGTCTACGCATAACTAAGAAGTGGGGCTGCCTGACCCCAATCCTGCACTCTTGGCTCTTTATGACTTCACTTGTGAGCATACTGAACTCAAAGTGTTCTGGACGTCTCCAGGTAGAGGGCTCTAGGAGGCAGCTGAGTACGTGAGTCTGGAACTTAGGAGAGTTCCAAGCAGGGCTGTGGGTGTGGGATGGGGTGCATGGGAAGGAGGTTGTCAAAGCAAAGCAATGCGCAGCTGCTTAGGGAGGGGGCACAGGAGAGTGGCCTGGCCCTTCTTAGATCATTGTCAACTCAACTTGTCTAAATGGCTTTTAAGACCTCAGTTATCACCTGTATTAATTCTGGCCTATGGTATTTTGCAGCTCTTCGGGAAATAGTGATCCTTTGTTTCTGACAAAGTTCTTCTTAAAGGGTTTATTGTCTTATTTACTAGGAATCATGGGGAATAGAGTGTTACACAATGTAATTTTTTCCCTAACAAATGAAGCTTATTTTTATAAATTCCAGGGCTTTTAATTTGAATCATGCTTAACTATTTTTCTATATTTTATTACATTGTTTGCTTCCTCCCTAAAGACAGTATATTTTAGTATTTTCACAGAAAAATGAGAAGCCCTCATTATGAACATACCTGATTAAATTGAGCATTTCCAAGTGATGTCCACATCATTGCTCAAGTGTTATGAGGCCACAGGATGAACTACTGCCCCCCGAATGATGCTAGAATGCTGTGCCTTTATTTATTTCATTGGACAACTCATTCAACATATATTTATCAAGTGACTCCTATAAGAGTAACTAAAATAGAATTTCCTGCTTTTGTAGACCTTACACTATAGTTGATTCCATAGTGTCTAGTGTTTCATGAAATTATACAAAATGTCACTAAATCTAAAATGCCATTGGTAATGACATACACTTTTTAATGCACTAATATTAAATAATGCTGAAATTAAGTTATGCTTATCTAATGTAAGATACATTGCAGTTTCAGATACTAAAATTTGAACAAGTAGACAAACGTTTCTCTTGAAATCAGTGAAATCTCTATCTAAATCCCTTAGAATAGGGTTAGCACATAGTATTCCAGGAAAGCAAAGCTCTAATTATTATTGTTGGATTGTACCCAGATTATGTTACTATTTAAGTTTCTACTTTATGTAAAGCACTTTTTCATATGGATATTCTTTATCCTAACAATAGTCCATTTGTTACACCAGAAGTAACACCAGATACTTCTGAATAATAATGGCAGTTAAATCTGTGGTTTTGTGGAATTTTGCTTATATACGTCACTGTTGATTCAAACAATATAGCAGCTCTAAGAACATCTGTGCCTCCAGCCTCTGCATTTCAACCATGAGAGCGTCATTTCTCTCCATGATGCTTAAATTAAAAATCTAAATATTTGGTAAATTTTACGCTTTTCTAGAATATGTTTTGTTACTATTATATTCTAGTAAAAACAAAAAATGTTCTTAGCCTGAGAAAGATTTTACAGAAAAGCTTTAGTAAACATTACACTTCATAATGTACCTGTACTACACTAAATCTATAATGTACTTATACTAAAGAGTGAACTATATTATCTTTGAGTTTAGGAATAAGATGAGTAAATATGTAAATGTAATAATGAGAAACTATTAAAATGCAGTAGTTTCATTCAATATGATTATTTAAATAGAAAATCCAAAAATTTGTACATGAATTAAATTAATAAACAAATTCAATGAGTTTACTAGATACAAAATTCATTGTCCAAAGGAATTGTATTTCTTTACACCAGCAATAATGTTAAAAATAATAATTTATAAGATTAACTTCATATTTCATGAAAAGTGTAAAATTTAAGAATAAATTTAAAAATAGTGTACGAAGTCTTTATATACAATAATATAAAACTTTTGTACAATAATAACATCAAAATGAGGGGTGATATGTACTATGTTCATAGGTTAAATGTCTCACTTTTATAATAATGTTAATTCTCAAACATATTTATATTATGCTTGAGTTTGACAAAATTATATACGTTTGACAAAATTCCAATAAATTCCCAATACATTTTGTGGAACTTATAAACTACACAATAAAGGCCAAAACAGTCCTTAAGAAAAACAAGTTGAGAAGACTTGACATATCATGAATGATTTGAAATTTACAAATTTCAGAATTTTTCCCATTGTAATATAAGCATGTAATACTATCACATTTCCCCAAATGGCTACTTTAAGTGCATCCTACAAATTGTGATATATTCTGTTTTTGTTTTCATCTTTGTTCTCTTTGAAATACTTTCTAAGTTCATCTGTGACTTCCTCCTTGACTCAGGAATTTTTAGAAGTGTGTTGTTTCATTTCAGAACATTTGGAAATTATTTATTTCTAGTTTCATTTAGTTGTGCTTAGAGATCATACTGTGTATGATTTCTATTCTTTTTAATGTACTGAGACATGTTTATATAGCCCAGATTATCATCAATTTTAGTGAATGTTTTAAATGTGCAGTTGCTAACAATGTCTTTTATATTGCTGTTTAGTGGACTGTTTTAGAAAAGTCAATCAGGTAAATCTGATTAAGAGTATTGTTTTTCTTCTATCCTTTTGCTGGTTTCTTATCTCATTCTATTAGTTACTGAAAAAAATGGGTTAGAATCTACAATCTCCAACAATAACGGGATATATCCATTTCTTTTTTCTGTTGTATATTTCTTCTTTGTATATTTTAAAGATCTATTGTTGGGCAATATTTGGTATTGTTGTGTCTTCTTGTTGAATTGACCCTTCTAACATCATGAAATGTTATGCAATTCTGGTAACATTTCTTATTGTAAAACTTACCATTTCTGTCCAAATCTATGCCCTGTCCCTTTATAAAATAATGATGATAACAAATAATACATAATATTTATTGTTTTTTTATCTCCCATTTTTAAAAATTCTGGGGGTTTAGATTATTTGAATTTATATAATTATTGATAAAACTAAAATCAAATCCACCATCTTTCCATTTGTTTTCTACTTGTTCCATCTTGCTTCTTAATTTTATTTTTATTTTTTAAATTTTTATTTCATCTAGAGTTTACAATACACATCTTTAACTTATCACAGCTCTATGTAGAGTATAAAGAATGTACAGCAGGAGAAGTCAGTTTTTCTCTTCTGTCTTTGCACTACCGTTATCATACATTTTACTTCAAATGCATACATTTAACATGTGCCACAAATCCTATAACACTTTATTGTTTTTGCTTTAAATAATCAATTATCTTTTAAGGAGAAAAAACAAAAAATTTTTACATAATTTTTATATATTTCTGGGACTCTTAATTTCTTTTTTTATAGATCAAATTTTCCTTCTGGTATTATATTTCTTTTACTAAAGAAATTTTCTTTAACACTTATGTAGTGCAAATGTGCTAATAATGAATCAGCTCAGTATTTGTTCTGAAAAGTCTTTTTCTTTTTGGAAGACATTTTTGCTGGTTAAAGACTTCTAGGTTGGCAAAAATGTTTTTAAGTACTTTAAAGAACAGCTCTATAGTTCCTGGCCATTTTTTTCTTACTTACATAGATTCCGATGAGGAGTCTGCAGTATTCTTGATTGTATGTAGTGGGTTTTCCCCTCATGAGCTGTTCTGCCCCTCTCTCTCGGTTCTCTTCTTCTGGCACTCCAATTACATATACATTCAACTCCTTGACGCTTTCCCAAGTGCAGTGCTGGAGACTGAAGATTTAACTGCAGTGAGCTTGGACTGTGAGGATTGAAGCAGAGCCAAAAACTGACAGACAGTTAGTAATCATTGCAGATGTTTGCTGAACAATTGCAAGGTAGCAGGCACTATTCTACTTTTCACCTGTAGAATTCTGACTTATCCTCAAGATTTATCTTGAAATTTTCCAGAAAGCCTTCCTATACCATCCTTTCTCACCCTAACCTCTACCTCACCTCTCACACTAGGTTAGGTAGCCCTCTTTTTTAGTTTTACTGCACAATGGGTTTCCAGTGTTTTTAAATCTACTACTCTTTATTCTATTAGATCTTTTTATTTTTAATCTCCATGGCTAGGCTGTGAATTCCATGAGGGCAAAGACTATGACTATTGTCTTGTGTCATAGTCAAATGACCTCTCCTTTGCCCAGGGTGTGTTACATTCTCAATGTGTATTTCATGAAAGAATGGATGAATAAATGCTGTCTCCCACTAGACTGTGAGTTCCTCAGAGGCAGAAATTACACTTTTCCCATGTTTTTGTGACCCTGGTTCAATATATATGATTGATGAAAAAGAGCGTTTCAGCAATTACAGTTTTTGTTTGTTCGGTTTTTGTTTTTTGTTGTTTTGAGACAGGGTCTCGCTCTGTCTCCAAGGCTGGAGTGTAGTGGCACCATCTCAGCTCACTGCAACCTCTGCCTCCCGGATTCAAGTGATTCTTGTGTCTCAGCCTCTCAAGTAGCTGGGATTATAGACGCAAGCCACCATGCCTGGCTAATTTTTGTATTTTCAGTAGAGATGGGGTTTCGCCGTGTTGGCCAGGCTGGTCTCTGACTCCTGACCTCAAGTGATCTGCCCTCCTTGGTCTCCCAAAGTTCTGGGATTACACTAAACTCGTGGGAGGCAGAGAAGCAACAGCTAACAGAAGTGGGGAGGAGGCACTGTAACAATTACATTGAGGGCCATCTTTGTTTAACATCAGAAGATTACAGGATAAAATTATTTGTCATGTAGTGAGCCAGGGGTAGAAATCCTGTTTTAAAACTGATTTTCTGTGGCTTCAGCAAATCATAGAATTATCAGAGCAATTACCCAAAGCTCCAGTGGAAAGGAAGAGTCAGTCTTGTTTGCATACTTGCCTGGCCTAGATCTTTTCATGATCTTTCTGCCACCATGTTGCTGAAGAAATCTTCACTCCCTTTGCCTGTGTGTGTTTGGGATGGAATTACTGAAATCCTTCCTGAATTCTGCTTACGTGAAATGTTACTCCATGTGGTTTTAATTCCATGAAGATATTTCCTCCAGTGTATGTGAGTTATATAGGTTGGGAATAATTAGAAAAAGAGATGACTGGGTTAGAAACAGGAAAGAAAAGGAAATAAAATGCAACAAAACAAAGCACAAAGCAGACAGAACAGGAAGAGGTCCTGCAAAAGGGCTTTGGGCAATGGAGGGGAGTGCTGAGAGCCAGACGATGTCTGGACATGCATTAGAGGGGGTGAGTGCAGGCCTTTGGGGAATCTTCCTCTGTCCCTGTAGTCACACTGTCCATCAAAGGTGGCAGACAGGCCAGGCACAGTGGCTCACGCCTGTAATCCCAGCACTTTGGGAGCCCAAGGCAGGCGGATCACCTGAGGTCAGGAGTTCGAGACCAGCCTGGCCAACATGGTGAAACCATGTCTCTACTAAAAATACAAAAATTAGCCAGGCATGGTGGTGCATGTCTGTAATCCCAGCTACTCGGGAGGCTGAGGTATGAGAATTGCTTGAACCCAAGAGCCGGAAGTTGCAGTAAGCTGAGATAGCGCCACTGCACTCCAGCCTGCGGGATAGAGTGAGACTCTGTCTCCAAAAAAAAAAAAAAAAAATTGGGGGACAGACAGACCTTCACTCCATCAACTCAACCAGGAATCTTGTGGAGAAACCCCCTAAGAAGAAAAAAAAAAAGCAAAGGAACATGTCTCTCAGTGGGTGTATTACCCACGAGGAACGAAAATGAATGTACGGGAGTCTGGTTGGAACAGACAGAAGGGGAGATCCTGAGAAGATTCTTCCAGCAAAAGATATTAACAGGAAATGGGCTTCAGAGAACCCAGTACATGAAGATGTGCAAAATGCCTTGTATAGCCTTTTTTAGTTTGCCTTTATTGCTGTATTGTAATAGATATTAAAATAGATATTTACGAATGTCTTCAGGGTGAGTCACAGCTCTTGTTTCCCAGCCCTCCCTTTCTCAAGTCTTCCATTCCTCCATTGCAAGTTTTCCAGCACAGATATTTTCCGAAGCTGGATTCCTGTATTGGGGAAGTTGTTCTGCACTTTAATCACTGACTTGTACCTACACAAGGGGAGAGGTTGTAACTCGGGGAGCTAATGTAAAGAGAAGCTGTACCATTCAACATATGTATATGAATGTTGTCATTTTTACTTTACATGCATTTATTTGCTTACAGAAAATTGCATAGTGCAGCAAATCTATAAAAAGTCAAGCTTTATTGTCAAGAAGCTTAGAGTGACCAAAGGCAAAGGGAGACCCATAATATGCTCATTACTGCTTACACTTTTAACTCAATCTAATCATATTCTTATGTTCGCCACATGTACACATTAAAGAAAATGTCAGTAATTACTGAAGAATTTAACATAATGAATCCATGTAAAAACAAGGGTTTAATTACAGCATTTACACAGGTTACAAACTCTAACATGCCTTTGTATACGAGACAATCAGATCCATACATTTTGTTTTCTAAGCCATTTTGGGGAGAAAAAAAAAACAGCCCTTGATATTTGAGTCATGCGAATACTCTGGGGTTCCAAGATAGTACTCTGGCATTTTTCAACAAGGTCTTTTTCCTCACTATGGAGAAAGCGTCAGTCTCAGAGTTCACAGTGTGTAGTCACATCACTGAGAAATGTGCATGCATCTGACCTCACACCGGGATACTTCTCTCTGTGTGACCAGTTCCAAAGACGTCTTCTCAGTTTAGTTCCAGGACAAGCTAAAGTGAAATGTTGACTTTCAGTTTCATCAACTGCTGATGTTGACCGCACTCCAACGATGGAAAGAGTTTGAGGTCATCAGCAGTTACTGGGCCAGGGAGCCTATTTTCCTCAGGAATCCAAGAGAATCAAACCCTCAGTATGGACCAAGAAGCAATATGGACTTATCTGATCTACAAGATGAAAAGTATTCAAAATTGGCTTTAAAAAATAGTCAATTTGGTTCTGGAAATAAATTGTGAGAATTTCTGTATCTATTTCTATTATCTTAAAAAGTTGGCAAATATCTAAGTGTTACTAATATTGAACATGTAGACTGATTCTGGACTCCCCACTCAGGCTGCATGTCAGAGATTTGCATAGCAAGTGAAGTCACTGGTTTCCTGAGAAATGTGGGCCCTGCAGAGGGCAGAGGAGTTCCCACAGCCCCACTCACAGGATCTCTTGCAGCTATTGTTAAATGGCACAGCCATCTTAACCATGGCAAGTGAATTCAAGGATTAAATTGTCTACTTTTGACTAAACTAACTTCACAAAAGGTTAAGTGGGTTAAAAAATTTCCTACAAAGAAATACCAAATTTAGATAATATGATAATTCAAGAACAATAAAATATCAGAGCTACATTTCTTCAATTAGTTGTATATACTCTTGTCAACCACGTAGCAAAGTTGAAAACAATGGCAAGGAGTCAGCCAAAAAATTCTACATTATCATCAGGAAAGCATTTTGAAACATAGGTTATATCCATTGTCATCAATGTCAACTCACTCTAAGTGCATATTCTAACTCAAGATTTGAAGTTGATGATAGTATTCAGGAAACACGTACGATTTGATTACTCATGCTCAAAGCCATGTGTTATTGAACCAGCCACTTTACAAAATTTAATTAAACTTAATGATGAAAATTAAAAGTCTCTCTGAAAGATCTTATCAAAGAGCAAAAGACAAAAGCCACTTACTATTGGGGGAAATGTGTTCCTTATAATATGCAAGCTTATTTTCCCATCATTTTGATCAAAACAGAAGAAAAAATATATGAAAACGTATAATAACAAGCTTAATAAATAAAACATGCAAAAATATGGTGTGTTACTTATTTTAACATGAATTTCTATGTATTTACAGTTATCTGAAACAAATATAAAATAGTTTGGATCCTTGTGATCGGTCACAAACTTAGAAAGCCTGCTCTTTACATGCAGCAAACTTTTAAAATTTTTGCATATAACAAGCTTTTAACTGATTAAAGTAATGCCACTCTAGTTATTTATGAAATACATCAAAAAGGCCGGGCATAGTGGCTCACACCTGTAATCCCAGCACTTTGGAAGGCCGAGGCGGGCAGATCATGAGGTCAGGAGATGGAGACCTTCCTGGCTAACATGGTGAAACCCAGTCTCTACTAAAAAATACAAAAAATTAGCTAGGCATGGTGGTGGGCACCTGTAGCCCCAGCTACTCTGGAGGCTGAGGCAGGAGAATGGCATGAACCCAGGAGGCGGAGCTTGCAGTGAATTGAGATCATGCCTCTGCACTCCAGCCTGGGCAACAGAGCAAGACTCCATCTCAGATAAAAAAAAGAAAAAGAAATACATCACAAAGTAGATGGTATTTTATTTGGATTGATAGATTTATCATTTATAAATGCTTTTCTGTAGTATTCATTTTGTCCATAAAGCACAAAGATGCTAAATCATACACAAATTCTTCCAGGTACTTGTCAAGTGAGTTGATTTTTGTTTTCTAACTATGTAGAAAGTTAAATTCATCAGTTGCTTTTCCAGAAAGACCCATTTCAGGTCTCTTGACTACCATCACCTATGTGAGCAGAAGGATTCAGGGGATCCTTGGTGGACTGCTGAAGAATGAAGCATGTGCACCCACTTTACTTCTACACTTTGGCAGCTGTAGAACAGAGACAGTGGTGGTGCAGGATACATCCTTGTATCTGGGAATTAATTCCTTTCCGAGGTGTATACTACTTAGCTTTGTGACTAAAATCTACGGGCTTCAGTTTCCTAGTTTTGCTAAATTGGAAACATGTTAATATCTATGACTGTAGCACATCACAAGTAAAGATAAATGAGAAAATGTATGCTTTGGCTGGGCATGGTGGCTCACGCCTCTAATCCCAGCACTTTGGGAGGCCGAGGCAGGTAGATCGTGAGGCCAAGAGATTGTGACCATTCTGGCCAACATGGTGAAACCCTGTCTCTACTGAAAGTACAAAAATTAGCTGGGTGTGGTGGCGGGTGCCTATAGTCCCAGCTACTTGGGAGGCTGAGGCAGGAGACTCACTTGAACCTGGGAGGTGGAGGTTGCAGTGAGCCAAGATCACGCCACTGCACTCCAGCCTGGCGACAGAGCGTCACTTCATCTCAAAAAAAGAAACCAAAAAAACAACAAAAAAAAAAAAAAAAAAAAAAAAGGACAATGTACGCTTTGTAAACTTTAAGTCTGGGAGATGGCTAACATTATGGGGGAAGACTTGGCCAAGACAGCCCAGAAACCACAAGGTGAATAATAGCACCCAGAACAGAAGGTCCACCATGAAGATAAGGACTTAATCTATCAGGAAGGATTAAATGTAACCGTCAAGAGTAGGCTTGATGGAGGAGGGTGAATCTGAATGGAGCCTTGATCTACAGTGGGGTTTACAGCACAGGCAAATCCTGGTGACTGCATGCTAGATGAAAGGAATTGGACAAATGAAATAACTGAGGCAAGAGAGGTTGGGCATGTTCAAATTCGTATCTGTATTGCATAGATAGCTTAAGAATGAAGTAGAGCCAGAAAAAACATACTAGGCTCAGATTACGGAACATGTTTAATGCTAGGCTAAGAACTGTGTTCTATTATATATGCAAAGAGGATCCATGATCGCTTTTTGAGCAGAAAAATCACCCAACTTAATGTGATGTTTTAGGAAGATACTTGGGTAGCAATGTGGAAAAGGCACTGAAGCAAGCAGATTGAAGGCAGATGCTACGTATAAGACCATAAAGCTTTTGCACTGGATTTGATCAGTTGCAATGAAGGCTTGAGTTTGGATGGTGGTCTTGGGAAAGTTCAAAAAAAAAAAAAAAGGAGAGGAGGGGTCATAACTGAAAGCCATTTTATCATGACTAAGAAGTCAAACATGTTAATAACCTCAAGAGATATTGGAACAAGCAGAAAATATTCCTCTTTTGTGCATCCATACTTTTATTAAGAAAAGCTTAACGGAGCTTGAGATATTTATAGAAAAGGCCAGTACCATGAGGAAGGAGATGTGTTCCTAGAACACGTTTAAAATGATAGTGTTCTTTAATTTTAAAATATGATGGAGGATAGTTTTCGAATTTTGTGTCGCAGTTTTTGCAAAGTTACTAAAGTTTCCAAATTCTAAAACCACATGGTAGTCTGCCAGCTACACATGGAGCAAATAACCTGCCCTGATGCTCCCCACTTGTAATCCAGCCAGCAAGCCCTGTCTCTCCATTCCCAAGGCTGTGTTCACAGACAGCATTGACGAAAACCAGCCAGTTCCCCCAAAACCCCTGCTGCACAGTATCTGACAGATATCAGTGATGGCTTATCTTCACTTGTCTTTCAACCCCTCTTTATTCTCTACCCCTCTTTATGCACCCCAAAACTGCCAATATCTCTATAAATAGCATGACTCTGGCTTTCCTGGGCTTGAACTTCCATGTGGATTTGGCTGACGGAGATCAATGTAAGGTGATGGGATGCTCAGAAGACAGAGAGTTGGGGGTAATTTTCTCCCACTCCTTTTCTGCAGTGGGAACTGCAGTGATGGCAACAGTATTCTCTCCATGAAAACACTCCCTGCCTCCTGCTATGGTTTCAATATTTGTGTCCCTCCAAAATTCATGTTGAAACTTCATCCTCAGTGTGACAGGATTAAGATGTGAGGCCTTGAGGAGGTGATCATATACCCTTATAACAGCACTCTAGGGGACTAGCTAGATCCTGTTTGCTTTTATATTCCTTCTGCAATGTGAGGACACAGCAAGAGTCGCCATCTTGGAAGCAGAAAGCAACCCTCTCCAGCCCCCAGATCTGCTGGCACCTTGATCTTGGACCCACAACTGTGAGAAATATGTTTTTCTCAATAGACTACATAGCCTCCATGTCCATGTTCTATTAATGCAGAACAAACAGATTAAGACATCCCACAGTTTGGGCATTGACCAGTGCCCTCTTTGCCCACCTTTGCTGCTGGTAGCCTGTCTTGCAGATACCCAGTGGCTTTACAGAAGGGGAGGTGGCTTCCTGGAGGTTCTCACACAGTGCGAGCTGAGAGATGGCGTGCTGCAGGCCTGGAGCACTCCTCTCCAGCATGCAGAATGACTGTGGAGCAATGACCAATGTATGACTCTGTCTCTTGTGTGACCATGTGCTCCAGTTTTCCCAGGACATAATAATAATAATTTCTAACATAATTATTAACAACAACCCCTTTCACCGTCAAAAGTGACCTGACTTAGATAACTGAATTGTAAGTTCACTCCACCTTTTCCACAAAGCCAGAATACTAGAACACACGGTCAGAAAACAAAAGGGTGAAATTGGGTATGACCTCCCTCAGTCTTACACTGATGGGATCTGTATTTTTCATTCTTAATTCCTTATACTCAGTGTGTTGTGAAGTCCTAGGGCCAAGGGAAGAATTTTGCATCAAGAAACATAGTCCTGGTTTCGTTCAATGAGAACCTGAGACTGTTCTATAATCATGTTGGGCTTTTCATGTTATGAGATAGAGAATTCCTATTTTGAACTGGCATTTTACAGTGCCGAAAGGATGTTGGAGTGTTTGTATACAATGGGAGCAAAGAAGATTACATCTAGAACATGGGCAATTTACTGGAGCTCCTTAATTCACTAGTGTCCAAAGATAATGGTTAGTGGGAAACTGTAGCTGTAAAGGATTTGCAGTCTATTGGAATGAAAATTTTGGTCATACTACTAGTTTAAAATTTCTGATAGGGAAAGGTGTTGGTAGAAGGTAAAGGGAGCATTGATAGGTGATTTGAAAAAATGAAAAAGAGGAGCTGACTATCAACATAGAACATAGACCAACAGCAGAGGCAGAACCTATATCAGCTATTGTTTACTTGTGCTGATTAATGCCTTCCTTCCCTTTATCATGCTGTCTGATCTGAAGAGTACTGGTGGAACTAACATTACAACCTAGGTTCCAGGTAGTGGTATGACTGAGTTGATACCAGCCCACCACCATACAGTGGCAGGTGCCCTTTGTAAGTAAGGAGGATAGTAAATGTTATCCTCCTTACTCTACCATTGCACTGCTAAGTAGGCTTTTATTTTGCTGTATTTGCCACCTTTAAAATTTATCCTTCGCATCGTAGTCATAACAAGTGAGGTAATTAATGAGGCTTCCTTACCTTCACTATCTTTCTTCACCTTTGACATGGTAAAGTTTATTATTTCTATGTTATTGGGGCATATGACATTTCCAGCCTATTCTGTAACCCCAATCCACATTTGGTTTCAGTCTACAGTAAAATACATTCAATACTTACAACTTTTTTTTTTTGGCTGTATTTTACCAAAGCATCTTCCTTTAATTGGTTGTTATTGTTTTCCTTCCTTCTGTAACCAAATGTATTGCCCTTTTTCTCCACATACCCATGTTTTTGTTCTCTCAAAAACATTAATGAAAATATTTTTTCCTGAATTCTTGCTTGATAAAAACCGCAACAAATTGTAATATATCATGTCTGCATAGTAAGACTAGCTTGGCTGCACATAAAAATCCTTGGTTGGCATTGAGAATCTTGTTGGTCTTCCCTCATGACCATCCAGCTTCAGTACAGCTAGGGGAGCCAGGACAGCCTTCTTCATTTCTCCTGTGAGTGACTTATTCTTTTTTTCTGGCTGCCCAATAGATACCTTATTTTTTTTAAGTCCAATACCTTCATTAAGATGTGGTTCACTTTTTGCCTGTCATGAATGGATATACCTTGCTTCTGATGTGCCCTTTTGAAAGGTAGATTCAAGTCTTCATGCATTGCACGGAAGTGTTCTTGAATTATAATTTTGAAGTATTCGTTCTGTCTCTTTTGGTTTCTTCTTTGGATGTTCCAGTAATGTATATGTTCAATCCATTTGTAGGTCTTCCATAGTTCTCATTTTCTCTGTAATACTTGAGTTTTGCTTTTCAGATGTTTGCTTAGATAATTTTTGTATAAATGGGTCTCCATTTCCTTTTATTTTTGTAATATACTACTAAATGGTTTGCGTTTTCCTAGATAACTACAGAGGTTCAGAGAGAGAATTAAGACAACCTTCTGGGCCTCACACCAGAATGGCTCTTTCCTACTGGGCTGTCACAGAGACAGACTGCTTCCTGCAAGTATGGCTCCTCTGGTGATTCTCTGTGTGGTTGAATCTCCCTTGTTCCTCCCTTGAACAAAACTGGGTCCAGGAGGGGACTTTTTCTGGTAGACTGTGTACCCTGGTTCCCACTCCTGTGGTTAAAAAAAAGGGGTATAAGTTTTGAACATGGAAGTGAACTCCCAAATTTTCAGGGAGTACATTTTGTTGGTGTTTTCTGAGATTATCAGCCATTGGCCTCACTACCTCCATACTTCATTTACTCCCATGTGGCTTGTGCCTGATTCCAACTAGATTTAGTCATCCCTACATATGTTTTGAAATCTTTGGATTCTAACTTTTTCTAGTTTCACTAAGGATATATTTGGTTCTTTTTTTCTCCATTTTCCTTGTTGCTTTTTTATGTGTTCTGGAATAATATGAGGAAAAATGCTGACTTTTACAGCCTGTGTATACAACTACCTCTACAGAAAATTTTAAGATATATATTAGTTATTTATATTCACACAATAACTTTGCAAATAGTCCTAGTGTACAAAGCTTATTCCTATATCTTGCTGTGTTTTTAAACAAACATATATACATATATGCTGTGATAGCTGATGTTGAGTGTCAACCTGATTGGATTGAAGGATGCAAAGTATTGTTCCTGGGCATATCTGTGAGGGTGTTGCCAAAGGAGATTAACATTTAAGTCAGTGGATTGGGAGAGGCAGACCCTCCTTCTATCTGGGTGGGCACCATCTAATCAGCTGTCAGCACAGCTAGAATAAAGCAGGCAGAAGAAGATGGAAGAACAGACTTGCTGAGTCTTCTGGCTTTCATCTTTCTCCTGTGCTGGAAGCATCCTGGTCTCGAACATCAGACTCCAAATTCTTCAGCTTTTAGACTCTTGGACTTACACCAGTGATTTTTCAGGGGCTCTCGGGCCTTTGGCCACAGACTGAAGACTGCATTGTTTACTTCCCAACTTTCGAGGTTTTGGGACTCAGACTGATGCACCACTGGCTTCCTTGCTCCTCAACGTGCAGATGGCCTATCATGGGAATTTATCTTGTAATCATGTGAGTTGATTCTCTTTAATAAACCCCCTTTTATATGTACATCTATTCTATCAGTTCTGTCCCTCTAGAGAACCCTGACTAATACACATGCATACACACATGTGGTCATGCAGACATGTATACATGCATGCACACATATGTGACCACATGAACATGCATACACATATGTGATCTTTGCCATTGTGGATGGCTAGGATGATTTTTCTCAGGAAAGGTATCTGTGTTATTAGAAAAATAGCCCTGGTTCTCATCCTAAAGTCATAAAAATCAGGAGGTAACTCAGTAAAAGGAGACACACACACACACACAATGTTATATGTATAAGTGATTTAATATTTTATATATATAATCAAATCCTTGAAATTGCCCTTTGTATTAATCAGGGTTCTTTATAGAAACAGAATCAAGAGTATGTGTGTGCGTGTGCGCGCATGTGTGTGTGTGTGTGTATATATATACACATATATATTTAATACGTGTGTGTGTGTGTATATATATATATATAGACAGAGAGAGAGGGAAAGAAGGAGAGAGAGGGAGTTTATTATAAGAAATTGGCTCATGTGATTATGGGGGCTGAAAGTCTCACAATCTGCCATCTGCAGCTGGAGACCCAGGAAAGGCAGTGATGTAGTTGAGAGAACCAAAGTATCGATGGTATAAGACCCAGTCAAGAACAGCACAGGGGGCTGATGTGTCAGCTCAAGCAGTTAGGCAGAGGGTGAAGTCACCCTTCCTGTGCTTTCTGTTCTATTCGGGTCTCAATGAATCGGATAATGCCCATTCACATGGTGGAGGGCCACCTGCTTTACTCAGTCTGCTGATTCAAACGCTAATCTCATACAGAAACAGCCTCACAGCCATAACCAGGACCCATGTTTAGTCTGGGCACCTCATGTCTAAGTGAATTTGACACAAAAATTATCCATCATACCCAGAGTTCTTAATCAAAGTTTCAATGACTGAGGCCAGTCCTGGGCCGCTAATGTTCATCCAATATTGCGTCTAGTTTTACCATCCCTTCCGTTTGCCAGAAATAGAAACAGAAAATGTTCTACATGTTTGCACCACCAAATAATGAATAAGCAATCAAATGCCATTTTGATTATTGACCTTCTAGCTTTTACAAAACACAAAACTTGCACAAATAAAGATACTATTGGAAGCCAAGGAACCTAGAGACACATGTAAATTCTCTTTATCTCTGCTCGATGCGTAAAGTATTCCTACTTAAGAGTAAATTTCCTCTTGTTTCAGTGAAAGATATTTTTAACTGATATTTTTACCTTCAGCAAACACATAAACGGTGAAAGTTATCCCAAACATTGCCATTTTCAATTTCCAAAGGAGCTTATGCTAATTTCAGAGGCATCTCTATGGTTTATATGTATATTTAATATATAAGGCAGGTCCTACTATCTCTATTTTACAGAAGAAGAAACTGAAGTTGGAAAGATCAACAAGCTTACCTGAAGTCACAGGGCGGGAGAGTAAAGGAGCAGAATTTTCAACCTAAGTTTATATGATTCTAAAATTTTCCACTACCATGCTACTAAAAGAAATTACTCAACTAGTTCTTCCTGTTCAGGTAAGTCAGTTCAGACTTTGCTAATTCTGAATAAAGGGGACAGAAGTTATGATGCTGTAACTATTTGACATAGACTGTGTTAGATTAGAGATGAGAGGCAAAAATCTGACCCTAGTATATTTGCTTTCATTGATTCCAATGTCATCTTTAGGTTTTTGTATATTTCTTTCTGATTTTAACATATGATCCTTTATTTTCTTCTTACTTTCCTCCCTTCCTCCTCTCTCTGTCAAATTGTTTTCCTCTTCCTCCTCTTTTAAAAATTCTCAAAATTTGACTATAAATTGCTTTTTCTTCTTTGCTCCTTTTCACAACTCTTTCATTGCCACAAGGCATTCAGGTAGAAAAAAAGGCCAAGGTAGTCTGCAGTGTGCTAGCTATTTACCCAATTGACCCACCATATCTTTTACATAAGCAAATAAATTAACAAGTTATGTAAATAATTTATATTCAAATATTCAGAAATGTCTTAGACATGTTTAACATGCTACCAGTAAACTCCTTTTAGGAGGAGACCACATGCAGCTTTAGAATAGAAAATAGAAGAAAGGAAAAAAATAAACAAATGAAGGTTTTTCTCTGCAGTCTTTATGCAAGCAACGACTTATTTCTTAAACTCTCCCCTTTGTGGCTATCACTCAAAGAAAATAAAGAAGAAAAGCTACTGGCTTTCTAGTTTAAATCACAGTCTCATTATTCTGTAGGTGAATGGGGAGGGGGATTGGAATCGTAGGTCCGAGTGGGCAGTAACTTGAAGTCAATGGAGATATTTACAAAACAGAAGCACAATCACGATCCAGCAGTTCTGGAGCTGCTAACTTTTTCTGCCTTTTTCTAAATGTCCAATAATAAGGTTCTAATGGAGACTGAAGATCCATCACCTGCTCCACATCTCCAGGGGGCCCATGTGTGCATCGCAGTGCAGATCATACATGCTTCTTTCCCCTCCCATGGCAAGGGGAATACTGAATGATGACAGCTCACATGTGTAACCCAAGGGCTTTGCTTGGGTTTGCAAGGACTAGTGCACAATACATTCTTTGACTGTTATAATAACATTAAGTCAATGCACGAATTATAATCCCTATTTCACAAGTACAAAAACACATTCAAAGAAATTAACTTCCTTGCTCACCAAACAGTTATTGACAAAAATTACAATATTTATGTTTCTTTTGAAAAATATTATAAAGATTCTCAAATTGTCTAACCAATCATATTATCCGTATTTGTCTCTTCTCAAGCTGCTAATAAAGACATACCCAAGACTGGGACATTTATAAAGGAAAAAGGTTGAATTGACTCACAGTTCGGCATGGCTGTGGAGGCCTCAGGACACTTACAATCATGGTAGAAGGGGAAGCAAATATGTCCTTCTTCACATGGCGGCAGCAAAGAGAGGTGGGAAAAAGGAGGGAAAAGCCCCTTATAAAACCATCAGATCTCATGAAAACTCACTTACTATCAGGAGAACAGCATGGAGGTAACTGCTCCCATGATAAAATCACCTTCCACCAGGTCCCTCCCATGTCAGGTGGGGATTATGGGAACTACAGCTCAAGATGAGATTTGGGTGGAGACGTAGCCAAACATATCGTTATCTTGATAAGATATTGCTTTGGATTGAATTGTGTCCCTGCAAAAATCTTATGTATAAAAGTTCTGATCCCTGATGTGACTGTTTTTGAAGACAGGCAGGGCCTTTAGTAGGCACTTAAGGTCAAATTAGGTCATACGGGTGGGACCTCAGTCTACTAGGACTGGTGGCTTTATACTGAAAGAAAGAGACAGATGTCTCTCCCCTCGACCTCACATGTATAAAGGTCACATAAGGAAAAAGCAGCCCAAGCCGGTAAGAGGCCCCAACAGACGCCAAACCCTTCCAGCTTCATGATCTTGGACTTCACTGCCCCCAAAACTGTAAGAGAATGAAATTCTGCTGCTTATGCCATCCAGTCTGTGGCATTTAGTTACGCCAGCCTGCACTGGCTAATGCAGATATTCAGAATCAAATGAGTCATCCCAAGCAATTTCTCAGTATATACAGCACAGATTTCACCTTCTAAACTCACCCTTGTCTTCGCCTTTTTTTTTTTTTTTTGCGACGGAGTCTCACTCTATCGCCCAGGCTGGAGTGCAGTGGCGCGATCTCGGCTCACTGCAAGCTCCGCCTCTCGGGTTCACGCCATTCTCCTGCCTGAGCGTCCCGAGTAGCTGGGACTACAGGCGCCCGCCACCACGCCTGACTAGTTTTTTTTTTTTAATATTTATATTTTTAGTAGAGATGGGGTTTCACCGTGTTAGCCAGGATGGTCTCAATCTGCTGACCTCGTGATCCGCCCGCCTCGGCCTCCCAAAGTGCTGGGACTACAGGCATGAGCCACCACGCCTGGCCAGTTTTTCTTAATTATTAAATAATCTTTCATTGATTTAAGAAATATTTTCTTATGGTTCCTATTCAGGCCCAGGCATTGTTTTTTTGTGCTGCAGACAATGTGTTAATAAAAGCTGTCCAGCCTTGTTAGTACATCATGATATTTATATCTGACAAATCCTCTACTTAGATATGTATCACCTCCATAATTTTTTGGAACACATAAATTTTTTGAACCAAATGGAATAAAAAGCTAGATATATACGTATAATGAATATATTTGAAACTTTGTACTTTGCTTTACAATTTGCAAAAGAACATCATATACAGTGTTGTATTTGAGTCTCCCTTAAGCCCTATTAAGAAGAAATTTTTCTATTTCTGCTGTTCAGTGAAGAAAATGAGCAAAAAAGGTGCAGCAACTTCCCAATATCCCATATTTACAAACATAAAGGAGTGGGACTTTAATGTAGACTCTTGGTGTCCACGTTTGTGCTCTTTATGCTTCATGACACCAGGTAAAGTGCAATGAGCACAGCAAATGTGCCCCCTCAGGAGCCAGCTAAGACCTTCCGGGGGCTTCTCCTGGAAGTACAGAGTCTGCGACCCCCATCCTAAATACACAAGCATTGGCATCACTGTCTCACAGTAAAACAAAACAAAACAAAACAAAAAAACAAAAAAAAACAAAGAAAAAAACAAATACAATCTGTTCAGCAGAGTAATTGTACATAACACAAAAGAACTTCTGGGAAAAACACGGAACGCATATTGAAGTCAGAGGCTCAGTCATGTGAAAATAAAAGGTCTTGTTGGGTGCCTAAGTCTTGTCTTTGCTAACAGCTGTTTTCGTGCAATACCAGTAAACCCAGCCAAAGGCATTCTAGTGAGCAACACAGGAAGACTCCTATACACTTCAATTTTCCAGCAATCCATAAAATTGAAACATAAAAATAGGATTCTATTTCCCTTGTTCATTCTATATCTTACCAGTACTTATATTTGCATATGTGTAGAAACTCAAGGTTTACAAAGCATATCCACGGTCTTTATTGTATTTGATGCTCCACAAAATGTTGCAAGGGACTCAGACAAAGTCTTGTTTGTACTATGTTACAGGTGAGAATGCTGACATGTAGAGGGGCAAGTACTTACCTGATCACGTTGTCTTAGTATGATGAAGCCTCACTTAAACCCATGATCTCATGTCTACCCTTAAACTGATGCACTGAAATACAGTCAGGTAAAATAAAGAGTTAGGGGCACATTTTAAAATACATTTAAGGTGCATCAAAGATTTAAACCAATCACTTGTAACATCTCTATTTGTCAAACTCATTGGTGATCATTAGCATCTAGAGAGACCCAGGACAATCGCAAGATTCTAAATAATTTTCAAACCATAGTAGAGGATACTTTGTTTACTGTTATTTATGTATTAAATATCTTTTAATATACTATAGCTTTATAAGAACAGATAATCCATTTTTGGAATTTGTGTTTTAATTGGCCAAAGAGTTAAATCCATTTTTTCTAGATCCTCTGGATAATTAGGAATCGGTAGTAAAAAGCAATTGCACTTTTCCAATAAAATAATATGCTCAGTTGTTCAAACCCACATTCTTGATAAAAACAACTAGAAATTCTGCATAAGATAGAAGAAAAAGAAGATTTTGGAGCAACAAAGAGCATACAAGATGGTAAGGAATTACAAGACCAAAATCTAAGTGATGTCTTGATCTCAGAAAAGAAAGCTAAATGTTGAATTCCATTTGGCCCTTGGAGAATTCATGAAAGCAGTGAATTTGAGCTTCAGTTTTTCAGTCTCTGTGGAGTGATATGGAAGAAGGAAAAAATCTCAAGTCCCCAGCAACATGCATGTGATAATAGAAGACTTTCCCCCTATGAAACAAGACCTCCAAAGAGCTATAATTTCACAATAAGCATAAACCAAAAGTAAACCCACACTACCTCACTCCTTCTTCCATGTGTCGGCAAGGAAGTGTTCGTTGGTGCTAAACAAAGCATGGGGAAAATGCTGCTGTTGCATAAATTACAATCTCAAAAACTCAAGCTATAAATTTAGTTTAAAACAGTTCACAATACCTAATAGAAACAAATGTGCAGTTCTTCCTCATCCTGAAAGAATCTCCACAATAATATTCCAAGGAAAATAATGCACTCACAGCGTATGTATGTATCACCTATATGATGAATATAGCTGATAGATAAGTACATATGTATCATATATATATATACATATAACCATTACAGAGAACTAGAAGAAATAGTGGAGAAAGAAACAGTTCTACAAAGACCCTAGATTTAAAAATAATCAGAGAAAAATGTTGTAAAACAACTCTTCTCATAACGTCCAAAGCTAGAACACACTTGAAACAATCTCAGCAAAAGAAAGCTGTCAAATATGCAGCCATAAAAAAGGATGAGTTCATGTCCTTTGTAGGGACATAGATGAAGCTGGAAACCATCATTCTCAGCAAACTATCGCAAGGACAGAAAACCAAACACGGCATGTTCTTACTCATAGGTGGGTACTGAACAATGAGAACACTTGGACACAGAAAGGGGAACATCACACACCACGAGCTGTCGTTGGGTAGGGGGAGGGGGGAGGGATACCATTAGGAGATATACCTAATGTAAATGACAAGTTAATGGGTGCAGCACGACAACATGGCACATGTATACATATGTAACAAATCTGCACGTTGTGCACATGTACCCTAGAACTTAAAGTATAATAATAATAATAATAACAATAATAATAAAAGAAAGCTGTTAAAAATGACCAGCATAGAATCTCTCTTCCCCACTGTCAGACAACATTTCAGTGGTCCCTGTAACTATTGCTCTGGTCCTGAATAAAATCTTTCTTGCCATGCTTGAAAAAAAAAAAAACAGAATTGCAAAATATGTCTCTGACAAAGGACTAATATCAAGAATCTACAAGGACCTCAAAGAATTCAAGAAGAGAAAAAGAAACAACCCCATTAAAAACTGGGCAAAGGACATGAACAGACATTTTTCAAAAAAAAAAAAAATGCAAGCAGCCAACAAACACATGAAAAAATGCTCAGAATCACTAATCATTAAAGAAATGCTCATTAAAACCACAATGAGATATCATCTTATATCAGTCAGAATGGCTGTTATTAAAAAGTTGAAAAAAGAAAAAAACAGAGGTTGACTTGGATGCAGAGCAAAGAGAGAACGCTTATACACTATTGGTGGGAATATAAATTAGTTCAAGCTCTATGGAAAACAGTATGAAGATATCTCAAAGAACTGAAAACAGAACTACCCTTTGACCCAGAAATATTCATAACTGGACACCTACCCAAAGGAAAACAAATCATTATAGGACAATACCATGACAATAGCAAAGTCACGGAACCAACCTAAGTCTAACCTATGGGTCCATCAATAATTGATTGGATAAAGAAAATGTGATATATATACACATCATGTAATACTACACCACCATAAAAAAGAATGAAATCATGTCCTTTGAAGCAACATGGATGGAGGTGTAGAACATTATTCTAAGTGAATTAACTCAGAAACAGAAAATAAAATACTGCATATTCTCACCTACAAGTGGAAGCTAAACAATTGGTACACATGGACATAAAGATGGAAATAATAGACACTGAGGTTTCCCAAAGGGGAGAGGATGTGAGTGTTGAAAAACTACCTATTAGGTACAATATTCATTATTTGGGTAATGGGTGAACTAGAAGCCCAATCCCCACCAGTATGCAATATACCCATTTAACAAACATTCACATGGACCCCTTGAATCTAAAATAAAATAAATATTTTTTAAATGACTGGAATGTGTGAAAAAGGAAACAAAGAACATTTCTAAAATAGAAAGATGCAAAAAATAAATTTTTAAATGCAATGGCTGTTCACTATTTTGTAGTAGCTAAAGTAGGTACTAGTGAATCCAAAGATCAGTCAGAAGAAATTATGCAGAATGCATCACAGCAAAACAGAGGCAGTGAGACATTTTACCATATTTTTACTTGGATTCCTAAACAAAGAGGAGAAAGAACATAGAACAGAGAAAACCTTTGTAAGTAATATTTTAAGATAATGACTGATACCCTACATCAAAAGAAAGCCAACGGGAAGTTCCTAAATCTATAGAGGGTACACAAACATAAAACTACACTTGAACATGTCATGGCGAGTTGGACGAACCAAAAACAATAGTAAAACCAAAGAACAACCACACACATGCATAAATCCACAAGGTAGTGAATAAAACAGCTTACTTTCAAGGCAGCAGAATGGCATTGACCACTAACTACTCAACAGAAATGATGAAAGACGGATGCCAGAAGAATCAGATCACCAAAGTGCTAATAAAAAATAATTGCCAATCTAGAATTTCTAGGACCCACTTTTTAAGAGTAGGATGAAATGCAGACATTCTTGGGCAAACAAAAAAAGAGAGTTTATCTGCAGCATATCCTCAGAAAAGGATGTAATTAAATCAGAGAAAAAGATGAGGATCAAGAAGGTAGGAAACATGCAAAAATCATGACAAGTAGTTTTTGCCATTAAGAAAAAGATGAAACTAATTAATTCCACAAAACAAGTCAAGAATAACTCATGAATTAGAGGGAGCAGAAATGGAGTTGCCATCTTCAAAGGCACTCATTTTCAGGAGATGTATACAATTTTTGGAAAAACTTGTATTTGAAAAGTTAAGTATGCATTTTGCAATTTTCAGAGAGTGAAAGAATAGCAACAAAATACTTATAAACTAGGAAAGGAAAAATCTTGAATAAGAAAATAATCTAACCAAAAAAGCCACATTTAAGTACTATGTTTATTTTGTTAAATTAATTTAAATTTTAAAAAATTATCTTCACTCTATGCAATAATATTTGTGAAATTTTGACTCTGGTGTGTAAATTAACTTGTTTACTGCATTGAATCCTTTGTCATTTTTGTAATACTTTGATTATCTCCATCTAAATATTCAAACATCACCTCTTAACATAACCAGTGGTACACTTTCCATGATTTAGATATGGTGGTCTGACTAGCGTTGAAACTTGAGAGAAGCTAGCCTCAATAACAGGACCCAGGGATAACCATCTAGTTCTCCAGCGAAGGGCCTTAAGCCCTCTGGGGGTCCACCTTGTTGGTTACTCACTAATCAAAGATGTGCCCGGCCCCTAGTTTTCTCCTCCCTGACTCAAGTTCATGTCATTCAACTCTCTGCCTGGTTCACGGACTCATGGTATTCTGCCCTACTCCTGCTGCTTGGCTATCCACCAGTTACCAAAAGCTGAAGTTGATGCAACCACGTGAAATTTCTACAAGACCCTCCCCTCTTTGGGCTCCCATCACATTGTCACTACTGCCAGATGTCATCAGCGTGAGAGAATCAGTGGTGGTCCACAGGAGCATCTTGTTGTCCCTCCCTAAATGATACCAGCACCACTTTCCTCCCAAAATCAATGCTCCCAACCACAATACCCCCCTTGACTTCACTTGTGTTCCCAGCAAGCCATCAAAACTAGCACCAAGGCTCTCTCTAGGAGGCTATAAATATGTATGTTTTCCTTTTTTCTGTCTTTAAATGGTGAGTTAACACAAACAGACCTACATACACCAGACCCCAAGGTATCAATCTGGATCCCTTCACAGGATCCTTTTCCATTCACAGAACCAAGAAAAAAAAGCAAACTCTGAAGCCCAGCCCTTCCCTCCTCTATTCCGGAGCAGGCAGCTGATGGGACGCAAATGGGGCTGCTGAGCTTCAGGGTGGAAATGGAAGCCAGTGCCTTGTGCTCCTTGTGATGTGAAACGTGTTGCAGCTGCGCAGAGAAACAAGAGTTTTCACTGGACACAGTGCAAGGAGCAAGCAGGATGCCTTTCATGGACAGAAGCTGCATCTGTCTATACTTCAGCCATTCAATCAACAAACATTTCATGATCATCAGTTACTGCTATGAAAGGTAGATGCTGAGGGTAAAACAAGGAACAAGATGAGAATGCCCCACTCCCATATGGCACATGTAAAAGCATAAAAGTCTATCTGAATCATTTTTGAAACAGAAGGCCCATGACATTTCCTGCTGAGTCCACGTTGGCTCTTGTTTGTGGATACCAGCACATATTAAAATTATCTGAAATATTCAGTTGTGAGCCCCCTCCCCTGATATGGTTAGGCTTCGCGTCCCCACCCAGATCTCATCTTGAATTGTAATCCCCATAATCCCCATAATCCCTATTTGTCAAAGGAGAGACCAGGTGGAGGTAATTGAATCATGGGGATGGTTTCCCCCATGCTGTTCTCATGATAGTGAGTGAGTTCTCCCAAGATCGGATGGTTTTATAAGGGGCTTCTTCCCCTTTGCTTAGCACTTCTCCTTTCTGCCACCTTGTGTAGAAGGTGCCTTGCTTCCCCTTCACCTTCCACCATGATTGTAAGTTTCCTGAGGCCTCCCCAGCCATGCTGAACTGTGAGTCAATTAAATCTCTTTCTTTTATAAATTACCCAGTCTCAGGCAGTTCTTTATTACAGTATGAAAATGGACTAATACAGTGAGAAAAAAATAGCTCTGGAGGGCTGGGTTACATTCAGGACATGTACTAAATATTTTAATGCATTTTTTTAGCAAGCACGTAAAATGTCTCCCCCAAGGCTTTAAGCTCTCTTTCTACTTCCCTAAAGGTTTCCCCATCAAAATAGGAAATAAATATTGAAGCTAGAAAAGGCTTGTCCCCTTCAAAGTAAGTAAGGGCACGCTTCATGACAGGCATAACTTTCTTCAGACAGTGGGGGAGGACACTTAATTCCTTCACCAAAGAAAAAAAAAGTTACAAAACAGCAACCTATGGAAACAAAAACATGGAATCAATGCATCGCCTGAAATAACTTCTCTGTAGTCCTGAGGGTGGTGTTTTGTTTGGCTTGTTCTCCTTCCCACCTTTTTATACCCCACAAGGATCCTTCTCATTCTGTTGTAGCCAGGGCTCCTAGAGAAGGCTGTCAACATTGAAGGGCCCAGATCCCTTCTACCAGTTTTTCTTGTGCTTCCTATGTGCTTGTAACTGTGAATCTCCTGCTTTTCAAACAACTCTTCTGCCTTTTGTATGGGTATACATTAAAGGGGAAAATCAGGGCCTCTTCACACTACTCTGGCAAAATCAACCTGAACTGCTGGATTATAGGTCTTGGCATCTGGAGCTGCCTGCTTGAGCCCTGGCAGGTCTGGAGGCTTGGGGCTCTTTCATTGACTCAGGAAATATTTCTGCTTCCCACCCAGGACTTCTGTTGTCTCTTCCTCCCTTCTCCTCCCCTGCTCTCAGGACTCTTAGATGTAGCCCAGGTTTGCTTCCACACAGTTGACATTGGCGGTGCATGGTCTTCTCCCCTCTACGCCCTCAGATCTCCATGCCTGTGCCTATGACACGTGCCACCTGCACCTGTGTAGCCAAGCCTGGCTCCTCATCCGTGGCCACTCCTGCCCCCACAACCTGCCAGTCCTGCCTCCTTTTTGCCTGCCTCCTGCCTATCTTTACTTCACTGATTTATTTGGCTGGAAAATATTTCTACAACTTCCCCTCCCACACTCACCTGGGGCTATGACATTGTTGTGCACACTGGTTGGGCCTCGCCCCTGCCACCTAACAAGTACATCCTACAGGCCCAGGAGGGCATTATCTGTGGTTTTGAATTTCTAGTGTCTCGAACTGTACTGGCCCAGAGAGGACCTCAAATATGGAAAACTGAAGTGATTGCTTTCTGCACGCGTTACCTATGCACCCATGCATAACTCACACAAACTTACTGAATCTTCATTTACTCTTCTGTAAAAGGGGAGTAATCAAAGAAATGCACTTTACTAACAACAAGAGGATGGCATAGTTTATCTTTTAAACTGATAAAGATGTTCTGAAATAAGAATCTATGTTTTCAAGGGTACAGGACTTTGGTAGTTACACCATGACAGTAAAGATGCATATTTTAGGAACTTGGTGGGGGATAATTTGACAATACACATCTACATGTTTACATTGTACATACCCTTTGACTGACACTCCACTGTTAGAAATTTGTACTAAGGAAATAATCAGACCTACAACATAAGCACTTAGCTATAGGAATACTGGTCAAAGAGTTGTTGATCATACTCAAAAATTAGAAACAATCTAAATATGCAATAAGAAATATTTAGGCCGGGCGCGGTGGCTCACGCCTGTAATCCCAGCACTTTGGGAGGCCGAGGCGGGCGGATCACGAGGTCAGGAGATCGAGACCATCCCGGCTAAAACGGTGAAACCCCGTCTCTACTAAAAATACAAAAAATTAGCCGGGCGTAGTGGCGGGCGCCTGTAGTCCCAGCTACTTGGGAGGCTGAGGCAGGAGAATGGCGTGAACCCAGGAGGCGGAGCTTGCAGTGAGCCGAGATCCCGCCACTGCACTCCAGCCTGGGCGACAGCGAGACTCCGTCTCAAAAAAAAAAAAAAAAAAAAAAAAACAACAAAAAAAGAAATATTTAAAATAAATTATATTGCATTCATCTGATGTAATATTATACAGACATTTAGAAAGCTCTTATAGTCAAAGGATAAGTAGGTTACCTTTGGCATATTAAATGAGTAAAACTGATACTAAGTTGATATACCCATTGTGATATAATTTTCTTTGGTTCTTAAATATTTTTATATACCTAAGGAAAAAGATTAAAAGCTTATGAAACCAAAATATTCACAGTTTAGTTATCACAGTCTAGTGTGATTATGGGTAATTTTTATTGTTTTAATTTCATATTTTTCTGTTCAAAGTTCCATTGCTTGTTTAATTAAAAAAAACTTTTAAATAATATTATAAAATGACCATCACAGAAAAAAATATCATTAGGCAATATTGCCATGACTATAGACCTTTCTCCCTACACTGTTATTCTTACAGTTGGATGCTTTGAATCGGGAAGTGATATATCGCCTTGCTTTTCGCTGGAGAAGGAAGCGCCAGCCTTTGTGAGCATGTGTATCACAAGCTAACTAGCACGAAGATTGCATAGCTCTTTCTACATAAGGCTACTGTTCGCAGAAATTTGGTCCATGGTCTCCAGTCTCTTGGGGTCTCACGCTCTGTGAAAATCTTCGTGTTTTTCCCTAGCCCCCAGAGTCACCTTTCACACAGCGTCTGCTTGTAACCGCGGTCCCCACAGGAGTTTGTAGGATTTCTGTGCCAGCGGTGAAGGTGTTCTCACCTCATAGAGCAAGGTAGAAACTACGCAGACAGGCGCTGTTCTTTGGGATGAAAGCAGGGCCTTTGGGGCTCTTTCTTAGTGTCCCCGTTCGGTTGTAGACATAACACGCTTGCTTTGTGTAGGAGATCGGCTCTGCCGGCGCCCAGGGGCCCTAACGCAGTTCATCGAGGCCCGCAGGTCAGAACTGCAGTCTCACCTGTCTTGGCGGAAATGCGCTGCGCTCCTCCCTGTACTACATAAGCACGAGAATTCCACTACAGAAGAAAACCCCAGGCCTAGTGATGGCGGTTCTGGGCATTTTGCCAGCTTCTCCCAGGGTGTGCTTTCTGACCCCACCCACTTCTGATCTGTAATGTCATGGTCAATAGAAACTACTGGGCCCAAACGGAAAAGGCAAGGAGGAACACAGCGGGAAAGCCTATGGCGTTCCCTGGTGGCTACCCCGGGGACTGCACTCATAGATCCGCGTGTTCCGAGAAGCCTCTGCCATCCCGACCCCGGAGCCGTGCAGAAACCCGCGGCTCCAAAGAAAACCGGCTAGAACGCACAGGAAGCCCAGCCAGTGTTCAGGACACTGCGAGTGGAAGCCGTACGTCCCACGGACTGATCTAGTTTGCTGAAGACGAGCCATTTACTTCTAACCCCAGCAGCGGACATTGCCTTGCTCAAATATAAAATATATGAACCAAGACCGAAAGCAACTCTTATTGCGTTACTGATGAGCAAACGGGTTTTTAGAATGGTTAAGAAATGTCCCTTGTTTTGGGACCGTCATCACTAACGTATGCTTGGGATTCCTGATCGAGGAGTTTCTGAGCAAAGCAGCCCACCAATCCAGTGGCTGAGAACGGCTTGGATATTGGCTTCCAGGCGCATCAGAAATACCGAGGTTCTGACAAAGACGTGAGCTTCTGTCTGCCTTTGGGAAGGCCTTCTTCCAGTCCTGGCGCTGCCGCTTGCCTTCTGTTTGACCTGGGGCCAGGTCCTTCAATTTGCTAGGCTTCAAGTTGGAAAGTGTTACAGGAAAATAATAATGCGAAGTGCTTCTTAGAGTTATTGCACAGATTACAGAAGATAGTCTAATAGTACAGCTAGCATCCTGTATGGCTTACATTAAGGATTTGCTGATAGGAAACAACATCCCAGATAAAGTTTTTTCCCCTTAATTATGAAATATAACAAAGGAAAGTGTGTAGACTTATGCTTCAGGCCTCTGTAACATTTGAATGAATTTTGCACTTGTGAAGGTGACATCATTTTACAAAATAAGTTAATACTAAAGAATGACAAGTGGAATTTACAAAACATATATTCACAAAAAGAACTTGTTCTTAGCAGCTTTGTTTACAATAGTCCCCAAACTGGAAAAGGTTCATATGCATCAAGAGGTGAATGGACCTATTGTGATATATTCATCCAACGGAGTACTACCCTCAATAAGATGGGACAAATTATGGAAACATGAGATAGCATGGGCCAATCTCAAAAACCTCATGCTGAGTGATGTAAAGAGTGGATTCTATGTGGTGCCATCAAGGTGAATTTCTAGAACAGGTGAAACTAACCTGTATAGTGGCAGAAAATACATCATTAATTGCTGGGGTCAGGGAGTCGAGGGGACTGACTGCAAAGGGCACAAGAGGACCTTCTGGAGTAGTAGACATGTCATCAAACTTGAAATGGATGCATTGTACCATATTCAACCAATGCCTTAATCAATTTGATTGTAAAAAGTAGTAAGAAAACCACTGCAGGCTGGACGCGGTGGCTCACGCCTGTAATCCTAGCACTTTGGGAGGCTGAGGCAGGCGGATGGGAGGCGGAGGTTGCAGTGAGATGAGATCGAGCCACTGCACTTCAGCCTGGGCAACAGAGCCAAAAAAAAAAAAAAAAAAAAACCTCCGTCTCAAAAAAAATAAAAAAAAAAACACAGCAAATCATAATGCATTCTACTTAATTTAATGTATGTTTAGCTTTAGAGGATTCCTTTAGAAAAGCGTCTCGCTAAATGTGATTGAGAGTTCAGGAATTCCTTCATTTCTGTTTCTGTCTCTTTGTCTTCAGTTAAATTCATGCACTATTAAATGGAATATTTGTAAAATAAAAATAGAGTCTAAGTTCAATTTTACAAAAGCATATATATATATGTGTATATATAATATATAGCTCCCATATATATGTGTGTGTATATATAGAGAGAGCTTTATTTATTGTTTTTTCTTTTGCGGGGGTGCGGGGGGGACAGTCTAGCTAAAATATACATTCTTCTCTCTGTAGATATACCAGAAGAACATGACTCGATCAGTGTTGCCCTAATGTTAACAAAAGTTATTTTGAACTTAAGGTGATCAGAAATTTTACCTATCTGTACTTTTTCTGTATTGGTGGTATGGTCTATGCTAAGCGTGTATAATTAAAAAAAAAGAGAGTAACTTCAAAATGATTTGGAAGAAAAAATATGTACATATGTGAATAGTACTTAATTCCAGGTGATGGGAATATGGATGACTGGTTATCTTCTTCTTTCTGTATCTTTTATATTTTTAAATGGAAAAACTCAACGACCTGGAAGTGAAAGAACAGATTTGGAAGAGGTGTGGGGCAGGTGAGAGGAAAATGCAGAGTGAAACTCTGTCTCAAAAAAAAAAAAAAAGTTACTTGTAATAAAACTCACCAATTTTAAATCTACGATGTAACCATCTAAGGAGGTTTGTAGAATTGTGCAGCCATCAGCAGAGTCACGTTTTAGAATATTTTTGTCATTTCCCCAAATACCCTAAAGCCTCTGCACAGTCATTTCCTAATCTCTGGTGCCCATGACTGGGCCCCAACAAAATAAAAATTTGGAAATCCGACATCATTAAATTTCAAATTTTCTTAGATTGGGATTTTTTGTAGTGAATCATTGTCTTACTTTTGTGACGTTTGAGGAAATATTGCATTTTAGGGACTTTTTTGATGAACTTAATAATAGTCCTGTTCATTGCTCTTCGTGAATTGTTTCATTTTTACTGATAACTGATAGTTGCTACAAAACCTGGTCTGGCGAGCCTAAATGAATGAGCTAAAAAAAGAAAAAAATCTGCTATAAGAAATAGAGATAGATGATGAATTTGCACATAAGATTATGTGGAGTTAGTATTGTACCATCTTTATTCTTTCAGAAATTTGGTTGGTAACATTACAGATACTCCTCACATGGTTGGAATGCCTCTCATTATCTTCTTCAGGTTGCAAGGGCTCCAGAATAGTGACATAAAGGTAAACGTGAGTGCAAGATTTTTGCTGTAGTTCTTTGCTTTTTAATTTTTTTCTCTTAGAGGGATTAGCATCCATGTATCTGAAATAATAAATCAAGAGTAGAGATAGGCATTTGTACTAGTTTTCTATTGCTGCCTATTAACACATGCAACAAACTAGTGGATTGAAACCACAGAAG
Source organism: Homo sapiens (assembly GCF_000001405.40). NCBI lineage: Eukaryota > Metazoa > Chordata > Mammalia > Primates > Hominidae > Homo > Homo sapiens. Next base: position 120,392,029 of record NC_000001.11, read on the forward strand.
TCTGGAACAGAGGCTGGGTTCTCTGATAAGGGTTTTAGGAAGCTGAATCCAGGTGTGCCTGGCTATGTAATTATGTGGAGCTCAGGCTACTTCTCCAAGTTCACTTCAGGTGTAGGAGGAATTCATTTTGTGGGAGTTGAAAGACTGGGTTTTCTTTTTCTGTGCTGGCTGTCCCAATAACAGCTCATGGAGTCCTTCTCAAGCTCCCATTCTTCCTGACGTTACCTTCTTCTGACAGCTAGAGAAACCACTGGCATGTATGCAGTGATGTGATTAGATCCAGTTTACACAGGTAACCTCACCATCTTAAAGTCGTATAACTGGCTTATAACAACATAATCACCAGAATGATGTCTCAGCACCTTAACAGGCTTTAGAGACAAGGGTGTGGCATGTTTGGGGACCATTTCAGAAATTCCATCTACCGCAGTTGGACACTCACATTCCCCCATCTGCAAAATACATTCACCCTCTCCCCTAAGGTTTCCAAATTTCATGTCATTAAAGCGTTAGTTCAAAGTGAAAAATGGTATGTAGACCACACCAGATCAAAAATTTAAAATCTTATCTTAATCATCCACACCAAGTATGAATGAGGCTTCTGAGGGTGTCCTTGACATAATTCCCTTCCCTCTATCAACCTGTGAAACTGAACAAACAGCTTATCTGCCCTCAGTGTGCAATGGTGGGACAGACATAGAAAAACGATTCTTTTTTTTTTTAATTTTTTTATTATACTTTAAGTTTTAGGGTACATGTGCACAATGTGCAGGTTAGCTACATATGTATACATGTGCCATGCTGGTGTGCTGCACCCATTAACTCATCATTTAGCGTTAGGTATATCTCCTAATGCTATCCCTCCCCCCTCCTAGAAAAACAATTCTAGTGATTCTTGTTCACAAACGGGGAAAGTGGAAGTAACAAAGAAGTCACTGATCCAAAACCTTTTTGAAATGGGGCTGAGCAGAGTCCAGCAGGAATTGCGTGGTTAGGATCCACAACCTGGAACTAACCTTCTGTGACATGGGGCTTTGCCTCTGGAGTCTGCATTTCTTTCTATCTTTATGGCAATCATTTTATTTTCCTTCCTCTCCTACTCCCTTGGTTCTTCCCCTTTCTCCTTATGGCAGCATCCTCCCCTTAATCCTTGGCACATCATCCCCAGCAGAATTGGTCAAATGTTGCCCACGTCACGGTCCTGACCATCTCCATGAGGGGTTGTCCTTGTGACCCCCTGCTCCCCTGGGACCCTCTTCACTGACCTGACCTCTCTGTCATGATTGCTTTCAGCTGACCTGGCTGGTTTAGGAGAAAACCTAGAATTGTGGAGACCCAGAACCAATCTCTGCCCTCTCTTATCTCCAAGAGAGGAAGAAAATAATAGGTATCACCATGGAGAAATGACCCACATGAGGGCTGAGACTCTCCAGCAGTTAGAGCAGAGGAAACTCCCTGAAGAAGGGAGGAGCTGAGATCCCAGGCTGGGAGAGCAGGCTTGTGTTAAGCATTACTTAATCTTTATGTGCTCCCTGCCTGAATCTACCAGCCAGCGAATGACAACTGACTGAGTAGAAATACTAGGACTACAGAACCGTGATAAAAGGTTTGTCCAAGGAAAAGCCCTTTTACTTTATTTGTTTTCACAGTGGAAATTGCTGTTTTTGATCCAAAGTTTTCTGAAACGCAGCAGTGAGTTCCTGGTGGGTGAGTTAGGTGCTTTGGACCTGGAGGCTGAGGCCAAGGCTTGTGTGGTCGATCTGCTGCCACCATGTGGTGAGGGAGCCTGGGAGAGTCTTAGTCTTTCTTGGCTTCACTTTCCTCCTCAGTGAGGTAGGGGCTTATTGTTCCTCTCTGAGGTCCCTTCCTACTGTGTTTTCTCTGAGTCTCTGAGGAACTGAGAAGGTTTTTATTTATTTATTTTTTTCCTTCCCTTTCCCTCCTTCTTTCCTGTGCCCAGTTGCCAATCAAGCCACCCACCTTTCCATTTGCGGGGGAAGGGGGCGATACCCAACCCCCTCTATTACTAGGGGGTTGTTATGGTAACTCCCCACGCGAGGGCTGGGTGGCCTCTAGATAGGACGGGCTGTCCACCCACCCAATTACTATGGCAACAGTGGAGCCGCTGAGGGAGGGGCCACTCCGTGAGAACTTGGCTGGAGAAACCACGTGGGAGTTGGGGGGCAGAGGAGGGGCACCGGCTGCCTCAGGAATGCCCTTTCCACCCTCACCTAGCAGGTTGGGGAAGCATCGAGGTGCTCTCAGATCTCAGGATAAGGAATCCTACCACAGACGTGTATCTCTGCACCTCTTTTAACGAAGTGTTCTGCACAAAGGAACTGTTTCCACAATTATTCATTGATCACTGGAGTCGCGCGTGGAGGAAGGGGTGGCGAAGGGGAAGAGAGGGAATCTGCGTTCAGTCCCTTAAAATATTGCTTGGGTTGCCTTAGATCTAGTCATGTTGGCATAGCGCCTACAGCCATTAGCCTCAGTGGAGGCTGGGTAATGCTATCTAAGAACCACGAGTCATGTTCTACCACTGAAATGCTGTGTGACCTTGAGCAAGTTGCTTTGCTTCTCTGAGGTTTTCTTTCACTGTGAAATTGAGGGGGGAGGCTGTATGATCCTCAAGAGCTCTTCTAGCACCAACACTGCCTCTGAAAGACTCCACCACCAGCCTTAATATAAACATCATTTAAGAGAGTTTAATTTAGAAGTCCTTGAAAAATAGCTGAACACATTCCTTTCTGGACCCTTTTTAGCATTTGGGTGCACAGCCAGTCGGCCCCCTTCCCTAACCCCTAGCCCATTTTCCTTGCCACTGCCCTTATTCAAGCCGCTATCCCCATTCATCTCCTATTTGGCCTTCCGGCCTGACTCCTTCAAGTCAATTTTTTTTTTTTTTTTTTTTTTTTTTTTTTTTTTTTTTGTTTTGAGACAGAGTCTCACTCCGTCGCCCAGGCTGGAGTGCAGTGGCGCGATCTTAGCTCACTGCAAGCTCCGCTTTCCGGGTTCACGCCATTCTCTTGCCTCAGCCTCCCGAGCAGCTGGGACTACAGGCGCCCGCCACCTCGCCCGGCTAATTTTTTGTATTTTTAGTGGAGACGGGGTTTCACCATGTTAGCCAGGATGGTCTCGATCTCATGACCTCGTGATCCGCCCGCCTCGGCCTCCCAAAGTGCTGGGATTACAGGCGTCAGCCACTGTGCCCAGCCTCTATTTTTTTTTTTAAAGACAAAGTCTTGCTCTGTCACCCAGGCTGGAGTACAATGGTATGATCTCTGCTCACTGCAACCTCAAGCTTCCGGGCCCAAGCTATCCTCCAGCCTCAGCCTCCCAAGTAGCCAGGACCACAGGCAGTGCATGCCACCACGCCTGGCTGATTCTTATATGTTTTGTAGAGATGGGGCTTTGCCATGTCGCCCAATCTGGTCTCAAACCCCTGGCCCCAAGTGATCTGCCCGCCTCGGCCTCCCAAAATGGGGAGATTACAGGATCCCTTGAGGACAGGAGTTGGAGGCCAGCCTGGCCAACATGGTGGGGTTTTTTTTTTTTTTTTTTTTTGAGACAGTTTTAGTTTAGTTTAGTTTTTTTGTGAATTTGTGAATTTGTTTTTATTGGGGAACAGGACACAGGGTGGAAAATGTCATCTTGGTGGAGACAGAGTTTTGTTCTCGTTGCCCAGGCTGGAGTGCAGTGGCACAATCCCGGCCCACCGCAACCTCCGCCTCCCGGGTTCAAGCAACTCTCCTATCTCAACCTCCCGAGTAGCTGGGACTACAGGCGCACGCCACCACGCCCAGCCAATCCTTTGCATTTTCAGTTGAGATGGGGTCTCACCATGTTGGCCAGGCTGGTCTTGAACTCCCCATCTCAGGCGATCCACCTGCATCAGCCTCCCAAAGTGCAGGGATCACAGACGTGAACCACCACAACCGGCCAAGCCTGACAGACATGGTGAAACTCTGCTGAGATGGTTTTTAATGCCACCCAGGACCTGCAGCTGAGACCTGACTCTGTGTGTCTCCTGCAGGAGCCTGAGCTGAGTCCACACACTGGAAGCCCAGAACTGAGGGAACAGATAAAAGAAAGAAAGTCAGCAGGTTTAGGGGATGAGAACAACTCACAAAGGACAAGCCATTGGTAAATGAAAACCAAAGAAGGGGGGAATAAGGACAAGTTGGGATAGAAGCCTCAGGGGAAATGGGCAATGCCTGTCATCATCCAAACTCTCAAGGAGCAGTGCGAGCTGAGCAGTGGGGACTGAGAGAGAAATTTACTCCACAGGAGTCTCCTGCCCCTGGCCAGGGAGAGCCACAGGCTGGATGACATCTGGTTTATAGTGAGGGGCAGCAGCAACTCCAAGAGGGGGAAGATGTGACCATGAGCCCCGCCCCAGACCCAGGAGGCTTGACCTTGGGGCTGCCGTAGCAGTGGATGCTCTTCAGGTCAGTGTGGGTTAGAGGGAATAACCATGCTGGGAGAAGGGTTGGAGACATCCATTCTTATGTTAAAAAGCTCTGCCCTAGGTCAGGTGCTAGAGTAAGTGTCCCTTGCTAGTATACAAAGCAGTGATACTTATAATATTCTTCTGTACTTACAGTTGAAGGAGGTTTCCAAATGATAGCTCATAAATATTTATTGGTGTTTAATTTTCTTTACGCTGTGTTAAACACTTGGGATTCAGATATTAATGTCTCCCCAAAGGAACTCAAGCCCATGAGAGAAAGAACAGAAATATAGCTTTTTAAGAAAATATGAAAGTTCCCCCACATTGGGGTGCTGTGGCAACCCATAGAGTGGGAGTTTAGGTGAAGACATTGCTCCTAATGACAGGGGGAACCATAAGAGGACTTCTTCAGAACAGACTCATTTTCCTCCAATGTCCCACAGAGAGGGATCCTGGGGCATGAATGGTGTAAGGCAAGGGCCAGTCTAAGGAAAGGGATTTGCTGCATCCTGGGAGAAATCTCAGCATCCCTGACAGGATATTTGGGACAGGAATGCAGGTGAGAGGAGGTTTGCAATCGCTTTTATTCAATAATTGATGAACACTCTCCTGAGAACTCCCTCAGTGCTAGACCCTGAGCTGGGAACCATGAACACAGAGATTAGCAAGATATGATCTCAGCTTTGACAGAACTCTCAGTCTAGTGACCAGCGATTCCTGAGAAGTATGGTGATGGTGGGTTCACTGGAACCAGTGGCCCATGCTGCATGGAGATGACCTCAGTGGATGGCCTGGTCTCTCTTCTGTTTTTTTCAAATAGCTGAATGACCTATCCTGGGCCCGTGACCCTGGACTTCAGCCAGATCAGCATCTCAAGGTACAACCAACATCTTGGCTCCATGATGGGTCAAAACAGTTAACACAGCCAAGGTATTCAAGGTATCAGTAGCTACTGACTATGTCCTGGCCAGCTGTGAAAAGAAAGGGGTGAATTTAACAAGTATTCTAAAATTGTCCTTGACATAGTAATCACAGATTATCTATCTTCTGTCTGGTAATATATATATATATATGTTTTTGTTGTTGTTGTTGTTGTTTTGTTTTTTTGTGATGGAGTTTCGCTCTTTTTACCCAGGCTGGAGTTCAATGGCATGATCTCGGCTCACTGCAACCTCTGCCTCCGGGTTCAAGCGATTCTCCTGCCTCAGCCTCCTGAGTAGCTGGGATTACAGGTGTGCACCACCACGCCCGGCTAATTTCCTATATTTTTAGTAGAGATGGGTTTTCACCATGTCGGCCAGGCTGGTTTTGAACTCCTGACTTCAGGTGATCCACCCACCTCGGCCTCCCAAAGTGCTGGGATTACAGGCATGAGCCACCACTCCCAGCCTCTGTCTGGTAATTTAAATGCTTTGGAGACTCCAAGATTCACCCATGTCCAAAATAAATTCTATATCAGTCATAGTACTAGCATTTAGAAGTTGTGTGTTTTATCCTCTAATTATAGATGAAATACCTAAGGTGGAAAGGAGTAAAGCAGCTTCCATGAATGTAGTGAGAATGTAGGGGGGTTAGGGACTAAAGTCCTGCCTTAGGATTCCCCAGCAGTTGCCAGTCACAATTTTTGTACTCTTAGAAACAACAACAACAACAAAAAAATGACAACCTGTTTTGTTCCTCTGCTTACCCTATCCAATTCTCTACACCATAACATCTCTGCTTATCAAGACAACTTGGATTCTCAATTTGTTGAGCTCAACAAATGCATCTCTTGAGCCCCTGTGGGTAAAGCATTATGCTAGTTACGGCGGGTGATACAGAGGAAGCACAGAAGGGTCCTTAGTGACAAGAGCTTAAGATTTCTGCTCTCAGCTCAGCCTGAGTTGCCTGCAGGTGAGAAAATCAGTAGCCGACAACCACAGGTGCATTCTGGTGAAAGGGTCGATGATAATGAATAGTGGTTCTGACAGGGCTGGGCTCTTAACCTCCCAAAGATGCTGGTCAAACAGGATCTGGAGGATCTCTGCACATAGTGTCTGACTACTGACTGTCATAAGTGAATGTCACCAAGTCTTGGCCTGGATCCCCTCCCTTTGTTTCATTTCACAGATTACATGTTGACAGCAGGAAAATCAACAGAAAGACCATGAGGCTAGACTCCAAAAGACTTAGTAATGCTGCTGGGTGGGCCATGAATTTTTAAAAACACATGAAGGGCCTTCTCAGAAGTGAAGTTTTAGGAAATATAAAATGCATAGCTGGGATACATTATAGTGTACTGATAGAACAAATATTGGATATAGCAGCATCTAATAACTTCTGGAGGAAAAAAATATTTTTCACATTACTCCAATTATGGCCTTATATGACAAAAAAGAAAAAAAAATCCCTAAGAGAACCACTAACATCCACTGGTTTTGTAGAAACAGGATACCCTTAGTGCACTTAAAGTTGGAAAAATGGCTCTGCCTTTAGGGCCATGCAATGAAACAGACTGTGTGGTAGTTGACACAGGAAGAGCAGAGCAGAGTTTATAACAATGGCCACAAGACAGTTAAGAAAATGCTTTGGGGCTTTTAAGCAGCAGATAAGGTGACTCAGAGGAATGTTAGACAATCGCAGAAAAGCAACTTCAGCAAAGTTTTTGATTCAGTAGGCACTGCATACTTAGTCCATGCTCTGCATCTTTCTTTCACAGTCTGTCCCTTCATCGACTTGGGCCTACAATGACTTTTCTGGGAGGGGAGAGGGATCAACACAACAGCATGCACACACCTGAAATAAAGAATGAATTTCTGATTTTCAGATTTTAGTCTCTGACATAACCAAAGAAGTGACTACCATAGATGTTAACTTTTTTTTTTTATTATTATACTTTAAGTTTTAGGGTACATGTGCACAACGTGCAGGTTTGTTACATATGTATACCTGTGCCATGTTGGTGTGCTGCACCCATTAACTCATCATTTAACATTAGGTATATTTCCTAATGCTATCCCTCCGCCACCCCCCCAGATGTTAACTATTAATAACATAAATGATGCTCACAAATATGCAGATCTTATAATAACGAGGTAAAATAGCTTAAAAAATAGATGGTAGAACTGTAGTCCAGGGACACTAATAGAAGTGACCCATAACATTACATCATCTCCACTTCTAACAAAAATCAGGCAAAAGAAGGAAGGAGACTGGCAACCCAATGCACAGAACTATATATAACAGGCATACTAGTTATTGGTTGGTTATAAACCAGTGGGAATAAATCTTTTTTATATACTGACTCTTGGTTTATGTCACTGAGGCACAGCATGGAACAATAGAAAACCGGACTGTAAGATAAATTCATTTGAGTAACTGGACTTTTGTAAACCATTAGAGAGACGTTTGAGAAACCAAATTTAAAGCTGTTCATGAGCCATGTTAGCCTATCAAGGTTGAAATTCAGGAGAGATACATAACGAAAAATAAATGCTTTTTTTTTTTTTGTGACACTGTGATCTGATGCATTGGGAATGTGATCTTGTGAATCACTCAGGTGAGCAAGCCTGACATGAGTGGGCATAAAGGTCAGTAACTGAAGAGGTACCAAAATGTGCTACATGTGTCAATTGTGACCTAAAGAACTGAAGGCATTCACCCTCCCTTGAAGTAATGAAGCTGACACAGCAGGGGGCTGCAAATTCCACTGCAGATCAGGGTCTTGAAGCTGACATACTGAAGAGTGGACTCCCACTTGAGATACAGAGTAGGAACTACTGTTTCCTACGGCTACTGAATATCCCACAAACTAACCTCCTCAGCATGCCATTATTAATTATTTTAAAGCTCTTAAAGGTCTCATTTTATAATAGATCACATCAGAAGGAAGACTAATAAGGATCAGGTACAAACTCATACTTGCTGGACATATCATTGCATATCATCCCAAAGTTTTTGGCACTACATAATGTTGGAATAGATTCTTGAATATTAAATTTTAAACTAAGGGAGAACATTGGCTTCTAAATTTTACAACTATAGTATTGCAGCTAAACACAAGTGCAGATGGGCAGCCTTATAACTGCATGAGTAATCTTAAGGAAAACTTATTGGTGAACATACAGAACATTTCACATGCATTTGTCTACAAAGGACAAACTCTTCCCAACCTCAGAACTTGATATGCGTTAGGACATTCCTCTCCTTTGGGCTGGTGATAAAGCTCCAATTGAAATGAGAAAGATTCTTCATGCCTGGTAAATACGCAAGTTTCCAAAGATATTGCCACTGGCCGATCAAACCTGAATCCAAAAAGCATTTGTTTCTAGCAGGATATAAGATCAATATGCAAAAATAAATTGTGTTTATGCAATTGCACGGCAGAATTTAAATGTAAAAGGAATACCATTTACAATAATGTCAAGTGTATAAAATCCATAAATGTGAATATGACTGAAAATTAGAGCACATTTCACGGAGAACATAGTGCAGGCCTAATAACTGGAAAGATATTGTTTGCTCATGTGTAAGAATATTGTTGAGATGTTCATTTCCCCTAATTTGATCTATGAATTCAATGCAATCCGACTCAAAATTTCAGCATGCATCGTTGGTAGAAAATGGCAGCTGATTCTAAAATTAACATGAACTAGCATAACCAAAATGCCTGTATAACGAAGTGCAAAATTGGAGGGCTAGCTCCACCTGATTTAAAGAACAATCACAGAGTTGTAATGGCCACAACAGAGCTTTGGTATGTGATCAATTAAATGGATCAAAAGAAAATAGAGTCCAAATATAAATGAACACATATATTGAGAACAGATTTTTGACAATCTTGAAAAAGCAATGTATTTAAAAATGCATAATATTTCAACAAACGATTGAAGATTTTCTTTTTAAGCAATGGATGTGACATATTTGTAACCATATAAAAATAAACAAGTAGAAAAAACTGAATTCATGTGTCATATCACATATTAAAATTAGTGGTTACAAGAGGATGGGAAGGAGATAGGGGAGAAGGAAGAAAAGATATTGGTTAATGCATATAAAATATAGTTAAATAGAAGGAATAAGTTCTAGTATTTGATAGTATATTAGGGAGACTATAACTCAAAATAACTTCTTGTATATTTTAAAATAACTAGAAGAGAGGAATTGGGATATTCCTAACATAAAGAAAAGATAAAGTTTTGAGGTGACAGATATACTACTTACACTGATTCGATCATTATAAATTGTGTATGTTTATCAAAATATCATGTGTATCCCCAAAATGTGTGCAACAATTATACATCAATTAAAATAATGAAGAGTACATCTTAGACAAATTAACAATGATTCCAATCCCATCGAGTATCTTTTCTGACCACAACGGTATGAAACTAAAAATTAACTACATAAGGAAAACTGGAAAATTAAAAAATACATGGAAATTAAACAACTTGCCTTTGAACAACTGATTGATCAAAGAACAAATCAAAAGGGAAATTTGAAAATATATTGAGGCCAACAAAAGTGAAAACAAACATAACAAAATCTTTGGAAACAGCAAAAACAGCTCTTAAGAGTCAAGTTTATAACCATAAATGCATACATTAAAAAATTAGAAAGACTTCGGCCGGGCGCGGTGGCTCACGCCTGTAATCCCAGCACTTTGGGAGGCCGAGGCGGGCGGATCACGAGGTCAGGAGATCGAGACCATCCTGGCTAACACGGTGAAAGCCGGGCGAGGTGGCGGGCGCCTGTAGTCCCAGCTACTCGGGAGGCTGAGGCAGGAGAATGGCGTGAACCCCAGGGGGCGGAGCCTGCAGTGAGCCGAGATTGCGCCACTGCACTCCAGCCTGGGCGACAGCGAGACTCCGTCTCAAAAAAAAAAAAAAAAAAAAAAAAAAAAAAAAAAAAAAATTAGAAAGACTTCAAATAAACATTACACCTCAAGAAACCAGGAAAAAAACAACAAAATAAATCCAAAGTTCACTGAAAAAAGGAAACAAAAATCAATGCAGAAGTAAATCAACTGAAGAACAGAAATACTACAGAAAAATAATAAAAGTGAGTTGTTGGTTTTTTGTTTTGTTTTGTTTTGTTTTTTTCCTTTTCCTTTCTCTTTCTTTTTCTCTTTTTAGGAGAGACAACGTCTTACTATTCTTTCCAGGCTGATTGGGAACTACTGGCCTCCAGTGGTGATGCAACGTAGGCCTCTCGCACCCGAGTTGTTTTTCTGGAAAAAGTAAAATTAACAAACACTTGGCTAAACTAACTAAGAAAAAAATAGAGAAGACTCAAATAAATAACATCCGAAATGAAAGTGGAGGCATTACAACAGAAGCCTCACAAGTAAAAAGTATCATAAGAAACTATTATTAGGCCGGGCGCAGTGGCTCCTACGTCTGCAATCCCAGCACTTTGGGAGGCCAAGGCGGGCGGATCACGAGGTCACGAGATCGAGACCATCCTGGCTAACACGGTGAAACCCCGTCTCTACTAAAAATACAAAAAAATTAGCCGGGCGTGGTGGCGGGTGCCTGCTACCCAGCTAGCTACCCAGTAGCGTGTAGTCCCAGCTACTCGAGAGGCTGAGGCAGGAGAATGACATGAACCCGGGAGGCGGAGCTTGCAGTGAGCCGAGATCGTGCCACTGCACTCCAGCCTGGGCGACAGAGCGAGACTCCGTCTCAAAAAAAAAAAAAAAAAGAAAAAAGAAACTGTTATTAACAGCTCTATACCAACAAATTGGATAACCTAGAGTAAATGGATAAATTCTTAGAAACACACAACCTACCAGGATTGAATCAAGAAGAAACCGAAAGCCTGAACGACCAATAACAAATAAAAGGACTGAAGAACCTCCCAACAAAGAGAAGCCCAGGACCAAATGACCTCACAGCTCAACTCTTCCAAACATTCAAAAAAGAACCGGGCGCGGTGGCTCACGCTTGTAATCCCAGCACTTCGGGAGTCCAAGGTGGGCAGATTACCTGAGGTCAGGAGTTGGAGACCACCCTGATCAACATAGTAAAACCCTGTCTCTACTAAAAAAATACAAAAATTAACCGGGGGTGGCGGTGCCTCCGTGTAATCCCAGCTACTTGGGAGGCTGAGGCAGGAGAATCGCGTTGCAGTGAGCCGAGATGGCGCCACTGCACTCCAGCCTGGGAGACGGAGCGAGAGTCTGTCTCAGGGAAAAAAAAAAAAAAAGAAAGAAAAAAAAGAAAACGAAAACCACTGCAAATCATAATGCATTTTGTCCACTTTCTGAGAATGTGATTTCCTCTTCCTGTGGAAACAGCAATAATTTTTATGAGGGGGTGCTGCCCGGACCCCACTGGAGGAGTGGGTAAGATGAGGATTGTGCTCGGTGTTGCCTCCCTACAGAACCACACATACTGATCTGTAATACCTGTGGCCCCTAAGTGTCCGTGAAGGGACTGGTCCCTTTACAACATTGCGTATGGCTGCGGAAACCCACTATGTGGCAACAAGATGTATATGTGTGGGTTGGTGGTAAAACCATTATAGGCAACGGAAATTCAAAATGTTCCAGAACTCTTAAAAGTTCGCCTCATGTAGTATTTGGTTTCTTGCAGGGGGACCCAAGCCCCCGGGGCTGTGGTCAGCTACCTGTCCTGGGCCTGTTAGGCACCAGGCCGCACAGCAGGATATGAGTGGCCCGCAAGCGAGCATTCCAGCCTGAGCCCCGCCTCCTGTCAGATCAGCGGTGGCATTAGATTCTCATAGAAGCACAAACCCTATTGTGAACTGTGCATGAACGGGATCTAGGTTGCGCGCTCCCTACGAGAATCTAATTAATGCCTGATGATCTGAGGTGGAACAGTTTCATTCCGAAATGATCCTTCCCTCTTTTCACGTCCCCCACCCCTGGTCCAAGGAAAAATTGTCTTCCACGAAACCAGTCCCCGAGGCAAAAAAGTTTGGAGACTGCTGGTCTACAGTGTCCCAAAACCCTTTTCTATGGTTCCTTCCCAAAGCCTGGAGGCTCAAAGTCCTCCCCTGTTCTTATACTCCTGTGTGTGGAGAAAAATAGCATTTCCTATGCTCTGAAGGTTCTCCAGAACATTCTTTCTAGGCAGCAGGATGGAGATTAATAATAACAGAATATTTGGCATGGCCTTGTTAGCCAATCCAAAGCCCTCTGGGCTGAAGTGGGGGTTTTTCACTTCAGGGTCATCCAGCCTGGGTACCTTCCATCTCAGCATCCCCAGGCACAGACAGGAAGGTGACATCACCCCATTTACATGATGTCTGTCTTTGTGGCCTGGGCCACTGGGTGGCTTACCTCAGAGGCGGAGATGTCAGAGATGGGTGTTCTGGGCATGATTAACAAAGGGAAAACTGAGAGCGTTCCTACTGAAGCCCCTTCTCCTTTCAGCTCCCACCCAGGTGGCCTGTCCTCACGGGCCTTGGAGTGGAGACTTGAGCCACCACCTGTCAGAGGTGGAGACTTCACAGGCACAGCTGGAGCCAAGAACCCTGGTGCCCAATTGTCTGTGACTGCAACTGGATCAAGGGTTTGACTGTGGCTATGGCTTAGCCAGGCGGGATGTTTCCTCCACCACCTGCAGCTTCACAACCAACGGTGATCCTGGGAACCAATGGCCCTTCCAAGGTAGGGAAGGAAAGGGGACCAGGAAGCTCTCATCCGGGTGTCCTGGTCATGGTGCTGTGAGGGGAGGAGGCAATGGGGTCTCTTCGTGCTCCCTCAGAGTCAAGCAGAAATCCACAATGTTCCAACCCAGTGAGGTGAGCAAGAGCCTGGGGTTTAGGATCAAATCTGCTCTCAGGTCCTGGGCTTAACCCTTACTCATTATTCATCTCGGCCAAGTTATTTGTGGTGTTGGCATTTACATCTCAGTCCTGTCATCTGAGAGACCTGAAAAATAATATCTACATTCCATCATTGTTGATAACATTAATTATGATAATTTCCAAAGGGCTAATTCAGTAAAAATTGCTTAATAAATCTATGAATAGATGTTATCTAATTCTGTTATCTTTCTGGTAAGTTAGCACTCAGGAAATGACTTCACGTGCATTGTTTCAACTGAGGAAGAGTAACTGTTAGGATCTCTACTTTCTAGAGACTCCCTTCCTGTGTTTACTTAGAAAGTATCTTTTGCCAGTTTTCTTTCTCTTCCTCAGCATCCCTTTTTAAGTCAATTTCCCCCTGTCATGCACTTCAGTAACAACCTATTAGGCACATTAGTAAAAGTGCAAATCCTGGGCCCACAAGTCAGTCTCCTGACATACCCAGCTTCTTGCTCTGTTTTCTCCCCTCGTTTTGAAATAAAAGAATGAAAGGGCAACCTTCTCATGGAAAGGGTATAAATCTGTCTCTTTTATGAAACTCCATTTAGTTCATCATCTCCATTCATGCCCACGGCCATGTCCTCAGTTTTCTTCTCACAGGGATCCACTTCTGCCCAGATTTCCTTAAAACCCTGGGTTGTGTTCATCCTTACTCTCCGTCCCACTCAATATCTACTCCTGGAGCCCCTGGGGCTGCCTGGTGCTCATCTGTCAATCGATGACCCCAGCCGAGGAATAAGGAGACCCACGTCCTCAGGAGGAGGGAGGGTCACGTGAGATAACGAGCACCATCTGGGTCCATGGAGAGGACACATGGAAAACGCTCAGTGAGTGTCGGGGGATGCGTAGTCCCTGACACGTGCCCTGATAACTTTGAGTATTTAAACTGATTTCTTCCCACTGGTGTCTCTTTTGCTTCTCCATGGATTCCTGCACCCCTAGTCAGGACTCACCCCGCTGGCTCCAACACTCTTACCTGCTGGCTTTCCCAGGAGTCCGGATCACTAACCAGGTTCCAGGCAAGAGGACAGAGTGAATGCCTTTTGTTTCATTGTCCTTTACCTGGTGACTTCTCCTTGCTGTCTAATAGGGCATTTGTTTCTCACCATGTCTTCTCTCTCTCGTTCATCTTATTTTTCTAAAATTTTTTCCAGTTTCAGTGGACCAGATTATAATGTTAGTGATTATAACGCTAATTCAACATCTTCCACATCCTTATGTAATAATTTCTTCCAATAGATTTATATATATAAATATATGCATTTATGTCATTGGATATATATATTATGCATATTTGGCATGTATTTTTAATAAAATGTAGATATATGCTATATACATATCTGCATGCTCATTTCATCAATATCTCATGTTTAGTCTATCCAATTCTTTTCTCTCATATGTTCATTTAATGTTGAGTTTTAGAATCTCCTCCCTCCCAAAACACAGCCTGTATCCAGTCTGACTTCCTTGCCTTTGCCTTATCTACCTGGAAACTATTTGTGTTTATTAATCCTAAATTTTTTGAATATGTTTGTCAGTTGGGATCACCTTTTCCTCCTGGCAATCTTGTCATTACTGGGTGATGCATGAAAAATCAACAATACAGAAAATACCAAAATGTCTTTCCTGGCTTCCCTTTACCCGTTGGACTTTCTTATTCAAGGCCGCTTTCCTTCTCTGATGATCCTCTTGGGTGGAAGAGAAAGTCACAGTAAGATCATGGATGACAGTGAACACTGTTGGGTGTGGTTTCATTTTCAGAGCTGGGTTTAGAGCCTTCCCTTGAATGAAGAACCCTCCCCAGCTGGAAGGTGATGCTATTGAAGGCTCAGCTGACAACATACATGGGCATCAAGTCATTGGCCACATTCATGCCTCAAGTGTCCTAAAACCGAAGATGATCAAAAGAAAACTGCTGTTCAGCAAGTGGAGACTGGCATGCAGATTCCCTGGCCTGCAAGCTTAGAGCAGGAAGGTAATCACATCTATGGCTCTTAGCTGCACTCACTCCTTATTCCTCTCTGTCTATGATGACAGCTCCTTCTCCCACTGCTTTTTTCTTCTGTATTTGTTCTCTCCAGCAGCTGCTGTCACCTCTGTCTGGTATTACCTCTGTGTCCCATGGGCTGCCATGCTGCCAGGTCCTTCTGATCCCCATCCCCTGTTTGCTCTCTGAACTCTGCTCTGTTCCCACTGCTGTTGTCCTAAGAGTCCCTCTCATGGCCGCAGGAGAGCCCAACTTCCTTGTCCCCCTCCAAGTGCATGGTGTGAGCTGCTAAACACAGGGTTCTTTGCCTGGAATTGCACAGCTTGAGTAATTTGCCTTTCCTTTCTGCATCCCAAACTCCATTGCCCCTTTCTGCCAGGAGCATTGCTTTAATACATCATTTACACACAGATTTTTCTCTTGGGACAGCTTTTGAGCAACACAACTAAGTCAAACTGTAACCCTCACCTTGTACATGGGAATGAGAAGTGTTAAAACTGAGCACTAAGAACTCCAAATCAAAAACTAAATTAGAACCTGGGTCACAGATGAGAGTTCCCTACTAGCCTGGAGTCAGGTGTGTCTTCATCTCTAGATGGGCAACCTTATGCCAGCGTGGATGAAGTTTCCAGGGACTGTGTCTGCTCCTCATGGACTCACTTAGCTGACATTAACTGGAGAACATTTATGATATTCCAAAGGGACCTCATCCAAAGATAGATGCAGAGGGCAGGGCAGGACTTTGAACCTACATAGACCACAAAGTGCATTCTCACCTCTGTCCTTTTTATTCACATATTTACTTCTACAAGCTCAGTTAGAGTCTAAAACACAACTCAGGTGAATCTTGAGGACAGAGAAATAAGAGAGCATTTAATGAATTAACTTTGAGAAAAGTGAGTCCAGGGGCCAGCTTTATGTCTACACAAGATGATAGACAAGAACCTATCTACAGGACAGACTTTGCCTCAGACCAGCCCAAGTGAGAGATTTAATTGAAATAGTCAGAAGAAAGACTAAAATCCACAGAGCCACAGAGAATGAAGGCAATCACGAGAGAAATGAGGATAGGAAAGAAAATGATGGGAAATCAGGTTGGTTCATTCATTGTCTCTAAATCCTGCTACCATGTAATAAGCACCTGGTGAGATTTCAATAAAGATGAATGCCTTGAACTGACATCTTGAGATTCTCACTTAAATGGTCTGGGGTGTGATGTGAGCATCAGTACCTTTAAAAAACTTCCATGATATTCTAATATACAACTGAAGATGACAAGGACCACTGGTCTACTCTGACCTCAGGTTTTCAACATGGAGATGACCACTTGTGTGGCTACTCCACACAAAAGGCGGAATATCCATCAGACATTGATGGGATCTGTATTCACCTCTCAACAGTAGTATTTGTAGAACGTAGAAAAAAATTAAAAAGAAAAACAAGAAAATAGATGGATTAGACCTGTAGTCTCTCTACTTAAAGCACACTTGCTTAATTTTGAGTACAAGTAAAATAAGAAATAGTCATTATATTGAAACCCAGTATACAGAAAACAATACCTCGTATATTACACATATTCAGATTTAGTATTTTCTTTTAAATTTTATTTTATTGTATTTTATTTTTAAGACAGAGTCTCGCTCTGTCACCCAGGCTGGAATGCAGTGGCGCAGTCTCGGCTCACTGCAACCTCTGTCTTGCGGCTTCAACAATTCTCATGCCTCAGCCTTCTGGGTAGCTGGGATTACAGGTGCCTGCCACCACACTTGGCTAATTTTTGTATTTTTTAGTAGAGGCATGGTTTCACCATGTTGGCAAGGCTGGTCTCGAACTTCTGGCCTCAAGTGATCCATCCACCTCTGCCTCCCAAAGAGCTGGGATTTAGGCATGAGCCATCATGCCCAGCCTTCTTTTCAATTTTAAAATAAATCCTGCAGTTTACATTTCCACACACTGATTCCACAGCCCATTAATGGGTTCGGCACTGCAATGTAAAAATTCTGCTTTGCTCAATTCTTGTCATTCAGCCAAATCCTCAAAGAGAACTCGTAGGTCTCACTCCACTAGACAGAATATAATAATAAGTAAAAACTGAAACTTGGCCGGGCATGGTGGCTCATGCTTCTAATTCCAACACTTTGGGAGGCTGAGGAGGGTGGATCACCTGAGGTCAGGAGTTCGAGACCAGCCTGACCAACATGGCAAAACACTGTCTCTACTAAAAATACAAAAATTAGCCACGCATGATGGCACGTGCCTATAATCCCAGCTACTCGGGAGGCTGAGGCAGGAGAATCACTTGAACCCGGAAGGCGGAGGTTGCAGTGAGCTGAGATCACACCATTACACTCCAGCCTGGGTGACAGAGTGAGACTCCATCTCAAAAAAAAAAAAAAAAGAAAAGAAATAATAATAATAAAAAAACTGAAACTCAGGAAGAGATGATATATGAATACTTTTTTATGCTACCCTTGCTGCTGGCATGAAATTCTAAAAAGAAATCTTTCCCAACAAACCACTCTGGGAAAAATGTAACAGGGAGAGGAGAATGTAATAAAACACAAACTAATCCTTTTCACTTTCTACTTCAGAGTTTTGTTGATCAGATATTGAGCATGTTTCTAGAAATGCCTTAAGGTGTAACCAGGTGTGGAATCAACTTCAGGGAATTAGGGATAATAAGTCGGGCCATGGTTGCAATCACCACCCTTCCTTTGTAATTCCATTTGACTCTTTCCTTTTCTTCTGATCCTTTTTGGAAGAACACATAATATTTCTTTTGTCTTTTTCTCATTTTTTATTTTAACCAACAAAACAAGCAGCAGTGACATCATATTTCTTTGTAAAAGCTCATTCCTATCCTAGCCAAGGTGACCCAGCAACCTCTAGTGACTGTTGAGAACTCCAGATTGGAGAATTGACTCTCCCTTCTCTCTAACTTATTGAAAGAGACTTTGTGCGTGGGTTCTAGTTTCAGGGTTGTCCATTGCAAGTCATGTGGCTTTAGTTAAGTCAGCCCTGTGGCATCACTGCTCCTCTGTTGTAAAAGGCAGAACTGGATGTGGATGCGGTCTGAGGTCCTTCCTGTATCTCACCTCCAGGGTTCTTCCCATGGCCCTGCGCACCCTTCCCTAAGAGACGGGGACATGGAGTTGTAAGGGAGTGGGTTTCTCTGCAAAAGGTCCTTTCCTTCTGCAGCCTTCTGTTTCTGAGCTTTCATGGTTGATGCTGAGAACATCCTCACTGAGGGGTGTGAAAAGCCATTACTCTGCTCCAGACACTGGGGATCAGGAGGAAAGGGGCTGCTCGTTGGGCAGAGCTAGGATCCCTATATCCTTCACCTCAAGCTGACTGGAAGTTCAGGGGTGTTTATTTTTCACTTGCGGATGGCACTTGCCTCTTCACTCAGCCTGAGGCTCACCCTTCAGCTCATCCTCCTAGCAGGAGCTCAGTTTGCCCCTGGGCTATCACCACTTAACAGTCCCTCTAGACTCAGCCATCAGCAGGACCTGACAAAGATGCCCATTTGATCTTTCCTTCTCTCTCTCCTACAGATACTAAATGCTGCTGGAACAATGAAAAGAAAGAACGGATGTCACAAAAAGCATTTTCATTTGATGAATAGAACTAAAAGAGCAAAGCAATTGAAAGCTCAACACAACACAGGAGGGATCCATGGCTGAGGATTGTATTTCAGAACCACTGACTGCTCTTGACAATTGTTAACCCACTAGGCTCCTTTGGTTAGAGAAGCCACAGTCCTTCAGCCTCCACTTGATACCAATACTTAGGAAGACCAAAGCCAGATGGACAAACAGCATTGAGAGGCTTTAGCCCTACTCCTCTCAGCTTCCATCCTGTAGAGAACAGGAGTCAGGAGCTGCTGGCAGGAGACAGCATGTCACTTGGGACTCTGCCAGTGCAGAATACGAACAATGCCATGTTCTTGCTAAAAATGCTTAGCTTGAGTTTCATAGGAGGTAATCACCAGATAGACAACTGCAGAATGTAGAATACTGAGCAGGACAATAACCTGTCTCCTTCAGACAGTCCATGTCACCACGAATCACACAATAAAAAGGAGAAAAGACATTTTGGGTTCAAAAAAACTAAAAAGATAATGTAGCTATATTTCTTTAGTTATTTTGAACCCAAAGTATCTCCTCATCTTTTTGTTGTTGTCATTGATGGTAGGGACATGGACTTGTTTGTAGAGGACAGGTCAGCTGTCTGGCTCAATGTCCTACAAGAGACAGGGGGGACATGGAAGTGTACAGCTATATTTGTGGATTAGTCTAGCTATCTGTTCAGTATTTAAGGTTGTTGTTGCATAGATATTTATGACTTGAAATTTTGCATAGATATTTATGACTTTTGTCAGGGGAGGGGTTGGTGGATTGGTCCTTTCATCATTTTATAACATCCCTTTCTCTCTCTGATTAGTTTCTTTGTTCTTTTTTCTATGGACATCTTTCTTTTAAGGCAGAACTGCTGGTCAGAGATTCCCTTAGCTTTTCTTAATCTGAAACTGTTTTGATCTACCCCTTAATTCCTGAAAGACTCAGCAAATAAATACAAGACATAAATAAGAACCAAATGGAAGTATTAGAAGTGAAAAATGCAACTAAAATAAAAAGTCCAGCAGATAGGCTCAGCAGCAGAATGGATGGTGTGGAGCAAACAAATCCATATACTGCAGATGAGAAAACAGAAATTACAGAATCCTAACAGGGAGATGGGGTTTTGCCATGTTGACTAGGCTGGTCTCGAACTGTTGACCTCAGGTGATCCACCCACCTTGGCCTCCCAAAGTTCTGGGATTACAGGCATGAGCCAAAGAGCCTGGCCTCCCTTCTTTATTTCTATCATGAATAGATGTTGAATTTGTCAAATGATTTTTCTTCATTGACTGATAAACATTTTTGTGGTCTGGTTTTGGAGTTGGGGTAATCATAGCTTTACAGAAATAGTCGAGAGGTGTTCCTTCATCTTCTATTTTCTGGAACAGATTGTACAGAATTGATGTTAATTCGGCTGGGCGCGGTGGCTCACGCCTGTAATCCCAGCACTTTGGGAGGCCAAGGCGGGCTGATCACGAAGTCAGGGGATCGAGACCATCCTGACTAACACGGTGAAAACCCGTCTCTACCAAAAATACAAAAAATCAGCCGGGCGTGGTGGTGGGCACCTGTAGTCCCAGTTACTCGGGAGGCTGAGGCAGGGGAATGGCGTGAACCCGGAGGGCGGAGCTTGCAGTGAGCCAAGGTTGCACCACTGCACTCCAGCCTGGGAGACAGAGCAAGACTCCGCCTCAAAAAAAAAAAAAAAAAAAGAATTGATGTTAATTTTTCTTCAACCGTTTGGTAGAATTCTCCAGTGAAACCATCTGGACCTGGAGCTTTTCTTTCTGGAAATTTTAAAATTAGGAATCCAATTATTTTCATAGTTACAGAGCTACTCAGATGACCTGTTTTGCTTTAGGTAAGTTGTGGTAGTTGATACTTACGACAAATTTGTCCAATTCATCTGGGTTGTCAAATATATGTGTGTACAGAATTTTAAATAGTTTTTCCCTTATTATTATCCCTTTGATATCTGCAGTCTGTAACGAGTGTAGTCCCTGTTTCATCCTGATGTTCATAAGCTGACTTCTTTTTTTCTTTGTCAAGTTTATTGATCTTTTCAAAGAGACAGCTTTATTTTCACTAGTTTCCCCTTTTGTTTTTTTCTGTTTTCAATGCCATTGATTTCTGCTATTATCTGTATTATTTCCTTCCATTTGCTTTAGGTTTTTTTTTTTTTTTGTAGATTCAGTCTCATTCCCATGGCGCAGGCCGGAGTGCAGTGGTGCGATCTCAGCTCACTGCAACCTCCACCTCCCGGGTTCAAGCGATTCTCCTTCCTCAGCCTCCAGAATAGCTGGGATTACAGGCGGGTGCTACCATGCCCAGCTAATTTTTTTGTATTTTTAGTAGAGACGGGGTTTTGCCTTGTTGGCCAGGCTCGTTTCAAACTCCTCACCTCAGGTGATCCACCCACCTTGGCCTCCCAAAGTGCTCGTATTACTGGCGTGAGCCACCGTGCCTGGCCTGCTTTAGGTTTCTTTTACTTGCTTTTTTCTTGTTTCTTGATGGGGGAGCTTAAGTGTATTCATTTGAGACATCCCCTCTTTTCTTTTATCCCTTTTAAAAACTTTTGTATATAATTATTATTGTAGGAAGTTAGGCTTGGGCCCGCAAACTATGGAAGAACAGAATATACTAGGCCGCTGCTTTAATAGCTGGTGCCTGCTTGTCGCCCACCCCCACTCCCCCACCTTAGCTGCCTTGTCCAAACCAAAGAGTTTAGTCTAGAATGGACATTTACTAGCCTGCAAAATAGTTCACTACATCTATTCTTATCAGCTTGCCTGACTGCCCAGGTCATAAGTCAAATACTTGAAAAGCCCCCGAGCTGACCATGATTGCAATGCATTATGGGCTGCAACAAAATACAGGGAGACAACCCTAAAAAAAAAACCAACAACCTAAAAGTCCCAACCCAAGATCCAATAGGCGACATCCGGGAATACTGTGACCCCATAGTACTCAGCCTATGAGGAACCGGGGGAGGCACTTCCACACTAGGGGATAAATTGCTTGTTGTAAGCCTACTGGGTGTGCCTGCCTACCAGACACCCGATCTTGCAAGACTGTCATTAATAATAAGTCGCACTTCTGCTGTTTTCCGGGTCTTGGAGTCCATTCTTTGGGTTTGGACGGGTGAGTTTATTTCTCACGATTATTTCCAGGCAGGCCTTGCCCAGTGGGTGGCTCATGCTTGTAATCCCAGCACTTTGAGAGGGTAAGCCTGGTGGATCACCTGAGGTCACGAGTTCGAGACCAGCCTGGCTAACATGGTGAAGCCCCGTCTCTACTAAAAATACAAAAATTAGCCGAGCGTGGTGGCGAGGGCCTGTGGTCCCAGCTACTCGGGAGGCTGAGACAGGAGAATCACTTGAACCCAAGAGGCGGAGGTTGCAGTGAGCCGAGATTGCATCACTGCATGCGACAGTGCAAGACTCCGTTTCAAATAATAATAATAATAATAATAACAATAATAATAATGGCACGACCTAAAGTTATGCAAGCATTTGCCTTAGATAAAATTTCAAGTTTTCAAAGTTGTTAGCTGGGTGGACGGCATGGCTTTACTTCCTATTTCTTGGTATTTCCTAATCTTGTTGAAAAAGTTTTTCTTTTTCTCAAAGGCTTATTTCAGTGGAAGCCCATCTGCAAAATCTGTTATTAATTTAAATTAGAAAATCATTACAAGTCCCACTGACATATGGGTTATTGTTTTTGCGAGTGACCTAAGGCCACTTCTCGGGGGAGCTGGGGGTTGCCTTCCCACGTCTGCGCGTCTGCACCCCATGCCCGGGCCTGGAAGTCAGACTCGGGGGCGGTGCTGCAGCACCAGGCCTGCAGTCCTAAGCGCGGGGTCGCTCCGGGCCCCCGAGGGGGTGTGTCTTCTGCCCCTTTAACCTGGCAGGGGCGGTTCAAGTGGCCCTGGAAATCAGCGA
The DNA here is from genome assembly GCF_000001405.40 of Homo sapiens. Classification (NCBI taxonomy): domain Eukaryota; kingdom Metazoa; phylum Chordata; class Mammalia; order Primates; family Hominidae; genus Homo; species Homo sapiens. The sequence goes on from NC_000001.11 coordinate 120,414,844, forward strand.
TTTGTAGGGTCAAGGGCTGGTGCTTTAAAAGAGAGGCGGAGGGGAGAGAGGGATTTCCCGGTCTCTGCTGCACTCTGTCTATCCGCTCGGTTACTCCTTTTCCTGGCCCGCGCGAACCCGCTGTGCTGCAGAGGCGGCCATGTACCTTTAAGGCCCCGCTGCGCCTGCGCCTTGGGCTCTCCTGACGCGCCGAGCGGGACCCTGAGGAGCCAGCTGGCTCAGGCTATGGGCTGGGCGGCGGTTGAGACAGCGGCGGTATTGGGAGGGGTAGGTGAGGGTCGCGAGGCTGCGTGAGCATCTGAGTGAACGCGGTGCTTTTGGGAACGCGGGACGGGCGACCTGTGGCGCCAGGAGCGGGCCGAGGCGCGGCGCACGGATGCCATCTGGATGGGAAGTTACGGTTTACAGCGAAGTCCACCCAGCGTTTCCGAGGTGAAGGCGCCGCGCCAGGCCGGGGGGCGGTGAGTCCGGGACCCGCGGGTACACAGCTGGGTCGAGCTGCGGCTGTCGCAAGTTTTGTTGCGAGCGACGGAGGGCGAGGCGGGGTGGGGGGTTGGGAGGGCGTGTGTTCCGGCCCCGCCGGGGCTTAAGTTCCATGCGTTCGATTCCTCGCTTGCCGCTGCCGCCCGCAGCCCTCATCTCTTGGGCGCTGGGGAAGAAACTCGCTGGCGGGTGTTCTGTGGCATCCCAGGGGGTGGAGGGACGAGCAGCTTCGGGGGCACGTCCTCGTGTATCCTGTGGAGGACCCTGACCCCGCACCCCACCCTCGAGGCCAGAAATCAGTTGCCTCTGGGGACCTGAGAGGCGAGACCACTCGCGCCCCTGACTTGCAAAGTTGGGGTCTTTATTGGCCTCCGGGATTCTGCTCCTGGCGGTTTCTCCAGGCTGGTGATGGGCAACACATGAGGCGCGTTTGTAGCCATCACTGAATCACCTCATGACTAGCGGGGCAGGCCTCTAATTCACCGCAGGATTTCCGGTAGGTTGGATTGTGGGGTTGGTGTTTGCACTCCAAAGAGTTGGCGTGATTTCCCTGTATCTGTCTTTCTGGCTTGTTAGATCTTCTCATTTGGCGTCCTTTCTCCGAAGAGTTAACCAAGACGTTTGGCGTGGTTTTCTTGCTTTCCTCCTATCTTTTGCTGCTAGAGCTGCTTTCAAAAAGAAGTCTTTTCTTGCAGTGATACCTTTTCTTTGGGTTACAGTGTTGTTCATCCTTTCTTTGCCGAAAGAATGAATCCCAGTGCTTCACGAAGTTAAAGGAAAGATCTGCTGGTAGTGTTTAGTCTTTGTTCTGAGCTGATATGTGTTAGTAGCTTTTTGTTTTTAAATTTTATTAGTAAAATTTCACCAGTGAACCAGAAGCTCTTTTTTTCTGTTGTGAAATGCTAGCTTTAAGATTTCTGAGAACTTTGTGTCAAAGAAATCTTTGAAAAGTTACTGAAGTATACAGAGAGGTTCACAATTTTAAATGTGCAGGTGGTCCGGGCGCGGTAGATCACACCTGTAATCCCAGCACTTTGGGACGCCAAGGTGGGCGGATCACTTGAGCCCAGGATTTCCAGACCAGCCTGGGCAACGTGCCAAAACCCTATCTCTACTAAAATTACAAAAGTTAGCTGTGTGTGGTGGTGTGTGCCTGTAGTCCCAGCTACCTGGTAGGCTGAGGTGGGAGGATCACCAGAGCCCAGGAGGTTGAGATTGCAGTGAGCCGTGATCATGGCAGTGCACTCCCTCCTGGGTGGCAGAGTGAGACCCTGTCTCCAAAAAAAAAAAAAAAAAAAAAAAAAGTACAGGTAATGAATTTTTACCAAGTGAACCACCACAGATCAAGAAATAGAACATTACTAGACTGGGGTATATTTGTAGGAGTGACATTGTTGGTTTTAGAGGTATATGAATGATAAAACTTAGTATTACATATTGTTGAACGTTTTCCCAAAGTGGTTGTACCATTTAGCAGGGATATTCTGGTTACCCCACAACCTTGCTGATGCCTGTCAGTTAAAAATTATTTTGCCATTCTAGTAGGGGTGCAGTAATGTATCAGTGTGATTTCATTTTGCATTTTCCTGGTATTGAGATTGAGTATCTTTTATTGTCATTTGTGTGTCCTCTTTTGTGAAGTGCCTGTTAAATCTTTTTATCCAGTTTTCATTGATATGCTTGGTTTTCTGTTGATTTGTAATACTTTTTTCCGGATATGTGTCCTTTCTACGATATATATGTATTGCATTTCCCTTTTTTCAATCTGTAGCTTGCCTTTTCGCTCTTTTAATGGTGCTTATTCATGAATGGAGATTCTCTAACTTTTTTTTTTCTTTTTGAGACAAGATCTCACTCTGTTGCCCAGGCTGGAGTGCAGTGGCACAATCACAGCTGACCGCAACCTTGACCTCCCAAGGCTCAGGTGATCCTCCTGCCTCAGCCCCCAGGTAGCTGGGACCTACAGGTGAGCACCACCACACTCAGCTCTTTTCTATATTTTTAGTAGAGATGGGGTTTTGCCACATTGCATAGGCTGGTCTGGAATTCCTAGGCTCAGGTGAGACATCTGCCTCGGCCTCCCAAAGTGTTGGGATTACAGGCATGAGCCACTGCACCCAGCCTGAGATTCTTAATTTTAATGAAATTATACTTTATCAATCTTTTCCTTTATGGTTACTGCTTTTTGTGTCCTGTTTAAGAAATCAATGCCTAACCTAGGAGTATGAACACATTTTTCTGTGTTAACCTTATAGCAATTTTATTTTAGTTTTTGCATTTCTTTTTTTTTTTCAGACAGGGCCTCACTCTATTGCCCAGGCTAGAGTGCCGTGGCAGGATCTCAGCTCACTGCAACCTCCACCTCCTGGCTCAAGCGATCCTCCCACCTCAGCCTCCTGAGTAGCTGCGACTATAGGAGTGTGCCACCATGCCTGGCTTAATTTTCATATTTTTTGTAGAGATGGGGATTCAACATGTTTCCCAGGTTGGTCTCAAACTCTTGGGCTCAAGTAATCTTCCCACTTAAGCCTCCCAGAGTGTGGGGATTACAGGCATGAGCCACCCCACCCGGCTGTGATTCACTTTTTACTACATGGATGTGTCTGCTTGATCCAGCACCATTTATTGAAAAGACTATCCTTTTCCTTCTTCACTGTTTGGCACTTTTTTTCTTAAATTGGATGACTGCATGGTCATCCAATTTATGAAATTAGTGTGGGTCTGTTTCTGTTTCTGGACCAACCTGGGCAATATAGTGAGATCCCATCTCTACAAAAAATAAAAATAATAAATAAATGAGTAAAATTTAAAAAATAAGTGCATAGAGCAGATGGAGTCATAGGTGATAATTTATAAATGATTGTCAGTTTCTTGGCTACATACGGGTGTTGGTAATTCAGATGTGTTGGGCATTCAGGGAAAATGTATTAAGGGAAGTATGTGGTGTTCACAGTGATTGCTAGATGTTCATTGTGACTTGAATTAGATGTTATTTGAGCCTCACAGAGCTACAGTTTTGACTCTTTATTTATTTATCTTTTTACAATTTTTACAATCTTCCTGTCAAGGCAGTAACTCTTTTATACTTCATTGTTCTTAGGTATACTTAATTACCAGGAAAACTTTATGGATCGTACCTAAATAAGCGTTAAGCCATTTAAAGGGCCGACGTGATATGATGTAAACAATAGTATTCTACATAATAGTTTTAGGACTACATCGAACAATTTTTTTTTTTTCTTGAGACAGTGTCTCGCTCTGTTGCCCAGGCTGGAGTGGAGTGGTATGATCATGGGTCTCTGCAGCCTTGACCTCTCAGGCTCAAGCAGTCTGCCCACCTCAGCTTCCTTAGTAGCTGGTTCTACAGGCATGCACCACTATGCCCGGCTAATTTTCTATTTTTTGTAGATAGGGTTTTCCTGTAGTGCCCAGACTGGTTTCAAACTCCTGGGCTCAAATGACCCTCCCACCTTGGCATCTCAAAGTGTTGGGATTACAGGCATAAGCCATCACCGCTGGCCATTTTAGTTTTAATAATTTTTATGTTTTTCTAATTTAAAAGATTTACTAAAATCTCTTACAGCTATTATTTATGAATATAGTATTCATTGTTGTTATTATGATTATTTTGTATGTGTTCAATCTCATTTTCAACATAAGCTCCTGGAAATTTGAGATTTTGTCTCTTATTCACCACTGTATTCTCAGTACTTGACCTTGCCTGGCATGAAACAGATATTGAATAAATATTTGTTAAATGAATGAATGAATGAACATACTAATACCATATTCAACAATCTCCAAGTGTCACAGTTTTCACCATCTAACAAATAAAATAGCTTGTATACAGCAGAGTCACAGTCAACCTGACATAAAAGGAAATGTCAATGAAAAGTAAACCTTTGTATGTGTTGCTGCTAAGATTTTGGGGCTTTTGTTACTGTAGCATAACCTAGCGAAAGCTCAGCGAGACAGCCTGTAGAATATACGTGTACAGATAGACCAGATAGACCAGTAGATGAGATTCCAAAGAAGCATTAACTACACCCACACACTCTTAATTCCCTAACAGAAAGAATCGAATTCTTGTTCACTAAGATCTGCCTCAAGTATTACTTGGTGAAAACTTCCCTGGCTACTCAAGTATTTAGTCAGGACTCTTTATTTTTTTTTCCCCCAGGCTGGAGTTCAGTGGTGCCATCATAGCTCACTAACCTCTAATTCGAGGCTCAAGGAATCCTCCTGCCTCAACCTTCAGAGTAGCTGAGACTACAAGTGTGTGCCACCATGCTGGGCCAATTTTTCATTTTTTATTTTCAGAGATGGGGTCTTACTATGTTGCCGAGGCTGGTGAGGACTGTTGATTACATATGACAGGAACCCAAACAATTCTAGTTCCCCACCACCTTTCAACCTGCTCCTCCCTGGGTCTTCCCAGTCTCCGTAAACGGCAGCTCCATCCTTCAAGTTGCCGAAGCCCCAAATCTCAATATTAACCATGATTTCTCTCTTTTATCTCATAGGCAATCTGAAAGCAAATCCTGTTTAGATGCAGGCGAAGGTTCCTGGTGACCCAGGCTCTCACCTTACCGTCCCTTACCGTCCTCCTGAGGGTGTCCTGGAGCTTCAGTGCTGTGTGTTCTTGGCCTCCACGCTGGGGGTGCCACCAACTCCCACTGTCCAGGGCTTCCAGTGGACTCTCCGAGGTACTGATGTAGAAACTTCCCCATTCGGTGCACCAAGAGCAACCTCACACGGTGTGGGCCGAATGAAGAGCTGCCAGATCCCACAGGTAAAAACCCTGAGGCATTGCCAGCTCGATGGAGTCAGAGAGTCCTTTTTCTATTATGACTCAGATGTGAAGGGAAGATGCCAAGGGCCCTAAACATCGCAGGGCCTTGCCTGGCATGAAACAGATACTGAATTAATATTTGTTAAGTGAATGAACAAATATTCACAGCGTGTGCCACCCTCGACCTGCAGTGCTGTTGTCAGGTGGAAGTGATTTTACTTCAGGAGAGGACAGTGTTCTCTCCAGGACTTTTCCTTAGTAGCTAGATCTACATCCCACTCCTTGCTCTTCCCCTCTTACCCCCCATTCTCTGCCCCCATTTCCGTCTCTTGTTTCCACCCTGCCGTCCCCTTTCACCTGCTTTCTTCTCTTCAGCTTTCATGGCTCACCCCCTCCCTGTCCACCCGCATCCCCCAGGCTAAGGCCCTGCACTGTCCTGGGTGGGGAGATGTGTGTGGTTTTAGGCAGTGCCCTCTAGATGTGTCCAGGATGGGGAAACATGGCTCAGTTGCCAGTATAATGGGTTAAAAGAGAGGCCACTTTTGAAGGCCGTTCCCATCTCCCATTCCAGAATCCTGTAGGACTTAGAATTTATGGGCCACAGTGGAATTCTTGGTTCCCCAGGACCTTGTGGTGGATGTCTTCTTTCACTGAGCATTCATGGGGTGACTATTAGGCACCATGCCCTGCTCTGGGCTAGAGACCCCATAACGAGTAAATCTCAGGTCACTACCCCATGGAACCCACCACTGCAGGCATTGAGAGGGGGAGAAAGAAAGGGGCATGGCCTGTTTGTATCCTTCTCACGTGGCCGTCCACCAGGTCCTGGGGGAGTGGGAGCCAGTGCAAGGAGGGAAGTCCAGTGAGAATGACAAATGGACGATGTCAGACCCAGGGGCTGAGGTCCCCACCTGCAGCTGGGCAGCTTCTGGAGTGGACAAGGAGCAGCAGGGAAGGTTGCGGCCTGGTGTTCTGGGATCCACTGTCTCATCTCATTCTTTTGGGCACCAGAACTTATCCAAAGACAAGACTCAGTGTCTCTGGCAACAGTGGGCCAGAGGAATAATGTGTTTCAGAGAAGGAAGAAGGGGTTGTACCCCATGGAAACAGTATATAGTTTTACAGTAGTGCGTCTGTCTCCAATAACTAGTTAGCGTGTTCCTGTTAATGGAAAATACTGGTGGTGTAAGTTCCCCTGGATGTTCTCATCTTCATGTAAGTTTGTTCATTTCCTTCCTTCCTTCCTTCCCTACTTCTCTCCCCTCCCTACTTCTCTCCCACTCTTTTTCTCTCTCTCTTTATTCTTTCCCTCCCTCCTTCCCTTCTGCCTTCCCTCCCTTCCTTTCTTCCTCCCTTCCTCCCTCTCTCCCTGCCTTCCTCCCTCCCTCCCTTCCTTCCTTCCTTCCTCCCTTCCTCCTTCCTTCCCTCCCTCCATTCTTTCCTTTCTTCCTTTCTTCTTTTCTTTTTCTTTGTCTCTCATGCTCTCTCTTTTTCTTTCCTTTTTGTTCTACTTTTTTAAATAGACCACACTGCACTGAAATCTACATTACTTACCAAAACCTCTGGAGCTGCTTCTGTCTTGTAGGCAGGGAGCTCGTCCTGTAGCCCTTAGGTCCTCCCAGCCTCCTCCTCCTCTGATTTGTGGGTGCCACTGGGGCAGCTGCTGAGTCTCAGTGGTTCCTAGTCATCACCAAGTTCTGCCCACCTAGATGGTTTGCACCTGTCCTTACCAGAACCCTGCACTGTCTAGATGACTGAGGCTGCTTCTGCCTAACTGATCTGCTATCTGTGTTCTGGGGGCACCCCAGGGTTAGAGGTAAATGGCACAGGCATTGAAATCTCCAACTGCTCTGACTCCAGGTTGGTGCACTTCAATGCCAAGTACTAACCACACAATAACAGGATGCCACCAAAACCTTGGTATGGGGCTGCTGCATCCTAATTAAAAAAAAGTAATAGATGTTATTTTTTAGAAAAGTTCTAGGTTTACAGAAAAATGGAGTGGATAGTACAGAGAGTTCTCCTAGGCTCCCCTGTCCTCCAGCACACAGTTTCCCCTATTAGTATGTTGTATTAGTGTGGTCCATTCATTACAATTGATGAACCACTATTGATACATCATTATCAACTAAAGTCCATAGTTTACACTAGAGTTCATTCTTTGAGTTTCACAGATTATGGGTTTTGGCAATTATGTAATGTCCTAAATCCCCAATACAGCATCATGCAAAATAGTTTCACTGCTGAAAATTCCCTGTACTTCACCATTTCGTGCCTCCTCCTCTCCTCCACCCCTGACAACCACTCATCATTTTACTACTTCTATCTTTTTGACTTTCCAAGAATGTCCTAGAGTTGGAATTACAGTATGTAGGTTTCCAGACTGGCTTCTTTCTAGCATTGTGTACTTTTAAGTTCCTCCACGTCTTTTCATGACTTGACAGCTTGTTTTGTAAAATCACTGAATCAGATTTCATTGTATGGCTACAACACAGTTTGTTTATTCATTCACTTGGTGAAAGATGTCTTGGGTACTTCCAAGTTTTGACAATTATGATAAAATTGCTGCAAGTACTTATGTGCAGGATTTTGAATGAACTTAAGTTTTCCAAAGTGACTGTACACTTTTGATTTCCACTAGCTATGGAGAGTTCTGGTTGTTCCTCATCTTCGACAGCATTTGGTGTGTTCACCGTTTTGTGTTTTAGCCATTCTGATAGGTTTACAGTGATATCTCGTTTTAATGTGCAATTCCCTCACAACAAATGATTTTGAGCATCTTTCTCATATGCTTATTTGCCATCTGTATATCTTATTAATGAGGTGTTCAGATCTTTCACCTTTTTTTTTTTTTTTTTTGCTTTGTGTTGTTTAGTTCTCAGAATTCTTCATATATTTTGGACAGCAGTTTTTCCATCAGATTATTTTGTAAATATTTTCTCCCAGTCTGTGACTTGCTTTTTCCATTCTCTTAACAGTGTCTTTCACACAACAGAAGTTTTTAATTTTAATGAGGCTCAACTTAATTTTTTTTCATTAGTAGATTGTGCTTTTGGTTTTGTATCTAAGAAGCCATCATTGAACCCAGGATCCCTCAGATTTTCTCCTATTTTATCTCTTAGGATTCTTATGGTTTTGCACCTTACATTTACGTGTAAGATTTATTTTATAAAGGGTATATAACATGCATACCTGGATTTATTTATTTTTTTGCATGTGGTTGTCCAGCTGTTCTAGCACCACTAGTTGGAAAGGCTATCTTTGCTGCTTTAAATTGTCTCTAAACCTCCATGGAAGATCAGTGGACTGTATGTAGGCCTGCTTCTGGGCTCCGTATTCTTTTCTATGCATCTATATGTGTGTGTTTTCTCTTTTCACCAACTTCACACTATTTGGGTTACTGTAGCTTAATGTAAGTCCTGAAGTTGGTAGTGCCAAACCTCAGGGAGTTTTTCTGAACTTCATCATGAGAACCTGGTTGAGATCATTGTAGTAACACTTGGAAATGTGTGAGATTCCCCCTTAGTCTGGTCTTCAAGGAGTTTTTAATGTTCTAGCCAGGCTACCCTCAGCTTCTAGTAATCTGTCAATACCATTTAAGTGCTCCTCCCACTTGCTGTCCCCAGTAGCTTCTCTTCCCTGTGAGCTGTGACTCCTTGTGTGTTAGCCTGTGTTTCTCATTTTTAAGGTGGCAGTTTTCCCTGTGACCTCAATTCTCTGATCCACCCTAGAAGGGTTGACTTTCAGTTTGTTCAGCTTTTTTCTAGCTGTGAGGACAAGTGATGACTGCCTAGCTCTTTCCATGTTGAAATAGAAACCCAAAAGTTTGTTTAAAGAATTACTTGTTATAAAAGTCCCCCATTGTTAATGTACAACCCAATGATGTAAGTTGATTTATCGAATTGTGCAGCCATCAGCAGAGTTCTACTTCAGCATATTTTGTCACTTCCCAAATTCCCTTGAACCTGTTTGTAGTCATTTCCTAATCCCTGGTCCCCATGACTGGGTCTGAATAAAATAAACATTTGGAAAGCAGATTTCATTATATTTACATTTTCCTGTGTTTGGGACTTTATATAGTGGACTATTGTGTTCGTTTTGTGACAAGTAGAGAAGAGATTGCATTCTAGGGATGGTTTTTGGGGAAACATAATAGTAGTCCTGTTTATGGCTCTCCTTGAATTGGTTCATCTGTGCTGGTGACTGGTATTTGTTACCAAACCTTGTCTGGTGAGCACAAGAAAAGGAATTTTTTAAAATCTGCTATTAAAATTGAGATGATACATTTTCACATAATAATATTTGGAGTTAAGTAGTGAACCGTCTTTATTTTATCTTTTTTTTTGGAGATGGAGTTATTTCTCTTTTCCTTGGGCTCAAATGCAACGGCGCCATCTCAGCTCACTGCAACCTCCACCTCCTGAGTTCAAGTGATTCTCCTGCCTCAGCATCCTGAATAGCTGGGATTACAGGCGCCTGCCACCACACCTGGCTAATGTTTGTATTTTTGGTAGAGACAGGGTTTCTTCATGTTGGCCAGGTTGGTCTCTAACTCTTGACCTCAAGTGATCCACCTGCCTTGGCCTCTCAAAGTGCTAGGATTACAGACACGAGCCACGGCCTGACCTGAACTGTGGGGAAAAGAAAGAGAGATCAGATTGTTACTGTGTCTGTGTAGGAAGAAGTAGACATAAGAGACTCCATTTTGTTCTGTACTAAGAAAAATTCTTTTGCCTTGAGACGCTGTTAATCTGTAACCCTACCCCCAACCCTGTGCTCCCTAAGACATGGGCTGTGTCAACTCAGGGTTAAATGGATTAAGGGCTGTTCAGGGTGTGCTTTGTTAAACAAATGCTTGAAGGCAGCATGCTTGTTAAGAGTCATCACCACTCCCTAATCTCAAGTACCCAGAGGCACACTACACTGCGGAAGACTGCAGGGTCCTCTGCCTAGGAAAGCCAGGTATTGTCCAAGGTTTCTCCCCATGTGATAGTCTGAAATACAGCCTCGTGGGAAGGGAAAGACCTGACTGTCCCCCAGCCAGACACCCGTAAAGGGTCTGTGCTGAGGAGGATTAGTAAAAGAGGAAGGAAGGCCTCTTTGCAGTTGAGATAAGAGGAAGGCATCTGTCTCCTCCTCGTCCCTGGGCAATGGAATGTCTCGGTGTAAAGCCCGATTGTATATTCCATTTACTGAGATAGGAGAAAACCGCCTTAGGACTGGAGGTGGGACATGCTGGCAGCAATACTGCTCTTTAAGGCATTGAGATGTTTCTGTATATGCACATCAAAAGCACAGCACTTTTTTCTTTACCTTGTTTATGATGCAGAGACATTTGTTAACGTGTTTACCTGCTGATCTTGTCTCCACTATTATCCTATTGTCCTGCCACATCCCCCTCTCTGGAAATGCCCGATAATGATCAATAAATACTAAGGGAACTCAGAGGCCAGTGCCAGCATGGGTCCTCCGTATGCTGAACGCCGGTCCCCTGGGCCCATTTTTCTTTCTCTGTACTTTGTCTCTGTGTCTCTTTCTTTTCCAAGTCTCTCCTTCCACCTAATGAGAAACGCCCACAGGTGTGGAGGGGCAACCCATCCCTTCACTGAACCATTTTTATTCTTCCAGAAATGTGATTGATAACAGTAAAGCCACACTCCTCAAGTGCCTGAAATACCCCTCATTGTCTTCTTCAGGTGGCAAGGGCTCTGGAACAGCCACATAAAGGTGAGGGCAATATTTTTACTGTAGTTCTTTCATTGATTGGTTGATTGATTTTTTTCTCTTAGAGGGTTAGCATACATTTATCTGAAATTGAAATTCAAGAGGAGAGACAGGCACCTGTACTAGTTTTCTCTTGCTGCCTATTATCACATTACCACAAACCAGTGGTTTGAAACCACAGAAGTCTGGAATGAAGTGGCCGGGTTCTCTGATCAGAGTCATGTGAGGCTAAAATCCGGGAATGGGCTGGCTGTGTTTTTTTCCTAGAGCTCAAGCTATTTTTCCAGGTTCACTACAGATAATGAAAGAGTTCCTATTCTTGTTTGTGGGGGACTGAGGGCCCTTTTTCTGTGCTGGCTGTCAGCGGGGAGACAGTCTACTCTGACTCCAGAGGCCACGTGCTTTCCTCCTTACCTGTCTGTTTCATCTTTCAACCAATAACAACTCATGGAGTCCTTCTCAAGCTCCCACCTTCTCTGACTTCATCTTCTCCAACCAGCCACACAAAGCTCTGTCATGTATGGAGTGATGTGATTAGATCGAGTTCATGCGGTAACCTCACCATCTTAAAGTCATATAACTGGCATATAACAACATAGTCACAGGAATGGTGTCTCATCACCTTAAGAGGCTTTAGAGACAAGGGTGTGGCATGTTTGGGGACCATTTCAGAAATTCCATCTACCACAGTAGGACACTCACATTCCCCCATCTGCAAAGTGCATTTACCCTCTCCCCTGAGGTTTCCAGATTTCATGTCATTAAAGCATTAGTTCAACATGAAAAATGTCATGTAGACCACATCAGATCAAAAGTTTAAAATCCCATCTAAAACATCCACACCAGGTGTGAATGAGGCTTCCGAGAGTGTCCATTAAGTGCAGATCCTTGACATAATTCCCTTACCTCTGTCGACCTGTGAAACTGAACAAACAGCTTATCTGCCTCTAATGTGAAATGATGGGACAGACATAGAATAACAACTACAGTGATTCTAGTTCAAAATGAGGGAACATGGAGGGGATAAAGAAGTCACTAACCCAAAATAGTTTGGAAATGGAGCTGGGCAAAATCCAGCAGGAGTTTCTTAGTTAGGATCCACAGCCTGGGACTGACCCTCTGTCCTGTGGGTCTTTGCCTCTGGGCTCTCTGCTCTGCATTTCTTGAAACCATTATTATTTATCATTTTTCTCACACTGTTTTGTGTATGGCTCCTATTGCACTCAAAATGTTTTTGAGATTCATCCATGTTGTTTTGTGTGTCAAAAGTTTGTTCCTTTAGCCATTCCATGGAATGAATGTATCACAGTTTATTGATCCATTCTTGTATTGATAGATATTTGAATGTTTCCAGTTTTTCCTATTATGAATAAAACTGCTATGAACATTCTTGTATAAATCATTTTCTGGACATATGTTTTAATTTCTCTTGGATAAATGCTTAGGAATTAGTGAGTCATAGAATAGATAGTTGTTTAGTTCTGTAAGAATATGCCAGACATTTTTTCCCAAAGTGTTTATACTATTGTACATTCCAACCATTAATGTATGAAGGTGAGAAAGCTTTTGCTACTTCCAAAGAGGCCTCTCTATATACATGTAATTTTTTCTAACTGGAGACAGGCTGATGACTTCAGGGACATGAGCATGGGATACCTGTCATCACCACCACCATAAAGTTGGGATTCAGGAAGGAGGTTAATCATATAAAGAATCCTGTGACCAGTATGAGCTTCTCTCAGGCCACACAGGGCACTCAAGTGAACAGGGCATGGGGGCCCTGGGGTCATGGTAAGAAAGTGTCTCATTGGTAAAACCTTTTCCTCTGGGGAGGTAAATAAATGATTTGTTTCTTCTTGGTAGCCCTTGAAGATAAGGATGGTCAAACAAAATAATATCATACCTGGAGAAACTCAGATCTTGCTAAGATTTACTGGTTGGGAATCCAAAGTTAATGCCAAGAAGCAGCCGCCAGTTGGGATCAAATGTGAGCCTATGGATCAAGGTGCGTACTCAAACACAGAGAGCTTTCTGAAAGATGCTACCAGTAGTTTTTCCAGGGCAGAGATGGGTCCTTTATTTTTCTCTCTAATCTAGCCCATATGCTTAGCTGAGTTTTCTTTGTATCACTTTAAATGATGATGTCCCTTGTTCAACAATTTTCTAAACATTCTTTAGATAATAATTTTATGGGCATTCTTTATTGCATTAGGCTTAAATTTTTTAATGCATCTTAAGGTTTTATTGCAAAATATTGCCTTGTTTCCTTTTTAAGATGATACGGTTTATAATATGCAAATTTGTTGTCTGTCCCCTCCCTTTATGTACATAGAAAATGAGCAAACAGGTGGCCATGAAACAGATGGTCATAGAATTGGTTCAGTGGTTGTGAGTGCAGCAACCCAAGAGTGTCTTATCTGAAATACCACCAGGAATGTCTGGACACAGTAGACAAAGGTTTTTCAACTGGACGCCTTAGGATACATGCTTGCAAAAACAAAGTAGCCAAAAAGAAACCAGAGTCACAGAATATCAGAGCCAGAGGAACATTTGGAGGTAATTCAGTACCTCCTCCTTTTCAACCTACAGGGGAGATAGTGGAAGAGAAGCAGGGATGGGTCTGCCTTCTGTGCCCACAATTCATTGGAGATTGTTGTGGTGAAGAATTTCTTTTATGATGAAGGAGAAATAAACTCCCATCAGCTTTAATTCAGGCAGGTTTATTGAAAAGGTGAAGAAGCATCTTGCAGAAGCAAAGCATGGCTGAGGCTTGTGGGCTATGTCTGGACAAATGAGCAGCCGACAGTGGCTGATGCTGCCCCTGACTCTGGGGCCATGCGGTCTGTGGTTCTCTGTGAGCATCTCTTCTATTCTCTTGCACGTTCCCTCAGCCTGTCAGTCTCTGTGTACTCTTCAACCCATAACTGAGCGAGGCTGTACCAGCCCCAATGCCATGTAGCACTTTATGTCAAATTAGAAAGGCATGAAATAAACTAACCCTTTATAATACAACTGTTGGAACAACAGTTGAAAATAACAATATCTTGACTCCTGGTTGAGTGCTTTACACTGAGCTGTCTTTTCCGAATATGAACACAGACTTGGGGATATTAGTGTCACCTAGCGTTATTAGCTAGTATTCTCCTTTTGTTTCCCCATAACATCCCCTCCTCCTTCCCACAGATCCACTCTCCACTCATTTCCATCCTGTCTTATGCCACTTGGGGCTTGTCCCTTCTAGAATGCATCCCTGGCTCCCCTGTGTGCACACTTGTAGTTAGGTTTAGCAGTGGGGGCACCCGATGGAGCCTGGAAGTGAGAGGAAGGTGAGGTCCGTATTTCTTCCCTCTCCCTCCCTGCTCTGGCACTGAGTATCTGGCAATAGCTGCATCTGTCTATTACTTCAGTGGCCACTCTTCCACAGCCCCAATTCTCAGTGGGTCCCATAGCATTATTTACCTTTGTTCCTTTAGCTCCCATCAAGGAAGACCCAGAGGCATTCTCCTCACCAAGGCATTAAGAAATGCATGGGTGAGGGGAACAGCGGCGTGCGTGTAAAGGTCCTGTGGCACCTCTCCTCTGCAGGCTGGAGGTCATGGCGGGAGATGCTGCATGGATTTGCCCTCCCTGCTGTCAGAACAACAGGGTTCTGGAAGAGTAGAGGACAGGCCGTGGGACTTGGCTGTCTAGAGACATGGCGGGAGGGATTTCCTTGAGAGGCAGGGACATGTGGTGGTTACTAATCATTGTGAGGTGTCTGGGATGTAATGGATGGGAAATCTACTAAGAAGTCAACTTATGTAATAATTAGAAAAGCTCTAGTTCTGAGGACAGAGACCTGTTGGAGTCACCATAGTGGGAATTTTTGACCTGGCATCCAGTTCAGATACCTGGAGCTTCTTGACTGAGGGGAGATTGGATCCCTTGGGGAAGAGTGAAGCCTTCAATGCTGCCACAAGTGTGATCCGCCCGCCTCAGCCTCCCAAAGTGCTGGGATTACAGGCGTGAGCCACCATGCCCGGCCTCTTTTTTATATTTAAAAAATATCATTTTATATATTATCAGGGCAAAAGAGAAAAACTGTATGATTACCTTGTCATACACAGTAAAAGCATTTGGCAAAATTGAAAACTTTTTTCATGATTTATAAAAACAAACCCCAGAAAATGCTCAGCATGATGAGAACAGAAGGCAACACTTCCAACCCCATTAAGGGCAGATTTGAAGAACCCACAGGTAACATTATATTAAATGGCATAAGATTGAATGCTTTTCTATTAAATCAGAGAAAAAAGTAGAATACCTGTTGTTACTCTTTTAATTCAGCATTATACTAGAGGTCTAAATCAATGCAATAAAGTAAGAAAAATTAATAAAGTATTGAAAAGAAAGAATTGAAGCTGTCTTTATTCACAGATAATGACTGTGTTTGTTAACAATGCTAGAAATCTACAAAAATCTACCAGAACTAATCAGTGAGTTTGGTAGTGTTGCAGAATGTAAGCTCTCAATATAAGTGGTCTTTTGTATTTCTGTATATTAGCAATGAGCATTTGGAAAATGAAATAAGAATACAATTTCATTTAAAGTAACATCTAAATACATGTTGTGCTTATAAACAAATTCAACAGACGGGGCACCGTGGCTCACACCTGTAATCTCAGCACTTTGGGAGGCCGAGGTGGGCAGATCATGAGGTCAGGAGATGGAGACCATCATGCCTAACACAGTGAAACCCCATCTCTACTAAAAATACAAAAAATTAGCTAGGCGTGGTGGCATGTGCCTGTAGTCCAGCTACTTGGGAGGCTGAGGCAGGAGGATCACTTGAACCTGGGAGGCAGAGGTTACAGTGAGCCGAGATCGCATCACTGCACTCCAGCCTGGGTAACAGAGCAAGACTCTGTCTCAAAAAAAAAAAAAAAAAAAAAAGGAAAGTCAACAAAATTTATGTAAGGCCAGTACACCAAAAACTATAAAAAATTGCTTTAAGAAATTATGAAAGAACTAAATTAGTGGGGAGATAAACCTTGTCATGGATCAGAAGAGTTGTTATGTTTAAAAAGTCAGTTCTTCGTAAATTGATCTCCAGATCCAATGCAATTCTAATAAAAATTCCAACCGGCATTTTGGTAGAAATTTACAAGATGATTCTACCATTTATATGGTAATGTCAATGATCAAGAATAATAAAATAGCAATATTATAAAAGAATAATGGTGAATGAATTCACTACCTATTTCCAGAATTACTCTACAGCTATGAAAATCAAGATTATGTGTTTTGTTGAAAAAAAAAATGGAATATATATCAGTGGAAGAGAAGAGAGAATCCAGAAATAGATACTCACATGTATGTCTAATTGATTCTTAGGACATATATATATGTATACACACATACACACACAAACGTGTGTGTGTGTGTGTGTGTGTGTGTGTGTATATTCACCGTTTTGAAGATTATCATCTCCAAATAGGGAATATATATATATATATATTTATCATCTCCAAATAGGGAATATATATATATATATATATATATATATATATATATATATATACAGACACACACACACACATATATATATATTGCAATCTGATAAGATAAACAGCACATTGAAACAATTTCTCAAAAGACTTAGATACTTCAGAAAAGAAGATACATGAATGGGCAATTAGCATAGGAAAAGATGCTCCACTGTTTAGTCATCAGGGAGATCAATCAGTGCAACAATGAGATACCACTACATATCCATAAGAATGGCTAAAATTAAAAAGGCTGAAAATAGCACCTGTTGGTGAGGATATAAAGCACTTGGAAGTCTTATACTTGTAGGAATGAAAAATGGTATGGCTCCTTTGAAAATCTAACAGTTTCTTAAAGGTTAAACATAACACAAATCAGATAGACAGTCATTCCATTCCTAGGAATTTACACACTGTGTCTGCACAGTGATCTGTATGTGTGTTTCCAGACCAACCTGAGGGGCGGGCTGCTATTTCTCATGGCTCAGTAACGAGACACAGATGAACTGGGGAGGAAGAGAGTTTTGACTTCTGCAACTGGTTACAGGGAAACGGCCTGGAAATTATCACCAGACCAACTCAAAATTGGAAAGTTTTCCTGAGCTAATGTACCTTCTAAGCTATATGTGTATGTGGAAGTGTGCATTCATCTAAACACATAAATGATTAACTTCTTTTAATCTATAACTAAGTCTGAGTCCTGAAGACCTTCCTCTGGAACCTCAGTTAAATTCAGTTAATCTAAATGGGTCTAGGTGCTGGGGTCCCTTATCTTGTCTCCTGCTAAATCACAGAGGTTTGGAGAGTCCCTTCAGATCTCCAATAAACTTGTTTGTGGAGGCCTGGGGAGTTTCTTCAGACCCCCAATAAAACTCGTTTAATACTAAATGGCTCCTGTTAAGAATGCCTTCGTTATTTCGTCATGCTTTAAGGCCCAGGAAAAACCTAGGCAAAACTCTTGGTGGGCTTTTGTTACATTCCAGCCTTTGTATAAGGGCACTGGCTTCTTTTTTTTTTTTTTTCCTCTTAATATTTAATTGAACCACTCAGTCGGTACTGAAACAGTTGTTAGGGAGGCCTGTGTTAGTGAGACCTGGCCTGCCACGTATGGATGCTCATGATAGTTTCTTCATAATAGCCCAAACGTGGAATGATAGAAATGTCCAATAATAAGTGAAAGTACAAACATACATGGTATAGCCACACGAAGGAATACTACTCAGTATTTACAAGACATTACAGATGGATTTTAAAATTACATTGATGCATGAAAGAAGGCAGACACAAAAGAACACAGGTATCATTTCATTTATAGAAAATGGTTAAAAATGCAAACGGACCTGAAGTGACAGTGGCTCCTTGGGGCTGAGGGTTGAAAGGCTGATGAACTGCAAAGGGGTACAAGAAACTTTGGGGCATAGGGAATTTCCTCTATCTTGGTTGTGGCAGTAGTTCCGTTAGTGTATCCATTTGTAAACGTGCATTGAATTACACATTTTAAAGTGGTGCAGTCTGTTGTACCGAAATTATGCCTTTATAAAGTTGATTTCATCATCTTAATTTCTCCATACTAGCAATTAGCAGCTAGAAAATGAAATTCAATAAAACATAATAGAGATTAACAGCCAGAATCATTACATGCTTAACAATACATGCAATGAAGCAGGTACAAGGCCCCTAAAAGCAATTGGTGAGAAAAATTAAAGAAGGCTAAATAAATATATATCATGTTCATTGCTTGGAAGACTCAATTTTGTTAGCATATTACATCAACACAATTCTGCTTAATATTTCTAGTAGGAGATTTTAGAGAAATTTGAAAGCTAGTTTCAAAATGTATTTGAAAATCAAAGAACCTAGAATAAGCAAGTCGGTATTGAAGAAGCAATAAGTTGGAGGACTTACTCTGCTAGATTTCAAACCTGATTTTAAAGCTACAGTAATTTTAAAACAGTAGTAATGGTGTCAGTATTCATAAATACATCAAAGTGAAAGAATACAGACTCAAACAATATGCCCACATATGTACAGTTATTGATTTTTTTTAGTAGAAACTTTTTTATTCATAAAAAATCCATCAAAACAAAAAAGTTTTCCAGCCACACACAGGAGGGGTATGGGTGGGGGAAGGTGTCTGTCCATCTATCCCTGGCCCCCAGCCCATGTGGTTTTGGCAGCAATAAGGTGTGTGGAGTAATGACTCCTGAAATTAAAATGGTGTGTGTATGTGAAGGAAAGGCGGGCAAAGCTGTGGGGAGCGGTGGAGTGGAAGGAACAAAGGAGGTCAGTACTGGGAACGCTGAAGGTGGGAGGCCATTTCATAACATTACTTGTCGATGAAATTGCCATGGATACCTTCTTTGCCCATCAGCAGGCCTAGCGTCTTGGCAGTCATGGTGACAATGACGTTGAAGGTGGGGGCTCCACCGATGCTCTTCATACGAAGATCCGTGGTCAATTCCCCATCCTGCAGCAGTGAGTCCAGGACCACAGTATATTTCTGGCCCCCCAGTGTCAGCCCATTCATGACAAAGCTTGACCAGTCTTTGCCAACCAGGACACCAACCTCAGCTGGCGTGATGTTGAGGAAGGTTTTCCCTGGGACGGCGGCCCAGATGGAAGGCGGGTCCTTGTTGCCCACAATGGCAGTGTCCTAACAGGTCCCGTCCGCCACGAGGCTGTAGATGGAGGTGTCCACCTGGCCGTTGCGTTGCTGCAGGGGCTCCTCTGGTCGCTGCTGCTGGGGCCGCCTGGGCTGGCGGGTGGGGGAGGCGGAGAGCTCGATGCAGGTGCTGTCCTCCTCGCCACGACTCTGCTAGCTGTGCAGTAGCCCTCGCTCCGCCACTTAAAAAAGAAAAAAATATATATATATAATATATATACACGTGTTATATATATTGTATATTATGTATATACACGTATTATATATATATACACGTATGTATATACACGTATATATATTATATATATTCATGTGTGTGTATATATTATATATACGTGTATACAGGTATATATGTATATATAATATATATACACGTGTATATATATTATATATATATATACGTGTGCCATGTTGGTTTGCTGCACCCATTAACTCGTCATTTACATTAGGTATTTCTCCTAATGCTATCCCTCCCCCAGCCCTCACCCCATGACAGGCCCTGGTGTGTGATGTTCCCCGTCCTGTGTCCAAGTGTTCTCATTGTTCAGTTCCCACCCATGAGTGAGAACATGCTTGCACCGCCGCTTCTAAATGTTTTAAAAACAGACACCAATGCCCTTCATTGGGGAAATGAAAGACTTTTAAGTAAAACGATTTTGAGTGAAATAATATTTGTTGTTTTAAAAAGTTAATATTAACCACTCTCCATCATATGTTGAAATTATCTTAAGATGTGAAAGTTAAAATTAGAAACCTTGTAAAGGAAAAATAGGAAATAGTTTCATGAACTTGACACAGGAAAATATTTCTTAGACTAGATACTGTAGCACTCACCACAATAAGAAATCAAGCGAATTGCACTTCATTTTTAAAAAGCTTCTCCTTATTATGTTGTTGTTTAACAACTTAAACGCTATCTCTAGACCAGGAATAATTATTTGCTATATAATACAGCAAAAAATATGTATGTATAAATGGACTCATTCAAAATATATAAAGAACTCCTATTACAAAGAAATTGACAAACAGCCCAGTATATCAATGAATATAAAAATTTGAGAAGATATTTTCCATAAGAAGATATCTAAATGCACATTAGGCATGAGAAAACCAAATTTTAGGATATCACTACACACCTGGCATAGTTTAAAAGACTGAAAATATTAAGTGTGTGGGAATGTAGAGCAACTGGAAATGGCCTACATCTTTCATAGAAATGTAAAACAATACAAATACTTTGCAAAACTCTGTCCAACATTTTCTACCCATTCACCAAGCAACTCCATCCCTAGCTATAGATACCCAGGAAAATAAGTATGTATCTTCACAGAAATAATTGTATGAGAATATTCATAGTTACTTATGCACAGTAGTTATCAAGTAAACCTGTCTCCCATCAGAAAAATGGATATCAAATTGTGTGATAATCATACAATCAATAGGATATTACTTGGCCAAAACAAAATGAAACAAGGGAAAAACACAATCAAACAAATTAGTGGCATATATACACACTTGAGTAAAGAGAAGTCGGCCGGGCGCGGTGGCTCACGCCTGTAATCCCAGTACTTTGGGAGGCCGAGGCGGCAGATCACGAGGTCAGGAGATCGAGACCATCGTGGCTAACACAGTGAAACCCCGTCTCTACTAAAAATACAAAAAAAGAAAAAAAAAAAGAAAAGAAAAATTAGCCAGGCGTGGTGGCGGGCGCCTGTATTCCCAGCTACTTGGGAGTCTGAGGCAGGAGAATAGCGTGAACCTGGGAGGCAGAGCTTGCAGTGAGCCTAGATCGCGTCACTGCACTCCAGCCTGGGAGACAGAGTGAGACTCTGTCTCAAAAAAATAAAAAAGTCAAAACAAGAGAACATACTAAATGATTCCATTTTTTTATTTATGACTTCATGACTACCATTAAGAAAATATAACCTGTTGGGAAACTGTTTCTGCCTTGATGATGTTGTACAGACAAGAGATAAACAGTGAGGAATGTGCTTAGATGTATTGGGAAAGACACGGGTCTGTGGCATTGTCACAAGGGTACACGAATACTGAGAGTGAATGCTGAAGGAATGATCCCCATTGGTGGTGACCCTCAGGTGAGACTAGGGTGCCTGTGTTTCAGCAAAGCCTGGGCAATTGGAATGCAGGGCTCCTAAGATTCCATGACACCCCCACCTTCTAATTCTGTTATTGCAACTGCAGACGGTTACCTGGCACGCTGGCCACAATCTACCTCACTCTTATCAGAGTCTGAGCTACTGGCAGTGCTTTCAGCTCTGAGTTGAGGCACCTCGAACCTTGTTTTTGTGGTGAAGGATCCTAAAGTGCTGTGGGAGTGATCACATTTTTCACAACAGTAAGGTAAGAATTTCAGTTACTGACATCCCTCAGTCCTGATTAAACCTATTTGATTTCACCAGTTTTTAACCCATCATATGTTTGGGTTTCTTCTCCCCAGTCCCTGACTCCACCTCTTCTGCCACAAACGTCAGCATGGTGGTATCAGCCGGCCCTTGGTCCAGCGAGAAGGCAGAGATGAACATTCTAGAAATCAACGAGAAATTGCGCCCCCAGTTGGCAGAGAACAAACAGCAGTTCGTAAACCTCAAAGAGAGATGTTTTCTAACTCAACTGGCCGGCTTCCTGGCCAACCGACAGAAGAAATACAGTAAGATCTATAGGCTCACCGTCATGAAAGTGATGAATGATGTCCTGTCTTCTCTCTGAGACACTAAATGCTCTCTCCATCAAAAATAATTTCATCCTTCCTGTACTTCTAGGAAAACAGAAATGGGTATTTTAACATTTTGTTAAAGTTGGAAGACAGAGGTACCAAAGTATTTAGCAACTTTCCATGTTTGCAATCAGATGGGGGTGGGACTAGAGTTAAACTCACAGTTATTGATTTCTAACACAGGCACAGAACGACCTGTTTTCTCCAAGAGGCTCAATCATGTTTTCAAGAATCCTCTCTGTACCATATAAGATCCTGCAGACAAATAACATGTAGTCTGTTGTTCTAAATGTCTAGGACTAGTGAACTTTTATTCAGTTCAAGTTTCTGTTGAGGCCCAACAGGCAAAGCTCTGTTCTAGTGACTCTGAGGGGAACTTGGTGATAGTACCCAGTACCTGCTCTGAGGGGCTTCAAGAGGAGTCTGCTCCTAATAGAACCTGTGCTATCTATAAGTGACAGCATCAAGAGCAGGGAGTAGGGGCCGTGCAACATGGCTCACTCCTGTAATCTCAGCACTTTGGGAGGCTGAGGCGGGCAGAGCACAAGGTCAGCAGTTTGAGACTAGCCTGGGCAACATGGAGAAACCCCATCTCCACTAAAAATACAAAAAGTAGATGGGCATCGTGGCGGGCAACTGTAATCACCACTAATCGGGAGGCTGAGGCAGAAGAATCCTTTGAACCCAGCAGGCAGATGTTGCAGTGAGCCAAGATTGCACTATTGCACTCCAGCATGGGTGACAGGGCAAGACTCGTCAAAAAACAAACAAAACAAAAAGATAAATAAATCAAAAATAAAAATAAAAAGCAGAGAGTAGCTTGGTGAGAGTGAAGTCCTGCTTCCTGGTGCACAGGCTCTTGTTCCTAAAGAGGAAGAAAGATCACACCCGAGAATGTGTGGAAGCAGCAGTGCAGTGTGCAAAGCAGGGACCCTCAGCCTGTCTCCTGGGCTCCATCCAAGTTCCTTGTCTTGTCTGTCCCTCAGTTTCCTCATCTGTTCAGAGGGTACTACAATAATACCTACCTCTGTAAATTGCTGCAATGAATTACATGAGGCATTTCCTGTCAATCTCCTTGAACATTAATTGGCACAGTGTAAACACTATCTATTAGTTCTTCATTCTGATGTTTCTAAATTAACACAAACTAATCTTATGCTGTTTCTAAATTAACACAACGAATCTAAATCTTAATGCTGCCTCTCATACTAATAAAGTATTTGGGCATATTTCCTTCATGGCCTTATTGTCTTATGTCTCACACTTTATGCTTCAGATATGATTCTTAAAACCATATCTGAATATTGATTTAAAAATGAAATATTTTTAAAGTCCTTGACATATTTGTCCTTGAAATACCCAGTAAAAGGGAAACCATCAGTCCCATAGTCCTAGGGACCTTCCCGACTGTACAAGAAATCACTACTTCATGCCCCAGTGCAGTGTTTTAGAGGAGAGGCTGCAAGGCTTGGGAAAGTGGCCCCGCATTCAGAGTCAGACCTCAGGGGCTGTGAGTTCTGACTCCGCTTCGTTGTGGTTGAATCATCTTGTCAACTTCCTTGACGCGCCCTTGAGTTTCTCTTTCTTCGTCTTTAAATTTTGGAGGATCAGATGCCAGAAAGTCAGGAGACTGAAGAGTAAAGATGTGGAAATCCCTGTCTAGACCCTGGTACTGGGGAGAGTTTTGTCCTTGGGATGGACCTGGCTCCTGCCCTGTAGGCAGTGACCACAGCAGCATGTCCAGCCTTCCACTGAGGCAGGCGTGTCTGTCTTTTCTCAGAGTATGAAGAGTGTAAAGACCTCATAAGATTTATGCTGAGGAATGAGCGACAGTTCAAGGAGGAGAAGCTTGCAGAGCAGCTCAAGCAAGCTGAGGAGCTCAGGTGAGGGGAACCCGTAGGGGGAGGCAGGCGGGTAGGTGTGTAGATCTCTGAAGTACAGCAGCTCGGCGGGGAGAAGTAAGAATGAAGCTGGGCCAGGGGAAGGGCAGAAATTGCCATGGCAGGCTCATGACACACAAATATTTATCAGAGAACAAGGATAATAATAAGTTCTGTGTTGCAGTTGTTTCTTAGAGCCTTGTTTTCTCTTTTTCAAACAAGTAATTGTTGAGGTGAAATTTACATAACACAAAATTCACCAAAGGAGTGGGAACCACCCAGCAGCATTCAGTATAATCAAAATGGTGTGCTATCGCCACCCCACTTACCCTTAGTGAGAATCACCTTCTGACTGACTGCGTCTTCTCATTCTTTCACTCAATCAATGTTGCCTTCTTGACCCTGTCATTCTTTTCTTCTTTCATCTTTTCAATTCGCCCCATCTGCACCTGGCCTCATTTCTGTACATGACTTTGTATCTAGTGGCCGCAAGATGCACTATGTGTATTTTCACATGGAAATGTCCATGGCCAGAGTGAGGAACTGAAAGGATGTCTTTGAAATGGAATTAGGAAGACACCTACTTTTGTTTACAGAAGAGAAAGATGAATGGAACATCATCGAGGATCTTGCAGGAGCCCTCTCTGATACAGGGAAAGCCTGTAGACCATTTTCTGTTCTTTCTCTTGGCCACAGACATTCCTTTCAACATGTGCTGACCTTCTGCTTGAAGGTCTCCTTGTGAACATTGTCTCAGAAATCTCTGTTGCAATATTTGAACGGATCACTCAACCCTTTCTACTCTTAAATTTTCTCTACCATCTCACCTTAGGCAATATAAAGTCCTGGTTCACTCTCAGGAACGAGAGCTGACGCAGTTAAAGGAGAAGTTACAGGAAGGGAGAGATGCCTCCCGCTCATTGAATGAGCATCTCCAGGCCCTCCTCACTCTGGATGAGCCGGACAAGTCCCAGGGGCAGGACCTCCAAGAACAGCTGGCTGAGGGGTGTAGACTGGCACAGCACCTTGTCCAAAAGCTCAGCCCAGGTAAGGTGGCCATAGGCCCTGATGACCCAAAACCCCAGGCTTATGAGAGGCTCCAGACCTCCATACTTTCACAATGACAGTTGTATCAGTGGGGTTTTTTTTCTGCTACACCTATGTGGCCATGACATGACCAGGACTTCCTGGGTAAGAACAGAGATGGGAAACCCATGGTTTGGAGGTCACAGTATTGCAAGTGTCCCTCCTTCCTTGATGGAAGGTGGTCTTTGGAGCAAGAGGCAGCATCTATCTAGTTTTAAAGGACAAGAAGGAGGCTGTGATGGGAGGGCGCTTGTTGGAGTGAAAAGAGCTCTGGGCTAAGAATGAAGGTTCCCAGGCTGTCTTTTTGGCAATGTTCTTAGTAAGTGTCGGTGAGTGAGTGATTTATCTTTCCAGAGTTTCTCTCTCTCCATCTGCAAAGGCAGACAAATTGTCTCTTGCAAGGGTCTGAAGCATCCAAATATGGGAACACTTACGAATGCTTTTCAAAATGAGATGAAGCCCCTCTCCATGTGGTGTTGGAGAAGGCACTTGATGTGGGGGCATTTGGTGGTAGGAAGTGCTTCAGACTGGAGCACTCCCCATGGATAGAATGTCCCTGAATAACACAGCAGAAGCCACATGGAGGGCCTGTGCAGTCTCATGACGCATAGAGGACTGTGGGACAAGTTTGTCCTCTCCTAAGAGAAAGAATGAGGTTTGAAATGCGAACTGTGACAGGACACCAAGCCTGTTCCTGGGAATCAGATCTGTGGCAGGATGGGGGAGACAGCTGCCAAAGTCCAGA
This sequence comes from Homo sapiens, assembly GCF_000001405.40. NCBI lineage: Eukaryota > Metazoa > Chordata > Mammalia > Primates > Hominidae > Homo > Homo sapiens. The sequence continues at coordinate 120,440,475 of NC_000001.11, forward strand.
GAGAGGCTACACAAGCCTCCAGTGATATGGGAAGCAAAAGGTCTTTTCAGTATTTGGCCACATCTTGATGGTGGCCCTCCACATCAGAAATGCATTGCCCGATGGACCAGGAAACCATGCCAGGGCATTTTGTGAAAGATAAAACATGAGAGTTTTCAGTACAATGCTGAACCATACATAGATGTTCATGTCTCTGTGCACGTTGGGCTGACTGTGCTTGCAGAATGTGAAGTGGGAAATATCTGAACGAACATTTTGTATTTATAAAAAATGACGAAGATGAGGATGAAGATGTTCAAGTTGAGGAGGATGAGAAAGTGCAGAAATCATCTGCCCCCAGGTAACACTGAATACTCAGGAGCAAGTAATGGGTGGTAACATATGAAAATGTCTAGGAGGCACACCCTCTCTGGCATCTATGGTGGACCAAAAGCCCGCATCCCCTTGGCCACAGTATGTGAAATTGAACCCAGCTTAGACACAGGGTGCGGCAGCTGTCGTGTTTCTCTATGTGTGCCAAGTGTCATGTCTGTACCATACAGGGATAGCTGAGTCTTCATCCTCCTCAGCTCCTATCTGTCCAGTGCACTGAATACCAGCTGCTCTCTTCCTCTCTGGCTCCCATGGCAGCCATGGTCTGTTGCAGAGAGAAGAGGATTGCCTGTTTCCTCTTTAAGGGAACCTCCATTTTGCTTTCTGGAACCACTCTCTTAATGCCACCTGTCAAAACCAGCTAGGACTCCCTGGGGTCCAATCCCTCTGTGTTTAATCTTCTGTCATCTCTGTCCCACCTGGCTCATCAGGGAGGTGCAGAAGGCTGAAGAGAGCAAAGTCCCTGAGGACTCACTGGAGGAATGTGCCATCACTTGTTCAAATAGCCACGGCCCTTGTGACTCCAACCAGCCTCACAAGAACATCAAAATCACATTTGAGGAAGACGAAGTCAACTCAACTCTGGTTGTAGACAGAGAATCCTCTCATGATGAATGTCAGGATGCTCTAAACATTCTCTCAGGTAGCCTCTATTTTCCTTGTGTCTCATACCTCTGTCTAGGCTATGGAAGATTAATTCTGAGGACAGGCTGTATATACACATATTGTTATTGTTTTAGTCAGAAACTAGGATGGAGCTAGGTGCTGTGACTCACACATATAATCACAGCACTTTGGAAGGCCCAAGTGGGACGATGACTTGAGTTCAGGAGTTGAAGACCAGCCTGGACAATATGGTGAAACCCATCTTTACAAAGAATACAAAAAATTAGGCAGGCATGGTGCTGCATGCCTATAGTCCCAACTGCTCAGGAGACTTAGGTGGGAGGATCGGCTGAGACGATCCTCCCACGCTCGTTCACTCCTCTCAGGCTAGACTCTCTCTCCTTTTCATTGGCTTGTCTTAGCTATTAATAAGAAGTCTCGGCCTGGCGCGGTGGCTCACACATGTAATCCGAGCACTTTGGGAGGCCGGGGCGGGTGGATCACGAGGTCAGGAGATCGAGACCATCCTGGCTAACACGGTGAAACGCCGTCTTTACTAAAAATACAAAAAAAAAAAAAAAATTAGCTGGGCGCGGTGGTGGGCGCCTGTAGTCCCAGCTACTCAGGAGGCTGAGGCAGGAGAATGGCATGAACCCAGGAACCGGAGCTTGCAGTGAGCCGAGATTGTGCCACTGCACTCCAGCCTGGGAGACAGAGCGAGACTCCATCTCAAAAAAAAAAGTAAGTCTCTGACCAGGGGCGCTGGCTCACATCTTAATCCCAGCACTTTGGGAGGCTGAGGTGGGCAGAACACCTGAGGTCAGGAGTTCGAAACCAGCCTGTCCAAGATGGCGAAACCCCATCTCTACTAAAAATACAAAAATTAGCTGGCATGTTACTTGGCGCTTGTAATCCCAGATGCTTGGCAGGCTGAGGGATGAGAATCGCTTGAACCCGGGCGGCAGAGGTGGCAGTGAGCTGAGATTGTGCCTCTGCACTGCAGCCTGCACGACAGAGTGAGACTCCGTCTCAAACAAAAAACAAAAAACCAAAAAAGAAAAAAATTAAAAAAGCAAAATGAAATCTTTTGTGCTACACAGAAACATTGGCCACTCATGGGGTAAAAATCTCAGGGCCAAGCCTTGCTTTATAGAAACTTATAAGCAAGAAAAGTGTAGAAGTGTTTATGTCCTGGTTTCAAGGTGACTGCATAGCTGAGACAAGTTGACTTAAAGGAGATCAAGACTGGAGATGACAAGAGTGAAACCAGGGAAACATCATCTTCAAATAAGTAAACAAGGCTGCCAGTGACATCCCTCAGTCCTGATTAAGCCTATTTGATTTCACCAGTTTTTAACCCATCATGTGTTTGCCTTTCTTCTCCCCAGTCCCTGGCCCCACCTCTTCTGCCACAAACGTCAGCATGGTGGTATCAGCCGGCCCTTTGTCCAGCGAGAAGGCAGAGATGAACATTCTAGAAATCAATGAGAAATTGCACCCCCAGCTGGCAGAGAAGAAACAGCAGTTCGTAAACCTCAAAGAGAAATGTTTTCTAACTCAACTGGCCGGCTTCCTGGCCAACCGACAGAAGAAATACAGTAAGATCTATAGGCTCACCGTCATGAAAGTGATGAATGATGTCCTGTCTTCTCTCTGAGACACTAAATGCTCTCTCCATCAAAAATAATTTCATCCTTCCTGTACTTCTAGGAAAACAGAAATGGGTATTTTAACATTTTGTTAAAGTTGGAAGACAGAGGTACCAAAGTATTTAGCAACTTTCCATGTTTGCAATCAGATGGGGGTGGGACTAGAGTTAAACTCACAGTTATTGATTTCTAACACAGGCACAGAACGACCTGTTTTCTCCAAGAGGCTCAATCATGTTTTCAAGAATCCTCTCTGTACCATATAAGATCCTGCAGACAAATAACATGTAGTCTGTTGTTCTAAATGTCTAGGACTAGTGAACTTTTATTCAGTTCAAGTTTCTGTTGAGGCCCAACAGGCAAAGCTCTGTTCTAGTGACTCTGAGGGGAACTTGGTGATAGTACCCAGTACCTGCTCTGAGGGGCTTCAAGAGGAGTCTGCTCCTAATAGAACCTGTGCTATCTATAAGTGACAGCATCAAGAGCAGGGAGTAGGGGCCGTGCAACATGGCTCACTCCTGTAATCTCAGCACTTTGGGAGGCTGAGGCGGGCAGAGCACAAGGTCAGCAGTTTGAGACTAGCCTGGGCAACATGGAGAAACCCCATCTCCACTAAAAATACAAAAAGTAGATGGGCATCGTGGCGGGCAACTGTAATCACCACTAATCGGGAGGCTGAGGCAGAAGAATCCTTTGAACCCAGCAGGCAGATGTTGCAGTGAGCCAAGATTGCACTATTGCACTCCAGCATGGGTGACAGGGCAAGACTCGTCAAAAAACAAACAAAACAAAAAGATAAATAAATCAAAAATAAAAATAAAAAGCAGAGAGTAGCTTGGTGAGAGTGAAGTCCTGCTTCCTGGTGCACAGGCTCTTGTTCCTAAAGAGGAAGAAAGATCACACCCGAGAATGTGTGGAAGCAGCAGTGCAGTGTGCAAAGCAGGGACCCTCAGCCTGTCTCCTGGGCTCCATCCAAGTTCCTTGTCTTGTCTGTCCCTCAGTTTCCTCATCTGTTCAGAGGGTACTACAATAATACCTACCTCTGTAAATTGCTGCAATGAATTACATGAGGCATTTCCTGTCAATCTCCTTGAACATTAATTGGCACAGTGTAAACACTATCTATTAGTTCTTCATTCTGATGTTTCTAAATTAACACAAACTAATCTTATGCTGTTTCTAAATTAACACAACGAATCTAAATCTTAATGCTGCCTCTCATACTAATAAAGTATTTGGGCATATTTCCTTCATGGCCTTATTGTCTTATGTCTCACACTTTATGCTTCAGATATGATTCTTAAAACCATATCTGAATATTGATTTAAAAATGAAATATTTTTAAAGTCCTTGACATATTTGTCCTTGAAATACCCAGTAAAAGGGAAACCATCAGTCCCATAGTCCTAGGGACCTTCCCGACTGTACAAGAAATCACTACTTCATGCCCCAGTGCAGTGTTTTAGAGGAGAGGCTGCAAGGCTTGGGAAAGTGGCCCCGCATTCAGAGTCAGACCTCAGGGGCTGTGAGTTCTGACTCCGCTTCGTTGTGGTTGAATCATCTTGTCAACTTCCTTGACGCGCCCTTGAGTTTCTCTTTCTTCGTCTTTAAATTTTGGAGGATCAGATGCCAGAAAGTCAGGAGACTGAAGAGTAAAGATGTGGAAATCCCTGTCTAGACCCTGGTACTGGGGAGAGTTTTGTCCTTGGGATGGACCTGGCTCCTGCCCTGTAGGCAGTGACCACAGCAGCATGTCCAGCCTTCCACTGAGGCAGGCGTGTCTGTCTTTTCTCAGAGTATGAAGAGTGTAAAGACCTCATAAGATTTATGCTGAGGAATGAGCGACAGTTCAAGGAGGAGAAGCTTGCAGAGCAGCTCAAGCAAGCTGAGGAGCTCAGGTGAGGGGAACCCGTAGGGGGAGGCAGGCGGGTAGGTGTGTAGATCTCTGAAGTACAGCAGCTCGGCGGGGAGAAGTAAGAATGAAGCTGGGCCAGGGGAAGGGCAGAAATTGCCATGGCAGGCTCATGACACACAAATATTTATCAGAGAACAAGGATAATAATAAGTTCTGTGTTGCAGTTGTTTCTTAGAGCCTTGTTTTCTCTTTTTCAAACAAGTAATTGTTGAGGTGAAATTTACATAACACAAAATTCACCAAAGGAGTGGGAACCACCCAGCAGCATTCAGTATAATCAAAATGGTGTGCTATCGCCACCCCACTTACCCTTAGTGAGAATCACCTTCTGACTGACTGCGTCTTCTCATTCTTTCACTCAATCAATGTTGCCTTCTTGACCCTGTCATTCTTTTCTTCTTTCATCTTTTCAATTCGCCCCATCTGCACCTGGCCTCATTTCTGTACATGACTTTGTATCTAGTGGCCGCAAGATGCACTATGTGTATTTTCACATGGAAATGTCCATGGCCAGAGTGAGGAACTGAAAGGATGTCTTTGAAATGGAATTAGGAAGACACCTACTTTTGTTTACAGAAGAGAAAGATGAATGGAACATCATCGAGGATCTTGCAGGAGCCCTCTCTGATACAGGGAAAGCCTGTAGACCATTTTCTGTTCTTTCTCTTGGCCACAGACATTCCTTTCAACATGTGCTGACCTTCTGCTTGAAGGTCTCCTTGTGAACATTGTCTCAGAAATCTCTGTTGCAATATTTGAACGGATCACTCAACCCTTTCTACTCTTAAATTTTCTCTACCATCTCACCTTAGGCAATATAAAGTCCTGGTTCACTCTCAGGAACGAGAGCTGACGCAGTTAAAGGAGAAGTTACAGGAAGGGAGAGATGCCTCCCGCTCATTGAATGAGCATCTCCAGGCCCTCCTCACTCTGGATGAGCCGGACAAGTCCCAGGGGCAGGACCTCCAAGAACAGCTGGCTGAGGGGTGTAGACTGGCACAGCACCTTGTCCAAAAGCTCAGCCCAGGTAAGGTGGCCATAGGCCCTGATGACCCAAAACCCCAGGCTTATGAGAGGCTCCAGACCTCCATACTTTCACAATGACAGTTGTATCAGTGGGGTTTTTTTCTGCTACACCTATGTGGCCATGACATGACCAGGACTTCCTGGGTAAGAACAGAGATGGGAAACCCATGGTTTGGAGGTCACAGTATTGCAAGTGTCCCTCCTTCCTTGATGGAAGGTGGTCTTTGGAGCAAGAGGCAGCATCTATCTAGTTTTAAAGGACAAGAAGGAGGCTGTGATGGGAGGGCGCTTGTTGGAGTGAAAAGAGCTCTGGGCTAAGAATGAAGGTTCCCAGGCTGTCTTTTTGGCAATGTTCTTAGTAAGTGTCGGTGAGTGAGTGATTTATCTTTCCAGAGTTTCTCTCTCTCCATCTGCAAAGGCAGACAAATTGTCTCTTGCAAGGGTCTGAAGCATCCAAATATGGGAACACTTACGAATGCTTTTCAAAATGAGATGAAGCCCCTCTCCATGTGGTGTTGGAGAAGGCACTTGATGTGGGGGCATTTGGTGGTAGGAAGTGCTTCAGACTGGAGCACTCCCCATGGATAGAATGTCCCTGAATAACACAGCAGAAGCCACATGGAGGGCCTGTGCAGTCTCATGACGCATAGAGGACTGTGGGACAAGTTTGTCCTCTCCTAAGAGAAAGAATGAGGTTTGAAATGCGAACTGTGACAGGACACCAAGCCTGTTCCTGGGAATCAGATCTGTGGCAGGATGGGGGAGACAGCTGCCAAAGTCCAGAGAGAGGCTACACAAGCCTCCAGTGATATGGGAAGCAAAAGGTCTTTTCAGTATTTGGCCACATCTTGATGGTGGCCCTCCACATCAGAAATGCATTGCCCGATGGACCAGGAAACCATGCCAGGGCATTTTGTGAAAGATAAAACATGAGAGTTTTCAGTACAATGCTGAACCATACATAGATGTTCATGTCTCTGTGCACGTTGGGCTGACTGTGCTTGCAGAATGTGAAGTGGGAAATATCTGAACGAACATTTTGTATTTATAAAAAATGACGAAGATGAGGATGAAGATGTTCAAGTTGAGGAGGATGAGAAAGTGCAGAAATCATCTGCCCCCAGGTAACACTGAATACTCAGGAGCAAGTAATGGGTGGTAACATATGAAAATGTCTAGGAGGCACACCCTCTCTGGCATCTATGGTGGACCAAAAGCCCGCATCCCCTTGGCCACAGTATGTGAAATTGAACCCAGCTTAGACACAGGGTGCGGCAGCTGTCGTGTTTCTCTATGTGTGCCAAGTGTCATGTCTGTACCATACAGGGATAGCTGAGTCTTCATCCTCCTCAGCTCCTATCTGTCCAGTGCACTGAATACCAGCTGCTCTCTTCCTCTCTGGCTCCCATGGCAGCCATGGTCTGTTGCAGAGAGAAGAGGATTGCCTGTTTCCTCTTTAAGGGAACCTCCATTTTGCTTTCTGGAACCACTCTCTTAATGCCACCTGTCAAAACCAGCTAGGACTCCCTGGGGTCCAATCCCTCTGTGTTTAATCTTCTGTCATCTCTGTCCCACCTGGCTCATCAGGGAGGTGCAGAAGGCTGAAGAGAGCAAAGTCCCTGAGGACTCACTGGAGGAATGTGCCATCACTTGTTCAAATAGCCACGGCCCTTGTGACTTCAACCAGCCTCACAAGAACATCAAAATCACATTTGAGGAAGACGAAGTCAACTCAACTCTGGTTGTAGACAGAGAATCCTCTCATGATGAATGTCAGGATGCTCTAAACATTCTCTCAGGTAGCCTCTATTTTCCTTGTGTCTCATACCTCTGTCTAGGCTATGGAAGATTAATTCTGAGGACAGGCTGTATATACACATATTGTTATTGTTTTAGTCAGAAACTAGGATGGAGCTAGGTGCTGTGACTCACACATATAATCACAGCACTTTGGAAGGCCCAAGTGGGACGATGACTTGAGTTCAGGAGTTGAAGACCAGCCTGGACAATATGGTGAAACCCATCTTTACAAAGAATACAAAAAATTAGGCAGGCATGGTGCTGCATGCCTATAGTCCCAACTGCTCAGGAGACTTAGGTGGGAGGATCGGCTGAGACGATCCTCCCACGCTCGTTCACTCCTCTCAGGCTAGACTCTCTCTCCTTTTCATTGGCTTGTCTTAGCTATTAATAAGAAGTCTCGGCCTGGCGCGGTGGCTCACACATGTAATCCGAGCACTTTGGGAGGCCGGGGCGGGTGGATCACGAGGTCAGGAGATCGAGACCATCCTGGCTAACACGGTGAAACGCCGTCTTTACTAAAAATACAAAAAAAAAAAAAAAATTAGCTGGGCGCGGTGGTGGGCGCCTGTAGTCCCAGCTACTCAGGAGGCTGAGGCAGGAGAATGGCATGAACCCAGGAACCGGAGCTTGCAGTGAGCCGAGATTGTGCCACTGCACTCCAGCCTGGGAGACAGAGCGAGACTCCATCTCAAAAAAAAAAGTAAGTCTCTGACCAGGGGCGCTGGCTCACATCTTAATCCCAGCACTTTGGGAGGCTGAGGTGGGCAGAACACCTGAGGTCAGGAGTTCGAAACCAGCCTGTCCAAGATGGCGAAACCCCATCTCTACTAAAAATACAAAAATTAGCTGGCATGTTACTTGGCGCTTGTAATCCCAGATGCTTGGCAGGCTGAGGGATGAGAATCGCTTGAACCCGGGCGGCAGAGGTGGCAGTGAGCTGAGATTGTGCCTCTGCACTGCAGCCTGCACGACAGAGTGAGACTCCGTCTCAAACAAAAAACAAAAAACCAAAAAAGAAAAAAATTAAAAAAGCAAAATGAAATCTTTTGTGCTACACAGAAACATTGGCCACTCATGGGGTAAAAATCTCAGGGCCAAGCCTTGCTTTATAGAAACTTATAAGCAAGAAAAGTGTAGAAGTGTTTATGTCCTGGTTTCAAGGTGACTGCATAGCTGAGACAAGTTGACTTAAAGGAGATCAAGACTGGAGATGACAAGAGTGAAACCAGGGAAACATCATCTTCAAATAAGTAAACAAGGCTGCCAGTGACATCCCTCAGTCCTGATTAAGCCTATTTGATTTCACCAGTTTTTAACCCATCATGTGTTTGCCTTTCTTCTCCCCAGTCCCTGGCCCCACCTCTTCTGCCACAAACGTCAGCATGGTGGTATCAGCCGGCCCTTTGTCCAGCGAGAAGGCAGAGATGAACATTCTAGAAATCAATGAGAAATTGCACCCCCAGCTGGCAGAGAAGAAACAGCAGTTCAGAAACCTCAAAGAGAAATGTTTTCTAACTCAACTGGCCGGCTTCCTGGCCAACCGACAGAACAAATACAGTAAGATCTACAGGCTCACCATCATGAAAGTGATGAATGATATCCTGTCTTCTCTCTGAGACACTAAATGCTCTCTCCATCAAAAATAATTTCATCCTTCCTGTACTTCTAGGAAAACAGAAATGGGTATTTTAACATTTTGTCAAAGTTGGAAGACAGAGGTACCAAAGTATTTAGCAACTTTCCATGTTTTCAATCAGGTGGGGGTGGGACTAGAGTTAAACTGCCATTTATTGATTTCTGACACAGGCACAGAATGACCTGTTTTCTCCAAGAGGCTCAATCGTGTTTTCAAGAATCCTCTCTACCATATAAGATCCTGCAGACAAATAACATCTAGTCTGTTGTTCTAAATGTCTGAGACTAGTGAACTTTTATTCAGTTCAAGTTTCTGTTGAGGCCCAACAGACAAAGCTCTGTTCTAGTGACTCTGAGGGAAACTTGGTGATAGTAGCCAGTACCTGCTCTGAGGGCTTCAAGAGGAGTCTATTCCTAATAGAACCTGTGCTGTCTATAAGTGACAGCATCAAGAGCAGGGAGTAGGGGCCGTGCATGGTGGCTCACTCCTGTAATCCCAGCACTTTGGGAGGCTGAGGCGGGCAGATCATCAGGTCAGGAGTTTGGGACCAGCCTGGGCAACATGGAGAAACCCCATCTTCACTAAAAATACAAAAAGTAGATGGGCGTGGTGGCAGGTGACTGTAATCACCCCTGCTCAGGAGGCTGAGGCAGGAGAATCCTTTGAACCCAGGAGGCTGAGGTTGCAGTGAGCCAAGGTTTTGCCATTGCACTCCAGCCTGGGCGACAGGGCAAGACTGTTAAAAATAATAATAATAATAATGATAAATAAAAATAAGAATAAAAAGCAGAGAGTAGCTTGGTGAGAGTGAAGTCCTGCTTCCTGGGGCACAGAGTCTTGTTGCTAAAGAGGAAGAAAGATCCCACCCGAGAATGTGTGGAGATAGCAGTGCAGTGTACAGAGCAGGGACCGTGGGCCTGTCTCCTGGGATCCATCCAAGTTGCTTGTCTTGTCTGTCCCTCAGTTTCCTCACCTGTTCAGAGGGTACTACAATAATACCTACCTCTGTAAATTGCTGCAGTGAATTACATGAGCTATTTCTTGTCAGTCTCCTAGAACATTTATTGGCACACAGTAAACACTATCTATTAGTTCTTCATTCTGCTGTTTCTAAATTAACACAAACTTTATTAGCATTTGGGCATATTTCCTTCATGGCCTTATGGTGTTATGTGTCACACTTTATGCTTCAGATATGATTCTTAAAATCATAACTGAAGATATGATTTAAAAATCAAAGATTTTAAAAATCTTTCGCATACTTGTCCTTGAAATTCCCAGTGAAAGGGAAACCATCAGTCCCATAGTCCTAGGGGCCTTCCCGACTGTACAAGAAATCACTACTTCATGCCCCAGTGCAGTGTTTTAGAGGAGAGGCTGCAAGGCTTGGGAAAGTGGCCCCGCATTCAGAGTCAGACCTCAGGGACTGTGAATTCTGACTCCACTTCGTTGTGGTTGAATCATCTTGTCAACTTCCTTGATGTGCCCTTGAGGTTCTCTTTCTTCATCTCTAAATTTTGGAGGATCAGATGCCAGAAAGTCAGGAGACTGAAGAGTAAAGATGTGGAAATCCCTGTCTAGACCCTGGTACTGGGGAGAGTTTTGTCCTTGGGATGGACCTGGCTCCTGTCCTGTAGGCAATGACCACAGCAGCATGTCCAGCCTTCCACTGAGGCAGGCGTGTCTGTCTTTTCTCAGAATATGAAGAGTGCAAAGATCTCATAAAATCTATGCTGAGGAATGAGCGACAGTTCAAGGAGGAGAAGCTTGCAGAGCAGCTCAAGCAAGCTGAGGAGCTCAGGTGAGGGGACCCCATGGGGGCAGGCAGGGGGCAGGTGTGTAAATCTCTGAAGTACAGCAGCTCGGTGGGGAGACGTAAGAGCTAAGCTGGGCCAGGGGAAGGGCAGGAATTGCCATGGCAGGCTCGCTACACACAAATATTTATCAAACAGAGAAGGAGGATAGTAAAAATGTATGGGTTGCAGTTGTTTCTCAGAGCCTTGTTTTCTCTTTTTCAAACAAGTAATTGTTGATGTGAAATTTACATAACACAAAATTAACCAAAGGAGTGTGAACCACACAGCAGCATTCAGTATACTCAAAATGGTGTGCCATCACCACCCCACTTACCCTTAGTGAGAATCACCTCCTGACTGACTGCGGCTTCTCATTCTTTCACTCAATCAATGTTGCCTTCTCGACCCTGTCATTCTTTTCTTCTTTCGTCTTTTCAATTCGCCCCATCTGCACCTGGCCTCATTTCTGTACATGGCTTTGTATCTAGTGGCCGCAAGATGCACTATGTGTATTTTCACATGGAATTGTCCATGGCCAGAGTGAGGAACTGAAAGGATGTCTTTTTGAAATGGAATTAGGAAGACACCTACTTTTGTTTACAGAAGAGAAAGATGAATGGAACATCATCGAGGATCTTGCAAGAGCTCTCTGTGATACAGAGGAAGCCTGTAAACCATTTTCTATTCTTTCTCTTGGCCACAGACATTCCTTTCAACATGTGCTGACCTTCTGTTTCAAGGTCTCCTTGAGGACATTGTCTCAGAAGTCTCTGTTGCAATATTTGAGCGGATCACTCAACCCTTTCCACTCTTAAATTTTCTCTACCGTCTCACCTTAGGCAATATAAAGTCCTGGTTCACACTCAGGAACGAGAGCTGACCCAGTTAAGGGAGAAGTTGCGGGAAGGGAGAGATGCCTCCCTCTCATTGAATGAGCATCTCCAGGCCCTCCTCACTCCGGATGAGCCGGACAAGTCCCAGGGGCAGGACCTCCAAGAACAGCTGGCTGAGGGGTGTAGACTGGCACAGCACCTTGTCCAAAAGCTCAGCCCAGGTAAGGTGGCCATAGGCCCTGATGACCCAAAATCCCAGGCTTATGAGAGACTCCAGACCTCCATACTTTCACAATGACAGTTGTATCAATGGTGTTTTTTTCCACTAAGCTTATGTGGCCATGACATGACCAGGACTTCTTGGGTAAGAACGGAGATGGGAAACCCATGGGGTTGGAGGTCACAGTATTGCAAGTGTCCCTCCTCCCTTGATGGAAGGTGGTCTCTGGAGCAAGAGGCAGCATCTGTCTAGTTTTAAAGGACAGGAAGGAGGCTGCGATGGGAGCAGGCTTGTTAGAGTGAAAAGAGCTCTGGACTAAGAATGAAGGTTCCCAGGCTGTCTTTTCGGCAATGTTCTTAGTAACTGTCAGAGAGTGAATGACTTGTCCTTCCTGAGTTTCTCTCTCTCCGTGGCAGACAAATTGTCTCTTGCAAGGGTCGAAGCATTCAAATGTGGGAACACTTACAACTGCTTTCCAAAATGAGATGAAGGCCCTCGCCGTGTGATGTTGGAGAAGGCACTTTATGTGGGGGCGTTTTGTGGTAGGAAGTGCTTCAGACTGGAGCGCTCCCCATGGATAGAATGTCCCTGAAGAACACAGCAGAAGCCACTTGGAGGCTTGAAATCTTCTGATGCATAGAGGACTGTGGGACAAGTTTGTCTGCTTCTAAGAGAAAGAATTAGGTTTGAAATGCAAACCGTGACAGGACACCAAGCCTGTGCCTGGGAATCAGATCTGGCAGGATGGGGGAGACAGCTGCCAACGTCCAGAGAGAGGCTGCACAAGCCTCCAGTGATATGGGAAGCAAAAGGTCTTTTCAATATTTGGCCACATCTTGATGGTGGCCCTCCAGATCAGAAATGCATTGCCTGATGGATCAGGAAACCATGCCAGGGCATTCTGTTAAAGATAAAACATGAGAGTTTTCAGTTGAACGGTGACCCATGCCTAGATGTTCATGTCTCTGTTGCACATTGGGCTGACTGTGCTTGCAGACTGTGAAGTGGGAAATATCTGAACGAACACTTCTGTATTTACAGAAAATGACAACGATGACGATGAAGATGTTCAAGTTGAGGTGGCTGAGAAAGTGCAGAAATCGTCTGCCCCCAGGTAACACTGAATACTCAGGAACAATTAATGGATGGTAACATATGAGGAATATCTAGGAGGCACACCCTCTCTGGCATCTATGATGGGTCAAAAACCCGCATTTGCTTAGCCACAGTATGTGAAATATAACCCAGCTTAGACACAGGGTGCGGTAGCTGTCATGTTTCTCTATGTGTGCCGAGTGTCATGTCTGTACCGTACAGGGATAGCTGAGTCTTCATCCTCCTCAGCTCCTATCTGTCCAGTGCAATGAACAGCAGCTGCTCTCTTCCTCTCTGGTTCCCATGGCAGCCATGCTCTGTTGCAGAGAGAACAGGATTGCATGTTCCCTCTTAATGGGAACCTCCATTTTGCTTTCTGGGACCACTCTCTTAATGCCGCCTGTCAAAACCAGCTAGGACTCCCTGGGGTCCAATCCCTCTGTGTTTAATCTTCTGTCATCTCTGTCCCACCTGGCTCATCAGGGAGATGCAGAAGGCTGAAGAAAAGGAAGTCCCTGAGGACTCACTGGAGGAATGTGCCATCACTTATTCAAATAGCCATGGCCCTTATGACTCCAACCAGCCACATAGGAAAACCAAAATCACATTTGAGGAAGACAAAGTCGACTCAGCTCTCATTGGCTCATCCTCTCATGTTGAATGGGAGGATGCTGTACACATTATTCCAGGTAGCCTCTGTTTTCCTTGTGTCTCATACCTCTCTCTAGGCTGAGGAAGATAAACTCTGAAGACAGGCTCTATAAACACAAATTCATTTGAATAAAAAACTGTGATGGGTTTCTAAACAGATATCAGGGAGTTTTTTTGTCCTTCACAGCTAATGTCATGACTTTGTCTGCCAGTCCCCAGTATCAAGTTACTCAACCCCAGGCAAGTGTGACAATCTCATAGTCACCTGAGTGCAGGAGGTGCACAGGCAGTATCTGTCAGGCCTCCTAGCTTCGATTCAGTATCTCTTGTCATCTGTGATTAAGTCATCTGTCCCTGAACAATGTCCATGGAGTTTCTATGCCTGTTTAAGGAAGCTGGCAGCCTTGCCTTTGTATTTGGAATTATTGTTCCCCAGGCTTCACTGCTCTCAGCTTTCATCTGGATCTCCTTTAAGTCAGCTTGCTTAGCTGCACAGTCACCCTGAAATCAGTACGGAAACTTTTCTTCTTTACTTTGCTGATATATTTCCATAAAGCAAGGCTGGACCCTGGTTCTCCACCCTGTCAATGCAATGGCTGATCCAATGTTTCTTTGTAGCATCGTGGATTTTTTTTTTTTTTTTTTTTTTTTTTTTTGCGATGGAGTCTTGCTCTGTCACCCAGGCTGGAGTGCAGTGGCACCATCTTGGCTTGGTGCAACCTCTGCCTCCCAGATTCAAGTGATTCTCCTGCCTCAGCCTCCTGAGTTGCTGGGACCACAGGTGCACAACATCACATCTGGCTAATTTTTGTATTTTTAGTAGAGACAGGGTTTCCCCATGTTGGCCAGGGTAGTCCTGAACTCATGACCTCAAATGATTCACCTGTCTTGGCCTCCCAAATCACAGATTCTTTTTAAAGCAAGAGTTGTTCAAATTTATCTATCAGTCGTGTTTCATGTATAGATGCCTCTAAACATTTAATGTCCATGTTACCTGGTGATATAAGTCCATATCGCAGCAACACTCTTAGAAAATTGTTTGACCAATTTTTGGAGATTTTTTTGGGGAAAAAATTTTGTTTAACTTTGACTCAAGCAGGGAATATGGCATTATGGTCTACATGTAGAGGGAGATTTTGGCCTGTGGGTCTGGAAAGCAGGGTCATCTAATTCTCACCAAAGTTAATCTAGGACAACCTAGAATATTCCTGTCAGAATCCTTATTCTTGCACTGAGAATAGTTATGTCCTTGTGCTATGATTGGACAGTGATTTGTTCATATGTGAAGTATGAATTGCTTAATGTGACCTGCTTCTCTGAATTTATTTACAGAAAATGAAAGTGATGATGAGGAAGAGGAAGAAAAAGGACCAGTGTCTCCCAGGTAATGTTGTGGAATTGTTGGCTGTTAATTCAGTAGTGACATCTGGAGATTGTAGATTTAGGGAAAATGAGGAAGTGATGAATAGAACTATTTCTTCCATTCACCCAGCTACAAATTGTGCTGATTTACAATGTTGTATGTTATTTGTGGCACTTGTATTGGTTTTAATTTCATAGTCCTCTCAAGATAGGAACTTGCCATCAGATGAGCCAGGTGAACTAGCCAAACAGGGTTTTCTTGTTGATCTTTTCAAAAAACCAGCCCTGGATTCATTGATTTTTTGAAGGGTTTTTTGTGTCTCTATCTCCTTTAGTTCTGCTCTGATCTTAGTTACTTCTTGTCTTCTGCTAGCTTTTGAATTTGTTTGCTTTGCTTCTCTCGTTATTTTAATTGTGATGTTAGGGTGTCAATTTTAGATCTTTTCTGCTTTCTCTTGTGGGCATTTAGTGCTATAATTTTCCCTCTACACATTGCTTTAAATGTGTCCCAGAGATTCTGGTATGTTGTGTCTTTTTTCTCATTGGTTTCAAAGAACATCTTTATTTCTGCCTTCATTTTGTTATTTTCCCAGTAGTCATTCAGGAGCAGGTTGTTCAGTTTCCATGTAGTTGTGCGGTTTTGAGTGAGTTTCTTAATCCTGAGTTCTAATTTGATGGCACTGTGGTCTGACAGTTTGTTGTGATTTCCATTCTTTTACATTTGCTGACGAGTGCTTTACCTCCAACTATGTGGTCAATTTTGGAATAAGTGTGATGTGGTGCTGAGAAGAATGTATATTCTGTTGATTTGGGGTGGAGGGTTCTGTAGATGTCTTTTAGGTCTGCTTGGTGGAGAGCTGAGTTCAAGTCCTGGATATCCTTGTTAAGCTTCTGTCTCATTGATCTGTCTAATATTGACACTGGGGTGTTAAAGTCTCCCATTATGATTGTGTGGAGTCTAAATCTCTTTGTAGGTCTCTCAGGACTTGCTTTATAAATCTGGGTGCTCCTGTATAGGGTGCATATATATTTAGGATAGTTAACTCTTCTTGTTGAATTGATCCCTTTACCATTATGTAGTGGCCTTCTTGTCTCTTTTGATCTTTGTTGTTTGAAAGTCTGTTTTATCAGAGACTAGGATTGCAACCCCTGCCTTTTTTTGTTTTCCATTTGCTTGGTAGATCTTCCTCCATCCCTTTATTTTGAGCCTATGTGTGTCTCTGCATGTGAGATGGGTTTCCTGAGTACAGCACACTGATGGGTCTTGACTCTTTATCCAATTTGCCATTCTGTGTTTTTTAACTGGGGCATTTAGCCCATTTACATTTAAGGTTAATATTGTTATGTGTGAATTTGATCCTGTCGTTATGATGTTAGCTGGTTATTTCGCCCGTTAGTTGATGCAATTTCTTCCTAGCGTCAATGGTCTTTACAGTTTGGCATGTTTTTGCAGTGGCTGGTACCGGTTGTTCCTTTCCATGTTTAGTGCTTCCTTTAGGAGCTCTTGTAAGGCAGGCCTGGTGGTGACAAAATCTCTCAGCATTTGCTTCTCTGTAAAGGATTTATTTCTCCTTCACTTATGAAGCTTTGTTTGGCTGGATATGAAATTCTTGGTTGAAAATTCTTTTCTTTAAGAATGTTGAAGATGCTGGAGAGGATGTGGAGAAATAGGAACACTTTTACACTGTTGGTGGGACTGTAAACTAGTTCAACGATTGTGGAAGGCAGTGTGGCAATTCCTCAGGGATCTAGAACTAGAAATACCATTTGACCCAGCCATCCCATTACTGGGTGTATACCCAAAGGATTATAAATCATGCTGCTGTAAAGACACATGCACACATATGTTTATTGCGGCACTATTCACAATAGCAAAGACTTGGAACCAAGCCAAATATCCAGCAATGATAGACTGGATTAAGAAAATGTGGCACATATACACCATGGAATACTATGCAGCTATAAAAAATGATGAGTTCATGTCCTTTGTAGGGGCATGGATGAAGCTGGAAACCATCATTCTCAGCAAACTATTGCAAGGACAAAAAACCAAATACCGCATGTTCTTACTCACAGGTGGGAATTGAACAATGAGAACACATGGACACAGAAAGGGGAACATCACACACTGGGGCCTGTTGTAGGGTGGGGGGAGGGAGGAGGGGTAGCATTAGGAGATATACCTAATGTTAAATGATGAGTTAATGGGTGAAGCACACCAATGTGGACATGTATACATATGTAACTAACCTGCACGTTGTGCACATGTACCCTAAGACTTAAAGTATTAAAAAAAAAATATATATATATATATACATACACACAAAAAATAATAAAGGAAAACTATACATATGGAAAAAAAAAAGAATGTTGAATATTGCTCCCACTCTCTTCTGGCTTGTAGGGTTTGTGCCAAGAGATCTGCTGCTAGTCTGATGGGTTTCCCTTTGTGGGTAATCCGACCTTTCTCTCTGGCTGCCCTTAGCATTTTTTCCTTCATTTCAACCTTGGTGAATCTGACAATTACGTGTTTTGGGGTTGCTCTTCTCGAGGAGTATCTTTATGGTGTTCTCTGTGTTTCCTGAATTTGAATGTTGGCCTTCCTTGCTAGGTTGGGGAAGTCCTCCTGGATAATATCCTGAAGAATGTTTCCCAGCTTGGTTCCATTCTCCCCGTCACTTTCAGTACACCAATCAAACGTAGATTTGGTCTTTCCACATAGTCCCATATTTATTGGAGGCTTGTTCATTTCTTTTTACTCTTTTTTCTCTAAACTTCTCTTCTCGCTTCATTTCACTAATTTGATCTTGAATCACTGATACCGTTTCTTGCACTTGATCGAATTGGCTACTGAAGCTTGTGCATGCATCACATAGTTCTCGTGCCATGGTTTTCAGCTCCATCAGGTCATTTAAGGTCTTCTCTACACTGTTCATTCTGGTTAGCCATTCGTCTAATCTTTTTTCAAGGTTTTTAGCTTCCTTGCGATGAGTTCGCACATCCTCCTTTAGCTCAGAGAAGTTTGTTATTACCGACTTTCTGAAGCCTACTTCTGTCAGCTCATCAAAGTCATTCTCCATCCTGCTTTGTTCCATTGCTGGCGAGGAGCTGCGATCCTTTGGAGGAGAAGGGATGTCAGGTTTTTGGAATTTTCAGCTTTTGTGCTCTGGTTTCTCCCCACCTTTGTGGTTTTATCTACCCTTGGTCTTTGATGATGGCGACCTACAGATGGGGTTTTGGGGTGGATGTCTTTTTTGTTGATGTTGATGCTATTCCTTTCTGTGTGTTAGTTTTCCTTCTAACAGTCAGGTCCCTCAGCTTCAGGTCTGTTGGAGTTTGCTGGAAGTCCACTCCAGACCCTCAAACAGGGATTTCTTGGTGTTGCCTATTCTCTCCCATGTGTTTAAATCCAGGGAGAGGTGTATATATGCTTTCTTCCTATTTGTTGGTAGTATGTTGGCTAGTATTTTTGCAAGAAAAGAAATTGAAAAAGTAAATATATTATATCAAAATATTGGGAAAATGGGGCCCTTAATACACAAGATCTGTGTCTGCACTGCGTCAAGAACTCTCTTCACTTGAATGCTGCATGTAAAATTCAACCCAATTTATGCAAAGTAGTTGAAGCCCTGTGTCAGTTCTCTGTGCTGCAAGTCATGATGGTAGTTTACAGGGAGAGTCTGGGTGCCCTGAGTTGGCTCATCTGTGGCAAATGTACTGAGCACATGCTGCCCATTTTTGCTCTGTCCCCAGAGCAGTCACCCTCCACCCTGTATTTAGAAGGATAGTTTTATTTCTCTTGAAGGAAAAATGCCTTTGGTTTCTGTGACCACTCCATTCTGTCTCCCATCAGATCATCTGGGAGGTTTTGTTGTCTAATGTCTGTTGGTTAAATCTTCTATCATCCCTGTCCTGCCTGGCTCATCAGGAATCTGCAGGAGTCTGAAGAGGAGGAAGTCCCCCAGGAGTCCTGGGATGAAGGTTATTCGACTCTCTCAATTCCTCCTGAAATGTTGGCCTCGTACAAGTCTTACAGCAGCACATTTCACTCATTAGAGGAACAGCAAGTCTGCATGGCTGTTGACATAGGCAGTGAGTACTCCATTGTGAAGGTGATAAAGCTCCAGTTCATGGCCCAGGTAGACCCCATAATCTTTGGGCCTTGTGCCGCTTGTTGGGCTGAGATTTGCCATCACTGTGGGCTGAACCTATATATCAATGTAGATTTCAATCACTCTGGAGTCGAGTCTGAAGCACAGGCATGGGGTGGGTCAGTGAGCTTTGCTCTCTTCCTAGTCTCACGCCATGCCCGTGCCAACCTGGACTGACTGTCACGATATTGAACTCAAGGCAGGTGTGGCAAACTCACACCAAACTATGCAGCACATGCCCAGGAGTTGTCTGTCAGCTCAGCTCATCTGAATTAAATGTCTCTTGCCAGCTACAAAATTCCTTATGAGTTTTGTTCCCAAAGCATGTCTGTGTGGTTCTTTACCTGCCCAAGGCCAGTGTCACCCTTGTCTACCTCTCAGTGAAAGATGTGACCCAGGTTTCACTGAATTTATTCCCATTTTCTGTGTCTTCTAAGTTCGCTTGCTTTAGCTCATCTGTCCGTCATGTTCCTGGTATGTTTTCTAGATAAATGGCTGACTTTTCACCCACAAAAGCCATAATAGCTGATGCTTCTGTGTAGAACCAAGTTTCATTTTGACTCAAGAGCTGGTACATTGCACCCCCTCATCAAATCTCTGTGTCCACAATCTCATAAACTATCAAATTCTGGGTATTTGATGAGAGAAAGCTTAATATTGAAGTATCTCTCCTATGAGGTGTTAGAACTATTTGCCTACAATTTATTGGGGAAAAAATTGCTCATTTGTGTACATAAACCTAGGACAGAGCACATAGGGAAGATAACATTCCAACTCAGGGGAATTTTGCCCAAGGCTCATGAAAGAACCCAAGCCAGTTTTCTCAAGACTTGACCTCAGGCCTACTGGAATATTTCTCTCAAAGTCTCCTGTTCTCACATTGACAAGACTGATGTCCCTGTGTTAGGATTGGACAGAGGAATGTTTCTGTGTGCAAGGAAGAACTGCTTAATGTAAGAGGGCCCATATGAATTTATTTGCAGGACATCGGTGGGATCAAGTGAAAAAGGAGGACCAAGAGGCAACAGGTCCCAGGTGAGTCTGAGAAATTGTGGACAGTTAATTTGATGTTGACACCTGGAGATGCCAAGTCCAGGGAAAACAGTACATGCTGAAAATAATGATTTTGTCTTGTCAGACAAGTCTGAATTACGCCTACTACATTGCTTTTTGGTTCTCATTAGAGTAAATGTTTAGGTTTCCATTTCTTCCTACCCTTATCATTTACTAACCTAGTGAAAGTTGACCATACCTCAAAAGCTGTATTCTCATGGTAACTGCAGGGAAACTTGAGCACATTTTATGCAAAATTATTGAGGACAGGCTTTTCATGATCACTGTTCACTGTGTGTCCTGAGAGCACAAATACAGAGTGTCCTTTGACTCCCTCATCAGTGTGTCACCTGACCAATTCACTGAGCTCGAACTGTGTGTGTGTGTGTGTGTGTGTGTGTGTGTGTGTGTGTGTGTGTGTGTCTTTCTCTTTCATCCTTTTCTACCTGGCCCTAGTCTATCCCAACATAAAGGCAATAATTTGTTACCTCATTAATGGATCTGTCCTTTTTCTTTTCAAACTCTTCCTTATGTTAGCCATGAAATCTAGCTGGGGCTGTGTGGTTTCTGATTCCCCATGGCTTATTCTTTACTTTTTCCCACTTTTCCAGGCTCAGCAGGGAGCTGCTGGATGAGAAAGGGCCTGAAGTCTTGCAGGACTCACTGGATAGATGTTATTCAACTCCTTCAGGTTGCCTTGAACTGACTGACTCATGCCAGCCCTACAGAAGTGCGTTTTACATATTGGAGCAACAGCGTGTTGGCTTGGCTGTTGACATGGATGGTGAGTACCTTTCTATGAAGGTGATAAGGATCCACTGAGTCTTCTGGTTAGGGTCATATTCCTACTGCAAGTGGCCCTTACTGAGCTGAGAGATGTCATTGCCACAGGGAGGACCTATAGGCACATGTAGGTTGAATGAAACTCTAGTTCCACTTGGAAGCCCAGACAAGGGATGGGTCAGTGAGCAAGGCTCTCTTCCTAGTCTCAGGCCATGCCTGTGGCGCCCTAATCCTACTCTCATGACATTGGACCTGGGCAGATGTGACAAATTCACACAACTCTGATTTTGTCTCAATTTTGTAGATCTTGTAGATTTCATCCTTCACTCTAATTTCAGCGTCTAAAATCCTCGCTACCATGAACAATCTGAGTATTTGATGAGACAGGGCTGAATAGTGCAGTTTTTCTCCTAGCAACCATTTGGGGGCATTTGCTTTAAATCGATTGGAAAAATATGGCATAACCATTTGCACAAACTTGGGACAAATGATATTGGGACAACGATCTACCAGAATAGGGAATTTTACCCACAGTTTCTGGGACAAAAACCAAGGAATCTCTATGGTGATCAGCCTTCAGGCCTCCTGAAGAATATCTCTCACAGTGTCCTATTCTCATGCTGAGGAGCCTGAAGTCCCTGTGTGAGGATTAGACAGTGGATTGTTATGTGTGTAGGAGAACCAGCTTAATATGTCTGTCCATGTCTGAACTTATTGCAGAAATTGAAAAGTACCAAGAAGTGGAAGAAGACCAAGACCCATCATGCCCCAGGTAACTTTGAGCAATTATGGATGCTTAATTCTGTGTTGACACCTGGAGATGCCAGGTCCAGGGAAAGCAAGAGTGTGTTCAATTTCATGTTTTCAACGAAGGTTGAAATACTCCTCCTGACATTGCTGTTGGTTTTCATTGCAGAAGATGTTTAGGTTTCCATTTCTTCCTCCCCTTATCATTTACTAACTTACTATAGGTTGACCATACCTCAAAGGCTGTATGGCAACTGCATGGAGTCTTGAGCAAGTTTATGGAAAATTATTGAGCCCACTCTTTTCATGATCACTGTTCGCTGTGTGTCCCGAGGGCACTAACTCAGAGTGTCCTTTGACCCCTTCATCAGTGTGTCACCCGGCCAATTCGCTGAGCTCACTTTCTCCTCTCTCTCTCTCTCCCTCTCCCTGTCTTTCTCTTTCATTCTTTTCTACCTGGCCCTGGTCTATCCCAACATAAAGGCAATAATTCATTACCTCATTAATGGATCTGTCCTTTTTCTTTTTAAACAGTTCCTTATGTTAGCCATGAAATCTAGCTGGGGCTGTGTGGTTTCTGATTCCCCCTGGCTTATTCTTTACTTTTTCCTACTTTTCCAGGCTCAGCAGGGAGCTGCTGGATGAGAAAGAGCCTGAAGTCTTGCAGGACTCACTGGATAGATGTTATTCGACTCCTTCAGGTTATCTTGAACTGCCTGACTTAGGCCAGCCCTACAGCAGTGCTGTTTACTCATTGGAGGAACAGTACCTTGGCTTGGCTCTTGACGTGGACAGTGAGTACCTTACTATGAAGGTGATAAGCCTCCACCTGGTCTTCCAGATAGGGGTGATATTCCTGTTCCAAGTGGCCCTTACTGACCCGAGAGATGTCATTGCCGCAGGCAGGACCTATGGGCGCATATAGGTTGTAATGAGACTGTAGTCTCAGCTGGAAGCCTAGACATGAAATGGGTCAGTGAGCAAGGCTCTATTCCTAGTCTCCAGCCATGCCTGTGGCAACCTGAGCCCGCTCTCAGCACATTGGACCCAGGCAGATGTAAAAAATTCACAGAAGTATGATTTGGACTCAAGGGTTTGTAGATTTCCTCCTTCATTCTAATTTCAGTGTCTCAAATTCTTGCATCCATGAACGAGCTGGGCATTTGATGAGACAGGGCTGAATACTGCAGTTTTCCTCCTAGAAATCATCTGGGGCATTTTCTTTGAACTGATGGGAACAATAAGGCATAACTGTTTGCACAAACTTGGGATAAATGATTTTGGGATAACGATCTACCAGAAGGGGGATATTTCACCCTTGGTTCTGAGATGCAAACCAAAGAATATCATGACCAGCTTTCAGGCCTCCTGAAGTACATCTCTCACATTGTCCTGTTCTCATGCTGAGGAGCCTGAGATCCCTGTGTGGGGATTAGACAGTGGACTGTTATGGGTGTAGGTGAATTGGCTTATTTTGTCTGTCCCTGTCTGAATGTATTGCAGGAATTAAAAAGGACCAAGAAGAGGAAGAAGACCAAGGCCCACCATGCCCCAGGTAACTGAGCAATTGTGAACAGCTACTTCTGTGTTGACATCTGGAGACTCCTGGTTCAGGGAAAACAGAGCGGGCTGACATTATCGATTACATCTTTTCAACCAAGCCTGAATTATTCCTACTAACATTGCTGTTGGTTTTCATTGCAGTAGATATTTAGGTTTCCATTTCTTCCTCCCCTTCTCATTTACTAACCTACTGTAGGTGGACCAGACTTCAAAAACTGTATTCTCATGGCGACTGCATGGAAACTTGAGCACATTTTATGGAAAATTATTGAGCACAGTCTTTTCATGATCCCTGTATGCTGTGTGTCCTGAGGGCACTAACTCAGAGTGTCCTGTTACTCCCTCATCAGTGTGTCACCTGGACAATTCACTGAGCTCGTTCTCTCTCTCTCTCTCTCTGTGTGTGTGTGTGTGTGTGTGTGTGTGTGTGTGTGTGTGTGTGTCTGTCTGTCTTTCTCTTTCATTCTTTTCCATTTGGCCCTGTTCTGTCCCAACATGAAGGCAATAATTTGTTACCTCATTAATGGATCTATCCTTTTACTTTTTTAACCACTTCCTTATGCTACCCATGAAACCTATTTGGGGTTCTGTTGTGTCTGATTTCCCCTGGCGTATTCTTTACTTTTTCCTCCTTTTCCAGGCTCAGCAGGGAGCTGCTGGAGGTAGTAGAGCCTGAAGTCTTGCAGGACTCACTGGATAGATGTTATTCAACTCCTTCCAGTTGTCTTGAACAGCCTGACTCCTGCCAGCCGTATGGAAGTTCCTTTTATGCATTGGAGGAAAAACATGTTGGCTTTTCTCTTGACGTGGGAGGTGAGTACCTTTCTATGAAGGTGATAAGGATCCACTGAGTCTTCCATATAAAGATCATGTTCCTGCTCCAAGTGGCCATTACTGAGCTGAGAGATGTCATTGCCACAGGGAGGACCTATAGGCACATGTAGGTTGAATGAAACTCTAGTTCTACCTGGAAGCCCAGACAAGGGATGGGTCAGTGAGCAAGACTCTCTTCCTAGTCTCAGGCCATACCTGTGGCGCCCTGATCCTACTCTCATGACATTGGACCTGGGCAGATGTGACAAATTCAGAGAACTATGATTTTGACTCAAGGGTTTGTAGATTTCCTTTTTCACTCTAATTTCAGTGTCTAAAGTCCTCACAACCATGAACAATCTGAGTATTTGATGAGACAGGGCTAAATATTGCAGTTTTTCTCCTAGAAATCATTTGAGGGTATTTGCTTTAAGTTGATTGGAAAAATATGGCATAACTGTTTGCACAAACTTGGGACAAATGATATTGGGATAACGATCTACTAGAATAGGGACATTTTACCCACAGTTTCTGGGAGAAAAACCGAGGAATTTCTATCATGACCAGCCTTCAGGCCTCCTGAAATATATCTCTCACAGTGTCCTATTCTTATGCTGAGGAGCCTGAGGTCCCTGTGTGAGGATTAGACAGTGGATTGTTATGTGTGTAGGGGAATCAGCTTAATGTGTCTGTCCATGTCTGAATTTATTGCAGAAATTGAAAAGAAGGGGAAGGGGAAGATAAGAAGGGGAAGAAGATCAAAGAAGAAAAGAAGAAGGGGAAGAAAAGAAGGGGAAGAAGATCAAAACCCACCATGCCCCAGGTAACTTTCAGCAATTGTGGATGCTTAATTCTGTGTTAACACCTGGAGGCAACAGATTCAGGGAAACCAGAGTGTGTTTGATGTCACGTTTTCAACGAAGACTGAATTACTCCTACTGTCATTGCTGTTGGTTTTCATTGCAGTAGATGTTTAGGTTTCCATTTCTTCCTCCCCTTATCATTTCCTAACGTACCATAGGTTGACCATACTTCAAAAGCTGTACTCTCATGGCCACTGCATCGAATTTTGAGCATATTTTATGGAAAACTATTGAGCTCACTCTTTTCATGATCACAGTTTGCTGTGTGTCATGAGGGCACTAACTCAGAGTGTCCTTTTACTCCCTTACCAGTATGTCAACTGGCCAATTCACTAGGTCACTTTCTCTCTGTCTCTGTCTCTGTCTCTCTCTCTCTGTCTTTCTCTTTCATTGTTTTCTACCTGGCCCTGTTCTATCCCAACATAAAGGCAATAATTTGTTACCTCATTAATGGATCTGTCCTTTTTCTTTTCTAACCACTTCCTTATGTTACTTCTGAAATCTAGTGGGGCTCTGTGGTGTCTGATTTTCCCTGGCTGCTTCTTTAGTTTTGTCTCCTTTTCCAGGCTCAACAGCGTGCTGATGGAAGTGGAAGAGCCTGAAGTCTTACAGGACTCACTGGATAGATGTTATTCGACTCCATCAATGTACTGTGAACTACGTGACTCATTCCAGCACTACAGAAGTGTGTTTTACTCATTTGAGGAACAGCACATCAGCTTTGCCCTTGACATGGACAATAGGTTCTTTACTTTGACGGTGACAAGTCTCTATCTGGTCTTCCAGATGGGAGTCATATTCCCACAATAAGCAGCCCTTACTAAGCCGAGAGGTGTCATTCCTGCAGGCAGGACCTATAGGCGCCTGAAGATTTGAATGAAACTATAGTTCCATTTGGAAGCCCAGACATAGGATGGGTCAGTGGGCATGGCTCTATTCCTATTCTCAGAGCATGCCAGTGGCAACCTGTGCTCAGTCTGAAGACAATGGACCCACGTTAGGTGTGACACGTTCACATAACTGTGCAGCACATGCCGGGAGTGATCAGTCGGACATTTTAATTTGAACCACGTATCTCTGGGTAGCTACAAAATTCCTCAGGGATTTCATTTTGCAGGCATGTCTCTGAGCTTCTATACCTGCTCAAGGTCATTGTCATCTTTGTGTTTAGCTCATCCAAAGGTGTTACCCTGGTTTCAATGAACCTAACCTCATTCTTTGTGTCTTCAGTGTTGGCTTGTTTTAGCTGATCCATCTGTAACACAGGAGGGATCCTTGGCTGAGGATTGTATTTCAGAACCACCAACTGCTCTTGACAATTGTTAACCCGCTAGGCTCCTTTGGTTAGAGAAGCCACAGTCCTTCAGCCTCCAATTGGTGTCAGTACTTAGGAAGACCACAGCTAGATGGACAAACAGCATTGGGAGGCCTTAGCCCTGCTCCTCTCAATTCCATCCTGTAGAGAACAGGAGTCAGGAGCCGCTGGCAGGAGACAGCATGTCACCCAGGACTCTGCCGGTGCAGAATATGAGCAATGCCATGTTCTTGCAGAAAACGCTTAACCTGAGTTTCATAGGAGGTAATCACCAGACAACTGCAGAATGTAGAACACTGAGCAGGACAACTGACCTGTCTCCTTCACATAGTCCATATCACCACAAATCACACAACAAAAAGGAGAAGAGATATTTTCGGTTGAAAAAAAGTAAAAAGATAATGTAGCTGCATTTCTTTAGTTATTTTGAACCCCAAATATTTCCTCATCTTTTTGTTGTTGTCATGGATGGTGGTGACATGGACTTGTTTATAGAGGACAGGTCAGCTGTCTGGCTCAATGATCTACATTCTGAAGTTGTCTGAAAATGTCTTCATGATTAAATTCAGCCTAAACGTTTTGCCGGGAACACTGCAGAGACAATGCTGTGAGTTTCCAACCTCAGCCCATCTGCGGGCAGAGAAGGTCTAGTTTGTCCATCACCATTATGATATCAGGACTGGTTACTTGGTTAAGGAGGGGTCTAGGAGATCTGTCCCTTTTAGAGACACCTTACTTATAATGAAGTACTTGGGAAAGCAGTTTTCAAGAGTATAAATATCCTGTATTCTAATGATCATCCTCTAAACATTTTATCATTTATTAATCCTCCCTGCCTGTGTCTATTATTATATTCATATCTCTACACTGCAAATTTTGGGTCTCAATTTTTACTGTGCCTTTGTTTTTACTAGTGTCTGCTGTTGCAAAAAGAAGAAAACATTCTCTGCCTGAGTTTTAATTTTTGTCCAAAGTTAATTTTAATCTATACAATTAAAACCTTTTGCCTATCACTCTGGACTTTTGGATTGTTTTTCACATTCAGTGTTATAATATTTGATTATGCTGATTGGTTTTGGTGGGTACTGATGCGAATTAATAAAAACATTTCATTTCCATGTTTATTTTGTAATCTCTTCCACATTGTAGGCTATGTTTACCATACGTAGCAGAATGTGTTTACATTTCTTGGTTCTAGTCATTTGTATTCTTCGTGAGTGTGAGAGTGTGTGTGTGCGTGTGTGTGTCTGTGTGTGCCTTTGGCATTTAGGAAGGGTTGTATAGCTCATGTTAAATATTGCACTAAAAATGTTTTTGATGGTTTTCCTCCCTTTGAACTAGACACACTTCTAATATTTGGTTTATAGTTTTAAATTATAACTTTCAGCATCAAATATTTCCATACAACAGTCAATTACATGATGTGTTTTCTTTTTCCTACCTCCTTTACCTGCCACTTCTCATAATAGTATTTGAACCTAAACATATACCGGTGACATTCTGTGATTATCATCTTGCCCCTACCTTGGTTTTTGGTTTAGATCCACAATGAAATATATTAACGCTCATGAGCTATTCAAAAGTGAATGTCACAGTCATCACTTGCTGAGTGGTACTCATCCTTAACAGAGTCCTCATGAGGGAATCAGGTCTCGCTGAGTTTAGCATGTTTAATAATCTTTTCTCACGGTCTCGATACATGGATCGCATTACTAGATATAAGGTGCTTGCCCAAAATGATTTTTCTGGAGTTTTTAGGAGATATTGTCCTCCTTGGGGGACATACATGGTGTATGTTCTCATTGTGGGATTCGATTTTGTTCTACCAGGACCTCTAATTTCTGCCAGTTACTTCACTCATTTGTTCTCTTCACCATGAGTCTCCAGAGGATACTTCCATGGTCCGTGCCTCCCCATCTCCCAGTAATTCTGCATTTCCAAGATTGGCACCTCTGGTCCTCTGCACGGTGAAGCCCCTTCCTTTCAATTCCCCAGTAGCCAGTGCTCTAATCCACCAGGTCTCAGGCATGATCTATGTTTCTCCACACTCGCTTTCTGAGGATAGTTTTGCCTGGGTTCTATCATGAACAGGCCCTCCCTGCTGTCCTGGCCTCTATTTGCATAGTGTTTCCTGCTCCCTCTGCCGTCGTGTGGCTCCCAGACCTGGCTAAAGAAAATCACCTGAGGGCCACAGTGTTCCCTAGCCCTGGTGTTTAGGGGCAGGATTATGGGTGAGATTTTTGAGTCTCTAAGTTGACCCCTACGGCTCTGAAGTGTATGTTGAGAAATTCAGCTGTTATCATCCTAGGTGGACTTGCTCCCTCCTATCCTCCTACTTCAAATGCAGAACTTCAATCGTTTACAAAAGAAGACTGAATCGTATAATAGAACACACCCTTATTCATTGGCTGGCTTCACCAATCTCGTGGCTGAACTTGTAAAAATACAATCTTAGCCACATACCTATGAAATGTATATGTGTGTGTATATATATACATGAATTTGCTTCTGAGATTATGGAGGCTGAAATTCCCAAGATGGAAGGAAAGCTGGATACCCAGGAAAGCATTTGTTTCCCATTAGGCCTCTTAATTCTCTCCTGGCCCTTGATTGATTGCATGAGGCCCACCCCTATTAAGGAGGGCAATCTGCTTCACTTAGTCTGCCCATCCCAATGTTAATCGTATCTGAAAGACTCTCTGGAACACAACCAGAATCATGTTTGGCCAAATGTCCTGGCACCCTGGTGCTCGGTCACAGTGACAAGTACAAGTAACTATCACACATGCCCTTTGTCATATTGGTGATTTCCACTGTTTTTCTCCCAAACTGCAGCTTATATTTGTTCTCTTAGTACTGTTGAGCAAAAACTTAATTTTTATAAAGTCGAATTTATCAATGTTTTCTTTAATGGTTTGTGTTTATTGATAATAAAGAACACTTTACCTAACTCTGTGTCATGAAGATTTTGTCTTATATTTTCTGCTATACTTTTTCTAGTTTTATAGTTTATATTTAGTTGCATAATCCATTTTGAGTTAGTTTTTGAGTTAGTATTGAGGTTCAGGTGAATTTTTTTCCTTTGGGGATAAAAAAAAAATTGTGTAAAAAAAAGTTGTTTCTACACAATTTGTTGACAAGAGAATGCCTTCTCCACTGAATCATATTTGCACCTTTGTCAATCCATTGGGTGGTTGAGACTGGTGAGAGGACTGTCCTGGTGTTTGGACAGAGAGACAGGGCATGAAGTAGGGTGGTTCTTATGGGAAAAATTAAGGAAGACACATTTTTCCATGAGGAATAGGAAATCCCCAAGCACAATTGGGGGTACCCTCTACCAGCATGTTGTAGCACACTCATCTCTGCTCTACCTGTCCTGCTGCAAAAGCTTGGGTGTGCATAGACACTGAGGTTGAGTGGTGTCTTTGGGCATTTTGAGCATTGACACCAAAGTTCCAGCATCAAATCTTAGAATATCAAGCAGCCAGATGGATCACCTGAGGTCAGGAGTTCACGACCAGCCTGACTAACATGGTGAAACCCCATATCTACTAAATACAAAAAAATTAGCCAGGCATGATTGTGCATGCCTGTAATCTGAGCTACTTGGGAGGCTGAGACAGGAGAATCGCTTGTGTACCTGGGAGGTGGAGGTTGCAGTGAGCTGAGATCACACCATTGCACTCCAGCCTGGGCAATGAGAGCAAAACTCTATCCCCCCGCAAAAAAAAAAAAAATAAAAGAATATGAAGCAGCCAAAGAAGCAGGAAAACATGACACATAATGAAGAATCTAATAATCTAGTTGAAATTGACAGACATGTTGGACATAGAAGAAAAGGACATTAGAGCAGTTAGTATAATTGTATTTTAATTAAATGGGGAGGTTGAAGATTTTTTAAATATCAAATTCTGTAGATAAAAAGTATGATTTACAGTCTGAAATGGAAGAAGGCAGTGGATTAAACATTGCAGAAGAGAAGATTATTGAACTAGAAGGAATAGAAGTTGAAACTAACATAAATGAAACACACAGTAACAAATGACTTGAAAACATAAAAAGACCATTGGCATCAAAACTTTAAACCCCCCAGTATAGGGCTAAATGGAATCCCTGAAGGGCGTGTAGTGGAGAAGAGAGACAAAGATATTTAAAACATACTGGATGAAAGATTTAGAAGCTCCATGGAAACCATAAACTTCAAATATTACAGAAATATGATTATTCTAAGAACAAGAAACATGAAGAAAACTTCACCAAGGAACGCCTTAATCAAATCCATCAAAACCAGTGATAAAAAGGAAATCCTAAAAGGAATAAAAAGGGAAAGAACATGTTACATACAGAGCACTAAATATAAGGATGGCATAAGATTTCTCATACAAACAAGAAGTTTGCAATAAAGAACTTAAAAAAAGAAAAACTGTCACCTACAATTCTACACCTGGCCAAATTATCTTTTAAAAATAAACATGAGAAAAAGTATTTTTGAACAGAAAACAAAATGATCTCAATTTGCAGATGTTGTGATCCTATACATAGAAAATCCCAAATAATACCTACAGATGCAAACACACATACATGCATACAGAGGCCAGACACACACACACACACACACACACACACACACTCACATACACACACTACTAGAGTTAATAAGTGAATTCAGCAAACTTTCAGCAAACAATCAGTTGTGTTAGCAATGAACAATCTGAGAAGAAAATTGACACAATGATTTCATTTATAATAGCACTTGTAAGAATAATATGCCTGAGAATAAATTTGTTCAAGAAGGTGCCGTACTTGTACACAGACAACTACAGAACATTGCTCGAGGAGATTCAGGAAGACCTAAATCAATGGACAGACATCTTGTGTCCATGGGTTGGAAGTTGTAACATGGTTAAGATAAAAATACAACTCAAAGCAACCCACAGATTCAATACAATCCTATCAAGAAGTGGCCTTTTTTACAGGAATGCCTAAGAAGAACTTCATATTCCTAAAAAATAGTGTGTCCCCCCAAAACAAAAGCAATCTTGAAATGCAAGAAGAAACATTTTCTATTCCAAAGGTCTTTAACTGCTCTAAGCAGTACTTGGTAGTCTTCAATATATAGGCTTTCATATCTCTTTTTTTCTTCTTTTGTTTCTGCACAGGATCTCACTCTTTCACCCAGGCTGGAGTACAGTGGCACAATCACAGCTCACTGCAGCATGGAATTCTCAGGCCTATGACATCCTAGGGCCTCATCCACTGATTCCTGGGACTACAGGCTCACACCACCAAACCCGGATAATTTTTCTGATTTTCAGTAGAGATGAGGGCTCACTATGTTGCCTAGGCTAGTTTCAAGCTTCTGAGATCAAGCAACCCTCCTGCCACAGCCTTCCAAAGTGCTGGGATTCGAAGCCAAGCCTGGCTGGCTTTCATGTCTTTTCTATGTAGTTTATGTTTCTGGATGCCATTGAGAGTCTGGCTGGCTTTCACATATTTGCTATGTCGTTTATATTTCTTGATGTTATTGTAAATGTTTATTAAAGGAATCTTTTAAAAACTTTGTTTTGGCCAGGTGCGGTGGTCCACGCCTGTAATCCTAGCACTTTGGGAGGCCGAGGTGGGTGGATCATGAGGTCAGAAGATCGAGACCATCCTGGCTAACATGGTGAAACCCCATTCCTACTAAAAATACAAAAAAAAAAATTAGCCTGGCGTGATGGCGGGCGCCTGTAGTCCCAGGTACTTGGAAGGCTGAGGCAGGAGAATGGCGTGAACCTGGGAGGTGGAGCTTGCAGTGAGCCAAGATGGTGCCACTGCACTCCAGCCTGGGAGACAGAGTGAGACTCCGTCTCAAAAAAAAAAAATTGTATTAAAATTATATATTTAAGGAATTACATATATATTTATATATATAAAATACATATCCTTAAATTATATATATTTAAGGAATACAATCTGAGGACTACATATACATATACATAATGAACTAATGCCTACTAGGTGAGGGGCTGCCTTGTGAGCAAACCCAAGGTCCCTGGCTTATGAAGCCTTTGTCTAGAAGGAGGGAGGGATCAGCAAGGTGGGCACACAGCAGGTTCTGTCTTTGGTGTGGGCATCTGCCCACTCGGGTCTCTGGCAATACTAACCAGGCTTCACGATGGGTGAGGTGAGCTAGGAATGGGAAAGTGGATGACTTCAGATCCAGAGACTGCAGTTGTCACCTGGGGACCTGGCGTAGGCGTGGAGGAGTCTCCCACTGACTTGGCCCTGGGTCAATGCCCAAACATGCACAAGGACGGGACTCTCGGCCTCAATGCTTTAGGGGCCCCCAGTCTTCTAAAGAGGGTTTGTGGTGGGGAAGAATGTTCAACAAAACAGAAGAGTTATGGGTACTCTAGCTTGGCAACGGAGAATACTTCCTTGTGCTACTAAATGGCAATATTTGACAATTACGGATGACACAATTGAGCAACAGCTTTCACTGTTTAACAAGCAGTGTCTCTGGAACACTGGGTTAGTGCTGTCGGATGTTGACTGAAAAGTCAGTGGTTTGAGCCCATCCAGTCATATTAATGTTTCTAGCTGATGTGACCTTCCATCTGAAGAGTCTCTTCCTTGGACCAAATATCTCTTAAAGCTTCTCTTCTTCTTGTCTCTTGTCTATTTTCTAAGGTGCCTCTTTGTTGCTTGGGGCAAAAAAAGTCCATTTTAAATCCACACCCAACAAACATCTACCCTTATGTATCCTGGTTTTTAGGGTTTTGAGTTTGTTGTTTGTTTTCTCAGCTTCTCATATTTGGAATACTGGAAATTCCTAAAGTGGAAAATGACAGAACGTGAATCACAGCTATGGTGAAGCCACAGGCTCTGGATGAAAAACCTAATCTGCCAGGGTTTGAAGTTAAACACATGAATCTTCTGTGCCTCCATTTCTATCTGTCCAATGGGCTAAATCAGAACACTTAGGTTGTCCAGTGTTTAAATGAGCAGTGCAGGAAAAGCCTGGAGCCAATGCCTGTCATGTAGTAATTGGTCAACACGCATGAGCTCCTATCAGCGCCATGGTCTCCAGCATTTCCATCAGGCTTTGATCTTTGAAATGTCCTTCTTGATATGAATGGATCATTCCTCAAACATTCTCTAACTGATGGCCATGAAATTGCTCCAATGTGTATTATTACAAATACAACTGCAGGGACCAGACTGACACATGTATCTGTCGTGCATCGCTTGTCTATTTCTCTGTAGACACCTGGAGATGGAATTGTCAGACCAAAGTATTTATACATTTTTGATTTTGCTAATTTCTGTCTAAATTACTGTGAAAAGAAGATATAACATGTCATACTTTTAACATTTTTTGAGAATTCTCTTTTTCTCCATCTTCTGGCCAAAACTGGGAAGTACTTGCCTACCATTTCCTCTGAACTCACTTTTGCCAACATTTGTGTAGTCATACAGTGAGATCACATTGTATGCAAGACATCAAACTCAAATCCTTAAATGAAAGCGATTAACATGACTGTGTAAAAATTTATCTTCAAAATACAATGAATACATATATGCACATATTTATATGGGAAAGGAATTATTTGGATACTTTATCAAAGTTATATATACTTGAAAATTTGTTTAGTAAAATAGCAGTCCCCTTGTGTACTCCCAGAGTTTCATCACATAGAAGCAATTATTTCGTTATTTATCTCCTTATGTCTAAATAGATATTATTACTTTTTGATTTTCAAGTTTAGGCACTACCTCTCCTTCACATACTTGCTCATCACCACCACCCCCAAACACGCCTCTCACCACCTTACCCTCCAACACGTTTGTGTCCTCATTTGCTGGGTCAATTGCTACATTGTTATAACTTGTATATTTTATTCAGAGTTCAGTCACATTGGATATACATAGCAGGAATGAGAGGCCAGTATCTTCAGGGACTCTCTCTCAAGTAGATAAGCTTCAAAGATTTTTGCAATCTTTGGTCACCCTCCCCATCGTTTTCCTATTCCAGGTAAGTACTGGATCTGATGGGCCCAGCTCAGGTCAGGCACTCTCTCCTTGAGCAGGGGAGAGCGGGACATCTTCATGTGTACTACCAGGAAGACACTGTTCAAAGAGGGACAGGTAGTTCTAAGACAGAAAAGTCTGTCTGGGGTACAGGTAGGCAAAACAAGGACACACACACAAAAATTAGTCTGTTCTGTGAGGGGAGCATGCAGTAGAGGGTGGATTCAGAGTGGGAGGGGAGAGTTTTGAGAGATATGGGCCATGGATATCACTCTGTGGGCCGGAGCCACACAAGACGGTTGGGGTCTTTCAGGGGCAGGGAGCTGAGGAGGATCTGCCCTCCCCAACCTGGGAGACTGGTGAGGGGACTGTCCTGGTCACCAGACAGAAATGGGGTCTGGGCCAGGGCGGTTCTGGTGGGAAAGAAAGAACAGGACATCTCCTTAAGGAAAGGTCCTGAGTCAGGTCTTAGTAGGGAGAGAGGTTACCTTGGGCATTGGCAGCTGAAGATGCTTGGCCAGATGAGGGCACTGAAATCCATGTCCTATAAACTTGTAGTTCTAGTAAAAGAATGACAGCAGTAAAGGGTCTTTAGGAAGAGGAGGTGGAAGACCTGTTTTGGGTTGGGGGCTCCAAGAAGAATGTCTGCCTTGCTGTGCAGAAGCCTGCTACACAACCTCCCTGGTCCCCTTCCTTAGTCTCCTGGCCAGACCCCTGTGAGCCCTGGAAGTGCACAATCAGCTCAGCCAAGGCATCTCCAGCTGGGACTCATCCCTGGGCATTTCTGTGGCCTTGGGTGCCCTGGCCTCCTCCAGGCCCTGTCTTGCAGGCAATCATCCTGCAAGGGAAGGGGGAAAGGAGGCTACCTGACAGTTAACTCTGAGTGGCTTCACAAGGTCCTGACTTAGCTCCTAGTCACTTGCAAACCTATATACCCCCATTTCATCCCCCAAACGATGAAAAGAAACTTTGCAGGACTCATGCCAGACAAATAGGGTGGGACCATTCTGTAGAGCCAAGTTCTCAGGACATCAATAAGAGATGGAAACCACCTGCTGGAAGGTGCCACAGTGGGAACCTTGGGGTCAGGGAGCAGTCACTGAACTGTCAGGGTGAATCCTGGCTCCTGGCCCTCACACACCCTTTCTCCCCCTCCCTCCTTCTCTCCTCCCTCCTGTCTGCTCTTTCCCCTCTCTCCCCTGCATCCCTCAGGTACCTTCCATGGGCCCTGACCCCTCCTTTTCAGAGGCTCCAAAGTGAGCCCTCAAAACACTTGGTAACCTTGGACATTTCCAAAACTGGAGAGACTTGACCACAGCATTTTTATGAGCTAGGAAGGTCCTCCAGAGCTCTTGCCTAAATTTTTCTGCTGATGAGAAGAGAACAAGAGTTTCCATCTGATCTGGTCCTAAGGCAACTTCTCCTTGGAGCAGAGTCTGGGCAGGAAGAAGGGGGTTGCCCAGGGCCCTGGACTTGCCCCTCCCAGCTGCTCTGCTCCTCTCCCCTTCACTGCGGGAGGCTGGCCAGGGATCAGGAACCTCTGTTCTCCACAGATGCTGGGATCTCAAGTTCAAATCTAAATATTGGCTGATTTAGGAGGCTAAGGGAGGCAATTGGCTGGAGGGAGGTGTCAGGATTTGGGACAAGAGCAGCATCTAGTTGCCGTCCACAGAGACCCCAAGGACAGGAATCCACTGGTAGCTGGTCAGAGGGGATCCCATGAAAACAAAATCAAACGCGCGCTTTAGTACTGGACCCAAGATCAGGAGATGAAAAACTGCACTGTCCTAAGGGATGAAGGAATTAGGGAATCCCAGAAGTAAAGCTTTTCATATAGGTCATTTCTTCCAAAGAGACATAGGGCAATGGCCCAATGACGTGAACAAAAGAAAACTCGGGGTCTAGGATTGAGGGGAGGCAGCCTTTTTAGTGGAGACCTGTGACCTGGAGGCCCAGGGTCACCCTGAGAGGGGAGGGGTCTTGCTGGTCGCTGGGTCCGGGACTCCAATTGCACACAGCCAGTGGCATGGAGGGTCTGTGACCACGATTGGGCAATTTCCCCCATTCTGCTTATGGAGCAATAGAGAAGAACCTCACTGGAATTATACAGAAAGGTCCCAGTGAGACTTGAACTCTGATCACTGTATTCAGAGTCCAAAGTGCTCACCATTACACCATGGAACCTCACACTAGCTTATAACTGGAGGTAACTGAGTTCATACTTAGCAGCCATAGTTCCCACACACCTATGTTAAGGCATTTCTTCTGATCCCTCAAGCAACACCAAGGAAGGTGGACCTGCGAGAGAGGAGTCATCCTCTTTCTCTCTGCCCTCTCCTTTGATCAACTTTTATCATTTCATTTGCACCTCAGAAAATGAGTCAAAATCCAGCTTGGGCTTAGGGCCAGAGAAGAGCCCTTGAGGCCTCCCTCATGGAAAACATACTCTCTCAGTTTACCAGAGTTTCCTGTACCAAGGGGAAATTTCCGCAAACCGTAGTGCTATATTCTTTTTGCCTTCCCTCTTTTCCCTTTGCCCAGGGAGGCCAGATGATTGTGAGAACAGGACTTGGGACTTCCTGGGTGCCTTTCCCCCTTCCTCCATGTGATAAATAATGGCTGACACCAAGCAAGTGGGATTGGGAGGCAGGGAATCTTTCATTTCCTTCTTCATATACTTCTATGCATTTGTTTGGTTGGTTTTGGCAAGATTTTCTCACCAGAAATGGAGATTTGTTGGATTTAAAATAAAAAGTAATCAGCCATGTTTTACATTTCTATAAAACACTCAAACCAGGCCATACTCCCCTGCTGTGCCTCAAAATCAACCATAAACTGTCGAGGTCAGGAGACAGGGCCCTGACACTTAAGCACAGTGTGTTTCCTCAGAATTGGCCAAGTTGATGCCACTCCAATTTCTCAATATACCACAACCCATTAATTGCGGTTTTTAAAAGTGTACATGTATTTTTACCAAAACCCCAGGGCTTCAGTGTTCTCAGCACACAGAAAGACAATCATTGAGACATTGAGTATTGCTGAGGAAGAAGGCTTTAATTGGGTGCTGCAGCTGAGTAGACGGGAGATGAGTCTCAAATCTGTCTCTCTGATTGACTCAAGTTAGGGGTTTATATAGCACAGAAGAAACGTAACTGTGTGTGGGAAGAGAGGAACTAGGGAGGGGTGAGGAAGCACTCGTGATGAGTGAGGGGACTGGCATCTCATTGTCTGGATGCTGTGATTGGCTGAGTTTCAGGTCTCTGATGCTTTTTGAGAGGACTGAGAGTCCTTTCCTGAGGAAGGAACTCAGATAAAACAAATATAATTTTCTTTTATAGAATGGCTTGACCTCAGGAGTTTGAAACCAGTCTGGGCAATATGGTGAAACCCTGTCTCTACCAAAATACAAAAAAAAAAAGAGGGTTGCTTCCAAGATGGCTGAATAGGAACAGCTCCGGTCTACAGCTTCCAGTGAGATAGACGCAGAACACAGGTGATTTCTGCATTTCCAACTGAGGTACCTGGTTCATCTCACTGGGACTCGTTGAACAGTGGGTGCAGCCCATAGAGGATGAGCCAAAGCAGGGTGGGGTGTCACCTCACCTGGGAAGCGCAAGGGGTTGGGGGATTTCTTTTTCCTAGCCAAGGGAAGCTGTGAGTGACTGCACCTGGAGGAGCAGTACACTCCTGCTCAAATACTGTGCTTTTTTCCACTGTCTTTGCAACTGACAGACCAGGAGATTCCCTCTTGTGCCTGCCTCGGCAAGTCCCATGCCCACGGAGCCTTGCTTGCTGCTAGCACAGCAGTCTGAGATCAACCTGCGACATTGGAGCATGGCAGGGAGAGGGGGTTCTGCCACTGCTGAGGCTCGAGTACTTGGTTCCATGGTCACAGTGTAAACAAAGTGGTAGGGAAGCTCGAACTGGGCAGGGCCCACTGCAGCTCAGCAAGGCCTGCTGCCTCTAGATTCCACCTCTGGGGGCAGAGCATATCTGAATAACAGGCAGCAGACAGCTTCTGCAGACTTAAATGTCCCTGCCTGACAGCCCTAAAGGCAGCAGTAGTTCTCCCAGCATGGCATTTGAGCTCTGATAATGGACAGACAGCCTCCTCAAGTGGGTCTCTGACCACCGTGTAGCCTAACTGGGAGACACCTCCCAGTAGGGGCCGACAGACACCTCATACAAGTGGGTGCCCCGCTGGGACAAAGCTTCCAGAGGAAGGATCAGGCAGCAATATTTGCTATTCTGCAGCCTCTGCTGGTGACACCCAGGCAAACAGGGTCTGGAGTGGACCTCCAGCAAACTCCAACAGACCTGCAGCTGAGGGACCTGCCTGGTTAGAAGGATTAACAAACAGAAAGGAATAGCATCAACATCAACAAAAAGACATCCACACTAAAACCCCATCTGTAGGTCACCAACATCAAAGACCAAAGTAGTACATAAAACCACAAAGATGGGGAGAAACCAGAGCAGAAAGGCTGAAAATTCCAAAAACCAGAGCGCCTCTTCTCCTCCAAAGGAACACAAGTCCTCACCAGCAAGGGAACAAAACTGGATGGAGAATTAGTTTGATGAGGTGACAGAAGCAGGCTTCAGAAGGTCGGTAATAACAAACTTCTCCGGGCTAAAGGAGCATGTTCTAACCCATCACAAGGAAGCTGAAAACCTTGAAAAAAGGTTAGATGAATGGCTAACTAGAATAAACAGTGTAGAGAAGAGCTTAAGTGACCTGAAGGAGCTGAAAACCACAGTATGAGAACCTCATGAAGCATAAACAAGATTCAATAGCCAATTCAATCAAGCGGAATAAAGGATATCAGTGATTGAAGATCAAATTAATGAAATAAAGTGAGAAGACAAGATTAGAGAAAAAAGAGTAAAAAGAAATGAACAAAGACTCCAATAAATATGGGACTATGTAAAAAGACCAAATCTACATTTGATAGCTGTACCTGAAAGTGACAGAGAGAATGGAACCAAGTTAGAAAACACTCTTCACGATATTATTCAGGAGAACTTCCCCATCCTAGCAAGGAAGGCCAACATTCAAATTCAAGAAATACAGAGAACACCACAAAGATACTCATTGAGAAGAGCAACCCCAAGACACATAATTGTCAGATTCACCAAGGTTGAAATGAAGGAAAAAATATTAAGGGCAGCCAGAGAGAAAGGTCGGGTTACCCACAAAGGGAAGCCCATCAGACTGAGAGCGGACCTCTCAGCAGAAACACTACAAGCCAGAAGAGAGTGGGGACCAATATTCAACATTCTTAAAGAAAAGAATTTTCAATCCAGAATTTCATATCCAGCCAAACGAAGCTTCATAAGTGAAGGAGAAACAAAATCTGTTACAGACAAGCAAATGCTGAGAGACTTTGTCACTACCAGACCTGCCTTACAAGAGCTCCTGAAGGAAGCACTAAACATGGAAAGGAACAACCAGTACCAGCCACTGCAAAAACATGCCAAATTGTAAAGACCATCTATGCTATGAAGAAACTGCATCTATTAATAGGTAAAATAAGGCCGGGCGCAGTGGCTCACGCCTGTAATCCCAGAACTTTGGGAGGCTGAGGCGGGCGGATCACAAGGTCAGGAGATTGAGACCACCCTGGCTAACACTGTGAAACCCCATCTCTACTAAAAATACAAAAACAGAACTAGCCGGGCATGGTGGTGGGTGCCTGTAGTCCCAGCTATTCAAGAGGCTGAGGCAGGAGAATGGTGTGAACCTGGAAGGTGGAGCTTGCAGTGAGCCGAGATCACACCACTGCACTCCAGCCTGGGTGACAGAGCGAGACTCCATCTCAAAAAAAAAAAAAAAAAAAAAAGGTGGGAAATAACCAGCTAGTATCACAATGACAAGATCAAATTCACACATAACAATATTAACCTGAAACATAAATGGGATAAATTCCCCAATTAAAAAACACAGACTGGCAAATTGGATAAAGAGTCAAAACCCAGGGGCTGTTCCAAGATGGCTAAATAGGAACAGCTCCAGTCTACAGCTCCCAG
This sequence comes from Homo sapiens, assembly GCF_000001405.40. Taxonomy (NCBI): domain Eukaryota; kingdom Metazoa; phylum Chordata; class Mammalia; order Primates; family Hominidae; genus Homo; species Homo sapiens. The sequence goes on from NC_000001.11 coordinate 120,480,767, forward strand.
CATGAGTGATGCGGAAGATGGGTGATTTCTGCATTTCCAATTGAGGTACCGGGTTCTTCTCACTGGGGCTTGTCAGACAGTGGGTGCAGGACAGTGGGTGCAGCTCACTGAGCATGAGCTGAAGCAGGGCAAGGCATCGCCTCACCCAGGAAGTGCCAAGGGTCAGGGAATTCCCTTTCATAGCCAAGCAAAGCTGTGGCAGATGGCACCTGGAAAATTGGGTCACTCCCATGCTAATACAGCACTTTTACAATGTTCTTAACAAACGGCACACTAGGAGATTATATCCCATGCCTGGCTCAGAGGGTCACACACCCACTGAGCCTCACTCCTTGCTAGCACAGCAGTCTGAGATCGAACTGCAAGGTGGCAGTGAGGCTTGGGGAGGGGTGCCCGCCATTGCTGAGGCTTGAGTAGGAAAAAAAAGCTGCAGGGAAGTTCAAACTGGGTGGAGCCCACTGCAGCTCAAGGAGGCCTGCCTGCCTCCGTAGACTCCACCTCTGGGGGCAGGGCATAGCCAAACAAAAGGCAGCAGAAACCTCTGCAGACTTAAATGTCCCTGTCTGACAGCTTTGAAGAGAGTAGTGGCTCTCCCAGCATAGAGTTTGAGATCTGAGAACGGACAGACTGCCTCCTCAAGTGGGTCCCTGACTCCCAAGTAGCCTATCTGGGAGGCATCCCCCAGTAGGGGCAGACTGACACCTCACACGGCCGGGTACCCCTCTGAGACAAAACCTCCAGAGGAACGATCAGACAGCAACATTTGCTGTTCAGCAATATTTGCTGTTCTGCAGCCTCCACTGCTGATACCCAGGCAAACAGGGTCTGGATTGGACCTCCAGCAAACTCCAACAGACCTGCAGCTGAGGGTCCTGACTGTTAAAAGGAAAACTAACAGACAGAAAGGACACGCACACCAAAACCCCATCTGTATGTCACTATCATCAAAGACTACAGGTAGATCAAACCACAAAGATGGGGGAAAAAAAGAACAGAAAAACTGAAAATTCTAAAAATCAGAGTGCCTCTCCTCCTCCAAAGGAATGCAGCTCCGCACCAGCAATGGAACAAAGCTGGACAGAGAATGACTTTGATGAGTTGAGAGAAGGCGGCTTCAGAAGATCAAACTACTCCGAACTAAAGGAGGAAGTTCGAACCCATTGCAAAGAAGTTAAAAACCTTGAAAAAAGATTAGATGAACGACTAACTAGAATAACCAATGCAGATAAGTCCTTAAAGGACCAGGTGGAGCTGAAAACCATGGCATGAGAGCTACATGATAAATGCACAAGCTTCAGTGGCCCATTCGATCAACTGGAAGAAAGGGTATTGGTGATTCAAGATCAAATGAATGAAATGAAGTGAGAAGAGAAGTTTAGAGAAAAAAGAATAAAAAGAAATGAACAAAGCCTCCAAGAAATATGGGACTATGTGAAAAGACCAAATCTATGTCTAATTGGTGTACCTGAAAGTGACAGGGAGAATGGAACCAAGTTGGAAAACACTCTGCAGGATATTATCCAGGAGAACTTCCCCAACCTAGCAAGGCAGGCCAACATTCAAATTCAGGAAATACAGAGAACGCCACAAAGATACTCCTCGAGAAGAGCAACTCCAAGACACATAATTGTCAGATTCACCAAAGTTGAAATGAAGGAAAAAATGTTAAGGGCAGCCAGAGAGAAAGGTCGGGATACCCACAAAGGGAAGCCCATCAGACTAACAGGTGATCTCTTGGCAGAAACTCTACAAGCCAGGAGGGAGTGGGGGCTAATATTCGACATTCTTAAAGAAAAGAATTTTCAACCCAGAATTTCATATCCAGCCAAATGAAGCTTCATAAGTGAAGGAGAAATAAAATACTTTACAGACAAGCAAATGCTGAGAGATTTTGTCACCACCAGGCCTGCCCTAAAAGAGCTCCTGAAGGAAGCACTAAATATGGAAAGGAAAAACTAGTACCAGCCACTGCAAAAACATGCCAAATTGTAAAGACCATCGATGCTAGGAAGAAACTGCATCAACTAATGAACAAAATAACCAGCTAACATCATAATGACAGGATCAAATTCACACATAACAATATTAACCTTAAATGTAAATGGGCTAAATGCTCCAATTAAAAGACACAGACTGGCATATTGGATAAAGAGTCAAGACCCATCAGTGTGCTGCATTCAGGAAAACCATCTCACATGCAGAGACACACACAGGCCCAAAATAAAGGGATGGAGGAAGATCTACCAAGCAAATGGAAAACAAAAAAAGGCAGGGGTTGCAATCCTAGTCTCTGAAAAAACAGACTTTAAACCAACAAAGATCAAAAGAGACAAAGAAGGCCACTATATAATGGTAAAGGGAACAATTCAACAAGAAGAGCTAACTATCCTAAATATATATGGACCCAATACAGGAGCACCCAGATTCATAATGCAAGTCCTTAGAGACCTACAAAGAGGCTTAGACTCCCACACAATAATAATGGGAGACTTTAACACCCCACTGTCAACATTAGACAGATCAACAAGACAGAAAGTTAACAAGGATATCCAGGAATTGAATTCAGCTCTGTACCAAGTGGACCTAATAGACATCTACAGAACTCTCCACCCCAAGTCAACAGAATATACATTCTTCTCAGCACCGCACTGCACCTGTTCCAAAATTGACCACATAGTTGGAAGAAAAGCACTCCTCAGAAAATGTAAAAGAACAGAAATTATAACAAACTGTCTGTCAGACTACAGTGCAATCAAACTAGAACTCAGGATTAAGAAACTCACTCAAAACCACTCAACTACATGGAAACTGAACAACCTGCTCCTGAATGACTACTGGGTAAATAATGAAATGAAGGCAGAAATAAAGAGGTTCTTTGGAATCCACGGGAACAAAGACACAACAAATCAGAATCTCTGGGACACATTTAAAGTAGTGTGTAGAGGGAAATTTATAGCAATAAATGCCCACAAGAGAAAGCACGAAAGATCTAAAATCGACACCCTAACATCACCATTAAAAGAAGTAGAGAAGCAAGAGAAAACACATTCAAAAGCTAGCAGAAAGCAAGAAATAACTAAGATCAGAGCAGAGCTGAAGGATATAGAGACACAAAAATCCCTTCAAAAAATCAATGAATCCAGGAGCTGGTTTTTTGAAAAGATCAACAAAATTTACAGACTGCCAGCAAGACTAATAAAGAAGAAAAGAGAGCAGAATCACATAGACGCAATAAAAAATGATAAAGGGGATAACACCACTGATCCCACAGAAATACAAACTACCTTCAGAGAATACTATAAACACCTCTCTGCAAATAAACAAGAAAATCTAGAAGAAATGGATAAATTCCTTGACACATACACCCTCGCAAGACTAAACCAGGAAGAAGCTGAATCTCTGAATAGACCAATAACAGGCTCTGAAATTCGGGCAATAATTAATAGCTTACCAACCAAAAAAAGTCCAGGACCAGATGGATTCACAGCCGAATTCTATCAGAGGTACAAGGAGGAGCTGATATCATTCCTTCTGAAACTATTCCAATCAATAGAAAAAGAGAGAATCCTCCCTAACTCATTTTATGAGGCCAGCATCATCCTGATACCAAAGCCTGGCAGAGACAAAACAAAAAAGGAGAATTTTAGACCAATATCCCTGATGAACATTGATGCAAAAATCCTCAATAAAATACTGGCAAACCGAATCCAGCAACACATCAAAAAGCTTATCCACCATGATCAAGTGGGCTTCATCCCTGGGATGCAAGGCTGGTTCAACATACACAAATCAATAAACGTAATCCAGCATATAAACAGAACCAATGACAAAAACCACGAGTATTTCAATGGAGGCCGAAAAGGCCTTCGACAAAATTCAACAGCCCTTCATGCTAAAAACTCTCAATAAATTAGGTATTGATGGGACGTATCTAAAAATAATGAGAGCTATTTATGACAAACCCACAGCCAATATCATACTGAATGGGCAAAAACTGGAAGCATTCCCTTTGAAAACTGGCACAAGACAGGGATGCCCTCTCCCACCACTCCTATTCAACATAGTGTTGGAAGTTCTGGCCAGGGCAATCAGGCAGGAGAAAGAAATAGAGAGTCTTTTCCTCAATTAGGAAAAGAGGAAGTCAAATTGTCCCTGTTTGCAGATGACATGATTGTTTATCTAGAACCCCCCATCACCTCAGCCCAAAATCTCCTTAAGCTGATAAGCAACTTCAGCAAAGTCTCAGGATACAAAATCAATGTGCAAAAATCACAAGCATTCTTATACACCAATAACAGACAAACAGAGAGCCAAATCATGAGTGAACTCCCATTCACAATTGCTTCAAACAGAATAAAATACCTGGGAATCCAACTTACAAGGGATGTGAAGGACCTCTTCAAGGAGGACTACAAACCACTGTTCATGGAAATAAAAGAGGACACAAACAAATGGAAGAACATTCCATGCTCATGGAGAGGAATAAACAATATCGTGAAAATGGCCATACTGCCCAAGGTAATTTATAGATTCAATGCCATCCCCATCAAGCTACCAATGACTTTCTTCACAGAATTAGAAAAAACTACTTTAAAGTTCATATGTAACCAAAAAAGAGCCCGCATTGCCAAGTCAATCCTAAGCCAAAAGAACAAAGCTGGAGGCATCACACTACCTGACTTTAAACTATACTACAAGGCTACAGTAAACAAAACAGCATGGTACTGGTACCAAAACGGAGATACAGACCAATGGAACAGAACAGAGCCCTTAGAAATAACACCACACATCTACAACTATCTGATCTTTGACAAACCTGACAAAAACAAGAAATGGGGAAAGGATTCCCTATTTAACAAATGGTGCTGGGAAAACTGGCTAGCCATATGCAGAAAGCTGAAACTGGATCCCTTCCTTACATCTTATACAAAAATTAATTCAAGGTGGATTAAAGACTTAAATGTTAGATGTAAAACCATAAAAACCCTAGAAGAAAACCTAGGCAATACCATTCAGGACATAGGCATGGGCAAGGACTTCATGTCTAAAACACCAAAAGCAATGGCAACAAAAGCCAAAATTGACAAATGGGATCTAATTAAACTAAAAAGCTTCTGCACAGCAAAACAAACTACCATCAGAGTGAACAGGCAACCTACAGAATGGGAGAAAATTTTTGCAATCTACTCATCTGACAAAGGGCTAATATCCAGAATCTACAAAGAACTCAAACAAATTTACAGGAAAAAAAAACAACCCCATCAAAAAGAGGGCAAAGGATATGAACAGACACTTCTCAAAAGAAGACATTTATGCAGCCAACAGACATATGAAAAAATGCTCATCATCACTGGTCATCAGAGAAATGCAAATCAAAACCACAATGAGATACCACTCATGCCAGTTAGAATGACGATCATTAAAAAGTCAGGAAACAACAGATGCTGTAGAGGATGTGGAGAAATAGGAACGCTTTTACACTCTTGGTGGGAGTATAAATTAGTTCAACCATTGTGGAAGACAGTGTGGCAATTCCTCAAGGATCTAGAACTAGAAATACCATTTGACCCAGCAATCTCATTACCGGGTGAATACCCAAAGGATTATAAATCATGCTACTATAAAGACATGTGCACACCTATGTTTATTGAGGCACTATTCACAATAGCAAAGACTTGGAACTAACCCAAATGTCCATCAATAATAGACTAGATAAAGAAAATGTGGCACATATACACCAAAGAATACTATGCAGCCATAAAAAAGGATGAGTTCTTGTCTTTTGCAGGGACATGCATGAAGCTAGAAATTGTGATTCTCAGCAAAATATCACAAGGACAGAAAACCAAACTCCGCATGTTCTCACTCTTAAGTGGGAGTTGACCAATGAGAACACATGGACACAGGGAGGGGAACATCACACACCGGGGCCTGTTGTGGGGTAGGAGGCTGGGGGAGGGATAGCGTTAGGAGAAATACCTAATGTAAATGATGAGTTGATGGGTGCAGCAAACCAACATGGCACACGTACACATATATAACAAACCTGCACGTTGTGCACATATACCCTAGAACTTAAAGTATTTTTTTTTAAAAAGATTATTTCTTTGAATAAGTGTTCTACTCTTTGCTCCTTCTCAACTCCCTCTTTAAGGCCAATGAATCTTTGATTTTCTCTTTTCAGGCCCTCTTCTAGATCTCTTAAGCATTCTGTGTTCCTGCTCATTCTTCTTTTCTTTTTTCTCCTCTATTTTCAAATAGCTTGTTTGCATGCTCACTAATTCTTTCTTCTGCTTGATCAATTCTACTGAGACCCACTAATGCATTTTCCAGCTCCAGCATTTGATTTTTTTCTCTTACTTCAGTAATCTTGTTAAATTTCTGATATATTTCTGAATTGTTTCTCTGTGTTTTCTTGAAGTTCATTGAGCTTTCTCAAAATAGCTATTCTGAATTCCCTGAGAGTTACACGTCTCCATCTCTCCAGGGTTGGTCACTGAGTGCCTTACTTGGTCCATTTGTTGAGGTCATATTGGCTTCAATGTTATTGATACTGTTGATGTTTGTCAGTATCTGGGCATTGAAGGATAAGGTATTTATTCCAGCCTTTGCAGTCAGGTCTTGTTTGTACCTGTCCTTCAGAGGACCTTCCAGGAATTCAAAGTGGGCTGACGAGTTCCCTAAGCCAGTGATCACTGCAGCCATTTTTGTACTACAGGGCACCCTAGGCCCAGGTACACTGCAATTCTTACCGATTCCTAGGTCCCCAGCCCTGTGGACTTGGGGGAAGATCAGGGATTGTTCTCCGCATTCCCAGGTAAAGCCCCTAGCTTACTTCCCTTTCTTTCCCCCAAGCAAGAGGAACCTCTCTTCAGGCTGCACTGCCTGGAGTGTGGGGAGGGGTGATACAGGCATTCCCATAGCTGCTGCAGCTGCTGCCATCATACTGGCTCACACCACAAGTCCAGGGTGCTCCAGACCTATGCAGCATCAGGGCTTGCCCAAGGACTGTGGTCACTACAGCCTGCCTGCCACTGAAATTTATTTGAAGCCCAAGAAATTTCCAGTGATAAAGCCGGCCAGAACTTTGCTGGGTTCTTCCTGCTGGGGCAGCTGGTTCCCTTGTGGCCCAGGGTGGGTCTAAATGCTTCTTCTGTGGGCACCAGCCTGGAATCAAGTGCTGTGGGGTTCTGCCCAGTGCCGTGTGTCACTATGGCAAGACTGGTACTAAGTTTCAATATAAAGTCTCACACTTTCCCCCTTGTCCCCAAGCCATTAGATTCTCTCTCAGAGAATTTCCTATGGTTGGGGGAGAGGTGTCATAGGCAATGCAAGACTGTCCTTCCTCCCTTCTTCAATGCATCTTTTCTTGTTAGCATGTTAAAAGCGGGTGCTATGATCTCTCACCTGGCTAGCCCTTGTGAAAGTGTTTTCTTACATAGATAGTTGTTTAATTTGATGTTCCTTCAGAGAGACCATTGCCGGAGAATTCTATTCTACCATCGTACTCCACCTTCTACCTGTTTTTATTTTTTAAATGTTTCTAGTACATAATTGTGAAGTGATAGCTTATTTTAATCTTGGGAATCAAAAGCATGTAGCTAAGAACTTTTCCCAAGGAATATTTCAAAATTTTTATATCAATGTTTATGGAATGACATACTTTTTGATTCAAGGTTCTTAAATGTAGTTTTAGTTTTGATTCAATGTTATAGAACACTGTTTTTTTAAACTGTGATCTGAAGCCCACATGTAATGGAATCACCTGGGGTGCTTATATTAAAAAAATGCAGATTCTAGGGCTCACACCAACTAAATCTCCTGGGATTGGAGACCAGGAGGTAGCTCCTATAATCTCCACAGCTGCTTCTCAGGCACACCAAGTTTAAGAACCATTCTTTCATATTTTCAGACTGGGGATTCTTACAAAATGACAAAGAAGGAAAACCTTAATCTTTTAAAGTTAGAGTTCAAGCATTAGACTATATGCTTCTTAAACACAGTTTGTCTTTCCCATTTTCTCTTTCCAGTTCTTTATACTGTCAAGGGATTGGTGCAGAAATGGGAAACAAAGCAGTGAAAGAAAAACTATTTATTTCTTTATACACATCTTGCTTAAACAATCACCAAAAAGACTTTCATTTTCTGTCACCCACCCTGTCCACCAGTTATGTTGGCCTTCAATATGTGGCGTTAGCAACATATATAAATCTATATCATATATTTATACACACAAACACATTCTACCAGCACTGTGAAGACACAGACTAGGCTTTACTAGGCTTGGGGCCTCTCCCATGCCACTTAAAAATGAGCACAGGTTTGCTCTATGCAAGAATTTCAACAGAGTTGGTCTGGCCATCAGTCTGCAATTTCCCCGAGATAAGATAGGGTGACAAAATGGGACAGCAACTTTGAAGTGAGGTCAGTCCAATTTGGATATCATAGAAGAAAAGAAATAGGATGTGCTAGGTTAAGCCTGAGATGGTATCTGGGAAATCACCACATTCATGATGTGAACTCAAAGAACACAGGTGCTACAGTGCAGACCAAAGCCCAGCCTGACTCGACCCAACAGGGTCAGGTGTGGATCTGTGAGTAGTGCTCACTGAGCCCCCGCCAGCAGTGTCCGGCAGGGCACCGCTGCTCCGTAGTGTGCTTTTAGAACCTGCCAGAGGAGCTCCAGCATTGGGACCACGTGCCCCTTTCATCGGAATCAGGGTCCTATATCCACTGAGTTTTCCATCTCAGGACAGCTGATGAGGCAAGAAATGTGCTCTTGCTAGTTCCCAAGCTGCTGGGGCTGTTGAGAGGCAGTATCACAAAACCTTCTGTGCAAACTACGCATCTTTTGCTTAGTGCTGGGCCAAGTGGACCTTGGCTAACGGTATTCCATAGCTGTCACAAAGGCTTTCTGCCTTTCTCCCAGCTCCACCAGGATACATCTCTGACTCCCTCTTCTGGACCCTCCAGTGGACTTGGAGGAATGAGGCCCAGATGCTCCTCAGCAGATAGGTAGCTGCACAAAATGGGGACAGGCTCACCTTTCCTGCTGTTTTAAGGACTTCTGGTGGCTGCGCTTCTTGCATGGTTCCTGGAAGGCAAGGGTCACAAGGCTGGAGTACACGGCAGAGCCCTTAGGGATTTCACCTGCAGACAAACATAAAACAAACCAAATCAGTGTATATTGCCAGGTCCTACTGATGGCTACCTGAAGCTGGAGTGAGAGCTACGTGGTGACCAAAGCCAGGAGCACGGTGAGAGCCAGTTAAGAGGATGAGCTAAGAGCATGCGCTGCAGTCTGGAGGAGCAACAGGTGCCCGAGGTTAGGGGGAGCCTCCCCACCTCCCTGTGTGCTGAGATCCCTGCTCCAATTCACTGCACACTGGGTGGCTGGATCCTACCACTCCCCCTTCAGGGGCCAGGTGACTCTCCAAATCACTTTGTCTCAGCAGAAAGAGGCCTTTGCCATCTCCACCCAAGAAAGAAGTGCTTAGCATGAAACATGCACATATAGAAACAGCCTGTTTGTAGGAAGAAGAGGACATTTTGCTGGGAAGTCCTCTGTTAAGTTTATGTCCAGTTGCCATAATGAGGGTGTGGAGGGGCCAAGTCCACAGGGACCTCAGAGCTCAACTAAGTTCAGTTCCATCTTTGACAGATGAGGGTGCAGCAGTCTCACAGAGACTAAGGGACAAGCCAAAGCCACACAGCAGTTAGTGATAAGCCAGGGATTAGAACCGAGGCCTCGGGTCCTTTCCAGTGATCTATGGGAGGTGGAGGGGAAAGCTTCCACACTGGAGAAAGCCAGTGGATACTAGAGATTTTTGGGTTACCTTTTAGTGGATACTAGAGACTTTTTGGGTTACCTTTTCTGGGACAGGAATAAGGCTTTACAGAGGCAATCCTGTAAGTGCTGCTCTAAAGAGGCTCAGGAAAGAGAAGAATTATCAGAGAAAAACAAAAGGGAATTAGTGAAAAAATAAAAAAAAGAGCAAGTTAAACTGGCCCAAGTCATTTTCACACTATGGAGATCAACATTCTCTCAGGTTATGGATTAGAAACATTTCTAGGAATATGCTGAATTGCTTATGGCAAAGCTTTGATGTCCATGTTAAAAGGTTTAGTTTCTGATTTTTAACCATTTCATATACCTCAAGTTTTTCTTCAAAGCACTTCCTAGGGAATGATTAACACTTAGTGTTTTAAGTAAATGTAGATAATGTCTGGTACATATATAACATTTTTTCCCTGAAGGTTCAGTTGTTATTTATTAACAAATTTGCTTTTAGACCAATGAGACCCAACAGATCTCTTTTGTCATGTTACTTAAAGATACAGCAAAATCAAATCGCTGTTCTTAACCCGGGAATGTGCAGTGAAATCAGTTTATTAGGTTGCAAATTGCTTTTACTTTTTCATGAAGAGTAGAACACATAACTGGCCTCAAGATCCCTCTACTAGAAGCTCATTCAGAGGCAGACTCCCGAATGTCTAATGACTTCAAGAGTCAGCTGAATTGCATTTCTCCAGTCTCTGAACTTGGCCTCAAAGAAGAAAAATTGGAGTAAAAAGGAGAGATGATGACAATGTGAGAGTGAACCAAGATACAGGGGCAGGAGCTGACGGGGTGGGAGGGTGATAGGGACAGAAACTAGCAGGATGCTCACTGAGGACCTGTGATCTTGCAAGTGGACCCCAAATCTTCTCCTGGAAGGCCAAAGCAGGCCAAGAGTCACCTACAAGATCTGCTAACGGATGGTGATGGGTGGGGGACAGGCTTGGTGCCTCTGACTGGTGCAGTAGTTTCCTTACCTCTAAGTTAGTCCTTGCCTTCTTTAAAACATCATGTGTTCTGGTTACTGAAACAACAAAAGAGCACCACAGAGTAGAAACCACCAGCAGAAATTAACCCTACTTGCTTAGCGTGAGAATTCTAAAGCATTTATTTCTTTCTGGCTATTCAGCTTGGAGTCTCCTTCTATCCACCCCCTGTCCTCCCCTCCCTCTGCAGCCACAATTGCTCCTGGCACAGGAGGTTTGGGGACATCAAATCAGTCTCCACTCCCAACATCCCCAAGCCCCCCTGATCACTTCTCATCTGAAGCACAAGTGGGGCATCGGGAAGACTGCCTGTTTCTGCCCCCGTTCCCTCTCAGGGAACCTACGCTGGCTGACAATGAACTGTTCCATGCTCTCCTTCTGCTGGTTGGCATTCTTCAGATGCTCAGTTGTGCTCTGAAGGAGCTGCTCCTGTTTGGATACTTTGGTTCTCAGTTCCAGAAGTTCCCTTTCTGTTGATTCTCCCTGGATAAGAGGAACAGACTCTTACTGACCAGGCAGAAGGCCTAAAGCACCCTGTGCTTTGTGGCTCTTTCCAATTCAAAGAAGGATTCTACAGTCTTCTCAACTCTCTTGAACTGGATTTCCTCCTTCACAGCCTTGGATATCTCCAGCTGAGGACAGTTCAGGATGAGGCCATTAGGTAGGAATATTGAGACTCTGGAATTCCCCATGCAGACTAGCACAGGCCCACACACCTGTAGCTTAAGAGAAACTTGCTTCAGGCTGGTTTAAAACTCCCAACTCTGAAGAGGACCTTGCTTTAGTCCTGATATCAGTTCTGTCACTCTCCCTTCACAGGTAAGATTGAGAGTTCAGAAGTGTTATGCTGGGGAGAGAGATCTGGACTCAGGGAAGTCTGCAAGTTTGTAAATATTTGTGCCAACATGAAGATGGCACAACACCCTCTCCCTGGAATTAGCATAGTTGGATCCAAAAGGTATTGGTGCCATTGACCTGGAAGTAGAATCCCTGGGGAGGGGATCCTGAAACCTGCCTACACGAGGGTCTGCCAATCAGAGTTAGCCTGAGCTCTGAGCAGATCCTGAGGGGAGGCTGACTTTCCCCAGGCCTGGTCCAGCGATGCCAGCTTAAGTGATATGCTGGGATTCCAGGCAGTCGCTAAAAAGGCTCAGTCTCATGGGGGCATTCTGTGATCATTTAACCATGGGACCTGAGGGGTAGGAGATGGGTGCTGAAGCTTTAACTGAATTTCAGCTCAGTCAAACTTCAGAGAGGTAAATAAACTGAACATTTATGGATGGCCAGGGTTATGATGTCTCCGCCTTCTTCACACCCCTTCATCTTCTTTGATTTCTTAACCAGGGGACAGGGGGCTGGCGGGGAATGGGATATATTCAGAGCTGCAATGAAAGCAGCCACCATGGGTCAGAGATGTCCCTCCAGGGACACTCCTCTAAGTTCCTGTCTATCCCAACTCACTATGTGGCTCCTGATTTTCTGGAAAAGCTGTGACATTGAGGAGACAGAACAGTATTGGAGGGCAGGAGAACTGGGTTTGAACCAAGAAAGGGCACTGGCATCTTACCACTTTGCCAGGCAGCACAGGGATGTGGGTGCTTGGCAGGGCCGCTCTCCAGAACATGGTGAGGAGGGAAGCCGACTCCTCTAGGGCATGGTGCAGGGCACTGGTGCTGCTCCGAAGCTCATGAATGCCTTTGCTGCCTAGCACCTGGGGAAAGGTAACACCACAGGAGCGGAGAGATTACTTTCTTCCCCCTGCGTGGGCTCAAGCTTCCTTTGTGAGTGAGGCATAGAACATGGGCCTGCTTGAACCTGTGAAGCCCTCACACAACCATTTGCAGCTCTCAGAACTAAGGTGCTGCTCCCTTTACCAGGAATGCCTTCCTCCACCTGCAGAACCCACAAGGCTTTCAAAACTCACCCCCCTTGCTATGTCCTCTATGAGCCTGTTACCTTCCTTGCCTGAGATAAATGACCACATTTGCATTGGCGCTCTCACAGCACAGAGGATGACTTCTCATACTGTGCCTGTAGCCCCTTACTGTGCTTATCTACTTGGGTGTGTGTCTTGCCCTCTAGTGTGGGGGCTCCGTGGAGGCAGGGCTGTCCCTACACATCCATGGGTCTCCAGCAGCTCAGACAGCACAGCCACAGGTTCCTGGTCTCTCTCACTGGCAAGGTGCTCTCAGAAGCTTTGCTGACTGCCTTCCCTCCCTCTATGCAGTCTGCACAAGGAAATGACATGGCTGCCAGGCTTCTCACCCCTTCCACATGTGGGGGCCATACACCTGCAAATCCTTCAGTTTCTATCCATCCCATTGAGTTGACTCTGCCCACAGATGGTCATGTGCCTGCATGACTATGGTAGATAATAAGCTACCAAAGGCTGCTAGGCAATGCCACATGTTTCTGTGGGGCTGAGGGGAAATATCCAGTCAGCTACATCTGGAACAGAGCAGAACTCACAGTGAAAATAGGAGATAGAGAAGAAAGGGCCTGGCTGCTATACATGGAAGAGGAAGTCTCAGCTGTTGAGAGATGCAAAGCATGAAAAAAACAAAAATGGTGGGAGAAGGAGTTAACATCAAAGGAAGAAAGGGCACAGGGAAAGAGTGCACCTAAAGCTTCAGGTGTGATTACCTCTGTGCCTTGGGCTTCAAGGCCAGGGAAGCTGCACGCTGATCTCACAAGAGACACTATCTTTTTGACCAGCAGCTTGCCCTCCGCAATCTGCTGTCTTAGGGCACTGTAGTCATCAATGTGGCCAATGACATGGCGGCCATGCTTATTGGCAAAGGAGCCATCAGTAGCATCACCCTCTAGCTTGGGAGGGGTCTTCATTACTGGAGAAGTATCCAAACCCAAGCCTGAAAAAGAAAATGACAACACAACTGAATCTTCTGTTATTCATAATGATATCCTCAGTTTGCTCCAACTAAAAAAGAGGTAGGGAACAAGAAAAGGACGAGGCCGGGAACAAGAAAGGAAGCCTGGGAATGTACAAGGGTGGGGCAAAGTCCATAGAGATCTTCTGGCTTCTATATTTTTATAATCTTTCTTACATTATCTCTTAATGATAAATTTGCCAGGAGACAATTTTTTCCTTATTGGCAAATGAAATAGGATGAATCATAATAAATAATAAGTTTCTGAGTAGAGAAGACACAGACAAGGAAGTCAAGCTGGATACAGACAGCATTTTCAAGAATAGAGAGATTATGGTGCAATGAAGCAAAAACAGCAGTAGGAAAACTACAGGAAGATGAACAATGGCAAGAAAGGCAGCCACAGAAGGTGCAGGGAGTAGGGCTAAAGGCCTTGGGGCATGCAGAGAAAACTCTCTAAATACAGATAATATGTTTAGAGACAACAAAAGGTTGTTTGCATTAATCACTTTCCATCATCAGTCCCTGGGCCCTTTAGTTGCCATATTTACCATTTGCTCTGTTGATTATGGGCGTTTCTGAGCCAGGAGTAGAGGAAGCAGAGCTGGGGAAGACCAGAGCTGGGGAATTCATACCAACATCCCGGACTGGAGGGGACACAGCTGAATCTAGGGGGTAAAGGCAACCACAGTTTTCAGGAGCCCTGGAACACACTGCACATGAAGCACATGCACACCTAGCTGTCCCCACTGAGACCTAAGGTGGCAGGACTCTCCTCTTACAGAATTATCCATACCCCACAAGCCAAAGCAAAAGCAAAAGCCTATGAGTCACTGAGTTCAGAATGTTTCCATTCTTCAGAACAAAAAGATATTCCTGTAATTGAGGGGTGTTCCATGAGAACGTAACTTCTAGTTTGAAAAATTATTAGGTGTATTTTTATAAACCGAGTCTTAAGTATAATTTGTGTGTGGTATCTAATATGATGCCCTGTAACTAAATGTAATATGTATAAATATACATAGTACAGATTAAAATCTAGAATCAAAGAATCAAGGAATGAATGGATTCATGGGGGACTCAACATTCTAGTCATCATTCTGATGAGGTAATACTGAAAAAAATTGACTTGTATGAGAAGAACGGAGACAGAAGGCTTGGTGGGTTAACATTGTCTTGCTGGAGACTAAAAAGCAACCCTATGGTGGAGGAATTGGAAAATATCACAAAGAAGGTAGAAAAGGTCCTGCTCAGGCAAGTGTGGCCCAGTGCCTGCTTTCCAGCTCAGGCCTCCGGGGTGCTAGAGAAAGAGGGGCAGGGACTGCATCAGTGGGGCTGAGTCTTGGCTGCTGTATGGGAAGCCAGTGAGAGAAGAAGGCCTGGTTAGAAGGAAGAGTTGGAGACATAACTGAACACCACAACCATCAGGGCAGCCCAGAGGAGGGCAAGATGTCCAACTAATGTAAGCTGAGCAGTTCCTGGTGGTCAGGCGGTTTGCTTGGTGGACCACATGTGTTTTTTTATTGAATTGCCAAAACAGCATAATCATGTTATTGTCACCTTCATTTGACAAATAAGGTTACTGTCAGATAAATGAGAATCTACAAGAACCACAGAAAAACAAAGATTAACATGACCCAGAAATAGCTGGCAGGAGAGTTTGAAAGCTCAGCTTTAGAGAAACTGAACAGAAGTGGTTCCTGATTTGAATAAAATTGAAGGTATGGCCATGGAGGTGAGTGGAGATGGTGTACTAAACGGTGTATCAAAAGGAGAAAAGGACAGAGGAAGTAGAAATTGAATGATTTAAGAGACTAGGGGGACACCATTGACATTTCAATGAAAACTGGGAGAAGTGAGATTGATAGAGGATATTGAGAAGAGAAGGGGGACCTGGTCAAACACGCCTATCTGAAAAGGCAGGCAAGGGGTGGGGTAGAGAAAGCGAATGATGGCCACCCGAAATAAATCACCCACCATCCAGGACTTCCCCAGAGCCCTGTTTCCTTAGGGGCAGGAACATTTTACCACACACTGAGTTCCCCACCTGTGAGGGAAAGGGGGACTAGAGAATCTGGGAAGGTCGGCAATACTGAGACAGGGCACAATGAACTGGAAGGAACACAGACTGAAAATCACAACATCTGGTTCTGATTCTGGCTTTGTCTATAACTTCTCTAAACCCCTGCTTGTCTGTTAATATCTCAGGACCTAAGTTTTCTTATGTGAAATACAGAGATAGCAAAACCTGCTTTACTTCAGATGAAATTATATATGTGAAAACACTTGGCTAAAACTAAAGCACCAAGCAAATCCAAGAAAAAGATATGAACATATACAGCTGCTAATTATTGAGTAATTCTTAGTGTGCCAAGCACTTGTAAATGATTTCATTTAATGCTCAAAATCATATAAGGTACATATGATCATTATCCTCATCTTAAATATAAGGAAACTAAAGCTTAAACCTCTGAGACTTTAGACACCTTGCCCAAATCAAACGACCTCTAAGTGGTAAACTCAGAATCTGGAGCCCAGTCTGACCTAAATCCCACGCTTTCACTCAGGCTGCTAGACTAGAGCATCTCTGATTTCAACCTGACCCTAAGGAGCATGGACCAGGCAGATTACACCTTCTGCCGCAGAACTTCCTGGTGATCTCCCCACTGGCCAAGGGCTTTCTAAGTCCCTTTTCCTTCCTACCTTGGAGGAGCAGCTGCTTGTTTCCAGGGTCAGTGCTGGCTGGGAAGTTCTGGTTAATGGAGGAGGGGCTGAGGCTGGCTTTGCCAGCACCGCTCTCCAGCTGCTGTTGCAGCTGCAGTCGCAGACAATTGTTCCCCTGAATGCTCTGCTCCAGCTGCCCTCTCAGAGCTCGTACCTCTGCCACCAGGTGGCTCAGGTCACTGCTCAAAGGGATTTGGTGACAGGCATCCAGGCTGTAAGCTGAGAGAGAAGGAGTCTGGTAACATTCACCCAAGTATTTCCAAGCACTTGTCAGAACCCTCCTCTGTGACATTCTTTTCTGCCAAGGACCCCACTATCATCTGAGTCTCATGCAACCCATCTGTGATGGAGGTGTCACCATTTCTGTGTGTGGCCTGGGGATGGCACTGAGCTGGCACACATCCAGTCTGAAACTTCCCTGCGGCTTAAGTTACACACATGCACCTATAGAGCATTTGATTGGCAGATGAAGATAAGTCCATATTTCATCTCCATAGTAACCTTAGTCCTGTAGGCTAAAGTATAGGATACTCCAAGGTAGAAGGTCAGCACTGAGCTAGAGAAGGGTAGGGGATGAGGAAGAAAGAGATTTCATAGTCCTCACTCTCAAAAATGAAAGAGAAGGAGGAGGTCTTTTGGTAGCATGTGAGAATGTGAGTTGGGCACCTTAGACGAGGGATTATAACTGAGTTTTTCAATTTCTCTCTCTCTCTTTCTCTCTCTCTCTATATATGTGTGTGTGTGTGTACATATATATACACCTACATATAGTGTGTTTATATATGTGTGTTTATATACATACTATATATAGGTGTATATATGTACACATATACATGTACACATATACATGTACATATATATGTACACACATATACATGTACATATATATGTACACACATATACATGTACATATATATGTACACACATATACATGTACATATATATGTACACACATATACATGTACATATATATGTACACACATATACATGTACATATATATGTACACACATATACATGTACATATATATGTACACACATATACATGTACATATATATGTACACACATATACATGTACATATGTATGTACACACATATACATGTACATATGTATGTACACACATATACATGTACATATGTATGTACACACATATACATGTACATATGTATGTACACACATATACATGTACATATGTATGTACACACATATACATGTACATATGTATGTACACACATATACATGTACATATGTATGTACACACATATACATGTACATATGTATGTACACACATATACATGTACATATGTATGTACACACATATACATGTACATATGTATGTACACACATATACATGTACATATGTATGTACACACATATACATGTACATATGTATGTACACACATATACATGTACATATGTATGTACACACATATACATGTACATATATATGTACACACATATACATGTACATATATATGACATGTACACACATATATATACATACACATATATATAAATATATATATGTATGTATATTTACCTCCATTCACCACATGGCTATTTCTTTGTACTGGGGATGAAGAGATCTAAGAAATATTCTACGAGGCTACAATCCCTTATCTGAAAACCTTAAGGCCAAATGTATTTCGAAAGGTAAAATTTGTTTTAGTTTTTAGCAAGGCAACAGGGTGCATATATCATATATAACATGTACCCAGTTGCATGTGAGCCACAATCCTTTATCAAACATATAACTATTTCCGCAATGAGCTATGTGAATATTCTAAATAGATAAATAAAGACTTATGAATATCCTCATGTCAGATCATCTAGATTTTGTCACTAAATGAGTATTTGAAAAATTTAATTTGGAAATCTTACTGGATTTTGAAATTACAGATAAGAGATTATGGAGCTTTAGTGGTTGTAGCTTTGAAATGAGTCCTAAAAGGCAGGGAGAAAAGCATGAAAGGAAAGGGAGCTCAGGATGAACCAATTTTAGGGACTTTGGTAAATAATCTACTCTTGAATTTTGCCCAAAGTTTTATGATGTTCCTCTCTCTCTCAACCCAACTTCTCACTAAATTTTGCTTATTTTTTAAGAGATGTTTTAAAATCTATCTATACCCTTTCATCTTCCCAATAGCACCTTATATTAGACTGTCATCTCTTAATGTGCCAGAATATCACTAGACCCATCCAATACGTTTCCCAGATTCTAATGTCTCCCAATTCCAGGACATCCCCTAAGACTTAGCATCCTAAAGTTCTGTTTTCATCATATGCTTATCTTCTTTGAAAAAGAACAGACTTAGTTTCATTATCTACTATACAGAATGTCAACTTTTACCCTGACCTGTGAGCTTTCAAGATTTGGTGACTCTGCTCCACCATCCTGACTTCTCACTCCAACCTCAAGCTTCTCCTGTGGTCAGGCTGGTCCCACTGACCCAACACTCACCATGACTGTGTACTTAAATTATTCTCCCAGCCTGGTGAGCCCCTTCTATTTCTTCAGGTTCCAGTTCACCTTCTCTTTAGAAAATCAGGAAACTAAATCAGGATTTATGATAATTCGAATCTAACTTCCACTGCCCTTCACTCTTTGTTTAGCCTTCTGGAGGGACATAAAATACATGAGTTCTTTTTCACCTGACACTTCTTCAAATATCCGAAGCCAGTTCTCATGTCCTCAAGATCTTTTGAAAGCCTACATTTCTTTAGTTTCTTTGACTAGTTGGAGATTTCTGGTCCACACCATTGTGCGCCCTGTCTTCATTATGTTCCCTAGTGTGTCAACGCCCTTTTCAAAGATGGTGCCCCTTAATCTAACAATATTTTAGACATGGTCTCCACAGGCGAACATCACACTTACACTACTGTAGTTCCAGTTTGAGCTGGCATTTCTAGCAACCTTTGTCCTACACCTTACTTGTGTGAACATGTTTCTACCAAACCCCAAACCCTCATGTCCATGAATGGCTGCCTGTCCTATATTTCTACCCTCAACCTATATTTCTACCACTGATATTTTTAATCGAGCTCAGGATTTTGCTTTTTATCTTTGCTAAATTTCACGACATTGATGTCGTCCTCTGTTCCAGCCTGCTGTGACTTATTCACATTATGTTTTGAATACCCTTCTCCATTTAAAGAATGAAGAAATATATCAAAATTCTCAAATATTAGATTATTATTTCAGCAGGCAGCAAAGTCTTCAATAAATGTCCTTAATATTTAAATCCAGGATTGAAATTTAGGTCCTATTAGTGGTATTTCTATAAGGTTTTTTTGTTTTTGTTTTTGTGTCTTTTAATTTTCTCCTGTGGGCAGGCTGGTCCCCACTGACTCAACACTCACCATGACTTTGTACTTAAGCTATTCGCCCAGCCTGGTAAGCCCCTGTATTTCTTCAAATTCCAGTTCACCTTCTCTTTAGAAAATCAGGAAACTAAATCAGGATTTATGAAAATTACATGAAAGGGCAATAAGCTGAGAGCCAGATGTCACTACGGAAAGGGTCAGGGTGGGAGCAGACTGCCTGCTACATTGGGCTGAATGGGTTGTCAGTATGTATTACCAACAATATTAAAGGCCTTTTCAAATGATGATATCATTAGGACAGTTCTTTTGCTTTCAAAAATGTTACAATCTAGACATTGATAGGAATGTCTAGATTTTCTTAAAGTAATTAGGAATGATCAGGCCGGATCTTGCTCATGCCACCAACCTGTCCCGTTGGGCTTTGTGTTTGAGAGCTCCTACTGGGAGCCCCAGGCTCGGGTGGGGGTTTCTGCGACAGAACTCTGTAGCTTCCCATGATCTCCACAACTCCCAAAGGAAAGACCTCACTAGCATCCTATGCAAGGGCAAAAAGCTCATGGGGTGAGGGGAGAAGAACACATACCTTTCAGCCCCTTCTTGGAATTGCCATAAAGTGCCTCGTAGATTTGTAGCTCTGACTGGAGGGACTCAAAGAGCTGCTGTTTCTCTTCACACTGTTGCTGCAGGAGAACCAGCTTGTGCTGCAGTCTGACCAGGGAGAGGCAAGGCCCACTGAGATGGCAGAGCTACTCAGCCACACCAGAGCAACAAGCTGAGAGCCAGATGTCAACTCAGAGGGTCATAAAGGGTTACAGTTAGGGTTACATCTGAGCCCCAGATGTCAACTCAGGGGGTCATGAAGACTATCACTTTTATTTTGCAGATATGGAAATGGAGGCTGAGGGAGGTCAAGTAACTTTGCTTGAAAACACACCATTACCTACATTAGTTCAGAGCAGAACAGACACACCAGCACAGTCTCCTTACTGTTCCTACAGTGCTGTTTGCATTCTGACAAGCAGTTACAGGGCTTATGCTGGGACCAAGCATCACAGCCAGTATAGAAGCTTCCTAGGTGATGGTGAGACTAATGTCCTATATCTAATTGGAAGCATGGGAACCCTTCTTTTTTCATGTCTCTGATATACTGAAGACTTCTATAACAGAGTTTTACTCTCTCAACTTGGGAGTGACAAGGCATTCCCAGAGAAGTCCTTTCTTCTGCTCAAAGCGCCCCTCCCCCCACCCCACTGACACACAAAAATCAGGAATAGCAGAGGGAACATTTAGGTTTCCAAAAGAGGACATCAATTGTCTTGCCAATATCCCTTCCTCTTGTAATGTAAGAATGAATGTAAGAATGAAGAATGCTACCTTCTCTGTCAATGGGTCCCCTCTTACCTGGAGTCGTTTTCCTGGAGGGAAAGACGTTCCTCCCTGAAATGCAAGACCTCTTGCTGCTTCTCCCTCAAGTCTTCCAAAAGCTGCTGCCTTTCCACCTTCTGGTGCTCCAGCTCCTTTTCCAGCTCTTGAAGGTGGGATCGAGAGGACAGCAGAGCCTCCCTCAGGCTTTCTGTTTCCTGGGAGTGCTCTGGTGAGAGGAACACAGGATTGATTTATTATCATGGGGCCAGAGCTCAGCTGGAAGATGACCCCAAGCACATCCACCCTGACAGACAGAGCTAAGGAGCAGGGAAGGAAGGCCCTATGTTGGTGGGAAAAGCATGCTGGCTCAACATCCCCCAGAGCCTGGAGCACGGTGCCTCTCTCTCTTTGCAAAACCCTTCATGCCACTTATTTAATCTGTCCTACCTTGCTCTTAGAGAAATTCTGCTTTCTAATGATCACCACTTTCCAAGTGCTCACATATCGTCTGTTCAATAATCCATTCTTGAATTTTGACAAAGATCAACGTCAAGATTTCTTTTTGGATCTCATTTTCATTATTTTGAAAACTGGGATTTTTTGTTTTTGAACTTGCAGCACTTCTCTGATCTTCACAAGTTGTCAAAGATTATTGAAGGGACTCTAAAAATACAGCTGCAGGCTCAGTAAGTCCTCTGGGGAAAGAGTCACCTGAGCCTGGCAAATTGTATTCGTTTAAATCTCTTACTGTCTTCTCACCTGTGAGGTGTTCTATTCTCTCCAAGCATGCAATGGTAGCTCAGTAGTTCTGCCCTCTTTCTTATCTGTTAACTTTTGTTATCGTCCCCCAGCAGTGACCTTTCCTCTCAAATCTTCTTGCTAATACAGAAATCAATTAATTAAATTAATTAATTTGGGTGGCTAATTTAGAAATATCTCTTGGTGGCTTTTTCCTTTTCCACAAGCATTCCTTCATTCTGGGCTTAATCCTTTTGGATACTACCCTCAGTCTTTTCATGGCTGTTCATAAATATTTGTGAATAAAAATACTTTGTTATCGATAATACATTGATCTGATCAAGTAGACTAACACCAAGGTCAGCTGCCTCCCAGCCACACGAGAAATGATGCCCACCTGTGAGCGCCCCCTGGCTAGGGCTGGGAAAGTGCTGGGGGGCATTTGCTAGTGCCACTCGGCATGGAGTCATGGGAGTACTGACCAGAGGGAAGCCCTGAGTCTATGAGTGAGAGATGTGGTGAGGAGGCAGAGGGATGGCACAGCAGGGCCAGGAGCGACACATGCTGCTGCAGTAAAGTCTGGAGAAACTTGAGAGGGAAGATAGGCATTCGCACTCCCTCCTTTATTGGTTCCAAGTCAGTTGTGAGTGAAGGGAGGTAGAGCAGATACCAGACTGGTATCCAAATTGATAGCTTGTGACTCTGGATATATGCAGGTGGGCTTGTACAGAAATGATGGATTTCCTAGAGCTCTTCGCTTCTGGGGACTAGGAGTCTGAGGGGCCCATAGTTGGAACATCTTAGAAAGCAGCCTTCTCTAGACTGAGAATAGCTGTGAGTTTGGGTTGGTGGATCTGAGTAGCTCTGTTACCTCTACCTTCTTCTGTTTGCTTCTCCAGTTGGTGATTAGTGTGGCCAGGGAAGAAAGAAACTTAAGAGTGACCACAGTTTGTGGGTTTTGACCACGTACCTCTGGAAACATGACTCAGTTGAGCCTGAAGTCTTCGATTTTCTTCCCTGAGGACTCTGTTCTCATTGCAGAGCTGAGGTATGGACTCCAGGCCCTGACTGTAGAAGTTAGAAGTGGATCCTGTCCCAGAAAGTAGACATTTGGGTAACAGAAACTTTCAAAAGTTTCCCATTCGTTATCTCTCAAAGATACTGCCCCAACCCAGCAGAAAACCCCAAGGACTGAAGGCCTGGCCCTGAATGAAGCGTGGGGGGCTGGGTACATGTTTTCTGTGTGCCTCTTCTCAGTGGATTCTTTGCGTGCATCATCACATGCCGTAACTGCAATGGTGCAGGAGGCTCGATCTCCCTAAACAGCTGCTGCTGTGGTATAGGCAGGACAACAACATATGGAAAGACTGGCCTCCACGTGACAGCAGCTTGGAAGGAGAGTGTAAGGAGAAAGGCCACCTTGGTAAAGAGGCGAGGGTAGAGGTGGGAGGACCCTTACAGACCTGGTTCCACCACTTATCAATCACACAACAAAGGCACAGACATCAGCAGTATATAAGCAGATTAAGTATGGGGTGAGAAGTCAGGTGACTCTGGGCACCAGACGTAGTTCTGCCTTAAAGAGAGTTACTCTCTAAACTCAGATATATTCAGAAAGTAGGGATGACAGTACTTGCCCACCTCCCTTGCTGGACTGTTCATAAGGAGCAAGTGAAGTAAAGAATATCTGTGAAGCTCTGCCTAAAAGTCCCTAAATAGAGCCAGAAACAGGAAGGTCTGGGCCTCTCCTACCCCTTCCACGAGCAGTAGAGGTCAGCCGGTGTTCCAGTTGCTCCCGTAGGCAGTCATTGATGCAGATGGACTCCTCCAGGCGCTGGCGCAGGTTCCGGATTTCACCAAGATGCTCTTCCAGCAGGTCAGCCCCTGCGGCCAAACCACCAGGACATGAAGAGAGGTGGGAGATGGAGAATCCTGGTTACTGATGGGGGTGGGGCTCGGCTAGGGGACCTGCAGCAAGACCTGTAAATATCACTAGCCTTCTGCCAACTGTGTCCTCTCACACGGACACCCAAAAGAATGGTAGTTTTGTTTAAACAGTCAATGTGCTTTCAAACACATGACAGTCACTTGCTAAAAAATCTCCATGGGCCTCCTCCCACACAGGGGTCTTGTGAGAGTTCCACGTTTTAGAAAAATAACTGAGGGCTCTGGACAAGGCCTGCCTAGCATCTGGAAAGGTGTGGCCACCTCCTGGGTGTGACTAAGAGGATGATAGGTGAGACCTCACTCTACCTTTCTTCTTACTGACACGTGAGTGAGCATTCTTTAGCAAGGGACAAAGCCCTTCCTCCCACCCTTAGAAAGAAGGCCTAAAGTAAAAGTACGTGATCTTACACTCACCCTATGCGGTTAATGACTGACACTGAATGCTTCCCTGAAATCACTTTTAATATGGAAGATGAAAGAATAGCCTGGAAGGATCTAGAGATCTGAAGGCAAATTAGAGAGGGGATGACACCCCCCTTCCCCCTGCCAAACAAAGCAAAAATATCCAGAAAAGTCAGACGGATGCTTACACCGGACATTAACTGCACCATTTTGCTTTGGGCTCAGTCTTTTCCTGAAAATTACGATTGTCTTACTGTTGGAACTGCGCGGCATCTCAGCATTTATGAGCTTAGCTATACCTCTCCACTTGCTGTGACTGAATTTTGTACACAGGATATATGTGCAGGGTCAGGGAGCTGCACCCTTACACCCTTTCCTGTGACAAGTCCTGACTGATGGAAGAAAGTCCCATCTATGCCTGGCATTCTGGAAGGGTCTAAGAGAGTGGGCTACAAAGAGGCCAGGCTGCAGAGGGATGGAAGGACATGAGTGTGACAGCACAAGAGGTGGGTCCCTGACTTTCCCATATCCCTACAGAGCACTGAGGCCCTGGGCAGGAGAATGAAGAAATGTACTTGGAAAGGATTGAGCCCTGATACAGCTCTTGCATTTTATATCCACTCTGTGAGCCAGGGATGGAGGAGGAATGAAATAGTCCTGCCTGGGTAGGAAAAGAGTAGACTCCAAATGAGACTTCTTTTCAAAGGCTGCCATCTCTGCTTTGTGCTTTACCTGTGGGTTTGGAGTTAAGCTGGTACACAGAGGAGCCTGAGGATAGGTCCCCAGATACACTCCCTTTCTGAGGCCTCATCACATCCCACTTGCCACTGCTGCCCAGGTACCCAGGCTCTAGGATTCTTCCCAGTTCTATGGTGCCCCTTGGAGGAGAGTGAGGCTGGGCAGAGTTGAGGTAGTAGGAAGAGTCGGCTTCCAAGTCGTTGCTCAGCAATGTAGCTGTGGAAGCAGGAGGAACAGTGCTGGTACCTGGGCAGAAAGAAACATTAGTAAGAAGCAACTGGGGTGTCAGAAGGGAAGAATTTGCAAGGAAGTGTGTGATTGCTAAGAATAGAGACTAAAAGGAGACATGTGGAATGTCAGAGATCCCAGTTCACTTTGGTATACTAATTAGACTAAGGCTTGTAACCTAGAGGTTGTAACTCTCACCCTTTGTATTTCCTAGCAGGAGACACAAGAGGTAGAGAATAAAGTATCTTAAAGTCATCAGTATATACAATGGAAAAGTCCAGTGGCCCCACTCCTGGATCCTACTATAATCCTTCATGACAGACTCCAAGGAAAGTTCTAAAAGTAGGATTCACTCCCACAGTTAGAAGTTGTGAGTGCAGTGGAATGCAGGATTGAGCTTACCTGTGAACACGAACATCTGTTTGTCTACATGTACTTGCCTTCCCCTGAAACTAACTAGTCAATATGTCCATTCCATGTTGGAGTTTTTCAGAAGAGAAAGGGGACATGAAATCAAGCTGGATATGGTGGCCCTAGTTCCTCCAGACTGAAGAACTCTTTGCTGAGGCTGGGGAAGGGCCTATGTAAGGCAAGTATTTATTTGGATCCCATCCAACATGACTCAAGGAGCTGCAAAATGTCATCACTCCTGTCTAAAGAATCATTGAATACTATTCCACAGAGGCAGGTAGGACCTTTCATTTAATAGGCTGATACTTTCATAGATCCTTTGAAATCATAGGCCTTTCCCTTGAGCCCCGTCATCTCCACTTCTCTGTAAAAAGAAGCCTAGCATGGGGGAGATGAGGAAAGAGGTGGGCAGAGACACAGTTTAGGAGAAAATTCAGAAGCCTGCTTTCTTTCAGGGATTATGAACATGGGCAGCAGAATAGACAGGTAGCTCCTCCTAAGCAACAGGAGTGAGGTCGTTGTTTCTTCCATCCAAGCCAAACTCCTTGGAGGGGTTAGTGTAATTGCCACTTGCCAGTTTTTAGCCCTACTTGTAGCTGGTTCTCAAATGTGGGTACATATTGGAATCACCTGAGAAAGTATGGAAACAT
This sequence comes from Homo sapiens, assembly GCF_000001405.40. NCBI lineage: Eukaryota > Metazoa > Chordata > Mammalia > Primates > Hominidae > Homo > Homo sapiens. The sequence goes on from NC_000001.11 coordinate 120,507,006, forward strand.
ATACTGATTCCTGGATTCCAGAGATTTTGCCTTAGTCTATATGGGATACATCTTGAACAATGGATGTTTTAAATTCATTTTAGGTAATTCTAATAGGCAGAAGTTTGGGAAGTCTTGTCATGAGTCTCTCTTCTAATTTGCAAAATACTAGATGTTCATTAGGATCACTTAGTTGAGGAAGAAGGTTAAAAATTTAAGCACCTACATTTTAGAAGGAATGCAACAAATACATGATTTCCTACCTCTTTCAAACTGCCTTCAACCCCATCCGAACACAAGGCAAAGGGAGAAATCAGTGGTTGCAGATAGTCAGCTTACTTTTTAATCAAGGCCATGTGAGGTTTTAAGTCTATCAGTAACTATGATCAGTATTCTCATGTTCCAGTCCCTTAGCCACACAATACACAGTACATGCTCTAAACCATGCAAAGATACCATACAGACTCTTGCACAAGATTTTAACCCAGGGACCTGAGAGGCCACCATGCACCACTGTCCACACGGAAACTTGGCTCAAAGCAAACAATGAGCATGTATAAGCAATGGTCCCTTGGAGAGGACCTTGACTTCAGGTGGAGAAAGAAAGGGCTACAATCTTCCTCATCTAGGCTGGGACCATTTGAACTCCGGTCAATGGCCTCAGACTTGATGTAATTCCAATTTAACCCAAAACAACAGACCCTTTTTCATGGACAGTGCTCTCCTTCCATCCTTCCGTTTGGGCAAAGACAAATGGACAAATGTGGAAAGATAAAGGAAAAGGAGGCAAGATAAAGAAATGGAAGCTAGAAAATACTCTTGCCATTTGTCATGGGACACATTTGTTGCCCATTCATTGTTGGTGCCAGAACTGCTAAAATAACAAGTTTTAGGTCAGAAACAGCAGCACTTCCTACTGGTCTCTAAAGAGAGGGAAAAAATTGTTGCAACGAGTCCCCAGAGTTTGATCAGCTGAGCTCAGCTCCATACTCTAAGCAGGATGGTGACAAAGCCATCCTAAGTAGAAAAGATATAACAGAAACATAAAACCTGGAGCAGAAGACCAGATTCAACCCCATCTCTCCCACTTACCAGTGACCTTGAACAAGTAACTTCACTTCCCTGAGCTTTACAGTTCCCTGCATTAGACAAAGTACCCATTTCCTGGGTTGACAAAATAAATAGGCTAAGCTGGGTGCAGTGGCTCATACCTGTAATCCCTGCACTTTCAGAAACCAAGGTGGGCCGATCACTTGAGCTCAGGAGCTCTAGACCAGTCTTGGCAACATGGCGAAATCCTGTCTCTACAAAAAATACAAAAATTAGCCAGGTGTGGTGACACACACCTGTAATCCCAGCTACTTGGGGGGCTGAGGTGGGATAGTTGCTTGAGCCCAGGAGGTAGAGGCTGCAGTGAGCCGAGATCGTGCCACTGCACTTCAGTCTGCGTGACAAAGTAAGACCCTGTCTCAAAAAAAAAAAAAAAAAAAAAAAAGAGGAAGAAGGAAAGAAATATGCTGGTCCACATGACATTTGGGGCTGTAGGGAGGGGGATGCAAATTCTTGGCTGTTGTCTTGCATCACTAGAAACTTCTGGCATGGTGACCCTATCAGTCTCTGGCTCACCTAAGCTTCTTTACAGGCACAGAAAGTGCCTGACAAATGAGTTTAAGTTCATTCAAACTGCTTTTTAACTGTTGTGCCTAAGGTGCTATGAAAGAGCAAATTCATGTGAAGGTTGTCATTTTTTTCTAAGCTATCAGTGACCACCAGCACACTAAATTTATGATGAGCATCCAGCCTACAAATACATCAAAGCACTTTCTAAAAGGTGACTGTCCACAGTCTACGTAACTACATGAGATCAATTATCTTTGGGAGTCAGAGGATGGGATTCACAGTCAGATGCCATAGCTGGTGCTGTGGTTCTAAGCTGCCTACGTGTCACCTGTCCCAGGGCAGGGACCAACCCTGTGCAGTAGGAAAAGGGGCTCATCATTTCCTCTTCTGAATCCCTCTATCATTACCCTTTTTGCTCCAACCTAATGATATCAGGAACTGAACTTGATTAACAGCATTTCACAGCAGAAAAATATAATAGTCACACAAAGGAGCCCACTGAATGTGGCCATCTTTTTCTTGGCCACTTCATCCTGCATAGGCAAAGCATAACATCTCTCTCCCACCCCCTACCAATGAGCAGTCCACCAGTCTGTCAGGGATTCAGCATACTTGGTGGTATCCAACACTGTCTACAGTGTGAGAGCACCAGGTCTAGAGCCTCGTGAACATATCTACCTGTTAACTGATGAGACATACACACCACAGAAATAACAGTAAATACATTTCCAAAAAATAAGCAAACAGAGCTTTCCCTCCCTCTTACATTTGTAACGTGTACCCGTGTTGTTTTTTTAAACTCTGCCATCCAGCCCGAGCCATGCAGAGCAACACAGTGTGGGGCTGCCAATCGCAAGCACACAAATGCAGAAGTGCTCACTTTCTCCCAACTGCTTCTGCAGCATCTGTAGCTCCTGCTGAGACTCAGCCAAGGAGACCTCTGGTGTCTCACAGCAGCCAAGGAGGGGAGGGCCAGTGGGGCTGAAAGGCAGGAAGCTGGATGGAGCTGAGGGCAATGGTGCCTGAGGAAGGCTAGCCAGCTTGGGTATGGAGTGAAAATGAAAGCCTAGGAACAGAAAGTTAAGGAGAAAAGAGACACATCATCAAGAGAAAATGAGAGAAAAGAATGGGTAAAAGATTGAGAAGGTAAAAGCATTCCCTGACCAGACATCACCCTGCGGAGTGGCTATCATCTAGTGTGGTACAGGATAAGACAGCCAAGGGTGACCATTGCTACCAGAGGCTGGCCTGGCTGACCTTCCCTCTTCTCCCCTGCCAGGGCTATCCTGCATATATCCTCTGTGTTCATCTTGAAAGCAATTGGCTAAAGAAGGTAAGGTGGCATTATTGAGCCCCACCCCAGCAATCCTGGACATGGACAAGTCAGAGAGCCTGAATGCTTTCAAGGGCCCCTGGGGCTCTGCTCCCAGCATGTATCAGTCCTTGGCCCTGGGACAAGACTCTTTCTCTACCTAGAGCTCCTCTTTGACAGCATCAGGTCCCATCCTGAGTAGGAGAGATGTGAACAAAGGCTGTGGGGAAATTTTCATTACTAGTGCATGCAGTTCAGGACTCTGATGGAAACAAACTTCAGAATTCCAAATCAACGTGTTCATTGACCAAATTAAAAATAGATGCCTTGGTAGAGTGGCTTAGACAAAATGGCTTGCAAATCCTTCTGGGCATTTAAATCACATAGCAAAAACTTCTAATATATGTAGATTCTTTAGGCCTTCTTGATTCTGTCTAGGCCTTAATGTAGACTTACAGAATTATAAATTCTTGGAACATGAAATTTACATTTAAAAAAAGTCTTCCCTGGTGATCTTTAGGCAGCCCATCTACAGACAGGTTTTTAGAAACCCTGGCAAGGTTCAATGTTTAAAATTGTTTCCTCTTCCCTAAAAGCAATTAAAGGGCAGGTAGCCAATGGAGAGGGAGCAGAAACCAAGGCTGACCCATAGAGAATGTCTAATGTAGAAGACAATGATTATATCCTAAAACACATCCCAATGGTGCTGGCACCATTTCAGATCAATACTGCAAATATACTCAAATTGCCAGGTAACACAGCCCAGGCATTCTTTGAGGAGGCATTCTGATTTTAAAATCCTCTGTTCTTTACCTACTGCTCTGTTTGAACCCACAACATTTAAGCAGATGTCTATAAGTCTGGAAGCACAGCTTTTCCTCATGATTCTGGTCCAGCTGCTGCCTACTCTGGCCTAGAAACTTTGAAACCAGGCTCAGGAAGCATTGGAACACTTCCTCTTCCTTAAGATTTTAGTTGAATTGCTTTCAGGGAAATGAGGGCAGCAGAAGAAAGCACTGTGCTTTCTGGGAGCACCTCTACTCAAGTCAAACCTCACAACAAACCACACTGAAGGCAGCCAGCCAGCTATGGTGGGAGGTAGGAGGCGAAGACAAGGTTTGCCTTTTCTTGCCATCCCTGGTACAGGGCTGTGAATGAGCAGTGTACCCTCCGGCAACTAAGCTGAACTTGTAAATGAAATGCACCCCTTTAACTGCCCCCAAGATATGCACTATGTACATATGGAGGACTGCCAATCCATTCATACATCCATTAATGGTAACGTACTATGAACAGAACCTTGTCTGAGGCTGTTCTCACCATCCTTGGCTACAAGTAGCACTACCTCTTGCAGAGGATCTCCATGCAGATTTAATGGGTAACACATACAGTGGATCAATAGATGTGAATTTCTTTTCATCCTATGGCTGTTGTAATCCTGGGAGAAACATTTTGCCTCTTTGCTCCCAGGATAAAATGAGAGAAAACCAATAAAAATGTTTCTTTTTAAATGATTAGCCAACTACTGGTCAGAACTGGTATGCAGATCAAAACCTGATGTGGATTACTTATTTTCTAAAATATTTTCTTAAATCAGACACAACTGGAAAATGAGGATGGTTTCTCGATTCTGTCTAGGTTTTGATGCATTTAGGCCCCTAACAGTTCAAACCTCTGTCGTTGAAGAAAAGTCAAACAGGCAGCAGAGAAAGGGGAGATGAAGCTTCTGCCCCATTGGCTGTTGCATACCTGAATGGGCTTGGTTGGCCTCCTTGGGGGTATTCTGGGGAGTTGGCAAGCTGATGGGGTTGCTGTTGGATTCGGCCTTAGCCCCCTGAGATGCACTGGTTGATGATGGTTTAGAAGACAACACAGCAGAATGACTCGAATGATGGATGGAATCTATAAAACCCATGAATGAAAGAAAACGTATGATGTTCTATAGAGAACTGGAATCCTGCCCTTATGTTTACCCAGGGGTACCAGGGCTAGAGTCTTGCTTTCAGGGAAAGAACCAAGCACAAGCACTGTTAGCAGTGTTCATTTTCTTGCTTGCAGACAGCTCCTATAGTGAGGCAAACCACCTTAGGGATGACAGCGGTGCTCTGAGCTCTGAAACATGAAAATGGCAACTCCAAAAATATCAGGCAAGACTAGCAGCATCTGTGGACACCCACATATACTTAGGGACCACTGCTCAGGAATAAGTAGCAAGATCATTGTAGGAGAGATGAAGGAGGTTTTCCATCTTAAAGAAGATCTATCTGACAGAGTCACCAAGGAAGAAGAGTCTGCCGTGATCTTCTCACTCTCCCCACAGTGGCTCACTTTGTGCCCAACAGCATGTACGTGCCCATGGAGACCACGGTGACAGAGGTAACTTGTAGAGTCAGGAGCAGAGCAAAGATCCTGATCCACTGGTGCCTGTGCATGGCACTTGGCCCCACAGCTATGTTCAGCCTGATACACACCATGGTGGAGCTATAAGCCCTGTTTCCTGAGTTCTCCACTCACCCTAGACAAAGATGGTACCACCCAGAAAGTGGAGGCTACCTGAGTGACTGGGAGAAGCTTTCTTCTCTTCATAGTGTGTGTACTCGCTGACTATGTCCATGTCAGAGCAGGCTTCCAGCTCATCAGACAGGAAAGAGGTGCTGCTGGGAGAGCGGTGGGAGTCAGACAAGGCACGGCTGCTGGAGGGTGTGAGGGACCGAGCATCCAGCTTGGCCTGCAGGACTTCAATCACTTTCTCCTTCTCCTGCAGCTCCCTGCTGAGCCTGGTGGGGAGAAGGGGGACAACGGGTAAAACCAAGGTCACCGAAACCAACCTGTCCTGACTATGGCTCATAGGAAAAGCCAAGTAAGCCAAGGGGACCATGCCTGCAGATAATTATGGAAATAACCCACCTCTGCTTAGGGATGGAGTGTAGGTGGGGTGTAGATGGAGAGAGAATAGCTACCTAGTGCTCTGGCCACATAATATGCTGAGGACAAGCAAAGACATAGCTAGCCCTCCTTTTAAGGCACTGCTGCTTAATGTATGATCCCTGGAACAGTTGCAGCCTGCGAACTGTTTGTTACCATCTCCAACAAGACAAGTATAAAAATTGAAAGCAAGCATTGAGAAACACAGAACAAACCACTGTCCCAACATCCAAGAGCATGATAAGTGGAATCATGTAATTAACTGAATTCAGACCATATATGTTTCTATGATAGATTAGAAATAAAAACAAAACAAAACAAAAAAAACCACTGTGTCCTTCACTACAGATACTTTCAGAAGCATTTATGTAGTCTGAGACACAAGCATGACACAAAGAACCCCAACTAGTGGCTACAACGGACTCTGAGCCCATATTTCATTGATCATTATATGAAGCAACTCACTGAGAACTGGGTCCTGAGGCACTGCAGCCTCCTGGTGATCTACACCATCTAGGCCTCTTTCACCAGGTCCTGTTATATGATTCCTTTTTTCCCCCAGGGCAATTGAGTGACTATTAAATTAGCTGTCAACCCAACTTTGGAAAAAGCTCATCCTGCTTATTAAACACACAGCAGGAAAGCAGGACCCTTAGTGGGGCAGAAGACTCTTGAAACCTAGTTAGTTCACTTTTAGCTCAGACTGTTTCTAGGTTACTAAGCCTGGAGAATTAATGTGCCAATATAATTCAACCAAAAGGGAAGAAAGAATTTAGTTAAAAACAACAGTGAGGTGTTCAATGAATGCCTGAATTCAATACATTCAGCACTTTGCTTTATTCCCCTTGATTTGTGGAGTTGCCGCCACCCTTGACCCTTTGGGCCTCGGTCCCAATCTCTTTCCCAGATTCTCCTCTGAATTACCTGAGGGCCAGTGGCTCAAGTCCAGCTTGATCTTTCTCACTTTTATGATCCTCTGTAAACCAAATTTAGAAAGAGACGATAAGAAATTAGGCTGGTCCCACTTCCCGCATTACAAATGCAGGAGCCTATCTGGAGACAGAGTAGTGAGCATTTCATGTGTGCATCCAGAACAGTTATTCTGGGATACCTCAGCTTGTGTCTCTAGAGAAGTGACCCCACTGTCCCTGACCTGCCGGTCACCATGATGACTTCCTCTGCCCTAAATCAGGGTAAAACATTTATAATGTCTTTTGTTCCATTAATCATGAGGCCCTTGCCCAGCTGCCCTGCGGGACACTCCAGCCTCCATGTCCTGCTGCAGACTAGCTCCCCAATGCATATGCCCCACCACAGCTTTCATGCAGAACCTGCACTGGTCTCTGAGGAGATGACAAGAAGCCCTGCCCCACCTCTGCATCTGCCACCAGGTGGTGGGCTGGGTGGCTCCCAAGTCTGATCCTACTTTACTCCCTTGGATAGTCGCTGGAAATTCTGAGTAGAAGACCCCAATAATAACCAATGTAGCCCTTGAACTACTGCAGCCAGTGCCTAAACCATGTATAAAAGAGCATGGCGCTTTATCCATATGTGGAGTACCTGCATGCACATTACCATGCCATAAATGGAGACACCACAAGGATAAGGCATTTAGCGAGTTGGTGGCAGCATCCAGGCCAGAGCTTGAGTCTTGTAGTTCTTGGTTCAGGGCTCTTCCTCCTATAACAAAGCCCTTCCATCTCATGTCCCCTACTCCCTCTTAGCATCAGAGAGATGCTGCCCCTGCCCCACAGGTCACATTCCATTAGTGGTGAAGTTTCTATAGTTGTAACCATGGCATCTCCAGCCCTGTGTTTTCCTCTCCATGCTCCCCACTGAGCAGTCTTGATCCTGTATTAGCCCCAGGAAATGAAATAGAAACAGGACCTTAGGATAAAAAGTTGCAGTGGAGATGTGGTGGCCACCAGGGGCTGGAACTGTGGGGGTGACTGAGAGTATTCCAAAGCCCTGTGGCCAACTTACTGGTGCTGAGTTTGCTGGTGAGCCTCTCTGTCAGCTGGCTTCCCTGGGCGAGTTGCTCCCGGAAGCTCTGTCCCAGGTAGTAGTCAATGTCATTGCTCCTTAGGAGATCCTCAAAAGATTTTACTGTATCTTTTGCATGCTGGGTGATAAGATAACAAATACCTCTCCCTTCTCGTATTTTTTGCCGTAGGTAAGACAGTTCCCGGGCCTGATCCTGAATCAGGGAATCATATTTCCTAATGCAGGACAGAAGAGGAAAGAGTAAGTATGGAAAGAGTGGAAGCTAACTTATGGAGTTATGGGGGCTTCTGTAGAGATTTCTATGAGAACGTCTCTAAGGAACTCCCCCAAGCTAAATTCTGGCACATAAGCCATAGGAGGTATTTAAGAGTAAATTCTACCCTGATAAAGTATTGCATTAAAAAACTTAGTACGGGCCGGGCGTGGTAGCTCACGCCTGTAATCCCAGCACTTTGGGAGGCCAAGGCAGGCAGATCACAAGGTCAGGAGTTTGAGACCAGCCTCGCCAATATGGTGAAACCCTGCCTCTACTAAAAATACAAAAAAAATGAGCTGAGCATAGTGGCACATGCCTGTAATCCCAGCTACTCGGGAGGCTGAGGCAGGAGAATTGCTTGAACCTAGGAGGTGGAGGTTGTAGTTAGCCAAGACGGCACCACTGCACTCCAGCCTGGATGACAGAGTGACTCCGTATCAAAAAAAAATTTAGTATGTCACTGTTCTTCAACTGTTATACATGTGTTAATTATATGTCCCTAGATAAATCATAAGGTCTGTGAGAATAAACATAGTTCTGCATTTTACATCCCTTACAGCACCAGTATCACATAGATTCACAGCAGTTACTCAATGAATAATTAGCATCATTTCATCCTAAGTCTGGATAGAACCTTTCATGCCTTCTGTTTTAACCACCACCTGATGCCTGAATTTCTTCTATGTTATGATACTGTGGCTGACTATATTTTGCAATGATGGCCATCACATAAACACTCATACCATCAACTGATGGGACCCAAAACAAGAGACCCTAAGTGAGAACCACCCAGCTGAGACCAGTCAAACCATAGAACCATGAAGCATAATAAAGTGTTGTTTGAAGTCACTAAGTTTTAGAGTGGTTATTACTTAGCAATAGATAACCAGGACACACCAAGATGAATGTCTGTGTTTTCAACACTAAGTATCAATAACACTTATAACTATGGCAAATAGCATTGAGAGCTTAACATATGCTAGGCACTATTCTAAGCACTTGTATTAATTCTTTTTTTTTTTTTTCCGAGACAGACTCTTGCTCTGTCACCCAGGCTGGAGTGCAGTGGTGCCATCTTGGCTCACTGCAACCTCCACCTGCCAGGTTCAAGCGATTCTCCTGCCTCAGCCTCCCGAATAGCTGGGATTACAGGTGTGCACCACCATGCCCAGCTAATCTTTGTATTTTTAGTAGAGATGGGGTTTCACCATGTTGGGTAGGCTGGTCTCGAACACCTGACCTCAGGTGTTCTACCTGCCTTGGCCTCCCAAAGTGCTGGGATTACAGGCATGAGCCACCACGCCTGGTCAGCAGTTGTATTAATTCATTTAAACCTAATATCCACCCTTTGAGATGGGTTCTCTTATCATCCTCATTTAATAGGTAAGGACAAAGGCTCAGAAAGGTTAAGAAGGTTGCATGGGTAGTAAGCACCAGAGGTAGGTAGTCTGATTCCAGTATTACTACTATACTATACCATCTTTACTAATATATCCCTAAGAGGAAATCCCTGAGACCCGGTATCTCCCAGATACTGGAACATCATCCTATGCCCTCCTGGTTGCCTACCTGTCTTTTCTGCAGACCTGTATCTACCATTTAAATCAGTGTCCCTTTGAATACCCAGACATGTTCTTTCTTCCAACTGCCTGAGCTACCCTACGCCAAGCATGAACTTACACATTTTCAATCAAGAAAGTACCCAAACAGTGCCATCCTTACCCAGGCCACGAGGCTGATCTCAGCTCCTCAGCCAGCTTCTCTTCTAGTCCATTTTCTGGGAGCTGGGCCTCCAGCTGGGATACTCTCTGGATGAGACTCTCCAGGTCCTTTTTGGCCTGAAGCCCTGGAGAGTAGAAAGCCCCAGTGCCATCAGACAGCCACCCCTCATCCTCATCAGGGACACTATGAGGTGAAGACCCCTCCAAGGTGCCAACAGCTCTCAGCTTCCGGGGTCTTTCCAGACTAGACGAATAATCACTTGTAACTGAGAGGGACCGGACCCGGCTCTTGAGGTTTTGAATGATCTTGTTGGCATTCTGCAGCTGGGCCTTCAGATCTTCGATGTCCTTTCGTAGGACCAAGATGTTTTCTGACTTTCCATATACCCGGAACTCTTCCTGCTTCCCTAGCTGGTTCTCCAAGGGCTTCCTCTCAGAGGAACTAGCCAGTGTTGAGCCCCGGCGTCCCTGCTCAGAGCACAGCCCCTCCATCAGGACCATTTCCTTGAGGCTGTTGTGCTCCTCACACTCTGAAAAAAGACAAAGATGTCTTCCTAAATAAAAGTTGGATGTGCTGTTGTGGCCACTGCCTTTGAGAGGAGGCAGGTTTGGTCATGAGGACAATAATTACTAGGGAAAAAGTTGAAGTAGTACTTTATTCAACCCTGACACTGTACTAGGCATTCAAATACAATATTTCTTATCTTCCTTATACCTACAAGTTAGGTTTCATCACTTTCTATTTTACTGACTGGGAAACCAAAACTTAAAGAGAGGTGGTAAACTAGCTTGTTCTAGATCACTCAAACTAGCACATGGCAGAGCCAGAATTCAAATCCTCCAATGTCCTGTGTTCATTCCACACACACTGGTGTTTCTTAAGACATTAACATGGCCTTATCTATTTAGGATGGCCACAAGAATGTAGGACAAGCTATTACTGCATGCTGAAAGTTTAATGCTCTTTAAATTTTACTATAATTTAAAAGTTTATTGGGTTACAACTGTATGAAAAATAGGCATAGGAAAATAAGGCTTCAAATAAATATATCAGCATGTTAACATCAGTGTATTAGGGCAGTGGTAGTCAGAATGAGAACTAATCCATGGCATTTTACCAGATGCCAGGCACTGTTCTAAAGCATTTTATAAGAATTTACTCATTTAATTGACTTAGTACCTGATGGGGTAGGTAGTTCCTTTATTACTATTTTAACACATGAAGAAACTGGGACATAGGAAAGTTTTCAAACTGGGATTTGAACCAACCAGTCTGGCCCCAGGATCTTGTCTCTTAACTGCCACACTACACTGCCTCAAGAATGAGAGAGATTGTGTTTTTTTTCTCTTCTGGTTTTCAATGTGGTGGGTGGCCCTATAGTTGTAGTCTTTTTATAATGCAAAACAAAATTATTTTTAATTTATGGCTTGCATGTTTCTAAAACCTTATCTGGTCTCTAAGTAGGCCTTAGTATTTCTATAATAATCAGTTGGATAGAATTTTATATTATTATTGTTATTAGCAGTATGCCAAAAACTAATTGTAGAAATTCAAACTTATACTCAGCCTCATTTTGGGTAAGATTTCTCCTATTAACCTCCTGTCCTCCTCTTCCCCAATACTTGTCAGGTGTGGAATTGGCCAACAGCATCCAAATGTGACAGCTGACTCCAGGGAGGGGTGAGCCCCACACCCTGTGCTCTTACCAGGACTGGTGGTTTCCTCCCGTTCAGCCTCATTCTCGCTTCGGCCACAAGTCTCATAGCCCAGGTCCTGGAGGTCCACCTGGATCTGCTCGCTGTCCTGCTTCACCAAGGATTCACCTGCTTGGGAAGAGAAGCAGGTGTTACAGAATGTCTGAATTTCCCACATATGCCCTCAGCCTCAATGGCACATACCCTAACCTTTTGAGGCACGGAAGGCAGATCCACAGTGGGAGAGAAGCTTCTCTGAACTGGTGGGAGAAGAGATCACCAGCTCCAGGAAGCAGAATTTCTTTCCAAAGGAGGAGCCTGCATTTGCCATTATCTCCCCTTCAGATAACCCAGGCTTTAGTTGGGACCAGATATCTGTAAGTCAGGGATTGTACACTATCATCTCTAGCAGCCCCATTGAAGCTGGCAAGTGCTTTATCCGCAGGGGTTCAATAAATGTTGAATGGAGCTGAACTAATTTAGAGTCCCAAGACCCTAGACCTGTACTGTCCAATAAGGTAGTTAGCAGCCACATATGGCCACTTTATACTACATCAACTAAAATTAAATAAAACCAAATGTCCAAGTTGCACTAGCCACACTTCGTGTGCTCAATAACCACGTTATGTCGGTATAGAACATACAGAACTTATAAGACACATAGGCTAGTTTTCTTTACTAGTAAGTCATAGTTACTTACTAAGCATAACTCTGTATTTCTCCAGCTCGTTAGCCTGAGCAAAGACAGTGGCTTCTGATAGCAGCAGCTTCTCCTGGAGATCTTGATAGCGTTGTTTGCATTGTGACAGCTGGGAGCGCAGGTGCTGGGTGGACCCTGGTAGGCTAAACGCTGACTGAGGCCCAGGGTCACGAGGCTGGGACTGGTTATCCAACTGTGAAAGGGGCCAATACAGGGATCAGGACAGTCTGAGGTCACCCCCATGCAGTGACGACCACCGCCCCTTCTGAACCCTGTGGACTTTACTCAAGTCTGTCACAGCACTTCTCATGCCATTTGGCAGTGACTTGCTTTCCAGATGGAGCTCCTGGAGCGCTGGGATAATGTTTTCTTCATATCTGTATCCACAGCACACAGCACAGCACCAATCAGGTCTACAGAGGAGCTCTCAGGAAATGTTTTCTCAGTGGTCAAAAAGAGACCACTCATCTCCCCTCACATTCTGTCCCATTGATTCTCTCAGAATCCCTGTATTCTCCATTTCACTGAATCTTCAGCATGGCTCCTTCCCTAAAGAGGATCCCAGTAACCCATCTGAAGACCAGGAACAGACACCTGTGATGAGCTGTGACAAAAAAATGGCAGTGATAAGGGATGTCATTACATACCACTTGTCTGGGCTGCCTCATAACCTGATGCATCCCTATGTTACAGCAGTTACCACATCCTGTTAAAATTACCTGTTTGTGTGCCATCTTTCCCGACAATATTAAGTATCTCAGGGGCAGCCATTGGTTTTATTGCCCCATGCCAATGCCTAGTGTGTTATCTGAAAAATTAAGTACTCAAGAAATATTTATGTTATAAAAGCCTTTCTAAAGGCTGAATGTAGGCAGAATATTACTATTATTGTTTGTGGTACAAAGAGACCCTTCTCTTGGTACCTCCTGATTCATATGGGAGAATGTTTTAAGGTAAACACTGTCATCTCAAGCCCTTCTCCAATTGTTTTTCACTCAATCTAAGCCCACACTTACTTGGTGGGCATCCACTGTGAAGGTAGCCCCAAGGTCAAGGCTCTGGGGTCTGGGGAAAGGCCTCACAGTCACATTCCCCTCCTCTTGGTGTTGGTGCTTCCCAGGGGAACCAACCAGTTCTGTGTTTATTCTTTCGATGGTGCTGGTCAGATGCACAAGGAGCTCTGGAGTAAGTTTACTATTCCCTTCCTTGCTACTCAGCACAAGTTGTTCTTTGAGGAGGTTGATGATATTGTGGGCATTCTTCAGTTTTCCCTGGAGCTTTCTGAACTCAGCCTGAAGGCTACTCTCACTCAGACCCTCTTTGGTTACCACAGTCTCAACCATCACCTCGCCCTTCTCCTTGTCTTCCTCGATCTCCCATCCATCAGACATTGTTTCTCCCATCTGCTCTTTCAGCTCCGCATTCTCAAGGCAAAGGCTCAGCATGGTGTTCCTGCAGGAAACACACTTAATTGAGGGCTAGGTCTGGTCCTCACAACAGTTCCTAATACTACCTCTTACCAACATCTCAGCCCGCAATTAACTCAGACTTACCCCAGAGCATGAAGCAACCTGAGACCTACCACAGCCCCCTAATTTTATATACAAGAAAGCCAAGGCTCAGGAAAAGTAAGAGACTTGCCCAAACTTCCACAGCTTCTTGGTGGCAGCACCATCACTAGAAACCTTGGACTCAAGACATGCAGGCTAGTTTTCTTTACTTGTGCCCCATAGCCTCATATGTTCTAATTTTTAGTAGCCTCTGGAATAAACCAGAGTACTTACACTGTTAAAAAATAAGACCTTTTCTGTAACAAATTTATTGTTATAAATTTTACAGTTCTATTATTTATCATCAGTCAGTTTCAAACCATTGGGACTTAGGAACACAGAATAAATAAATAACGCTAATCAGAACTATTACTATAATCAAAATGTACTTAGATAATTGTTTGCTTTATGTCTGGCTCACGTGATGGAGATAACCTTCTTGAGAGCAGGACTGTGTCTGTCCTATTCATCCCATATCCCCAGTGCCTACACAAGTGCCTGCCACATAAATCATTCATATTTGTTGAAGAAATAAAATTGACCAAAACAGCTAATTTGCACCAAGACATTCCAGATAAATTCTTTCCACAACAACAAACTCATACTAGGGTTGAGTGGAAGCAAACATGGCTGTAACAAGTCTATTCACTTAACTTTTTTGAGCCTCAGTTTCCTTTTATATAAAATAAGGATGATAACACTTACCTAGTAGAGTTAGCAGATGCTTAAATGAAATTGCATATACGGTATGGCTAGCTCAGGGTCTAACAGGGAAGTCATTCAATCCCTGCTGTACTAGCTGCAGACCTGAGAAATACCAACACCAGAATCCCATAAGGTGCTTGTTTAAAAAGCTGTAGAGCTAAGGCCTATGAATCCACATTTTACTTAAGTTCCACAGGTGATTTTTTAATTTTTATTTATTTATTTATTTTTTTTTTTTTTTTTGAGACAGAGTCTCACTCTGTCACCCAGGCTGGAGTGCAGTGGTGAGATCTTGGCTCACTGCAACCTCCACCCCTGGGTTCAAGCAATTCTGCTGCCTCAGCCTCCCGAGTAGCTGGGACTACAGGCACGTGCCACCACGCCCAGCTAACTTTTGTATTTTTAGCAGTGAAGGGGTTTCACCATGTTGGGCAGGCTGGTCTCGAACTCCTGACCTCAGGTGATCCGCCTGCCTTGGCCTCCCAAAGTGTTGAGATTACAGGCATGAGCCACCACGCCCAGTCCACAGGTGATTCTTAAGCATGCTAAACTGAGAACCCCTGAGCTAGAGGATGCACAGGAAATGGGTAATTCACAAATTGAAGGATCAGCAGTGGGCTATGCACCTAGATTGAATTTCTCAGAATCCAGGAGTCTTGGAACCTACAGCAGAGCTTGTCTGGTGTGTTTCTGGGAGGAAAATAGGACATAGGATACAGACAATCTATGAGATAGTTTCTCAATAAAGAAAAAGGGGATAGGTATTTTACCAAAACTGGGATGTGGAAAGGGGATAAAGAGGGCGCATGTGTATATGGAAAAGAATATTTAATATTATGTTCTAACTTCATATTAAAAAAAACTGATATTTTTAAATACAAACAAATAAAAGAAAAACTCAACAAAACCTTCTTGAAAGGAAGAACAATGCATTAGATTCTACCTTCTACAGTATAAGTGATTCTGTAGGTTGGGTGGAGGGTTGAACAAATCAGAGTCTCAGGTTAGTAACTCTGAGGACAAAGGAAAATAATCCACAGGGATAGCTATAGATGGTTTGATTGTAGGTTCAACAATAGAATCAAAAGAGATGTACTGTTCTTACCCATGACAACTCAATTAAGTTTACACATACAAAAATTTAAGTAAAATAATATGCTTTAAGTAGAACTTAAGGAAAAAGTTATTATGATAATTCAGAGCAAAAGAATCAGCACTTAGAACAATCACAAGAATTTTTTAAAAATTGTTTGACAAAGTATGTAGTATAGAAGCAAGGTTTAGATGTTAGAAATTGGGAGCCACAGACTATTATGCAACCTTGAGCAAGTCACTTGAAACTTTCTAGGCCTGAGTTTCCTCAGCTATGAAACAACGACATGAGGCTAGATGCCTGGGCCCTTTTCAAAGTGCTAACATTATTCAGGGAAATTTAAGTGGTAAGTAACATGCAGGGAAAAAACAGGGCATGATTTAGAAGTCATACAGCTGTACTTTAAACAGGCAGTGATGATTATAGTCCTGGGAGTGAATGAATAAATGGATCAGCCCTACAGTATCAGCATGTTCTCCAAGGAGCTTTTGACAAAAAGCCATCAAAGACAGAGTGGCCAATCTAACCAATCAATGAGCTACCTGCTATTTTTGTAAAATTACTAAAGCAGCAGAGATGATTAAAATTGATACTCTATGATTGAAGGACTTATGAGTGAGAGCTGAGAGGAGAGGGAGGGGCCTCTACACAAACCCTCCAGCCGGGTGCGGTGGCTCACTCCTGTAATCCCAGCACTTTGGGAGGCTGAGGCGGGGGGATCACGAGTTCAGGAGATTGAGACCATCCTGGCTAACATGGTGAAACCCCGTCTCTACTAAAAATACAAAAAGAAAAAATTAGACGGGCGTGGTGGCGGGCTCCCATAGTCCCAGCTACTCGGCAGGCTGAGGCAGGAGAATGGCATGAACCCGAGAGGCGGAGCTTGCAGTCAGTGAGCCAAGATCTTGCCACTGCACTCCAGCCTGGGCGACAGAGCGAGATTCTATCTCAACGAAAAAAAAAAAAAAAATTCCTCCTCCTTCGTGAACTGTTCTGGTTCTGTATACAGCAGTGAGACATATTAGGTAGCAGGGATTCCTTATACGTTTTGGTCAATTAAAAACAGCAATACTGGTCATGTAACAAGGAGGTTTCCACCATGACTGTCATATGTATGACTGGCAGATGCACAATAATAGTGGGCACTGTTATACTGAATTAAGACCAGGATTATTTGAATAACAGAAAGTGATTACCATTAGCCAATATTACTTACTTTTATCTAAAGAATTTGTAGAAATATTAATGCATGGAGCCTGGGATAGGCACCCCTTGGCTGTGGTGCCTCATGACCCGCAAGCTCCCCTTCCCTGGGAAGAATGTTCTACCTGATGTGGGACACTGAGGAGAATCCTGCTTCCTCAATTTGAGCCTTTAGCTCCTTCAGTTCCTCCTCAGCTTTCCTCTTCTCTTCTAAGTGCTGGTGGATCTCAGCCCTCAGGTGGAGCATTTCTTCCTGAAGACACCTGTTACTGTCCCCTCCCATCGGAGAAGGAGGGGAAAAAGATGGGTTCTGGGTCTCCACAGTTGCCAGACTTTTCTCCAAAGCCACCTTGACAAGCTAAAAGAAAATCATGGTTTGAAGAAGTTAGGCCATTAAAGAGGACCCAAGAGAAACATGAGATTGCAAAGGCAGTTTTCAATGAGAACAAAAACAAACAAAAAAAGCAGATCTAAAATAAACTCCCTAACCAGAACCTCCTTAGTCAGGCATAAGGGCCCTGGGGACTGGTTTGGGTGGGAAGGACACACAAAATGAGCAGGAGGAATTTCCCCATGGAGAAGAGGAGAATCCAGAGATGGTGAGGGAGAAAAGCACGTAAGAAATTAAAACAAATGCAAACAAACGAGGTTGAAACAGGACTGGAGGGTGTGAATACGGTGATTCTTTCTCTTCCTGAGGAGACAGAGCCCTGCGAGTTTTCTCACAAGTCAGGAAGCTTCATCAGCTCTGCAACACTTGAGTCCTGGATGGCGGGAGATGATGGCTTAAGATATCAGGGCGCAAAGCCTAAGGCCCTGCCTGTAACTCCAACTCCCTCAAGGACAGCTGAGAGGGAGGACTCAGGGCACTGGGGAAACAGTCGGCAGACACAGTTACAGAATTAGAATAAGGTGGAGCGACAGGGAAGACAACACCAACTATTTCATTGGCAGCAGAAGAATCACACTCCGCAGCTACTGGGAGATGGAGATGAAGCCATCCTGCCAAGCAGCCAACCTCACTTTTTGGTTATTATCTTTGTGCTGATGCTGCCAGACAAACTCTCTCTACAAATCTCAGCATGTGGAAGAAACAGAGGCAGGAACAACTGCCCAGCACCTTTCTATTTCTTGAGGACACTCTTGAAGTTATTCATCAATGTTTTAATTAAAGCAGATCTTATGGCCTTTGCTCAAATGGGAATTTGTTAACTTTTAGACTTTGTTATTGTTCATTTTGGGCTTATCTTTGGTCTTTTCCCACGCTCTTAAAAGTGTAGAAATCAAAATCTGAGTATGATAATCTACTTAGCATATGACTAATTACTTTAGTACAAGGAGTTCCTGCCTGTCTGTCCAATATTAATCTTAATATGTCCCAATGTCACATTGGCTTCTTTTTCTTCTCAGTGGCAGCATTTGGAGCTTTTACTTAACTTTGGGTCAATTTTGGCCTCTGAATTTTCCACCCCTCCCCTACAGCTGTTGCTGAGTCATGTTGTTTTCTTTTATCTCTACAAATATTGTGACTTGTAATTGTCACTTATAAATTCATTCTGGCTATACTGAATCATTCCCCAATTATCCGAGTCATCCAAATATTTGATGTGCATTTCCACAAATCATGTACTGGCCCCCACTACAAGTGATTGGGGATAACTTGTAGAATTAATTATATGCTTTATATCTCCATTCAGGTCACCAATACATTGAAGAGAGCAGGGCCCAGAACAGCTTATATGGATCAACGACTGACAGAGCTGCTGGGGTTGGTGCAAAGCCACTGACTTTTGCTATTACCCATAACAAAGTATGTTCAAATGTAGGTCACAGGTTTGTGGTAGGGTCGATTCACAGTATGCATGTGCAATGGTGTTCAGTAGCATAGCAGTTGAGGTTGTGAAGACATGCGCACCCAGGTCAAAGAAGAAAGATCCTTAGACAAAGCCACTCAAGTCCCAGGCACCCAATCTTACTTGGACTTTGTGAGCCTGAGATTTGGGAGGCTCCTGGGAATGTCTGTCTCTAAGATTCTGCTGGCAGGCTTAATCAGGCTGGTGGCCATCTCCATATGTGCCCCCCAGCATTTGTGACAAAATAAAGGAAGGGGGACCAAATAAAACCACTTCTGAAAGCTTACGATCCCATCCCTTATTTAAACTATGTGATGTTGTCATTCTATATAAACTCTTTCCGAGTAACTTAACTAAAACACACTTTGCCATTAGTCTTGAGTGTGGGCACAGCATTATTCTTTTCTAGGCCTTAAGGGTTCCTTCTGCTTAAAAATAATGTCTAACTTTAATGAAGTTTACCCATTATTAAAGTGCCTTCTGGATATATGTTATCTTGTTCTATTGGTTTCAATACACCTATTTTCTTTAAAAAGAAAAAATTATGAACCATGAATGTTAACACCAGAAAAACCTTAAGGTACATCTGATCTAATTTCCCACTTTAAAGTGAGAAAATCAAACATTGCCTAGGGATCTCATTTTTCCCCAGGCTAATTTGGGTTTTCATATTTCCATCTCAAAGTGGACTTTCGTTGGCTAACTTTAAGGTTTTTTTTTTTTTTACATATATACAACTTTTATTTTTTATTTCTTTTTTTATTTTTTATTTTTTTATTTTATTATTATTATACTTTAAGTTTTAGGGTACATGTGCATAATGTGCAGCACAGCATGGCACATGTATACATATGTAACTTTAAGTTTTAAATGTAAATGCCTGAAAAGTAACTCAGGATCTAGCCTTTTCATTAGTTTTGATCATGTATGAAAGCAAGTATTTATTTCCCCCAAATGAAACCCCAGGGCTTCCAGTATTTGTAGTGATAGTGTGAATCCATTAGGTCTATTTTTAATTATATCTGTCTTATTGGTTTTTTTTTCCACATTTCCTAACTCACTTGTGATATTGCTTCATATAATTCAACTTTTTGTGTGCTGGGTTCCCATCTGCCCCACAAAGGCCTCTGTGCAAATCTGATATCTTGTTTGAATGACATTGTTTTGCTTTTACCCTATTGCTTCGTATCTGTCCCAATGTTAAGTCAGTTCTCAACATTAAGGCATTAAAAATTAGCTTTTCTCAAATGCTCAGCATCACTAATCATTAGGGAAATGCAAATTACAACCATAATGAATATCATCTCACACCTGTTGGAGTGGCATTTATCAAAAAGGTGAATGATATGTTAGAGATAATGCAGAGGAAACGGAACACAGACATTGTGAATAGGTATGTAAATTAGTACAGCTGGTGTGGAAAACAGTATGGAGTTTCCTCAAAAACCTAAAAATAGAATCTACCCTATGATCCAGTAATCCCATTTCTGGGTATATATCCAAGGGAACTGAAATGAATATGTTAAAGGTATATCTGCACTCTCATGTTCATTACAGCATTATTCATAATTTATGTTAAGATGTAGAGCCAACCTAGGTCCATCAGTAGATAAAAGGGTAAAGAAAATGTGGCAGATAATACACAATGGAATACTATTTAACCTTAAAATGTTGGGGGAGAGCTCCTGTCATTTGTGACAACATGAATGAATCTGAAGGTCATTATGCTTAGTGAAATAAGCCAGGCACACATACCACATAGGCTCACCTATATGTGGAATCTAATGAAGTTGAACTCATAGAAGCAAAGAGTAGAATGGTGGTTACTAGAGGCTGGTGGAGTGGGGAGGGAGAGTAGGGGGAATTGTTGATCAAAAGTATTGACAAAAAGAATAGGTCTTAAGATATATTGCATAGCAGGGTGACTATAGCCAATAAAATGTATATTTCAAAATAAGAGTAAATTTTCAATGTTTCACCATCAAAAATGGTAGGTAGGCAAGTTTATGAATATGTAATTAGCTTGGTTTAATCATTCCATATTGTGTGTATATATATATATATAATCATATACCCCATAAATGTATACAATTACGATTTGTCAATCAAAAATAACTATTTTTTTAAAATAGCTTTTTTCAAGTTTATCACACTTTGTCTACTAACGTCTGTTCTTCATATTTGAATCTTGATTTTTTTTCTTTAAGAGGTAGGGGTCTCATTATGTTGCCCAGGCTGGCCCTGAACTCCTGGGCTCAAGAGATTCTCTTGCCTCAGCCTCCTGAGTAGCTGCAACTATAGATGCACACTACCTGGGCCTGAATCTTTATTCTTGATTAACTTTTTCTCCATTACAAAACTTCACATAAAAAATGCAATGGTTGGTTACTCTAGTTTCTTTCACAGCAATTTCATAGGTATTTATTATAGATCTTACATCTGCTTGAGAATAGAATTTTGTGGGAGATAATCTAGGGAAAATTACTATCATGGCCAGACTTGAGGCTTCCTGAGGTGGCTGAGTCCAAAACATAAGGAGCAAGCAACTTGTATTGGCCAAAAGGTGATTCTCACCTTGGAAGAAAGACAAGGTGGGATGTGTCTGTTAGGAAAAGCATATGAATGCTTGGAGTAGGAAGGGAACTTGGTGTCAGGCAAAAATTTACCTTCCAAGGACATAACAAGGAGAAGCTCAAAATCTACCTTTAAGGGACCATTTTCCTGGAAACAAGCAAACAAATTTTGAGAATCTGGACACAAAACAGTTATGGCAAAGTAAGCTTTATTTAATTGGTAGCAGGAGAGTCACAACTTCAAACTCCAGAAAAGATGAAGTAAATTTGCAATGATTTCATACACCAAGATTCCTCCTACCCAAAGCTGAAGATATATTTTCAAGGAAAGGTGATGGAAAGAAAAATGGTGCTCGCCCAAGAGATTCTTCCATCCAGCAGGCATATACTTTGTCTATCATGAGTCAAGCCCTGATCCAAAGGCTTGTTAACTCATAATTACACTAAGCATCTCTCCTATGCCAAGTAATGTGGCAAGTATTGTGAGGGAAATACAAATGCCCTAATGTAAAAAGTTCATTCCAGTGTAGGCTGACCTTCTCAAAATGGGGTCTGGTCAGATTCTCCATGCTAGGCTACAGGAAAGAAGGCTGAAGAAGCAAATTTACAAATCAGTTTGCCTACAATTGAGAATTAGAGCAAATGACTTGCAATACCAGGAGTACTTCAGACCATATCAATCAGAAACTTTCTTCATATCTGTGTCTCCTGTTCATTTATTCTGAAGTTAATCCTGTCCCACAGTCATTATAACCATCAGTGACCAGCCAACCTCCCAATCTAGCTGTCTTAGAGTAGACATTTGTTCATCCTGCAGGTCCCTCTCTCTCACCCAAGATCCTCAATGAAATCAGAGAGTGAGGACAGAGGGATCTGTCTGGAGGGACAGAGATGTATATAATTAAAGTCACAACCATCGGTAAGGAGGACTCAGGAGAAGCTGTTCAAGCAAAAGGAAAAGTGGAGCTCATGCAAGCACTCAAGGGAGAAGGGAAGGTCGGGTACAGCTATAGCAACAAGAAGGTGATCCTATTATAAGAAGGTGATCCTACTACTACAAAGAAACTGTTGAGAATATGACGTATCCCAGACAACTACTCATGTCCCCAAGTGCCAAATCCCAAAAGATTTGAGGATGCTTATTTGGGCTCTTCTTATTGGTTGATTCGATGTCTCTTCTTTTTCTTATGCAGAAGACATACAGGCAGACCCAGAAAGCCTCATTTCTTGTTTAATTTTCCTAATAGCCCCAAGAAAGCTATTACTGGAAAGTCCAGCTGCTTGTGCAGGATATCTACCAATGATTCACTTTCTCCTTAAGAATCATAGGCACAGTCCATTTAGGAGATGAGATTGCTAAATGGCATGGACAAAGTGGAGACATTATAGGAGTTCCGGTGAGTACTTGTGAGATCACTATTGGTGACTTAATCTCTGAAGTCCAGATTATTCACTCTTGTAACATGCTAGTTACATCTTCACTGATGGTGGGTGGAAGCAATGTTTCAGCCTCAAGTTCTGAGGTTTGACAGGGGATTGCTGTTGAAGTACCATCTGCTGATCACTGAGTCACCATGACCTCAGTGGTTTGTCAGGTTGCATAAGGTTCTCTTTGTATAATGAGATTTCACTGAGAAAGATTCTTGCTTTGGAAGCATTCCAATCTTCTTGGAGTTTCTTCCCAAGCAGTTCCTCCGCCCTGCCACCTCCCCGAGCAGCCCTTCGATGACTCCCTGTCTTCTGTGGTGCATTTCAGTTACAAAAAGCCCAAGGGGAATGTGTCCATCGTCTTGCAAGTAAAAATGCTTCTGAAGCTATAGCTACAGAGAATAAATAGGGGCAAAGGTGGGTAGGAGGGGGAAGGAAGCAGAAGAAAGAGATACAATACAAACCAAAGGGTGGATTGGAGAGAAAAATGGAGTGAAGATATGGGTTGGAAAGGCAGCTGGGAAGTTCAAGGAGAACAGGTAGATGACTGAGAAGTAGTTTATGTAAAAAGATATCTTCTCACTAAGTCCGCAAGGGCTGCAGGAGACTATCAGACCTCAGAAGGGCTGTGTGCTGTCCACCCTGGAAGTCCCAGACCCTGACACTGACTTACTTGCTGGTGACTATGGTGTGCAGCCTCCTCCTCAATACTGTCAGTGAACTCAGTGCTTGTATCTTCGGTGTCATCCCCTGCAGCTGCACCTGGAAACAAGTCCAGAAAAGAAAAGTGATTCCCTTCACAGATGGCTTCCAGACAGCAGGTTAAATTATACTCTTTTTGCCCGCTGACTCTGATTTCTTCCTTTCTCCATATACATGGGGAAGAAATTCTCCCTAGCCAGCAGGGCTGGAAAGAAAAATAGAACTTTTTGTATCACAGACACTTTCTTACTCATACTCAAGCCTGAGCCTCACAACATAAGCTGACTTTGCCTGCACAGACCCATTTCTAAGGAGCCGACTGTCAGATGCACTGGTTACCCCACTCGAATGTCAAGAAAGCCTGAATTATTCCCCACTGCCTGGCTACATAAAAACTTTCTCTTCCATAATATGAGTCCAATATGCTTAACCCTTTCCCCACCACTGAGTGCCTGGAGATTAGAGCTGCCCTGAATCTCTCAGAGGTATCTATTGTTGGGATCAGTTGTGCATAGGGTGACAATCTCTCTGAGGAACTTCCCTCTGGGGGTCCTGTGTCCTAGTAAGGTTCAGGTCTAGTCAAGATTCAAGACACCAAAGGATTCAGTTGTTCCCTAATTTCTTCCTCTAACCTCCCTTCCTCCTCACCTCTCTCAAACTCTTATTCTATGCAGACACCCTTTGTCTGAAGGGTTTCTTGCACTGCTTTATCCCCGTGGGATTTAACCCATCCTTTCATTCTCCAGAGATGGACACAGCCACTCTAGGGCCCAAACATCTACACCTTGCTCTAAGGTACAAGTAGCTGCAGTTTGTGGTATGGGCAAAGGTCTAAGGCAGCACTGACCAAGAGGACTTTCTGCAATGACAGCAATGTTCTGTGCCAGTGTTGCCCAGTACAGTGGACACAGTCATATATGGCTATTGAGCTTTGAAATGTGGGTAGTATGGCTCACATTTCAAAGCATTGAATCTTAAATTTTATTTAAATTTACTTATATTTAAATGACTGCATGTGGCTAGTGGCTACCCTATTGGACAGCACAAATCTAGGGTGTGTCTTCCTCCTTATATTGATTAAAATTAAGACTGTTCATACATTTTAAGACCAAGAGCTATGTTTTATATACTGTATTTTTCAGGAAGTGTAGAAATTTATTATGGTTAATTTGTCAAAGAAAATTTACTGTGACACTCACTGTGTCTTATAGAACCTCCCCAACTTAAGAATCTTGAAATCTTGTTCTGATCCTAGCCTCGGCAACCAACCAGTTACAACTCCACTTCTGACCACTGATTAACCTGGACCTCTAAGAGATTACGTGGTGAGTCCAAGGTTACACAACTAGCCCTCACTAGAGCTGCGCCAGTAAGTCAAGACTCTGGACTCTTAGACAGAAGCCACTCACTTTTCCTTCTGGTGACAAATCAGATCTTTATCTTTGCTTCTTCCTCCAAGACCAAAGAACCTTCTGTTGAGTTCAGACATCCAGGCATGAAAGGCTCTGCTTGAATCATGAGCATTCACTACCCAATACAGATAAGGTGCTTACCTTATCTCCGTAAGGAATTCGACGGAGACAAATAAATGCTCATCTCATCTCGACACTCTGCCACACAGGGGTTTTGTTTCTTCCCCTTCATTCTCTCTTTTTTAAGCTAGCTCACAGTCTTCTTCCATTATGGCAGCTTTAAGGGTTGCTCAGCCTTTTACCAATTTGAATTAAAATGCTGAAACTTTTTCTCCCATGTTTGAGGGGTAAAGCTAAAAAATTTATAGAAAATATGGGAATAAAAGAGTAAGTTATCTCATACAAGGTCCATACAAGACATTAGACATCTTTTACCATTTTCCATTTTTTTAAATAAATGAGAGAACTTCTCTTGTGTGATACCCTTTTCTAAACTTTTACTGCACAACGAAACACTGTCTTTAGAACTAACTTGGAATATTTTGAATTTCTAATTTAAGGTACCTATGATTTTATATTGATGACTCGTCTGCTTATTTTTTGATAAAATATAAAATAGCCTGCCGCCTTTAGATTCTCTGGGAGCTAAGAATCTGTTCATTTAACTTGCTTCTTCGAGATTAAGTTTTACATGTTAGACTGGCAATTTTATAAAAAACTTTTATTTGAGGCTTCAATAAAAGTTCTCAACTTGTGGTTCTTGGAAGTTTCTAGGCTCTGAACAATACAAAATGGAGGTGATACCAAGATGTCCCTTATTTAGAAAAGTATTTTCTATCAGCTATCTAATTCTACAAAGTACACAAAAATAAACCTCTAAAACATAAGACCATAAAATCCTTGGGTGAAAATGTAAGCGTTATGCAAATATAAGGTATTCTTATCACTGAAGCAAAAATTCATACTTTTGTAGAACTTTTTAAATTGAGTATGGCATAATAATTAAGAACAAGAACTATGGAGATAGACTGTCTTGATTTGAATTGTGCTTTTATTGTTAGTTATGTCACTTCAGGCAAGTCATAACCTTTCCATAACTAAGTTTCTTCATTTAATAATTAGGGTTAAGAGTGTTACCCACTCCATACTGTTGTGAACTTTAAAGGGTTTGCTGATTTTGAAGTGCTTAGAACAGTGCTTGGTACACAGTGTGTACTCAATAAATACCATCCTTAAACAATATTATTATTGTTATTGTAAGTAAACTGAAGTAGTCCATGGGCTTATAAGTTGAAGACTGAGAAAGTTGAAGGCCACAGAACCTAAATAGCATCAGCAGAAGGAAGTTTTATACTTGATGGTAACAGGATTTATCCTGCTATCAATTTACTCTTGCTGGAGGTTGACAGAAGTAGGAGTGATTATTAACATAAACTGTAATCACTATGAGCCATTAGAAACGAAGAAACACCCAGAGCTGAATCTTACTAGCGATTCAGAAGATGGTTACCATTAGCAGAAGCAAGAAGAGATGAAGTTTTTATGTAAGTAAAACTTCACCTAACAGATGAAAAAATGATAGCATTAGGATATCTCCATTTTGCAACCCTTAATGAATTAAGGGATAAGGCATCAAACAGCAACAGCTGCTAACATCACGAGAGATCACCAAACATTACATGACTCCTGATGGAAGAACACGCCACCACCTGTGAAGAAATACTGCCAAAAGTTGGCACTACATGCCCTAAACTTTCAGTGTTCTCATCAGAAAATGACAAGTACTTGGTTATGACAAACTTCATTAAAAATCATAATAGGCCAGGCGTGGTAGCTCACACCTGTAATCCCAGCACTTTGGGAGGCTGAGGTGGGCGGATCATGAGGTCAGGAGTTCGAGACCAGCCTGACCAACATGGTGAAACCCATCTCTACTAAAAATACAAAAACTAGCCGAGCGTGGTGGTGTGTGTCTGTAATCCTAGCTACTCAGGAGGCTGAGGCAAGAGAATCGCTTGAACCCAGGAGGCAGAGGTTGCAATGAGCCAAGATCGTGCCACTGCACTCCAGCCTGGCAACAGAGCGAGACTCCATCTCAAAAAAAAAATCATGATAACAACCATAGCTGCTAACACTTACTATGCCCTGGGCTCTCTAATAAATGCTTTGTATAGATTTAATCCTTTTAACAAACCTAGTGATCTGGCTCCTGCCTACTTTTCCTACTTTAATATCTGCCATTTTACTGCTCACTCATGACTCTGTAGGCACATTAGACTTTTTCTGTTCCAGGAACACCAGACTTTCTCTTGACTTGGCCTTTACAACTACTCCCTTTGCCTGAAATATCTTTCTCAGGGCTGCCTCCTTTTCATCCTTAGGTCCCAGCTTACGTGTCATCTGCTCAGAGAAGCCTTCTTTGGCCACCCTATTTAAGATGGTCTCCATCCATGTTGCTTTCTATCATTTCCCTCATATCACTTACTATACTCTATAACTATAATGTTTATTTATTTATTGTCTGTATCTCCCCAGTAGAAATTAACTACACAGAGCCACAGACCTTACTGATTTCATTCACTACCTACCTCATCCCCAGCACTAGCCCAAGCTTAGAGAAGGTCCCCATATAGCTAATGAATGAATGAGTGAATCCTCACAACAATCCTATGAGATAACTACTCTTTTATTTATACATAAGGTGACTTCTTCTACTCTTCAACTTACAGACAAGGTGATCTGAGTCTGAGAGAAATTAAGGAACTTGTTCAAAAATCACAGGGCTGGCTAGTAAGTGGTAAATCCAGAACGTGAACTCAGGGAAGCTGACTCAGAGCCACTAGGCTATAATATCTTTCCTGTAGATACCACATATCCATACAATCTTTATGGTAAGACAAGTTATTTTAAATAAACCCTTTAAAGGAATTTAGCAATAGCTAAATATCACCCAAAATACCCATTCATAGGCATTACAATTTCATGATCCTGAAAACAGGACAGAACCAAAAAGTAACATTACTCTAGATTTGATAAATGTGAGAAAAACAGGAAGAGGATGTGGAAACTAAAATATCTGACATGAATAATCAGATAACGGCTAAGGTAGAACCACAAAAAGGAAGGGGGACTAGGGGATTTTTAAAACTGGTATTTCTTAAATGCCACACATTCTCATATCCTGAAAACTAATTGAGTCATAAAACATGAGTCTGTTTGTAAGCAGAAATATGACAATGAAATCAAAAGATAAAATATGATAATTCTGTCACAAATACAAACACAGGTTTTATATTATAGATCTAGCTATGGCAAAAGGTAGAAAAAAACTAAGGAGCTATTTGGACTAGCTAGCTAAACTGAATTTAGGAAGCCATGACATTGAGTGATCTTCTAAAAGAGATGCCAACATAGTAACAAACAAGCTTTTAGTTTCAGTCTGTAACTCTGCGCTGTGGTCCTAGTATTTCTTCAACATCATAGTTGAATATGCAACTAGCTGTGGAGGAAAGGCAGGGGGAAGGGAATCTCTAAGGCTGAAAGGCCTCTTCCAAAAAAAATTGATGAGAACTCTATGCTAGAGAGAGTTAAAGCATAAGGTGGGAAAAATGTGCTCTAGGAAATGAATCTTCTTAGGAAGTATGTGAAGTCACAAAAGGCTTGAGTTTGAATCATAGCTCTGGCATTTATTAGTTACATGACTATTCTCCACTCCCATTTTAAAAGAGAAATCAGTGTTTCAGCTTCTTCGTCTATAATAATTGGGCCGACACCACTTACTTTGTGTAGAGTTGTGAGCATTAGTGCTAATTTAAATACCTAGCACAGTACATTGCACATGAATACTTGATAAACACTGATTATACTCAAATTTCTCGTTTCATGTTTCTAAATCTAATTTCACGGATCTAATGTCATAACTCTAAGCAGCAATCACACAGCGCTTCCTTTTTTCACCAGTGCTTTACAATTATTATTATTATTGTTGTTGTTGTTGTTATTATCTTGGAGGCGGAGTTTTGCTCTTGTTGCCCAGGCTGGAGTGTGATGGCACGATCTCAGCTCACTGCAACCTCTGCCTCCCGGGTTCAAGTGATTCTCCTGCCTGAGGCTCCCGAGTAGCTGGGATTACAGGCGCCCGCCACTACACCTAGCTAATTTTTGTATTTTTAGTAAAGACAGGGTTTCATCATATTGGCCAGGCTGGTCTCGAACTCCTGTTCGAGCGGATCAAGTGATCCGCCCACCTCGGCCTCCCAAAGTGCTGTGATTACAGGCATGAGCCACTGCACCCGGCCTTTACAATTATTTTATTCCAGTTAGCAATGGGGAGAGAGGGTTACGTTTTTCCAGCATTTAATAAGTTTTAATGGTCCCAATCTAAAAACAGGAGCATCTTTTTGAGATAATGTATATATAAAATAACTTATATTTTTCTCCAAAAAGAAAAAAGTCATACCTGGCATTTGGACTCAGATATTATACATGGAGAATTATATGCTTTTAAATATAAACTATTTTGAAAGAAAAAAATAATAGGGATTTTGGAATTAAGACTTAACTAAAAAACTCACCTGACTTTCTCTTTCTTTTTTAGCCATGAGTTCAAGTTCCTCTTTGGCATTACTCAGTTCTTTTTCCAGCCCTGCAACTGTGTCCAAGTCTCCTAAAATGAAAATATAGCACTAGTTTTAATTGCTATTAACATAATGTGGTATCTGCTGCCTCCTTTGAGTAATTTACAGAGGACACATTCCAATAATAAGAAAAAAGAAAACATACACACAGGTTGTTCTTTATAGCATTATTTATAATAGCAAAATACTGCAATCATCCTAGATGCTATAAAGAAAAGATTGAATAAACTATAGTATATTCACAGATGGCACTATATACTGATGTAAAAAAAGAATAAGGATGATCTTTATGAATTTATATGGAGTGATTTTGAGATTTTAAGAATATGTTAAGTAAAAACAAGCTATGTGCTTAAGAATACATCTAAAGTAGTAGGTTTTCTATTAGGAAAAAGGGGAAATAAGAATGTACATATATACATTACATATACGCAGATGATTCATTTGCTTATTTTTGCAAAAAGATATACAGGAAGAATAACCCAGAAATGAAACTGATTACCTGCAGGAGATGAGTGGAAACAGGAGAGAAGGAACAGGAAAATATTGGACATCTGAGTATATCATTTTATATACTAGAGTTTTGAACTGTGTAAATGTTTAATTTTTAATGTGTAAGTCAGTTTGACAATGAATGAGAGAGAAAAGGTCTAAAATTGAATACTAATATAAATAAATAAATCTATATAGCAAATAGATAACAAAACCATCCAGAAGATAATAAAAAAATTAATCCAAATAATTTTTGAACTCACTACTACTCTAACTGAACACTGTCAGTGCAAAATATCCTAAGGATAAAAAGAATTACAAAAAAATCTTAAACATTACTTAATACATTTATTGTTGATGGTGGTATTTATGTAACAATTCCAAAAATACTTTTGCATATTATAGTATTCTGCAACTGTGTAAATATTTTGAAATATATTGATGCTATAAGTAACCAGGGCTCTCAAGGAGATACAAATATGAAATGAGGGAAAAAAGAACCTATATTGTTAAATTGGAATTAAGGAAATCAGTATCAAATCTTCACATGTATACAAATACACACATACATACTTAAAAATATTCATTGCTAGTTCTGTTCTCTTAAAAGGGCCTAGAAGCGGCTGGGCGCAGTGGCTCACATCTGTAATCTCAGTACTTTGGGAGGCCGAGGAGGGCGGATCACGAGGTCAGGAGATTGAGACCATCCTGGCTAACACGGTGAAACCCCGTCTCTACTAAAAATACAAAAAAATTAGCTGGGTGTGGTGGCTGGCGCTGTAGTCCCAGCTACTCGAGAGGTGAGCAGAGAGATCGTGCCACTGCACTCCCACCTGGGTGACAGAGCGAGACTCCGTCTCAAAAAAAAAAAAGGTCCTAGAAGCAAAAGGCATTCATGTAGCAATGAACACATCTTGTGTCCAGATCATAGTTTCTGAATGCCATTACCCACCAAAAGGAACCAGGGAGCTCTTTAGGATAATGGCTGATTCTGGGACTGAGGCAGGTAAAGCAAAAGGTAATCATAGAACATCTTATTGTGCCAGAAACTATCAAACTATGCTAACATTATATATATATATAACATTAGTAGGTGATGTCAAGTTACAGTGAGTGGCCCCAGACTTGAAACGATACCCAGGAAAAGGTGTCAGCTCATGGCCCTGCTGTGCAGGATTGGAACAATTACCTCCTGCATTTCTGAATCCCTGCAAAGCTATCTGAAAAGGAGAGTAAGGATAGAATTTCTCTGGGCCGAATTGTGAACCCAGAGCAATAACCTCAACTCAACATAAGGTAAGGACAGTTCTTCAGCCTTTCAGAGGAATTCCAAACTTATTTGTTCTATTAAGGTAGGAAGAGAAAAGAGTCTTGGCCAAACCTATAATACAGAGATTACTAGAAGAAAAAACAAGAGAAAAACAAAGTCCCTTAATGAAATGAAATTTGATACTTACCTAATGTGGATCTGGGTATGCTGACATCCTCTTTGGCAGTCAATGAAGTGCTATCATCTCTGGAAGGTATCTGCATTGAACCCTAAAAAATTGCAAAAGTCAGGGGACTTAGGAAGATGCAGGAACTATGATCACAATGACAGTACTGAGAATATTCTCAGAATTTGGTATTAAAATTATCAAACTTACACCTCAAATGTAAAAAGGAAATGGAATCAGCATGAATTATGTAAGTCTATAGTTCTTACTTGATCAGTCTGTTTTCCAAGACGGCCAGTGGGGGTAACTTCAGCTTGTTGGTTAGAGATGGGTGCTTGGGACATCAGGGAGTCTCTCCCTCCTAAATATTGGTGCAGGGCCTGTAATTCTGAATTTCTTTCCATTAAGGCTTGCACCAACTTCTCTGCAGCAGCCTAGTAAGAGGAAATCACAAATAACATTATAAAGATATTCTAGTAAAACAAATTTTTTGTTCTGGTATTATTTCTTCAAAGTCAACCATTTGTAAAAAACAAACAACAATGACAACAACAAAAAACAGTGGGTCCTTAGGAAATAGTTTCCTTGCTTTCAGTTTACAGGGAAAAACAGAGTTAAGTGAATGGAAAGAAAGTCTCATAGGCAGAATATTGGGAAAAAAAACTGAATTTAACACATCTGTAACAGATAAGAGAATCTGAAATAGGTTCTGCTACAACTATCAGGCTAAGGTGTTAAGATTCTGGTTTGAATTAGTATAACAAATGTCTTTATTCTCGGATAGTTGCTTCTTAGGGGTGGATTCCTTTTCACTCAAACATTTGTGTGGTTTGCTCCCTTCAGGTCTTTGCCAAATGTCACCTTATCAGGTTGGTCTTTCCTGCATATCCTATCCAAAACAGCAATCTTGCTGGCCAAAGTATAAGATGAATATGTTTTGGGGATCCAATGATAGCATGGTGACTTTAGTTAATAATACTGTATTATTTACTTGAAATTTGCTAAGAGAGTAGATCTTAAGTGGTTTCACCATACACGCATAAAATGTGTAGTGACGGATGTGTTAATTTGATTGTGGCAATCACTTCAAAATGTATATGTATATCAACACATCATGCTGTACACCTTGAGTATATACAATATTTGTCAATTATACTTTAATAAAGCTGGGAAAAAAATTTTTTTAAAACCCAGCAATCTCTTCTCTATCTCCAACACTTCTTACTGTGCTTAATTTTTTTTCGATGCACTTACCATTATCTAATAGATCTCTCTCTCTGCTTCCCCTACATGGAATGTAAGTTTCCTAAAGGCAATTTGGTGCTGAATCTCAAGCACCCAGTACGGTGTCTGGCACATAATAGGCACACACTACATATTTACTGAATGAATCAATTACGCACATAAACATGTTTATCAGACCACATGATTAGGATAATCTCAACCTCAAAATCACCCAACTCAGCTTGTTTCATTTCAAATCCCAGTTTTCTAAGACAGATGATGACACAATAAGGGAAAGATCTAGAACATTTTTAACTATTAATGCACAGGAAGTCTGCATTTAAACAGAAAATCTGGAAATAATAAATTGATATTAAAATTACTGAGGGTCTAAGATGATGAATCATAACACCAACTGTCTCTGAGGAAAAGTACTATTGTTTTAGGGCAGAAGCTGAGCTCTTGTCACAATTTCTAGGGGAAATACGAAAAAAACCTTCCACTTTTCAGTAAGTAAAATTTGGGCTCTTTGGAGATTTGAATATAACTATTTTAGACGTATCAGAATATTATTAAAGTACCTTAATAAAAATATCTGTGAAAACTGTGGGGAAAAAACATAATAAATAATATACAAGATATATACTGTGCTCTATCTGCCTTGGCACTCCTTTTCTCGTAGTATTTAAGAGTTTTTAGCAGTGCTCCTCCAATGCAGTCCACGAACCTGCAGCATCACTATCACCTGGAAACTTGTTAGAAATGCAAATTCTTAAGTCCCACCTATACCTCGTAATTTCTTTCTCTGGAGTTGAGCTCCACAATCTACATCTTTAAAAAGCTATTCAGGTGATTTCTTTTGCACGTAAATTTAGAGAAGCAGATCTAGAAGAATACAACCATTAATCTTCT
Source organism: Homo sapiens (assembly GCF_000001405.40). NCBI lineage: Eukaryota > Metazoa > Chordata > Mammalia > Primates > Hominidae > Homo > Homo sapiens. Next base: position 120,540,438 of record NC_000001.11, read on the forward strand.
TGAGTTGAAAAATCTCCTGTAATTTCCATCATCTCCATTATTCTATTACCAGCAGTGCATAATTTTTTTTTCTGAGGTATAATAAAGACCAATTGTCCCAAATCACAAAGAAGTTAAAAAGAAAACTCAAAGATCCTAGCCTCTTGCCAAAGATTTAAATAATTTAGAATAATTTTGTTAGGTCTATTTTAGAAACAATTTCTGAAGCACACAGCAGGACCTTTCTAGAAAGATGTGTATTTACTTCAGTGGGCCTAACAATTAGAATAGTGGAGTATAATCCTTTCACAACATAAGAAAACATAAGAAAATATTATGGGGTCAAATAACATAGGCAAAAAAGAGTCTATCTTCCTCTAAAAACTGACTACGGGGATTCTGAGCTACTGGTATCTGAAATGCAGCACAAGTCAACTAAGAGTTTTTAGCCTTGAGGAGAAAACACATAGAAATGAGGAAAAATTAACAATTTACTATGGGCAGGGCATGGTGGCTCACGCCTGTAATCCCAGCACTTTGGGAGGCCGAGATGGGTGGATCACTTGAGGCCAGGAATCGTAAGCCAGCCTGGCCAACATGGTGAAACCCCACCTCTACTAAAAATACAAAACTTAGCGGGCATGGTGGTGCATGCCTGTAATCCCAGCTACTTGGGAGGCTGAGGCAGAAGAATTGCTTGAACCCAGGAGGCAGAGGTTGCAGTGAGCCAAGATTGCGCCATCGCACTCCAGCTGGGTGACAGAGGGAGATGCCATCTCAAAAAAAAAAAAAAAAAAAGAATTTACTTCTTAAATATTGTGAAATTAATATACCCTGTACTATTATGAGATTGTTTATTCTCACCATGACCTCTGAAAAATGCGATCTTTTTTCCCTCTTAACTCAGATTTTACAAAAACTAAGAGTAAACATGTTGAGTGTAAGTTTTCCCATACCTTGACTGGAAATGCAAAATATTACTCAAGTCTTAACAATTTAGAATCAAAATCGAAACACTCACAACCCCTACTCCTTTCTCTCAAAATTATCAGATTATTAAGGAAAAGAAAATGTATGTAATGAAGTTAATGGATACATGTATTGTTTAGGCACCCTTCCAAATGCAAGGTTTTCAAGAAATGTGTCATACTTTGATGATTAATGTAAAACTGTGGTCTAAGGCCAGGCGCAGCAGCTCACACGTATAGTCCCAGCACTTTGGGAAGCCAAGGCAGGATGATTGCTTGAGCCCAGGAGTTTGAGACCAGCCTGTGCAACACAGCGAAACCCCCATCTCTAAATAAGTAAGTAAATAAATAAAACTGTGGTTTAGGTAATAAATAGAAGGAAAGAAACTAACAGAGTTGACGGTAAAATATATAAATATACACACATCTATAGTCTGCAAATGCTTCCTATTTGCAGACTATAAATGCACTACACGACACTTGTCTGATCTGTGCATTAATCCTTACTTGGCTTTCCTGCTCCCTGGTGCTCACAGACTGAAGCAGGCCTTGAATCTCCATTTCATGTTCCAGCACTTGTTTATTTCGATCACTTAGAAGGTCCTGCAGCATCCTTTCCTTTCACTGTAGACGCTGGCACAGCTCCTCTGCTATCTCACTCTGCCCTGGTCCAAGTTTGCAGAGCAATGTTGCACTAAGATCCTAATGCAGAAAGGACACTGTAAGCTTCTGGAGGAAAGAAATGCCTCTGCTAAATATCAAAGGGCTTATAAGAATCTATCATAGAAGAAGGAGGTGTGAGATTCTTGAGAATAAGTATCATGTTTTACTCATTTTTGTTTTACCAGATCTAGCATAGGCCTGCTACACAGAAGTCTCTAAATACATGTCCCAGGAATGAATACAAACCATACAGAAAACTATCTCTGGTGGCCACTTACATACATATTGTTTTCTGAAATAAGTCTTTTTCCTATTTGTTCAGGGCATGTAACAATTAATGTTAGATGAGGATAAATGGACACTCAGTTCATTTATTTGTTTTCTCCCCAGTGTAACTTAACAGGGGGAAGCATAAAACGATAAGCTGAAAGGAATACTAAACACTATATTTGCTATCATAGCGATGGTTTCTATTTCTGTACTAACTGATGGCACATGGTGGAGGAATGGAGCCATACTGCCTAGGTTGATACTGGATCTGCTACTTATTAGCTATGTTAGCTTGGACAAGTTACTTAGCTTCAGAAGTCTGTTTCCTCCTCTATAAAAAGGAATAATAGAAAGTGCCTCATGGACTTGTGAGGATCCAATGAGTTAATATCCATTAGGATCTTAAAACAGTACCTGACCCAGCATGAAGACTATAACTAATAAAGGTTAGCTATCATGTTAAAGATGCAATTTTTGGGTCTCATTAATTCTCACATAAGTTCTTTGAGAAAGTTAATTGCCAACTTAAGTTTCTAGACGTGGGGAAAAAAAAAATCCCAGTGAAAGTCAATGACTTGCCCAGGCACAGAATGAAATTAAAGACTTGGGTCACAGGCCTCCCGATCTGAAGAGTCCTAATCCAAGGCTGAGATTACATAATCACTGAACCAACTGCCTTAAAGTTAACTGAAGTCTTGCCTCCACTTCTTTGTTCCTATCATGAAGAGACGTCTGTAACTGCTGAATGATACTCTCTTGTTCCTTCTGCCAACGGCTAAATTTGGTTTCCATTTCTTCTTTCAGCCACTGGAGGTTTTGACAGGTAGTAGATAACTGTTCCACTTCCAGGCCTTTGGCCCTCAGGAGACTCTCCATAGTCTACAGCCATAAAGAGAGCAATAATCAGTCAAAATGATTACCCCATACTCCTCAGGATAAACAAGAAATTAGATCCACTTTTAAATAATCTCCCATCAATTTTTTTTTATTTGCAAGATGAGAACATTGATCTAACAATGCCATACTAATCTATTTTTTTTGGTTTTTAGAAACTTTTATCTAGTTTGTGGAGAGATTAAATATAGAATATATGATAAAAGGAAGTATTTTGGAGGAAGTGCACTATGCTATAAAGGATTTCTCGAAAAAGTGGCAGATAGATACATAAGCTCTAAAATAAATATGCAAAAAAGTCCACAGTAAATATAGATAAACAAGTGTTCTAATTATGGCAATTCATGGACATGTAGATAATATTAATGTAGAAGACACAATTTAATAATTGCACCCTGGTAATGCTTCAGTAAAAGTAAGAGAGAGAGAGAAGAGTGTGTGTGTATGTATACTTATGTATGAACAAGAATTGGAAATAAATCAGAACTATGTAAACAGAAATCAATATTTACTGGCTCTCCTCACAAAGTTCATATTACAAAAGAAAAGTAGAAGCGCTAAAATCTCTCACTTGCTAATTGACAATGATGGAACTAGTAACTGCTCTTTTTGGTTTTCTTCCCCCTTATAAAGCAAAATCCCTGGTTTTCAGAAAATGATGGAAGGGGGTCATGCTTCAGGCTCAGGATACAAGTGGGAGAGGAACACCAAGTCAGAGATAGGTTTTGCTCTTACTTGCATAGTAGCTTCATTGGAGGAGAGGACATCGCGCAGTCTCTCTAGGTCATGATCTCGCTCTCTCACAGCAAGACGAAGCTGGCGCAGTTCTTTTTCTTTCTCTTCTAGAGCAGAGAATTTTTCATCTATAGCCCGCTGCAAGGAAAGGAAGACTCCTAAAGCTCTGTAAGATTTACTATCCTGATCACTCTTATTCAACAAGATGGCAGAATAGAAAACCAAATCCCAAAGCAGCAAATTTAAGCAAACACAAATTTCTATAATACCTATGTAGATAGAATAATCCATAGCATAGTGGGCGAAATGATGATACATACCTCCAGAGCAACAGCTTTATCACGTATTCGCTGGCGAAGTTTCTCAAGCAACATTTCATTTGCTTCAAGGGTTTTGTCTGAGTTATCTCGATACTGTAGGAGCTCCCGAAATTCCTGAGACCAAAAATAGTTTCTTTTATTCTTTTATCCAATATTAACTAAATTACCAAGTAATTTGCTAGTTATTCAGGATAAAAAAAAAACAAGATGTGATCACTCTCCTCAAAAGTAACAAGTTTAGCAGAGATAACAGACATATAAACTGTAAACTATTCTGCAACATACAACAGACACAACACATAGAATTAACTGTTCTGCAACATACGCTAGCCACCAGGGGAACACAGGATGCACTGCCTAACTCTGCCTGAAGGTGTCAGTAAAGACCTCACAGAGGAGGTAATATTTGCAGTGAGTCTTAATTAAAGGACTAGGATTTCCTAAGTGAAGAAGGGAGAGGAGGATACGTTAGAGAAAAAAAAATATGCACACTATGCATACAATGAAAAAATTGTACATTCAGTGAAATGTAGTGGATTCAATGTGACTGAAGCTTAGAGTAGGTGGCAGAACAGATCAGTCTCTTCTTAATGCTCCATCTTCCCCTCAAACTTTTATTCTATCATCAAAATTACTCTGTGGAAGTTTCTGTACAGTTTGTCTTCATCTATTAAACTGAGATCAGTAGCCAAATCTTTTGTCTTCCCAACACCCAGAAAAGTGTTTGATTCACAGAGGTGCTTAATAACTATTTTCTGAATATTAAGTCTTTATAAAAGACTTCATAAAAGACTGCTTAAGTCAGGGCTATATGTACTGTTTCTTATACTTGTTAGTAAGCATCTTAATTCACAAATTATATTTTCTATTTATTTTAAATCCTCCTGATTCCCACCTCTCTCAATGTTTTCCATATGGCAGGGACTCAGCACAGGTGGATTAATATCTTAAAATTATATAAACAAATTTCAGAGTTCTATGAGCCCAGTTTTCATTGAAATCATGTAAACTCACCTGAAGCAACTGCTCCTTGTGACTCAGACTATGGTTTAGGTGCTGGATGTTTTGTTCCTGGGTTCGAATCTCATTGTATTTTTCAGCCTCCCAGGCACGAAGCTGTTGGCTCTTATTCTGCAATACTTCTTGTAGCTGCTGCAAGGCTTTTCGCAATTCCTGAATTAAACATATTACCTTTTTAAAGAGATCTAAAATTGTCACATGGTTATTAGATACAGAGGCCTTAAAATTTTCAAGGTATATAAACTGAAAGAGGAGTAGAGGGTGCCATTATTAAAATTGCTATAGAAGTATTATACATGAATTGAATAGGATATGGAAAATTGTAAAAGTTGTGAATGGGGTAGGAAGTAAGCTTGATATTATAGTTCAATACTTATTTTTTGGCTTAAAAAGAATACATCTATAGAACCATTAAGTGAGAATCTGTCCTACGGTAAACCTGGATTATTTACAATAAGCTCAAGGATAAACTATTCCTATCATCCTTTTTTCTAAAGATCTCATAGAGACCATCACTCTTCTTTCTTAGTTTGCCATAATTATTTTTCTAATAATAAAGTCAGTAATCTTTAAATCATCTGTTACTTTAGAAAGCTACCAAATACATATTCTCAACTAAACAAATCTTGGGGAAATGTTTCCTTTAGCTAAATAACAAAAAGTTAAGAATTATTTCTACCTCCATCCCTCCACCACTCCCCGACCCTGCCCAGACATCTGAAATTTTAATATTTCTTTTTTTTGAGATGGAGTCTCACTCTGTTGCCCATGCTGAAGTGCAGTGGTACAATCTCGGCTCACTGCAACCTCCGCCTTCCGGGTTCAAGCATTTCTGTGCCTCAGCCTCCCAAGTAGCTGGGATTAAAGGCTCCTGCCACCACACTGGGCTAATTTTTGTATTTTTAGTAGAGACGGGGTTTCACCATCTTGGCCAGGCTGGTCTTGAACTACTGACCACATGATCCACCCACCTCGGCCTCCCAAAGTGCTGGGATTACAGGCGTGAGCCACTGTGCCCAGCCAAAATTTTAATATTTCAAAAGGAAATTCAGGGCTAATATTTGATCTCCAAACCACTAAACCAGGGAGATCCTTCAAAAATTACTTTTAAACCTGAGTGTTAAAGAGCTTAAGAAGAGACCACACACAAAAAAATCTTTTAAATCTTAAACAAACACATACACTCTGACCTAACAAGATAAAGGAACCATTTAAGAGTTGTGTATTTTGGCCCAGCGTGGTGGCTCACGCCTGTAATCTCACCACTTTGGAAAGCCAAGGTGGGCAGATCACCAGAGGTCGGGAGTTTGAGACCAGCCTGACCAACATGGAGAAACCCTGTCTCTACTAAAAATACAAAATTAGCCAGGCATGGTGGCGCATGCCTGTAATCCCAGCTACCAGGAGGCTGAAGCAGGAGAATCGCTTGAACCCGGGAGGTGGAGGTTGCAGTGAGCCGAGATTGTGTCATTGCACTCCAGCCTGGGCAACAAGAGCAAAACTCTGTCTCAAAAAAAAAAAAAAAATGAAAGAAAGAAAGAAAAGAAAAGAAAGAGAGAGAGAGAAAGAAGGAAAGAAAGAGGCCGGGTGCAGTGGCTCACGCCTGTAATCTCAGCACTTTGGGAGGCTGAGGCGGGAGGATCACGAGGTCAGGACATCGAGACCATCCTGGCTAACACGATGAAACCCCGTCTCTACTAAAAATGCAAAAAAAATTAGCCGGGCATGGTGGTGGCCAGTGCCTGTAGTCCCAGCTACTTGGGAGGCTGAGGCAGGAGAATGGCGTGAACCCGAGAGGCGGAGCTTGCAGCGAGCCGAGATCGCACCACTGCACTCCAGCCTGGGCGACAGAGCGAGACTCTGTCTCAAAAAAAAAAAAAAAAAAAAAAAGAAGGAAAGAAAGAGAGAGGAAAGAAAGAAAGAAAAGAAAAGAAAAGAAAAGAATCGTATATTTATTATTCAAAAATAAAAAATAAAAAACAGGGCTGATTATTATGCATGTCATTCCTCTGACCTTAGTGGTTCTTCCCCACTTTTCTGCCTGGTTTTACCCATCCTTCAAGAATAACCTCAGATGTCTCCTCCTTCATGAAGTTTTCCTTGATTCCTTTTCCTTGACTCCTTTCCTAGATATTCCTGTAGGACCCCATATATACATCCCCTTCAGAATTTACCACACTGAAACTCAGCTTATGTGACTGTCTCTCTTACTGAACTATAAGTAACTTAAAAGAAAGGAGCCTGTGCTATTCATCCTTGTATTTCCAGGGCACAACTCAATACGGCAGTCGCCCCTTACCCACAGGGGATACATTCTAAGACGCCCAGTGGATGCCTGAAACCAGATAGCACTGAAGCCTGTGTATACTGTTTTTTCCTGTGCATAGATAACTATGATAAAGGTTTACATACAAATTACACGTACTGACAGATTAACAATAACAATAAAATAGAAGAATTATAACAACATGCTGTAACAAAAGTTACGTGAGGGAGGCCGAGGTGGGCAGATCACGAGGTCAGGAGATCGAGACCATCCTAACACGATGAAAACCTGTCTCTACCAAAAATACAAAAACAACATTAGCCAGGCATGGTGGCGGGCGCCTGTAGTCCCAGCTACTCTGGAGGCTGAAGTGGGAGAATGGCATGAATACAGGAGGCGGAGCTTGCAGTGAGCGGAGATCGCGCCACTGCACTCCAACTTTGGCGACAGAGCGAGACTCTGTCTCAAAAAAGAAAAGTTACGTGAATGTGGTCTCTCTTAAAATATCTTAATGTTTTTTGTCTGTGGTTGACCCCAGATAACTGAAACCATGGAAAGTGAAACTGTGGATAAAGAGGGACTACTGTAACTAGCATATGGTACAAGGGCAGCAAGTGTTGAACTGAAATACTTAGATTATGCAACTGACTCAAGGGTTCAACACAAACTGTCCTGCTAAAAAGTTATGATCAGGGCAAAGTCAGCATTTAGGGCAATAAAATAGTTAATGATTTACCTGGTTATGTTTCCAAGAAGCCTCTTTCTGCTGTTCACTCTCGTGTGCTGCAGCCTCTACAAATTGCACACATTGTTTGGCATCAGCCAGTTGGCGCTCTTTCTGTCGTACCACCCTCTGGAGCTTCTGTATTTCAAGTTGGCTGCAGAATAAAGCACTCTGAAGATCAAGCAGAGCTACCTGTTGCTGAGCTGGAGAAGTACCCTCTGAGCTCTGAAAAGAGAGTAGAAATCACAATCACAAGGAGGGCAAGCACTGAGCTCCCACAAAGACTGAAAATAAAATCAAGACTGCAACCAAAATGGCACATCCCCAACTGAAGTCTCTCCTGTCCTATGTGACCCTCACATACGTGAAGTTGTCCAAGCTGGCTTTGGTGCAGCATTTCTCGAAGCTTTGCCATTGTGTCATTTTGACCTTCAATTACCTGGTACAACTCCTCAGTCTGAAAATGAGAGAGGGAATATCAAATATGTTAGTAAACTAATTATAAATTCCATTATATCACCTGTACACATTTTAGTAACAGGACTATTCCAAAATATCAATTGAGATTAAGCTACAACTTCTCCAGGCTAAGACATGCTAGTCTGACAATATCCATTTTGACAAAATATAAAATACTTGTCTACTTTGAAGGGACCAATTGTTTCCACACAGGTCCTTGATTGGTAAATATGTTACCTCACGTTCCCTGCTTTTCAGAGTTTCCTTGAGGTTCTGAATTGTACCATCTTGCTTTTGAGACAACTCCTGAGCACACTTTAGTTCATAGCTCATTTCATTAAGTTTCTCTTGAAGAATCTGAATTCAGCAAAGAAAAACAGTTTTTTAGGTCAATGATGTCTTTTAGCCTCAAATGAATAAAGCCTTTCCTCAAATCTAGGATTTAAAGAATTTCTTAGGGGATATTACCTTGTTATTTTTCCTACATAGAGTAACCATTAAAGTGGTAAGTCAATCAGCAACAAAAAGTAGCAGGAGAAATGAAATACTTCCTTCAATACTAAATTGTCTCAATTTTCATGCACTGTGATCTCTCTATGATGGTAGCCATACTAGGAACTTGTCCACATGGACCAAGTAGGCAAGTGGTTTCTAATATGGATCCCTTATACAAGGACCAAAGAGCTTCTGCTATCTAGCATAGGAGAGGGCACTATAAGGGCACCCAGGCCACAAGTTCAGCATCCCAAATTGTAGCAATTTTCTTCTAAGCCAGACATTAAAATTCATGGGCTAGAAAGTAGTAACAAGTTAAGCTAAAATAAAAAACACAGACCTCCTATCTCAGTGCCTTTTACAGTGGAAGATTGCATGCAAGTGTTTTTTTGAGACAGAGTCTCTCTCTGTTGCCCAGGCCTGAGTGCAGTGGCATGGTCCTGGCTCACTGCAACATCCACCTCCTGGGTTCAAGCGATTGTCTTGCCTCAGCCTCCCAAGTAGGTGGGATTACAGGCGTCTGCCACAACGCCTGGCTAATTTTTTTTTTATTTTTTAGTAGAGACAGGGTTTCACCATGTTGGCCAGGCTGGTCTCGAACTCCTGACCTCGTGATCCTCCTGCCTTGGCCTCCCAAAGCACTGGCATTACAGGCATGAGCCACTGCGCCGGCCTGCATGCAAGTTTTAATTACACACCTGAAAAGCACCAGAAATTATGATCTGTATAGAACAAGCTAAAATCTTCATAAGAATAAAGGGAAGAACTACACTTTTACATGAAATATTCCCTAGAGCACAAGGAGTACACAGTATTCATCTCCCAAGTCCTACAAAGGTTGACAGACTCAGGCTAGAGCCAGTCACATCCTCAGGAAAACCTTGTCATCTCCTAGGGCATAGTACTAATCATACCTTGTTGGTGGCCTCTGTTTGCTGGATTTTTTCCTGGAGTTCTGCCAAGTGGGAATCAGATACAGACTGCTGAGTTATAGTGGTCTCATGTGAATTCAGCTTTTGTTGTTTCAGCAACTCTTCAGTCATGGGCTAGGAAGAAACGGCAAAACGAGTAAGGTGAGTTAAACATGGCCAACAAAATTTTTTTTTTGTCTTCAAAAATGTCTGTTGCATCTTTTGCCAGAGATTTAGAGAATCAGATTTGTTGCATAAATTATCAGTATGAATTCCTAAAGACAGGTCTGTTCCTTATTAAGAACACTGATTCACCTCCATTTGTACTATGCTCCCCAGCTTCCCTCTCCACTTTTCTGTACCAATTCACACAAACACTACATGTTTATTCAGCGAAAGCAAGTAATTCAGAGTTCAATGAGAAGGGGAGGATTTAATAAAGGAAATGCTTACAATGACCAAATATTTGCTTTATTCTATTTTTAATCAAGGAGTTGAAAAGGCATACTCATCAAACTTACACTTCCTGAGAGAAGTTACATTCCGGCTACCTTTCTTACAACATGCTTGTTTCACATTATTGGAAAAAATTGGCAGATTTTGATATGGATTATATATTAGGTAACAGTATTTTATCAATGTCTAATTTTCTAAATTTGATAGTTGTACTGTAATTATATAAGAGATGTCCTTGTCCTTAAGAAATAATGCTTAAGTATTTAGGGTAAAGGAGTATACTATCTACAACTAATTCTCAAATGGTTCAAGAATTTTTAAAAAATACTGTGCAAATACAGACAGTGGGAGAGTTTATAAAGCAAATGTGACAAAATATTTGCAACTGGTAAATCTGGGTAAAGGGTATATGGGAGTTCTTGGTATTTCTCTTATAACATCTCTGTACGTTTGAAATTATTTCAAAATAAAAAGAGAAAAATTAAAATAAATTTAAAATAGATGTGCCTAAAGGCAGATTTATAGCATAAGCACAGATAAATAATCCATAGTGAAATGGGAAAGAGATATATTTTATAGGAATATCAATTCACTTAAAAGATTCAGGAGAAAAAAGTATGATTTTATATATGGGATAATTTATATATGGAACAATGATTTATATATGGGACAATAAGATAAACTTATTGAACTATTCTTAGTAATCATTACAAGCTAAGGATGTTAAAATAAAACTACAAATTTACTGCGGCAATTAAATTTGATCTTCCCGCCTCCATACCTGCTTCCATTCCAATTAGGAATATAAACTCATTAAGAGAGAAAAGGCAACTGCTATTCATTTTTTGTTTCCCTCACACTTTCAGACTTGATTACCACCTTCAAGGCAGTGGAGTTACAGCTTACCTTAAATCCCTTCCTGCCAGCAACTGACTGGAAGCATAAAAATTGCAGAAGAAAAATCTCTTCTATTCCTCCAGTGCTATTTATCAACTTTTCTAACACCTACTAAATGCTATAATAAGCAAAGCACCATGTGAGGCACTGTGAGGAATACAATGCTGACATAACATATATCTGTTGCACACTAACTATGTGCTAGGCACTGTCTTGAAGATAGAGTATCATGCAAGACAAAGTCCCTGTGCTCTTGAAACTTATATTTTGCAGGGGTTGGAGTGGGGAGTACATGATAAACAAACAAGGAAATGCAAAAAATATTATGGACAAGCCCTGTGTGGCAAAACAGGAAAGCATAATACAGAGTGGGTGGTTAAATTACCCTAAATTGTTTGATCAGAGAAAGGTCTTTATGAGGCAGCATTTAAATAGATATCTGAAGGAAAAAGAATCAGTCCTGCAAAGATCAGCAGAACAATCCAGGCAGAAAGAACAGCTAATGGAATATGAGCCTGGAAAAGAGAAAGGCCTCTGTGGCTAGAATAGCACTCTCCAATAGAAATATAATGTGAGCCATGTATGTAATTTTTAATTTTCTAGTAGCTTCAATGAACAAAGTACAAAATAAATAGGTAAACTTAATTTTAACAAAATATTTTATTTAACCCAATATATCCAAAATGTTATCATAAACATGTAAATAATATAAAAATTATTAATGAGATAACATTATTATCTGAGATAATATTACATGATTTTTCATAAGTCTGAAATTCAAGGTATATTTTATACTCACAGCACATCTCAATTTGGACTAGCCACATTTCAAGGGTTCAACAGCTCCTAAGACTAGTGGCTAGCTTACTGGATAGCACAGGGCTAGAGCATAGTGGGCAAAGGGGACAGGGAAACTCAATGAGATGGAGAGGCAGGCAGGCACCAGGTCACATCCAGCTTCAGACAACAAAGTTAATGAACTGGATTTCATTTTAATTGAAATGAGAATAGACTGCAGTTTTTTAACAGGTAATCATACAGAAGTTTTGAAAAGATCATGCTATGGTGAATGAATTATTGGGGAGCACCAAGAGAAGCAGAGAGACCAGGTAGGAGGCTGCTGCGGTAGTGCAGGTGAAAGACAATAGTAGCTTGGATCCTGGTGGTTAGTAAAGGGAGGGGGAAATAAATGGATAGATATGGATATGTTTTGAAAGTATAGCTAACAGGACTTGCTGGTGGACTGGATAGAGGGAGAGGGAAAAAAGCAGCAAGGATAATGACTTCTGGAAAAATTATTTGAGATATTTGTTGTTGTGGGTATAACAGGAAGCCTTCACCTGAGGCAATATGAACTATGTCACACCATGGGCAAAGTAACCACATTAACAGATGTTTACAATGATTCTAACTAATAAATAAATTCATCATTTACTTAATGATAAAACCATCTCTATAAAATTTGGCTTCTTACTTCTTCAGCGTAAAACAACAGTAACACCTACAGTAAGATACTTTGAAATTCAAACTACAACAGGCAGAATTAAAGAAAATAGCTTCAAGTTTAAAATGGCAAGGAAGGTGGTCATATTTATTTACTTTAAACCAAACAATCTTACAGTGGTGAAGGAAACTTTATAAACTAACCATCTGATCCAATCCTATTTTACATACAAGGAAATGGAAACTTAGAGAAGTAATTAGTCCAAGGTTTCATGGGAAATCAGGAAAAAGATCCAATTAAACTGAACTGGATTTCCACTCAGGTTGGGAATGTATCTCTCATTTCTATAAACCCATTGCCTACCATAATGCCGGGAATACTGCAGAGATCAAAAGTTTTTGTTTAATGAACAAATAAGAACAATAAAAACAAACAAAAACGGGCCTTTAGTGGCTCTCTTAGAAATAAGACTGTATATAACATATATTCGAACAGCAACTTTAAAGCCAAAGAATGCCACAGGAAAATACATAATGTATTTGAATCTCATATGAATCAATCTTGACATGAATAATAATAAGAAACCTCTTTTTCTATAAATAATGTACTGACCTAAAAGTTGGAAGATATTTGTTTCTTCTTTATTTGTAATAATTTACTATTTTGCATCTCAGAAAAATGTCCTTGCAGGTAACAGTCTGCTGAAAGAGCACTTAGCAAGTCCCACTAAGCCAACAACATAATGAATTCTTGTGAAGTATCAAGTACATAAAACAGTCACTCCTACAATGATAGTGTAGCCCATGAAATAAGTAATACCTGATTTGGTAGAATCAGTGTTACTCTCTAGACACTCAGGTACTAAAATCATGTGGAAATGATAATATAATTTTAAATTAAGTCACTTTTGACTCAGAATTAGGACAAAGGCTTTCCAGTATCAGAAAAGAGAACCGCTTCCAGGCCTAGTGTTGCACAATATGAGACTTTTTTTTAGGCTAAGGCCAGTTTTTAGACTTTTTGTGTTAACAGCAGTTTTCTTGGCACTTTCTAGTCCTCACAGTAGTGAGTTATAGATCTCAAACTGCTATAATTGTCAACCCTATTGTTAATAATAGGAGACAGACAAGAACCATTGACTACCATAAAATTAAAGGCCTAATCTTTTACCAGCATCTAATGCCAACATCTTCCAAAGGGCCTGATCCACTTCACATAACTAAAATAAGAGTGGGATAAATTTACCATAGTCACAAAGGAGCAGACCTTGGCATTGCAAGGTTTAAGGCAAAGATCTTCTGTTCTTTGAATTTAGATAGAAAGGGAAATTGCACATGGGCCAGAGCTCATTGCTGTTTACTAAGGGACCACATCCCTCCCATCATAGCTTTTCTAGTTCAGGGCCAGACAATGAAGAAGGGAATTACCAGCTAGAAGAAGGCTTCAAACCTTTCTTTAGATATCTGAACAGCCTTAGGTCCTCATACATAAATTCTGTAGAAGGAAAATAAATTACTTTGTATAATATCAGAATATCAGTAAGCAGAACTACACTGTTGCTATTTTTCTTTAATAAATAAGAAAGGAACAAAGAAAAAGACGGAAAGAAGGAAAGAAAAAAAGAGGAAAAGCAATCAGGAGGAATCCTGATGTCAATATTTAATAGTGCATAAAATATGGTAAGTGGAGGATTAAACAAAGGAATCAAAATAACCTTACAGAACAATCTTGCTCTTTAAGATAAAAGGTTTTCTCCATATTTGTGGCAGAACTGAACTAAAGGAAACATTTTTTTCTTTCATGGTTTCGTGTTTCTACAAACTAAAAAAGAGAACTACCAAAAAAAATTACATTATTTCTATTCTTTCCATATTTGTTCAGAGAAATAGACAAAAACCAGTCTGCCATTGTCCCATCTAGCACTGGTTTTGTCATAAGGCTCTTAAGGAGCTTAAAAGTAACCAGATTTAAACAATAGATACACTGCCCATTTTATTTACAAACATGTTGGGCCCAATTCATCTATTTTCCCTGACATCCTAAATTATTAGAGAAAATGGCATAATAATTAAATGCCACATTTCTTGAAGCTGAATGACATTTTCTCCCACCTCCTAATTTTTGTTTTTCTAGAAACAGTAAACAATGTAAGTCAAGTCACAGCAGAAAGGTCATACACTACCATCTTAAAGCTCTAATGTCCAAATTTAGTGAAGTAAAGGGACTTGACCTAAAGATACAGTTACCATAGTTTATATGTGTTCATTCAGATGACAATTTTTTTCACATAATCTCTAAAGAATCCTCCGAGCATCCTTAGGTTAGAGAAAGAGGGCTCCTGGTTTAAAATAAGTACTTACTTAAATTAATATACTTCAGACAATGGGGTTTAATGTATAGAATTAAAGTGTCTTGCCTGAGAATGGTCAGAAATCTTTGTCTCTGCATGGGCTACGTTAGTTAAACAAGGAACTTTCTATATCTCCAAATTGAGAGACTGCCTGAAGATGATCTTTAAAATCCTTCTCCACTCCAAAATCCAGTCACCAAAATACAGTATTTTATTTAAATACGGAGAAAAAAAGATCTTGTTTTGGCTGTTATTTTCTCAGTCTTTATGTAACGTTCTACAATATTGGTCATATTTGGTGGCGGGCTGGGGGGACGAGTTTATTTCCCATCCATCCTGGCCCAACTAATTTTAGACCCTAATATGAAAACACCATGTTTAATTTGTAACACCTATGTCTAATCACAGAAATACTGTAAAGCCCAAATTTAGCTGCGAGGCTCCACTGAAAGAAAAAGCAAAAGAAAAGAAGTACACAGTGTTAAGCATACAGTGCTTAACATTTTATACAAAATGAAAATGCACTGACTTTTTACCTTTCATGACACTTTCATCTATGCTGTTTCTCATCTATGCTGCTTCTCATAATTTTGTGTAAATTTAAAAACTTTTCTCCTGTTTTCTGCTTAGGTTCTTATTGTGATAGACAGTATACATACCATAGAACTACTTTCCAAAAATTTCAAGTGGCCATCAACAATGTCACTTATCAAGCTCTAAATTTCTGGAATGACGTTGACCAGTAGCAGGCTTTCTAAAAAACGCCTTCTAGATCACATCTACCTTTGTGACAGTATTGTTAAATAAGTTGTATCAAGTGGAACATGCCAGAATGTTTCACAAAGTTTATTGAAGCTAGCATTTACTGTTGCTATAGAAACAAACTACCATAGTTGAATTTAAAAGGTTGGTACAGAATCAATTGGGCAGACACGAATAGCTCAAATTAAGCAATTAAGAATTCAAGACTGTAATGAATGAAACTCTCCTCTGATCCAATAATGGGTTAATCCTTTCTTAATATCAAATATCTTCCAGTAGAACTCAGTAGAGTTCTGGCTGTGAACAGTTTATGCCTTAACCTTTTGACTGACAATACTGTACTTGAATACTTGAATTCCTGTCTCTTTTATGAATGAGTCATCACTAATCCTCAAATGAACTATTAATTCTAATTAATATGGTCCAGATGTTATAATACTTTACTGGTGGATTAATAGGCTTTCCCCAAACCTTTTACCTTATGCTCTAATCATTTACAGGCATTTTGCGGATGAAGGCTTTAATGCTCCAGGAAGAACTAACTAGAGAACTAACTGCCTTACAGAAAACCATTGGGAGGAAACGTCTATAAATCTGAAAACAAGAACAAATCTTAAAAGTTGGAAAAAAAAAGAGGTAAGAGGAAAAGTTCTAGTGCCAGAAATGAGATTAAATGTCTTCTTTTTATAGGAAAAAAGTGAAGTAGGAATTTTTACCTTTTTGTTTTAAAAGGTATACAATTTTGATAATGGGAAAGCCAACAGATTTTACAAAAAGGATTGTGAAAATCAAATTGAGTGCAAATCACGTTTACTAAATGAGACATAGCAAAAGGTGCAGCAAAAATGGGGTCATGACTAATTTTCTCAAGTCCAGAATATTTCTAACCTCCACCTAGACCGAAATCACGTGAAGCCAGAGGCCAGCTAGCTATAATCAGAAAGGCACTATGTAGACGTTTTGTATACCTGGACCCGGAGAGGCAAATAATCTTCACAGAGATCATCCCACAGCTCCTGCAGGTCTGAAAGCTCCAAGGGATAACTCACAGGTGTCTTGTAAAGGGGTTTCAAAGACCTGTTAAGGAAACCGGAACTAACTCCATCTGTCATGCTAGGGCCAGGCTTGGCTCCAGGTAGGCTGGATTTCACTGGAATCGGAAGCCTGCTCCCTCGGGGGCTCTGGATGGGCTTATAATCAAGACCTTTAATCATGCTAAGAGCTAATTCCAGCTTGTGATTACACCCATGCTGCGGAGCCTGATCATCTGAACAACAGTCACACTTTCCAAGTTCCTTTGCACTTCTCTCAGTCTCCTCATCTTCCTGTTGTGGAGGGCTAGCCTGGACGCTTGCATCCAAAGATTCCACAGAGGAACCAGGCGTCTCTTCCTCCATGCTTTCTCCATCTGGGGGTACCTTTGTGCTTGCTAAGTCGGGTGGCCCAACCTCAGACAACGCTGGTTCTTCAGCGCAAATGCTGGTCGACCACCTGCTAGAAGGGCCGCAGGAGATACTTCTGGCCACCTTTCGAGGTACCTTACAAATGGCTTCATAGTCAGAATCAGCAACCCGCAAAGCGGCACAACCACGGCATCTCCTGGGTCGGTTTCCAGGGCCTTCTGAACCATGGCAGCTGTGTGGCTCCTGGATCTGATCCTCATTCTCCACCCAGCACTCAAACCCTGAATAGGCGAAGTCCTCCTGGAGCAGTGTAGAGTATCTCGCATCGGGTAAGACGGACATGTCAACCGTCCCATTCCCCGCCTTGATCTCCACGCCAGAGTCATCGTTATTCTTCCGATACATACTGGCAATGCAGAACTTGAGGCGATCCTTCTCCAGTTGCAGCTTTTGCAAGCGCTCAATAGAAAGCGCTTCAATCCGGGCAATAACTGTGTCGAATCGATAGATTCGATCAAGCATGAAAGCACACTTGCTGCAAGCGAACTCGGCTTTGCCATCGCGGGGGACATCCTTGCCCAAGACGTGCGAAAGCAGAACCTGGAGATTGAGCTTGGACGCCGTGTGGAAGATCCAGCGCCGCTGGTTTCCACACAGCTCTCGGGCACAGATCCTGCAAATCTCCTTCATCTTCCCTCCTAGCGGGTGGCAAGCTTCCCGAGGCGGCGGCGGCGGCGGCTACTGGGTGACCACTCAATGGCTCTTCGCCGCGCTCTGTCTCCCGCCTCGGTGGTCTCCGGTCAGCATGGCACAGCCCAGTGGGGTCCCCACTCTGCAGGGGCGCGCCCCTGTCCCGCGCGCCGACTCCGGGTACCAGAGCCGTCAGCCCCGCCCCTCGGGCAGGGGGCGGGCGTGGAAACGCCTAAGAGGATGCTGAGTGACAGAGGCGCAGGCCGCGCTCCGACCCTGCCATGTCTCTCCCCAGCTGTCTCTCCCGCCAGCCGCCGCGTCCTCAACGTCCTCCCCTTTTAGCAGACTGGGCTCCCGGAGCAGCAGCGGCCGGCCGCCCAGACGCAAAGCCTCGGGGATGGAGGATCAGATTTCAAGATGGCGCCAGCGGCTTCGCGTCTGCGGCCTCCACAAGGCTCTTCTGGGAGCTGTAGTCCGGTCAGCGGGCTTCCGGCTCTGCGCATGCGAGGTAGCCAGCGCGACCCTCGCCCCAAATCCGGTTGCACACCTGGCTCACGGCGAGTGCGGAGCAGAAAGCACTACTGGCGCGGGCCACAGCCAGCCGCTTTCATCTGCTAAGACCTCACCTGAAAGGCGCACCAGTGCCCTCAAGGATCCTCCCGCCTCTGCAGGATGTCGAGGCTCCTCCTCGCCGGGAGGAGAAAGCGGAATCCCCTCCCTGCATTCTCGGACAGTGCCACGTCCTCCGGCTGCCAGCGGGGCAGCGCCGCTAGGTACCGCTGCGCGCCGCCCCCGCTTCCCGCCAGCAGCCTCACCTTTCCCGGCCCCGCCCCGCCTGGGTTCTAAGGGCCTGAGGCTGCGAGGCAGGCGAGGGAAGGCTTGGTAACGGAGGGGCGGGGCCGTGCAACCCTTACCTCGACTCTGAACAGGAATGTCCAGAAAAGAGTAGAGGAGTGTTTCTCCCTTGATGTGGGTGGGGGAGGGTTAGTACCCGTGGGTGACTTGCCCTTCTTTAGATAAAAAAGCACAGAGCAGTCACCTAAGAGTCCGGCACATACAATGTGAATCTGGTTAACCAAGATCTTGAAGATAGTAGAAGAGAAATGGGCTTTTTTAAGGATGCAGCCAGCCGCGAGTAGATTACCACCATTGAAGTCCCTTTCCCTCAGGTAGAGGGCAGTCATTATTTTAGGACAGGGGACGGTAGACAAACACTAGCGCAAAAGACAGAGCTTCTTTCCGTAAGAGCTCGAGTGTCTGGGAATGCAGCTCGCGCCAGAAAGGACTGGGAACTTCACTGACTTCGGTGAAAACCATGTCTTACTCAGCATTGTACAGTGATAGGTCCTCCACCCTTGGGTCCAAAACTTAGATTGCACACAAAGAGGAGGGAAGCTGGAGCCCTGACTAGGTAGAATGCTGGTACCTCCGGCCATTTTTAATAAGGAATTATCTTCCTGGCTTGAGAGGCATTCAGACACGTAACAAGAGGAACAACCTCAGCAATCACTTGCAGTCCCCTAGAGCAGGACATTTCCCAGTTCTAATCATGCTAAATTTTTACTAACTTGACCTTGTAAGCTAAGGCCAGCAACATCTAAGTTTTTCTGAACCTCATCCCCAGGACAGAGTCCATAGTCCTAAGCCTGAAGACATCCAAATGCCATCTCTGAGAGTTCATAATAAGCCCCCAAACTTCTTATTGAAGACTAAATGAGATGATTTTGAGGAAATGCTTTAACCGTGTTTCGCTCATTAAATAATAGCTAATATTATTATTTTACTATGAATTGGAATATTTTCAGTAACTTTAAAACATTATGGGGCCCTGCCTACATAAGATTGTATTGTTCTCTTAATCACCAAAGCAAAATCTTGTAGCTCCATTGTAAGAGAAAAGGACAGTTCTTAGAGCTTTGGGCTTAGTAGGTGATATGATTTGAATATATGGCCCCACCAAATCTCATGTTGAATTGTAATCCCCAGTGTTGGAGGTGGGGCCTGGTGGGAGGTGTTTGGGGCGGTGCGGGGGGCAGATCCCTCATGGGTTTGTGCTACCTTTGCAATAGAGAGTGAGTTTTTCTGAGATCTGGTCATTTAAAAGTGTGTGGTGCCTCCACCGCTCCATCTTGCTCCTGCTCTGGCCATGTGACTTGTTTGCTCCCCCTTCACCTTCCTGAAGCCTCCCCAGAAGCCAAGCAGATACCAGCACCATGCTTCCTATAAAGCCTGCAGAACTGTGAGCCAATTAAACCTCTTTTCTTTATACATTACCTGGTCTCAAGTATGTATAGCAATGCAAGAATGGCCTAATATCAGGCTATAGAATTTTGCATATGTAATTTCATCTACTATGTATATTCTGTCTCAAAAACCAAGAATAGAAAAGCAGTTCAAGTAAAACCACAGCTGCATTTTTGCCTGCCTCTAGGTATGTGAGCTTCAAAGTTGGAAGAAATTAAGCAACATGCTTTGGAATCTATGGTGATCTATAGAAAGGCAAAGTTTCTGGACTCACCCTGACTGATGGAAAGACAGACTGCCTGCCAGGACACTACCCTGCTGTACCCAGTCTTAAGTATAATAAAGATCTCATTTTTTACTGTCAATGCAAGCCACATTTTCCTATTAGGAAAATGTGAATGAAACAAAGTGCTCTTCAAGAGCAAACCCTGAATTATACTTTGGGTTATTCTCTGTTCCTCAAAAGGATTTTGCATCTAACTGATAGTCTCCAAATTGTAATGACAGTATATAGATAGCTTGGTGTAGACATACAGGTCAATACAAATGGAGAAAAGGCAATTTGCCATTGAAGAATATGTTTGCTTTAAGTAAAGATCAATATACTAAGAAAGCTATACATATCTAGACTTCCAAAAACAGATGGGAATAAACTACTCAGCAATCAGAATATTCGAAGATGGCACTCTGTTCACTTCCAGAGAAAATAGTTCAAAACTGTATCTCAAAGTGGATATAAGCTATTGTACTAGAATTAGTCCCTGTGTGAGCATTTGGCATTATAAAATAAGATGTTCCCAATGAAAAGATCACTGGTATGTAGATAATAAAATGTGAAAATAAAAATTTAAAAATAAAACAAAAATTATGTGATAATAAATTTTGCACTCCTTGGTCCTTATCATTATTATCTTGTGGTCAAGAGTTTGCAGTTGAACTGGTTACCTATGGTGGGGCTATACAAGGACATTTACTTTTTATTCTACATACTGTGTATCATTTGAATTTTGGACAATGAATGTTTATTCAGGTATTAATTTTAGATTTTATTTAATTTAGAAAACATTTTATAGTTAAAATAAGGGCTGCCAATTTAACACACTAATGTCAGGGTCTAAGTGGTAAAACTTGAACCTAAAATAAGAATTTTTATACTACCTATGATAAATATATAATATAAGAAGATAACTTATATAAACAAAAGTTCAAAGGGGATCCACAAGTTATTAGTAATGGTTATGTCTAGAGAGTGGAATTATGGACATTTATTTTCTTTTTTCCTTATTTTCTATAATTTTTTACATTATGTATTACATACTTTAAATAACTTTAAGTACTTACTGCTTTTGTACTTAAGTATATAAAAAGAAAAAATATAATTGTTACTAAGAAAAAGGTAGATGAAACACATTTTGGTGTATTCATACAATACAATA
Source organism: Homo sapiens (assembly GCF_000001405.40). Lineage (NCBI taxonomy): Eukaryota > Metazoa > Chordata > Mammalia > Primates > Hominidae > Homo > Homo sapiens. Next base: position 120,561,824 of record NC_000001.11, read on the forward strand.
CAGTACTAGCCAGCGATCAAAAAGAATGAACTCAGATACATGCAACATGGATACATCTTGAAAACATTTTAAGTGAAACAAGCCATATGCAAATGAGTACATCCTGTGTGATTCCATTTATTTGAAGTCTGACAACAGGTCTACAGCCGTACTACCCTGAATGCACCTGATCTTGTCTGAAGTCTAATAACAGACTATAGGAAAAACAGATCTATTGTGATATAAGTCAGGAAGTGGTTGAACGGTGAGAGACAGGGTGAGAAGTGATTGCAAAGGGGCACAAAGAAATTTTCTGAGGTGATGAAGCTGTTCTGTATCTTGTTTTGGATGAAGATAACATAGGTGTATAGAATTGTTGAAGCTCATTGAACTGGGCACTTAGATCTGTAGATTGTATACATATTAGTATATTTCAATTAAAAAGATTAAAAGGAGTAAATAAATTAAAACTATGTGTTTCCCTCAAAATTTTAATTTGAGGGATTTCTTTGGTAGAAAGTCACCCGCACTTTAAGAACAGTTTTGAAAATTAGGGAAATGCTATAAAATATAGCCCAGAAGAAATTCTGTAAAAGACCCAATTGCAAATTAAAAACTTAAGCCTATCCATATGAGTTTTTTTTTTTTTTTTGAGACGGAGACTCACTGTGTCACCCAGGCTGGAGTGCAGTGGCACAATCTCGGCTCACTGCAACCTCTGCCTCCCGGGTTCCACTGCGCCCCACCTTAGGATAATATTTTATATGCATGTGTACACCAAACACTTATGATTGGAGCAAGGCATGTTGTTAAGGTGAGACTTAGGGCTTTTGTAATGATGTAGTATAAAATTATTACTTCTAAAACCTAGTGAAGGCACATAACGAAAAGTTTGAGAATAAGCTTCATATTATGATTAAACAAATTATTAATTTTATATATCAACAGTTCACCCTGAACATTGATTAATAAATACATTTACAAGCACTTACTTGCTTTATGGCCTAGGTTAAGTCACTTATATCTGGCTTTTAATTTCCTAATCTACAATGAAATATGTTGAATTTAAACAGCAGTTTTCAAACTTAAGCATGCATCAGAATCACCTGGAGGGCTTGTTAACATAAATTGTTGGGACCTACCCCCTTGAGTTTCTGACACAATAAGGTCTGGGGTGGGGCCCAAGAATTTGCATTCCTGACAAGTTCCCAGATCATGTTGATGCTGCTATCTGGGAATCACACTTTGAAAACCACTGAATGAGAACTATCCTAAGCTGTATCAGACAACAGATCAGAACTTCTGCAGATAGACAGAAAAGCACACCAATGAAGAACTACTTACAAAATCTATGTTGAATTTAGAGAACTGTATCCGCATGTGGAACAAGATTTCTAAATATTACTGTGGTATGGGGTGTTTTGCACTATCTCTGTTTTGACCTCTAAATTTTGCAGTCACCATAGTCACTTTTGCACCCCCTGTGTGGCAACTGGGTTGTAGTGTTTCTAAGACCTACTGCTGGGCTGAGAGGGAGTTTCCAAAAGAATTGGAGAGGTGGAAAATCCCCATGTCCCAAACCAGTTGTATTAGGTTTCACTGCCCTAGTTATGACATTGGAAATAGCTATTCTAATTACTAAAAACTATGCACCAAAAGAAAAATGTGATTCTGGCAGAGAAACTAAGGCAGATGAGAAAATGCAAGAATGTCAAAGTAAAGCCAGTTAGGCTTTGTGGTAACACACAGGCAGTTGCGTGATTTCCCTGTGCTCTTTGGAAACCTTTAAGAAGTCAGAAACAATCATGCTTTCCATTAATTAACAACACAGCATCTTGAAATGCTTGTTTTAAAGCCAGGAGATTTCCGGTTCATCTGCAGATTATAGTAGTATGCTTCTCAGCAAAATCCATCTAATAGTAAACATTAGAGTCTTTCAAGTTATTAAATACGCATAGGTTGTTAAGTAAATTTTAAAGTATTTGTTAAATCAATCAATGAGCAAGAATGCAAACATACCTTTTTTTATCTCTTCAATGAGCTTTCAGTTTAGTTAAAAGGGAGAAAAGGTGCACGCTACAGTTAGAACAATTGACTGGTAAACTAAATGGTACTGAATTAAATTTAGTGTGAATACAGAAAAAGTTGAGGTTAGTATGGGCTGGTATAGTTGAAGGGACAAGAGTGGCACTTGAGATGGGTGTTAGGATGAAGAAGGCCAAGGAAGGGACTCAGCAAAATAAAATAGCTTCATTAAAAGCCACGGAACTTGGGTTAAACACAGTGCTAGCCTGTAGGTAAAGAGAGATGTTGGGGATTTTTGAATGACCAGGTTCATCCATCCATACATCTAATCCTCTATAGTTGTTCATTCAAAGAACATGTATCAAGAGCCAACTGTAAGCCAGACACTATGCTATGGAGTGCCTTGCCAATTAGAATTTGGTTAATGTTTTGACAAAGGCAAAAGAATTTGGACTTAATGTTATGGATTTAAGCAGACAATGACATGATGAAAACCTTTTTTTAGGAAGATTACCCAGGCAACAGGATGGATGGTACTTCCTTTTTTTTTTTTTTTTTTTTTTTTGAGATGAAGTCTTGCTCTTGTCCCCCAGGCTGGAGTGCAATGGCACAATCTCGACTCACTGCAACCTCTGCCTCCCAGGTTCAAGAGATTCTCCTGCCTCAGCTTCCTGAGTAGCTGGGATTATAGGCATGCGCCACCACACCCAGCTAATTTTGTTATTTATTTATTTATTTTTTTCAATAGAGATGAGGTTTCACCGTGTTGGCCAGGCTGGCCTTGAACTCCTGGCCTCCCAAAGTGCTGGGATTATATGCGTGAGCCACCGCGCCTGGCCCTCTGCTTCCCTCTTTTCTAATCTGATGGTTAAGCCCTTAGCATTCCCTTGACTCTGGAACTTTTGCAGAGCAAAGAGCAGAGGCTGTTTGAAGCCAACTGCATTTCTAGACTTTTATGAAATTCTAAGCCCACTGCGAAGATTGAGCCAGATGTCCCATTGGGGAAGAGAGGAGACAGAAAAGTTTTTGAAGTCAGCGAAGAGGAGAGAGTGACATTTCACACAGATGGAAAGAGACTGGAGGTCAAAGAGTAACAAGTACCCACCTCCATTCCATATCAGTGCCCTGGAGAAGCAGCAGGACCTCAGAGAGGGAAGTAATGGGGTGACTTGGAGAGGCTGCACTTTAGCAGGGGATTCTGGCTCCATAAAAGGTTAAATATAGCAAGCTTCTAGGGTTGGCAAAACCATGCTTACTGAGGCAGGGGTGGTTTAGTGGCAGATCAACGATCAGAGTAGTCTCCTTGGTGCTTTGGTACCAGGTAAAACCTAGGGACCTTTAAATAGCTGAGAAAGTAGGGAGAGGAGGAAATATCAAACGTATGAAATTGAATTTCTCACCATCCTGATTCAGACAGGGGCTTTAAATTGATGACTACCTTAGATTTATGAACTAAGAGTCATACACTATGAACTTTTGTTCGTTGGTGCTCAGTCCTAGACCCTTTTCACCTCTCTATTCTCTTCTGGTGTCATCTCATCCTTTCCCATCTTTATACCAGTGGCTTCCAATTTATGTTTTTATTGTAGAATTCTCATCTGAGTGCCACTCTCAAATACCTGGTTACCTATTTGATATCTGCATGTGGATGTGTCATAGACATCTCAAAATTACCGTAGGAAAGACTGATCTCCTGACTGTTGTCTTCCCCTTGTTTAAAGTGCCTCCCTTTCCTCCTAATACTTTATATGAGGAGTCAGAAAACTATGGACTGTGGACCAAATCCAGCCCCCACCTGTTTGTGCAAATACAGTTTTGTTGGAACACAGCCATGTTCATTCTTATGTGTTGTGTGTGACTGTTTTTATGCAACAATGGCAGAAACTTTACAGCCTGCAAAGCTTATTTACTATCTGGCCCTATACAGAAAAAGTCTACCAATTCCTGCTCTTTGCTTTCTTCAATGTATTTATCACAATTTGAAGTTATATATTTGTTTCATTATCTGCTTATTTATCTGCCTCCTTCCATAGAAGGTAATTCTCTAGTGCCTACCATGACAGCACCATTGCCTAGTCATGGTAGGCACTCAATTGTTATTGAATAGAATGTATGAATGAGAAAATGAACTATTATATATTAAAATTTTATTTTGGTCTTTTGCCTTAGCACAAAACTTTCATCCTTCCTTACCCTCCAATGACTTCATATCTTTGTTTTGTTTTGTTTTTTTCCGAGACGGAGACTTGCTGTGTTGCCCAGGCTGGAGTGCAGTGGCACTATCTTGGCTCACTACAACCTCCACCTCCCGGGTTCAAGCAATTCTTCTGCCTCAGCCTCCCCAGTAGCTGGGATTACAGGCACGCGTCACCACACCTGGCTAATTTTTGTATTCTTAGTAGAGACAGGGTTTCACCGTGTTGGCCAGGCTGGTCTCAAACTCTTGACCTCATGATCCTCCCACCTCGGCCTCCCAAAGTGCTGGGATTACAGGTGTGAGCCACCATGCCTGGCCCTAATGACTTCATATCTTAAGTAACAAGAGTGCTAAAATAATGAGTCCCCTCAATTTCTTTGCCCTCTACTCTATCCTCCTTTCAGATTAATCTTTCTAAAACAGAGCTCAGATATCACTCTCCCTCAAAGAAACCTGGAGACCCAATGACTTGTCCATTAATCCTAAACTTCTTTACCTGCTTCTTAAAGTTCTCTGAATCTGGCTCCACTCTATTTTTCTGTCCCCCTATATTCTATTCCTGCTACTACTTCTCTACCCTGAACTTCCCCACCTCTATACTTCATACACTTGGAATATTCTTTTCTATCACTACCACCTCCACCTGTCAAAATCCTATCCACCCTTCAAGTATTTCCTCCAAGCTGCCTTTCTGAGTACCACCAAAAGACATCTTTCTCTTCTTCCATCTTCCAAAATACTTTTTGTACCTATAGTAACTTGTATGTCATTTCTCCATACTGCGTTTTCCCCATTAACTGGTAAGCTACTTAAGAAAAGGAACCACAGCTTTCTCATCTTGGTATCTGCTATGGTTTGAAAGTTTGTATTCCCCTCCAAATTCATATGTTGAAATCCTAACCCCCAACATAATGGTATTAGGAGGTGGGGGATTTGGGAGAGATTAGTGTCCTTATAAAAAGAGACCTCAGAGAGTTAGCTAATCCCTTCTACCATGTGAAGACACAGCAGGAAATCCATAAACCAGAAAGTGGGCCCTCACCAGACACTGAAAATGCCAGTGCCTTGATCTTGGACTTCCCAGCCTCCAGAACTGTGAGAAATGAATTTCTATTGTTTATAAGCCACTCAGTCTATGGTATTCTGTTATAGCAGCCTGAGTGGACTAAGACTGCTTCTGAAGTATTTGGAACAGTATCTTTCTAGATCTCAATAATCATTGAATGAATGAATAAAGAAATGCCTTTCCTTTTCATATCTACTTAGTAAAATCCTACTCATTCCTCAGAGACCAAAATCTTTGCTTCTGACCCCAGTCCATGATGATTTTTCCTTTCTGTACTGCCTTGTATTTTTTTCATCAGTGACTTTCTCCTATTGTAATCTCTAGAAGGTAGAGACTAAATCCTGCACATCTTTGTGTTCTTCTTCCTTCACCTAACAGTACCTTGTGCATTACAAGTGCTCAGTAAATATTTTTGATTAAGTTGTAAAGCAGCTGCCTATTTTTCCACTTCCTTTGCTGCTCAAAAGGATTAGAGCAATGATTGCTTTAGCTGCTAAGGCCTGCTTCAGAGACACATTATTAATGAAGGTTGTCTGGGAGACAGTAATGTTGAACGGGGATTTGTAAATGAGTCTCCAGCTTCAACATTCATCAGCAAAAGAAGGGGATACTGAAAAGCTACTCTAAAAAAAAATCTCATATGAAGTTGTCCGGAGCTGCCTGAGCTACTAATCACTGCAAGGTTTTCAGTCTCTGCCTTGAGCATTTAGAGCACATTCTTGCCTTAACCTCCAAGTCAGATCTCTCCATGGTAACGCAGGAATGTTTGCTATTTTAGGAAATATGCCTCACTGCATGCAGTACTATTTACATTAAGTTCCAAACAAGGCATAAATGCAACAGCTTGACTGTGCTAATTTGTGTGAGTGGGAAGGTCTCACTTACTTAATGTGGGCCTCTCCCTAATTGTGTTATCCTGTTTCATTTTATAAGCCAACCACAGTGAGATTACATGTTAATAAATTTTGCTCATCTTATACTGAAGGAGAAATGCAGAGAGAGAAAAAAGGCGACAAACAAAACAAGAATTCCTCCAGACCTCCCTTTGCAAGGGCATCATTTTTTCTGCCTTCACACCCTCCAGGTCTGGTTTCATTTAAAACCTTCATTGAGATGAAGCTTCTAACATTCTGTAGAAGGAAATAATATCAATAACTGAAACAATTGCTAGCTTTTCCCTGCAACTTTGTAGATACCTTTACTGAGGAAGAGAAAAATGCTTTGTAAACTTTATTAGATTTTCTGACTCCCTAGTGAAAAAGATGTGGACAAGATGTCACAGCCTCACATCAAAAAGCTCCTCAACACTCTGATCACACATACTATTGATCTGAATGGACATCAAGAAGGATTGGAAGGAGATATGGAATGATGTCAGTCAATGGCATATCTAGTTGGTGGTACTTTTTTTGCTTTACAAGAAGTTAATTATAGACGTTCATAAATATTGTGCAAGTGCACTCCCACTAAAATGAATGTTGTAGAATGTTTTGGTAGAATGGAAAAGGAAAACAGCTAGAAAGACTGTAAGATCAATTAAATAAAATAATCTTTATCAAAAGTGTCTGTCTTATTTGAGAGAATGAAGACTCTGAAGTGAACTTCCTGTACTCAGATATTACAGTGAGTATATTATACTCATACTCCAGACTTTCATACTGGGATCACTTGAGAGATAGTTATCTGTGGGATGTGGAGTAAATGAGCGTTCTTCACTTGGACAATTCAGACCTAGAAGTGCAAGATCTGTGAGCTCTTCTTTCTTCTAGGGCCCAACTGTTTGTGGTATTCTCAGTTGTGAAGTATAGGTGGAATTAAAGGAAGTGAATAGGTCTTTAGAACTTAAGCTCCTCCATATTCCAGCTGAATCAGTGAGGGATTCCAGGGATGGCTTCACTGGAGATGAGGAGATTCTTTAGCCTCTGAAGAACAGGCCCAGAGCTTAGAAATTGAACTTTTACCTTCCACATTGTAAGGGTCTTTCTTCTGTGGTGACAGTTGGCATGGCAGACAAGGTTTGAGTAGAATACAGTGGAACTATAACTGTTACAGTGAAAGTATACTGTTAGCAGAGAAGGATAACACCCACAACATAGGCTCCAAGTGTCACAAATAGCAAGGTTCACCATACATTACCTATGCAGAGGGGAGAGACAAAGTGCTTTGTAATTGGTTTTATAATATTCTTTTCCCCAACCAATTCAAAGAACAGACTTGACAAAGCAGTTCATAGCTGTGTCAGATTATGATTTGCTCTCTGAGGAGGTGACATCAATTATCTCAGATGCTCTTCAAGCAATCCTCAGTTTCCACGACAACTAGGATTACCTTTCTAAATGCAAATCATATGCTTTTATTCCCCTTGCTTTTTTTTTTCTGGTGCCTACAACATGAAGCCCTTAGCTCAACATTTATGGTACTTTCCAGCTATATATTTTATCATTCTCCAATACTTATTTTTGGTAACATCGATTACTCCCAATTCCTTAGCTGTGTTCCACATCACTGTATATATTGCTCCGTTTCCTATTTTCTGCCTGGTGTATCCAGTCTTTAAGGCCCAACAGAAGGGTGACCTCCAGGTGAGTTCCTCCTTGGAGTTAATTCCTTTCAGCTGTGGGTTCCTTTAGCACCATGCGTGTATTTCTGTCTCCTCATTTATCACACTGTATTTTAGTTCTTTGTTTACATACCAGTCTTTCACTGGACTATAAACCTTTGGAAGGCTAGGACTCCCTATACTAGTGGTACTCACTGAGCAACTGTCTCATCTCCTAGAGAGCATTTTGAAATTTTGTGGGGGTGTTTCTTGTTTTTGATGTTGTCACGATGATAAGTGAGGCAAGGGATGTTACAGGACAAAGTATTGTACCAAATTCCAAATGACTTTTGGAATTTGAATGTTCCATTGGGTGATGATAAAACTGTTTACAATCATCTGAACCTAGAACTTAATATATATATAGGAGCATGATGTTAATTTACACTAAATTTTTCCATGAATTAAACTACTATGTAAATTGAGGGAAGACACTACCAGTCCTTGGGCCCAATTTTTTTTCCCATAAGACGTAGACCCAAAGGGAGAAACAAGGAAATATGCTATGGGAGGCTTTCTATTCTCCACACTTGAGAGGACCAACTATCAGCGGCCTCCTGTGGCAGAGCTTTCCAACTTGGGTATTCCAGCACAGTGTACCTCAGCATGGTCCACCACTGTGCAAAGACGCTGATCCCCTCAGCTCTCAGGGTGGTGCATGGGTCCTGAGGTGGCCATAAGCAATTGCCTCAAACCATGAGCAGCCATGGGCACTTATTTCAGAATACCATAGATGTACACTCATTTCCTATGAAAATGAATTTTCTATGAAAAAGGGTAGGAAACATTGTCTTATAGAACAAACAGCGCAATGTATCAGGTTTTGAAATGTACAATGTATTGGGTAATAACAACAATAAATTTTCATTAGGCAATGTTTAAAAAGCATATCAATTTAGTACAGTTTATATGATTTGATGCATTTCTTCTGCCCAATGGTCATGCAATATTATCCCCTGGATGCTGTACTTATTCTTGTTCTAAGCATCCTTTTAGAGTAGAATATAAATAATTTAGTCTCTTTGAAATTATAATCTTTTGGTTCTTTAAGTCTGTTCTGAAAACTGGTACCAAACCAATTCCTTAATTAGCATTGAAAATACTGAACTAAATATATTCATTTCAGTGCTTACCAAAGATGATGAAAATAAGTATATGTACAAAATATTTTAGTATTTATGTGCCTGTAAATACAAAAGGAGCAATAAAAGTGATTTCATTTCAGAAGGTGAACATTTTGAAAGAAATAATATTCATGTAAATTCTGAACTAAAATAGAATGAAATAAAATTCTGAAATAAGATAAAAATAGAATGTTAGCATTATAGGAAACTATGGAGATTATTTGAGCTAATCTTCTCATTTTATGTATATGGAAGCTGAGAAGTGACATATCCATAGTCATACAGCTAATAAATAATCAGGATGGAATCGCTTCTCGGCCTTTTGGCTAAGATCAAGTGTAGTATCTGTTCTTATCAGCTTAAATAATCAGGATGGAAATTCAATTCTTCTTATTCTCAGTTGAGCTTTTTCTAATTAAATGCATTACGAAATATTTTCAAGAGTCCCTTAAGAAAATTTCCACATATTTCAACATGTATCTTGCAAAAAGCCTATGAACTTCAATTTGTATTCATACTTGTAAAATTATGTTCACACATTATTTCTTGAGTTTGTTAACCAATGCTTTCCAACCAAAATGGAGCTGCAGTCTAAGAAGTTTGTAATTGTGGCCAAGATAGTAATTTTTTCCTGCCCTCATAGTGGCCTAAGCACCCAAATTGGCCACCTCCAAGTGAGAAGCTTCATCCATTTACCTCTATACCTTACAAATATTATCATTTGCCATGAAATGGAAAGGTTGGGAAGCAATGGTTTAAACTAATTCTTATCATTGCTCTTTTATCTTGACCCCAACCTTTCCATATGTGAACCAGTAAAGTAAACCACCCACATTTTGTCTTATCAGTAGTCTAAGACCAGTGCAAGAATGTAAGGATACCAGGTAATTGCTTTTGTTGTTTGGGTGCAGGTATATTCTAAAGTTCTTTTAGAAAATATCTTTTTAGTAAATTAAAAGTTGAATGAAGGAGAGGAGTTCCCTTCGAGGTAACTTCCCAGAAAATCAATGCAATTATTTTTTACCACAGTGAGTTCTCTTTTCAATATTAAAACTACATTATGGCCAGGTGTGGTGGCTCACGCCTGTAATCCCAGCACTTTGGGAGGCCAAGGCGGGCAGATCACCTGAGGTCAGGAGTTCGAGACCAGCCTGGCCAACATGGTGAAACCCCATCTCTACTAAAAATACAAATATTGCTGGGTGTGGTGGCATGCACCTGTAATCCCAGCTACTCGGGAGGCTGAGGCAGAGGTTGCAGTTAGCCGAGATCATCCCACTGCACTTCAGCCTGGGCAACAGAGTGAGACTCCAACTCAAAAAAAAAATTTTTTTTTGGAGGCAAATTTCTATCATTATCTGATACACTTGTACGGAAATAGTAATCACCATTTCAACTAGTACCCAGCACATTTTCAAGGACCTGGAAGGTTCATACTCCAATATATACAAACAGAGAATATGCCTAGCTCATAGATGATCAATAACTGTTTATTTGAACCCACAGTTTGTGTACTTCGGCACAGTATTTTACAACTTAACCCTCAAAAAAACCCCTAAAACATTGTATGTTCTATATAATTATAAATCACTTGATGTGGCTGGCAAATTCTAAGGTGGTCCCTATAATTCTCACCCACTGGCCATCACATCTTTGTGTTATCCTCACCCCTTGAGGATGGGTAGAACCTGTAACTTCTAACCAATATGGCAAAGGTCATGAAATGTCACTGCATAGTTATGCTATGTTATATGAAAAAAGTAAAGAGGTCATATAGATGTAATTAGGGCTGCTAATCAGTTGATTTTAAGTTAACAAAAAGGGATATTATGCTGGTGGGCCTGCCCTAATGAGCCCCTTAAAAGAAAGTCTAGAAGTGAGAAAAGTAACAGACTCTTTCTGCTGCTGGCTATGAAGAAGGAAGCTGCCATAACTTCTACAGCTACACAGCAATAAATCCTTCCAACAGCCTGAGGAGCTTAGAAGCCGATCCTTCCCTAGGTATGCCTCCAGATGAGAAAAGAGCCCAGTCTACACCTTGATTTCACACTTATGAGACTCCAAACAGATCTCAGCTAAGCCATATCTGGACTCTTGACTCACAGAAACTGTGAGATAACAAAAATAAGGTGTTTTAAACTGCTAAGTTTGTAGTAATCTGTTACACAACAATAGATAACAAATACACTTAGATATTAAAAAGCAGGGCTTATGAAAGCATGAAGCAAGTGCTTCTGGATGTACTGACCAAACCTTACCTGCACTTCCATGCTAGTTGGCTCCTCCAACAGATGTAGCAGTTGTTGTTTCTCCCGAGATAGCTGTTCTACAAGCCTCTCCTGGGCAGCCAGGCTCTGATTCAGTTCTTCAATTCTCCTGAAGCAAAGGAAAAGTAAGGACAATAATTATGATCATGATACTATTATTACCTTATTTTTTCAGCCCATTCCAAAGATAGCATGGTCTAGTATAGCAGGTTTTTATCCTTTTGGATCATTGAACCTTTTGATACATTTCTTTAGAAAAGCATGTATTTTCTGCTCAGCCCCCAAATATATACACAAACAACTTTTTGCTTACATTTTCACCACATTCATGGACCTCCTGAAGTTCATCCATGGATCTTTAGACCATAGGAATTTAACTCTTGGAATAAGGGCCTAGAATTTTTTGGTGGTGGTGGTAGTGGCTGTTCCATTCAATAAACGGTTCTTGGATAACTATTTTGTGTACTCAATGCACTCTACCAAGTACTGGAAATATGAAGTTGGGAAAGAAACAATCGCTGTTTTGCAAAAATTTAAATTCCACCAGCATGTGTTTGCTAGTGATTTGGAGAGTAAGAAGACACACAGCTACAGTCACGTACCATATACTGTTTCTGTCAACATTATGTCATCATACTGCATGTATGATGATGGTCCGATAAGATTATACTGGAGCTGAAAAATTCCTATCACCTAGTAAAGTCCTAGCTGCAGTAACATCATAGTGCAATGTATTTCTCACTTGTTTGTGGTGTTGCTGGTGTAAAGCAAACCTACTGCGCTGGCAGTTGTATACAAATATAACATATGTATAGTATGTAATACTTGATAATAAATGTTACTGGTTTATGTATTTACTATACTATACTTTCATTGTCGTTTTAGAGTGTACTCTTTCTACTTATTAAACAAAATAACTGTAAAGTAGCCTCAGGCAGGTCCCTCAGGAGCTATTCCAGAAGAAGGCATTGTTATCATAGGAGATGACAGCTCCATGTGTGTTATTGTCCCTGAAGACCTTCCAGCGGACAAGATGTAAAGGTGGAAGACAGTGAAGCTGATGATCCTGACACTGTGTAGGCCTAGGCTTGTGTGTATGTTTGTGTCTTAGTTTGTAACAAAAAAGTTTAAAAAGTAAAAAAAAAAAAATTAAAAATTTAAAAACAGAATAAACCTTTTCTAGAATAAGGATATAAGGAAAATATTTTTATATGACTACAAAATGTGTTTTAGGCCTTCACATTCATTCACTTCACTACTCACTCGCTAAATCACCCACAGCATGTTCCAGTGCTGCAAGTTCCATTTATGGTCAGTGCCCTAAACAGGTGTACTGTTTGTTATCTTTTATACAGTATTTTTACTGTATCTTTTCTATGTTTAGATACACAAATGGTTACCATTGTGTTACAATTGCCTACAGTATTCAGTACAGTAATATGTCATACAGGTTTGTAGCCCAGAAGCCATAGGCTATACCATATAGCCTAGGTGTGCAGTAGCCTATCCCATCAAGGTTTGTGTAAGTATGCTCTGTGATGGCCACACAATGAAGAATGAAATTGCCTAAAGATACATTTCTCAGAACATATCCCTGTAGTTTGTGATGCATGATTGTATATAAGCAAATAATAGTAATAGAATATAATAAATGCTACCAGAATAGAGGCACCATATAGTACATTGAGTGCTGCCATAGAGCTATAGGATGAAAGATAAAGAAATAATTCATTTGACTTGAAGGAGTATAGCGATGCTCAGGAGAAGAAATTTTAAAGATTGAGTGGTTTCAGAGTAAACAGACAACCTACAGAATGGGGGAAAATATTTGAAAACTATGCATTGGACAAAGGTCCAATATCCAGCATCTATAAGAAATGTAAACAAATATACAAAAGAAAAGCAACCCCATTAAAAAGTGGGCAAAGGACATAAACAGACACTTCAAAAGACGTACCTGCAGCCAACAAGCATATGATAAAAAGCTCAATAACACTGATCACTAGAGAAATGCAATCAAAACCACATGTGATACCATCTCACACCAGTCAGAATGACTATGGTTAAAAAGTCAAAAAATAACAGACGTTAGTGAGGTTGCAGAGAAAAGGAAACACTTATACACTGTTGGTGGGAGTGTTAAATTAGTTCAACCACTGTAGAAAGCAGTATGGTGATTCCTCAAAGAACAAAAAGCAGAACTACCATTCGACCCAGCAATCCCATTTCTGGGTATACTCAGAGGAATATAAATCATTCTACCATGAAGACATATGCATGCAAATGTTCACTGCACACTATTTACAATAGCAAAGACTTGGGTGGTTTTCCAGGCTCAGAAGGAGGAGATTGAACAAAGGAACAAAGGCATGAAGACCCAGTGTACAATTTGGGAAGAGTCACTGGAACAAAGGCCCAGGGAAGAGGCAATGGCTGGAGAAGAGACTGAAAATTCAGACCCTCAGACTAGGGTTAAGTTGTAAAATACTGTGCTGAGGTATACAAACTATGGGTTCAAATAAACTTATTGATCATCTATGTGCTAGGCATATTCTCTGTTTGTATATATTGGAACATGAACCTTCCAGGTCCTTGAAAATCTGCTGGGTACTAAATGAAATGTTTCCAGTTGTGATTCTTTTTTTTTTGAGATGGAGTCTTGCTCTGTCACCAGACTGGAGTGCAGTGGCGCAATCTTGGCTCACTGCAACCTCCACCTCCCTGGTTCAAGCGATTCTCCTGCCTCAGCCTCCTGAGTAGCTGGGACTACAGGCATGCGCCACCATGCCCAACCAATTTTTGTATTTTTAGTTGAGATGGGGTTTCACCATGTTGGCCAGGATGGTCTTAATCTCGTGATCCGCCTGCCTCGGCCTCCCAAAGTGCTAGGATTACAGGTGTGAGCCATGATTCCCAGGAGAAATAACTTTTAAAACTTAAAAACATTGGGCTGGGTATGGTGGCTCATGCCTGTAATCCCTGTAATCCCAGCACTTTGGGAGGCTGAGGCAGGTGGATCACCTGAGGTCAGGAGTTTGAGATCAGCCTGACCAACATAGTGAAACCCTGTCTCTACTAAAAATACAAAAATTAGCTGGGCGTGGTGGTGCACGCCTGTAATCCCAGCTACTCGGGAGGCTGAGGCAGGAAAATCGGTTGAACCTGGGAGGCAGAGGTTGCAGTGAGCCGAGATCTTGCCACTGTACTCCACCCTGGGCAACAGAGCGAGACTCTATCTCAAAACAAAAACAAAAACAGAAACAAAAAATTAAAAACATTATACAAATGTAAACTGCAATGATGACGAGAAGGAGGAATGTGGACTCCGTATGAAATTCCCTCGTGGTATCTGCACTAGAACATCTCTACTTTTCTTAAACCTCAAACTTTGCTCATCTCTTTGACCCTTAGTCTCTACAGAGGATCTGTTCTCCTACTCTCCAAAATTGTTCAAGGTCATCTGATGAGTGGCCTCAATTTATTTTCAGATGTGCATGTGCTTTACTTGGGGCTTTGTTTTGGTTTTTAGTTCAGTTTTTTTTTATTGGGGTTCAAATATGACACTGTCTTGGGGAACCTAGTAGGGAAAATCTGAAAGCAAATACAGTACCATACTGAGAATTGTACAATATGTATATATATATATATATATATATATATATATATATATATATATATATATATATATATATATATAAAAGAAACAATACAGAAACTTCATTCTGCTATCACAAAGCCTTCAAAGAAATGACGATTGATGCCTTAGTGAGGTTCACTAGAAGGGAAAAAGTTGGCAGATGTTTCCCACAGAAGGAAAAGCATGAGCAAAATTCTGGAGACTTGCCATAGCTTCTTATGCTTCTGGAGGCAGTATGGCTTCAGGGTTTGGATGTCAGCAATCCCTGAAACCATGTTTCACAAGTCTCCAGATGCCAATTTTTTCATTAATAAAGTATAATAATTCATATCTCATGGGGCTGTTAAACAAGAACATAAAGTACTCAGCTGTATGGTAAGAGCTCAACAAAGCTTAGCCATCATTATTATTACTAGCCTGGCATGAATGAAGTTAAGGAATGGTGGTGGGTGATGAGTGTGGGAGAAATCAGAGGTTACATCATAAAAGGCTTTGATGGCCACATTAGGAGTATGGATCTTATCTCCTAAAGGTATTGCAAAGTTCTTAAATGGCTCTGCCATGGTGCGATTAAATTTATGTCTTGGAAAGATCACATTGGTCATGGTATGCACATGTGGTTTTTGCCTATTCAGTTAAAAGCTCCTTAAAGCTTTTTATACCACCACAGTCTTATGCACCTAAGAGGCTAAATTATTTGCCAATTTGTTGTGGTTGAATTATCTATTTCAGAACTACTCTGAATTATTAGGTTGAGATTGAATGAGAGGAGCAGGACTGGAAGTGGAGAGGACATTTAGAAAGTTTCCTCGGTAATCCAGACAGTAGATGGTGGTGACCTCAATAATTGCCCAGTTACCTTCAGGACAAAGTCCAAGTTCCTTATAATGGTATACAAAGCTGGCACAATCAGACCCTTATTCTCAAAACAGCTTACCTCTCACTTGTCTTCTCACTTGCTCCAGTTATGTACAATTATTTAAAGTTCTTGAAATATTCCTTTCCCTGTGTCTTCCCTCCATAGTTTCTCCTTCTGCATAGAATATTTCCTTTCCCTATCCACTTTCTACCTATTTATTCTACCTCCTATTCATCCTTCAAAGCTCAGCTCAGATTTCGCTTCCTCTAGGAAACCTTCAATGGCATTATCTTAGTCTTTTTGGGCTGCTATAAAAAAACACCATAAACTGGGAGGCTTATAAACAACGGAAATGTATTTCTCACAGTTTTGGAGGCTGGGAAGTCCTAGATCAAGTCACTGACAGGTTCAATGTCTGGTGAAGGTTCACACTCTGGCTCATAACGGTGCATTCCCACTATATCCTCACATAGTAGAAGGGGCTAACTAGCTCTCTGGGGTCTCTTTTACAAGCGTATTAATCCCATTTATGAGGGCTCCATCTCCAATGTCTATGATTTAATCACCTCCTAATGGCTCCACCTCATAATACTTCTGGAGGCAGAAGTATTAACCTTAAGGGTTAAGATTTCAACATATAAACTGGTGGGGGAGGGAGGTGGGGATGGGACACAAACATTCAGACCACAGCAGACAACTTGCTCTTTTAATGTGGAATGGATGACCCTCCAATATTTCCCCAGAGCACCCCATGCTCTTCTATCAGGGAACTTATTAAAATCATGTAACATGTTTCTTGGTGACAAGAATTAGGTCTTTTGTTTCTGTAACACATGCCAGATACTTAGCCCGGTATCTGGCATGTGGCATGCCCAGTAAATGTTTGCTGAATAAGTGAATCCATGTCTCTTGCTTGCCGCTATTTGCCCACTGAATCCATGAAGTGAGTTTTCATAATGGATACCACTGAAAATTCAACCCTGAAAAGAATGTCTTCGGTTGTGGGACCATAAAGTCTTAGAAATAGTGAAGCTCCTACTGTCAGTCCTTGAAAGGGAACAGGACAGCTGCTGTATGCCTTGAGAATGGGCAAAAGACAAGCGACAAAAAGAGCACCGAAGGCACCTACTTGTCCCTCTGGGCCAGGGTCTCAGTGTATTGGTCGGGCTTGACCTGGTCTCCTGGTACATCTTCCCAGTTTTTGGTGACTCCCTTCAGTTTCTCTGAGAGCTCCAGGTTACACTCCTTCTCTGCTTCCACCAGAGCTGCCATCCGCGCAGCTTCATTCTTTGCTAGCCTGGATTCCTGGAAAAAGAACAAAAACTGAGAGGCTGCAAAATTTCTACCTAGATTAGGAGCCCTAAGACCCAGGAACATTGATGAATTTCAGAGGGAAAGTAGAGACGGAAAAGGTGAATGCCAGAAGGCAGAGCAGTAGGAAGAGGAGTGTTAATAAAAGAGAACCCCTACCTATGGACTTTGGGAACTCCTCACCTCCTGCAGAAGCTGGATCTTATTCTCCAAGAGCTCATAAACATGCTCCGTCTCCTGCTGTCGCTCCTCAAACTGGCGTCGGAGCTCAGCTTCATTCTGACTGTTGAGATTCTCCACATCACCCCTAAAACCACAGAGCATTAGCCAATCAGAGCCAGACATGCAGTTTAGCCAGTGGAACCATTAAAGTTGTTCTTTGATAAATCTCCAAACTGCTTGCTGCAGTGACTGAACTGGTTTATATTTCCACCAACAGCGTGTAAGCATTCCCATTTCTATGCAGCCTCACCGGCATCTGTTGTTTTTAGACGTTTTAATAGTAGCCATTCTGACTGGTGTGAGATGGTATCTCATTGTGGTTTTGATTTATATTTCTCTGATGATTAGTGATGTGGAGCAATTTTTCATATATTTGGTGGGCATTTGTATGTCTTCTTTTGAAAAGTGTTTGATCATGCCTTTTGCTCATTTTTTTAACGGGGTTATTTGTTTTTCATTGTTCAATTGTTAAATTCCTTATGGATTCTGGATATTAGACCCTTTTCAGATGCTAGTTGCAAATTTTTTTAGATTCTAGAGGTTGTCTGTTTACTCTGTTGATAGTTTCTTTTGCTGTGCAAAACTCTTTAGTTTAAATAAATCCGACTTGTCTCTTTTTGTTTTTGTTGCAATTGCTTTTGAGGATTTAGTCATAAATTCCTGAGGCCAATGTCCAGAATGGTGTTTCTTGGGTTTTCTTCTAGGATTCTTATAGTTTGAGGTCTTACATTTACATCTTTACTCCATCTTGAGTTAATTTTTATATGTGCTGAAAGGTAGGGGCCCAGTTTCATTCTTTTGCATATGGCTAGCCAGTTATCTATCCCACCACCATCGAATAGGGGAGTGCTTTCCCCACTGCTTATTTTTGTTGATTTTGTCGAAGATCAGATTGCTGTAGGTGTGTAGCTTTATTTTTGGGTTCTCTATTTGCTTCCATTGGTCTATGTGTCTTTTTTTTTTTCCAGCAACATGCTGTTTTGGCAACTGTAGCCTTGTAGTATAGTTTGAAGTTGGATAGTGTGATGCCTCTGGCTTTGATCTTGGTCATTTGATGAATGACATTGGTAGTTTGATAGGAATAGTGTTGAATCTGTAGATTGCCTTCGGCAATATGGCCATTTTAATGATATTGATTCTTCCAATCCATGAGCATGGAATGTTTTTCCATTTGTTTGTGTCATCTATGATTTCTTTAAGCAGTGTTTCATAGTTCTCCTTGTAGAGATCTTTCACCTCCTTGGTTAGATGTATTCCAAGGTATTTTTTTTTTTTAGCGGATATTGTAAATGGGATTGCATTCTTGATTTGGCTCTCAGCTTGAATGTTATTGGTGTGTAGAAATGCTACTGATTTTTTTTTTTTTTTGAGACGGAGTCTGGCTCTGTCGCCCAGGCTGGAGTGCAGTGGCATGATCTCGGCTCACTGCAAGCTCCGCCTCCCGGGTTCACGCCATTCTCCTGCCTCAGCCTCCCAAGTAGCTGGGACTACAGGCGACTGCCACCACACCCGGCTAATTTTTTTTTTCTATTTTTAGAAGAGACGGGGTTCACCGTGTTAGCCAGGATGGTCTCGATCTCCTGACCTCGTGATCCACCCACCTCGGCCTCCCAAAGTGCTGGGATTACAGGCGTGAGCCACCGTGCCTGGTAAAATGCTACTGATTTTTGTACATTAATTTTTGTATTCTGAAACTTTATTGAAGTCTGAAAATATTTTTAATAATTTTAGCAATACTTGTCATTTAACACTAAGCTTTTAAAAAACTGTAAATTATAAAAGTAACCATTTTAGCAATATAAATGTATATAAAGAAAAATATCAAGTCTTCTCCCTATCACGGACTGTGATCTCACTCTTCCTCAGTATACTATAAATATCACTCAGCAACTTTTCCCCCTTACTTTAATCAAGGAATTCCCACTAGGACAATAATATAGAGCTAACTCATTCTTCAATAACTGCATAATAGTCCACAGTGTAGTAATACCAAAATTTATTCAATCAATTGAGTCTTGCCTTGGTCCACAGCCTCTCACCTCATCTCTGCCCTCTTTGTGAACCTTGACATAATTAGGGATTTAGTTGGATCAGCAATCTAGTCAAGGAAGAATAAACTGTAGAGCTTCAGGGTTTCCCCTGAGCTACTTATCAATTTTCCCAACCTATTTATCATTACCCCTGGATCATGAACACTGCTTAAGTCTATTCGTTCTCTAAACCATTGCAGGACAGAGTATATATTAAAATAAATTTTTCCTATCTAATACAGGTTGTTCCTGAAAACGAAATTGCTAGAATAATACTTTTAATAGAATTATAGTAATAGAACAATACTTTTAAATGCCTGGGGATTCAATTATTTAAAGAAATTTGGTTGTAAACATTTTTAAAAACAATGCTTTTATCATAAAATTGGAATTTTATAAATTAGGTTTGCTTAAGGTGAGAGGGGACTCTGATGGTAAAGTTATACAGGGAACAATTAATTTTTATTGAGGTGAGGATGCAACAAGTAAGATTTGGGGAAACAGAAATAAGGAAATAAAAACATCCCAAGTGTGTCTGGTGCAGGTTAAGTGGCTTAGTGTGTGGTAAGGAGTATAGAAAATAGTTTGCAACTAGTTTGTGAAAATCCTGCTAAGACAACTAGATAGGCCGGCCACGGTGGCTCACACCTATAGTCCCAGCACTTTGGGAGGCCAAGGCAGGCAGATCACTTGAGGTCAGGCTTTCGAGACCAGCCTAACCAACATGGTGAAACCTCATCTCTGCTAAAAATACAAAAATTAGCTGGGCGTGGTGACATGCGCCTGTAATCCCAGCTACTTGGGAGGCTGAAACAGGAGAATCGCTTGAACCCAGGAGGTGGAGGTTGCAGTCAGCCAAGATCATGCTGCTGCACTCCAGCCTGGGTGACAGAGAGAGACTCTGTCTCAAAATAAAAAAAATTAAAAAAGTAAAAAACTGGATAATAATCAGTAGAAATCAAAGACTTATCAGGGAGCTTTAAGCAAAGTATTGGCATGATCGGGTCCATGTTGAAGAAGGAATTATGAAGAAGGTGGGTGGGTCAGGGGCAACTAACCAGAATAGGGAGGGGGACTGTCTAAGGACAAGAGGTACAGGGAGAAAGACTCAAAAGACATTTCAGAGACAGAAGCCACAGGCCTTGATGACTTGTGAGATTCAGATTAGACTGGAGGGAGGACCAAAGACAATGCTGAAATTTCCAGCATGTCAGTGGGAATGCATTCTATTAACTAAAATAGGGGCAGGTTTGTAGGGGAACCTAAGGAGGTTTCTGCAAAATGTTAATTGTGGGATTACTTTATTTCAGCTTAAATGTTAGCATGCAAAGATGGATTAGTCCCTTCCCTGATGAAGTCCATAATACAGTATTAGGCAAGAAGAATGTTATTTAGTAAAGAAGTCTTTAGATCAGAGGTTGACAGAGAGACTGAAGGTAAAGTAGCTAAAGTATGAAAAGTAGTATTGTGGGTACTAGAACAGTAGGGAGGATTTTACTTTACTATCGCCATATAATAACCACCAACACCTAGACTTCTAGAAGTCCAAGGCAACACACAATAGCAGCATATTTTCTACCATACTTGTGAAGGCATTTCATAACCCATGTTTCCATGCAGGGTGGTTGAAACACAAATACTAATTGGGAAAAGTAGAAACCTGGTTTAGATATTTGAGAGTTACTTAGAATTAAAGAATTTTAGAGCTGGAAGGCAGTTGGACTCAAGGCATTTTAGATCATATTACTAGTACTTTTTTAGTGACATACTGAGAAGAATGTTTATTCCCCTCATAAGTAGGTACCTTTTGACCAAGGTTAGAACATAGATTCAGATCCAGTGAGATGAAAATATCCTAATTTCTTCAAAAGAAGGGAATGATAGCCCTGTCTTTTCAGGATATCCTTTAAAGTTATTATTTTATGAACACTAAATAGCATTACCAGATTTAGCAAATAAAAATATAAGATATCTACTTCAATTTAAATTTCAGATAAACAACAAATAATTTGTTTCATTAGAAGTATATCCTTTGCAATATTTGAGACATAACTTAAACGCTAAAACATTGTTTGTTGTTTATCTGAAATTTAAATTGAATTGAGTACCCTGTATTTTATTCTGCAATACAAATACCAAAAGATTAACAAATGGAAACACGCATATTTCAATTTTGTATGAAGAACAAGTCTAAGATCTCTATATCAGTTCCATGGCCTGGCACTGCAAGAATAATTCATCTGTACCAATTGATGAATCAGTAAAATAGAAGATTTGCTAAACAGTTGCTATGTCCCCAGCTTTGTGGTCAATACTTAAAGGAATTCAAATGTCTTCATAAAAAATGGTCCCTAAGCTACTGGCCCTTCATAGAGGTGAAGGAATATGCATTCAATTATGTGGGAAATGCAAAGAGGGAGCAATTTCCTAATCTGTAATAGGCAGATAATTGTATTTTCCTCATTCATAAACCTACTGAGAGGATCGTGAGGCATAAATAAATCAATACATGTAAAGGACTTAGGACAGTGTTTCTAACACAGGTATAACTATAATTTTAATTATAATAATATTATTATCACCATCATCATCAAGAACAACAGCATTATCATTTGGAACAGCAGTTTGCTTTCCATGAGACCATAATGTTTCAAGTGGATTCAGTGTTCAGGATATGGTGCTGAGAAAGAGGACTCCTAAGTTTATTATTATTTCTGCCACCAATTGATTCACTTCTGTGACCTTGGGTAAAATTCTGCTAAGGCTTCTCCACCTGGAAAATGACAAAGACTGGGCAAAAAGCTATTTAAATCTCATATGAAAGAAAATGGAATCTATAATTATGAAGTGTTATTATCAATGATATTCCTATGCCTGGCTAATTTATATAAATCAGAAAAGTCTGGATATGCTAAACCACCTCAGATAAGCCAAAACTGCTTGAGCAGATTTTTTAAAAATCTCATATCTAAAAATACGTGAGGTCTCAAATGACTGGAGCTATATGGATGTCCTCTGCCTAGTTCTTAGTCTCATGATGTGACATAGGGAATCTCTATCAGGTATAAACTGATCAACAGAAAGTTCCCTGAAAAGTCCCTTACTATTAATACTATTTTTGCATGAGGAATCTTTGAATATTCAAATAAAAATAAACAAACAACAGGGAAAGTGAGAGGCACTATGAAACCAACCTAAAGCCAGAAAGAATTAGGTTCAAATCCTGGCTCTATCACTTTCCTGCTAGGTGACCTTGGGCAGGTTAACTAATCACTATGAGCCTCAGTTTTCTTATAAGTATAGTGTGGTTGCTTTGCTTTTTAATGAAGATAAGTATTCACGAGGGATTCTGTGAGGATTGAATGAGACAATGTGCATGATAAGCATAGAACAATGCCTTGCACACAGCTGTGCAACAACCTTGATTCACTTTCCCTTCATGTCCAGGCTAACTAGTGCCAGTCAGAGACCTCAGCCTTACCAGGAAAAATACTTAGATCTAAAAGGAAGAAAAACAGAGGACATAAATTAGTACGTTCTATCTGTTCTAAATCCTACTGAAGAAAATGAAGTCAATGCTTTGACCAATTTGCCCAAAGATTCACAGATTTGAAGACCTCAGCATTTCTGTGTTCTAGTTCTCTTAGTTTAAAGACAAGGAAATTGAAATCCAGAAGGGTTACCTCCAAGGTAAAAGCCGTAACTGAAACCAACACTCCACTCTTGCTTTAGCCTTTTATCAGAGAGACCAGCTTAGCAAACACTGCCCAGTTTTGTCTGATTTTGTAGAATGTGGTAAATTATAGAATTAGAGAATGTGCTGCATTTAGTCTTGAAAGAATATATGGAGGCAGTAAGTATAGTGGTCAAGAGCATAGGCTCTGAAGGCGAGAAGGGGGCTTGACAAGTCACCTGCCCTCTCTAAGAGCCTCATTCACCTCATCTATCAAGGAGATAACAATGATACCAATCTACAAAGGATGTTAGGGAGACTAAATGAAATTATGCACAAAAATCACATCGCACAGTGCCTGGCATGCAGTCAGTATTCAGAAAATGATAACTATTATTAACTATAAAAACAATAACAATTTACCCTCTCTAACTAGGATGGCTGAAATCCAGAAGGGTTTTCAAGGTAAAAGCAATAATCTTACATCAAAGTCTAACCTTCTTGCACCTTCTTTCTGTAGAAAAATCATCATATAGCTTATCACATTTATTCATTCTCCATTACTAAATATTCATGTGTAAATTGTTAAATTCTTTTATAGCATCAGTAGATTCCAAATTAACTGCATTTGCTTATTTTATCACCAAGTCTTCTTGGCTCTTTGTCAAGATATCTAAGGAAATTTATGTACTCAAGAAAGGGGAGATGGGAAGAAAGCACTTCTCTTTCTTCATGCCTCCAAAGGAGTGTTCGCCCATCTAACTCAAGAAAAAGTTTCAATGATGAAGCTGAAATTAAACTTCTATTAGGTATTTCTTCCTTCTCCCCAGGACTGGAGTACATGAATAGTCTCATATCTGGTTTCCCCAACCTCAGTCCCTCTACTACTTAAATTTTCCCTAAAGCATAGCTCTGGTTATTTCATTCCGTCTGTCCAAAAAGCATTTAATATGTGATGCAGGTCCAGCTAAAGAAGAAAAAGGAAAGAAAGAAAAAACCTTTTAACGATTTTTAACTGTACAGCGATTAAATTATACACAACTGGCCTGATAATAGAGTCTATTCAAAATTTGACCTCAATCTACCTATCCAGCTTTATCTTCCATTATTATCTGCTAGCCTAACTGGATTTCCCAAACATGCCCTATGCTTCTTGGTGCCACATCATTGTGTGCCCTTCAGCTTCATGGTTAAATGCTACGTCCCCTGTGAAGCCTTACTTTATCTCTCCAAATTAAAAGTAATTTCTCATGATGACATTATGAGCTTTCAAATATTCTTTTCATACTGCAACATTGGCATCCTGTGTAAATGCTTCATATTTCTACACCTGTCTTATTTACCCTTTTAAATTGCAAACTCCCTAAGGACAGAGGAAATGATGGTGTGGCAGAACTACCCAGGTGCGCTGGTTATTAAGATACTGCCTCTCAGCGTTGTCATGCTGGGGCAGGAATTTCAGGATAAGTAAACCTAGGTTCACATACCTTTCTGCCACTTCCTAACTGGGGGACCTTTTTTGTGTAAATTACTTCAACTTTTACAACCTAATTTCCTCATTTATAAAATAGGGGTTGCAAAAATTACCTCAAAGTTTGTAGTGAGGAATAAATGAATTTATGTAAAGTACCCAGCACAATGTCTGATACAAATAACCGCAGCTCGGGCGCGGTGGCTCACGCCTGTAATCCCAGCACTTCGGGAGGCCGAGGCGGGCGGATCACGAGGTCGGGAGATCGAGACCATCCTGCTTAACACGGTGAAACCCCGTCTCTACTAAAAATACAAAAAAAATTAGCCGAGCGTGGTGGCAGGTGCCTGTAGTTCCAGCTACTCGGAGGCTGAGGCAGGAGAATGGCGTGAACCCGGAGGCGGAGCTTGCAGTGAGCCGAGATCGCGCCACTGCACTCCAGCCTGGGCGACAGAGTAAGACTCCGTCTCAAAAACAACAACAACAAAAACAAATAACCGACAGCTGTGACTAATCTGAGGTCCTCGCAGTGTCTCTCACCTCTTGGTGCAGTAAAAGCATTGAAAGAGTGAACCAACAAGAGAACAAAGAAGGAATAGATGACAAGAGGCGGAAGTGGACTAACAATGATATGTTTGTTGAATGAGTGAGAAGGTAATAGATAATGCTGTGAGATTATGTGGAAAACTTTTTATCTGAAGTCTTTAAAAGACATTCTCACTTTTGGCTGGGCGCGGGGGCTCACACCTGTAATTCCAGCACTTTGGGAGGCTGAGGTGGGCGGATCACTTGAGGTCAGGAGTTCCAGACCAGCCTGGACAAACTGGTGAAACGCTGTCTCTACTAAAAATACAAAAATTAGCCAGGCGTGGTGGTGGGTGCCTGTAATCCCAGCTACTCGGGAGGCTAAGGCAGGATAATCGCTTGAACCCAGGAGGCAGAGGTTGCAGTGGGCCGAGATTGTGCCACTGTACTCCAGCCGGGGTGACAGAGCGAAACTCCATCTCGAAAAAATAAAAAATGTACTCCAGCTGGGGTGACAGAGAGAAACTCCACCTCAAAAAAATAAAAAATAAGGGCTGGGCACGGTGGCTCACGCCTGTAATCTCAGCACTTTAGGAGGCTGAGGCAGGCGGATCACAAGGTCAGGAAATGAGACCATCCTGGCTAACACGGTGAAACCCCGTCTCTACTAAAAATACAAAAAATTAGCCGGGTGTGGTGGCGGGCACCTGTAGTCCCAGCTACTCGGGAGGCTGAGGCAGGAGAACGGTGTGAACCCAGGAGTCGGAGCTTGCAATGCGCTGAGATCGCGCCACTGCACTCCAGCCCGGGTGACAGAGCGAGACTCCATCTCAAATAAGTAGATAAATAAAGACTTTCTCAGGTTTTTGTTTTGTTTTTGTTTTTTTGACAGTCTTGCTCTGTCGCCCAGGCTGGAGTACAGTGGCGCAATCTCGGCTCACTGCAAGCTCTGCCTCCTGGGTTCATGCCATTCTCCTGCCTCAGTCTCCGAGTAGCTGGGACTACAGGCGCCTGCCACCACGCCCGGATAATTTTTTTGTATTTTTTGTAGAGACAGGGTTTCACCGTGTTAGGCAGGATGGTCTCGATCTCCTGACCTCGTGATCCGCCCGCCTCGGCCTCCCAAAGTGTTGGGATTACAGGCGTGAGCCACCGCGCCTGGCTGACTTTTTCAGTTTTAAGCTAAGAATATTCTCTAATAGGTATATTATTGACCCATTGACAATAGAAGATTGAATACACTTTAGGATTCCAGCCTCCTCTTCTACTGCTCATGCTCTCCGTAAGAAGGGCTAAACATCCTACTCCTGTGCACTACATTGGAGCTCAGAAATACTGACTTAAAATCTCCAGATCTTAACACGGACTTTTAAAGGGAAGATTGAGTATGGACCCAGTATTAGATGGTATTATGGAATTATTTTTAAGCTTTTTGGGTACAATAATAGTATTGTGGTTATGTTTAAAAACAAAGCCTTCTCTGTGAGAGTTATATTCTGATATCTTCCCAAATAAAATTATATGATGTCAGAGAGTTGCTGTAAGGGGTGGAAGAGGACAAGATGGAGAACGAACAGTGCAGGGAGATCACTGAAAAGAACAGCAAAATGTTGGGAACCGTTAAAGCTGAGTGATGGGAACATGGCTCCCTGGTAAATGGGACACATACATCGGGAGGTACTATTTTCGTAGTCTTTGTTTATATTTGAAAATTTTCAAACTTACATAATGAGAAGTCAAAAGGGGCATTTTCATCCCAAAAAGGCAAATGTCCATATTCTTTTTTATTTTTTCATTTTCATTTCTGGAATTACCTAAACTCAGGTTATAGATAGCAATGAAAATTCGGCTCCCTGTGGCAGCTTCTTTCAGCCACCAGACTTACATAGACTCAGTGGTGCAGAGTCCGTTTCCCAATACTGAGGGATAAAGAAAATTAAACCTGCCTCTAGGCACGTCTCAAACTTGGGAGACTCAGAATACAACAGAGTATGGGATATAGGGAGGAAAGAAGAGATGCAGAAATAAATTAAAAACAAGATTTGTTTAAAGAGGAACTGCAACTTCTTTAATTGGGCAGATTGAACCAATAAAAGCACAGTTCTCTCCCTTCACCTCTTATCCTTTAGTCTCTTCAACTTTCACATTGCTTCACTCACTCTCTTCCTCTCCCTTTCACCTGCTCACCTTAGCCAACTTGAACTGTGCCCTCTGATCTGACACAGGATGACAATGACATCAGTCATTACCCAGCAGCCATTTTTTCTGATAACTAGAGTTCTGAGTGATGATAGTTCATGGTGAGATAATTTCCAAGACCTCGCTAGCCATTGGTGGTACTACTCTCCATTAAAGACAAGGGCATTTGCTGATTGAGAAATCAATCATACAAGTGTCCTTGGAGGCCACCAAGGCTTTGCCTGAACTGTTCTCAGCCTATGATGGTTTCTCTTTCTAAACCTGTTCTTCTAGGTTCAGCTCAAACATCCTCTCCTATAGAAACCTTTCCCCAACCTCCCAGTCAGAACTAATAATTTCTTTTCACTTCAACTGTACTTAGTTTATAATTTATATGACTATAATTTAATAACTGAGACTCTTCTGATAGTACAAACAGGTGCTATCATAATTACCTCTGGGCAACAGGCAAAAATCAAGATTGTCCTTAGTAAACCAGGATTCATACCAGGTCATCTGATGTTTACCTCTAGTATAGCACTCACCCGACTCTGCCTTACATTGCTTATTTAAAATGTCTGCCTCCCCTTCTAGGTTTTATAAAAGTTCTTGGCTCACAGTAACTCTTAGTATAAGTTTCTGAAATAAACACTTTGTTATCACTTTTGAATTGATGGCTTACATTTTTGTTTTGGCATTTAACTTCACATTTGTGCATTCATGTGTATGCATTTCAACTCATCTGCAAGCTTATATCCCTCAAAGTTTGCTGCTGGGCTAAGAGCAGCCACTCAAAAAATAATAATAGGCCAGGCGCAGTGGCTCACGCCTGTAATCCCAGCGCTTTGGGAAGCTGAGGCTGGTGGATCACTTGAGGTCAGGAGTTCAAGACCAGCCTGGCCAACATGATGAAACCTCATCTCTACTAAAAATACATAAATTAGCCGGGCGTGGTGGTGGGAGCCCAGCTACTCAGGGCTCCTCAGCTACTCAGCTATTCAGCTACTCAGGAGGCTGAGGCAGGAGAATTGCTTGAACCCAGGAGGCGGAGGTTTCGGTGAGCGAAGATTGCGCCACTGCACTCCAGCCTGGGCAAGAGTGAGATTCCGTCTCAAAAAAATAAATAAATAAATAAAAACAAAAAAGAAATAAATAGTTTTTAAAAAATCTTGACAGCATACCAGCATACATTCATTGATAAAGTCGACAAGAAAGTATTGGAGATTAAAGATTGCCAAAACCTAAGTGCTTTTCTTGGCATCATTGTCCTTGACCTCAAGGAGTTCTCAGTGTAATCAGAGTTGTGTTAAGGTCAGTGAGTGAAGGAAATGGGTACTGCACCTTTGCAAGATAGTAGGAAGCAAGCCAGAGAAGAGCTGGCATTCCACAAAAGAGTCTTTATTTGGGACAAAAATCAATATGACCAAATCCCATCCTAATCAATTCTGTAAACTAAAGGAATTTTTAAAAAATAATTTAGCAGGAGGAAGAGTTTCAAAATCTTGTAGGGAAACCCTGATGTAACTCCTGATTATTCACCCAAAGTGAAAAGTAACTATTAGTGAATGGGTTTTATTTTAAAACGTTTCATTTTTAGAATCTTATCTCTTCTAGGAAAAGTGTAGTACATACATCTTTTTTGTATGCAGAGTGAATTTCTTCTCCAGGCTTCTCTGACATCAATGGGGCAAGGTCATAACTCTATAAAACAGGGAGAAGCACTGAGCATTTTCAGAAAGGACTCTATCTGTCTTGACCAAAAGACAAAGGACTGGTCATTGCAGGATCCCCAGAAATACATTTTAGTAGCTTCCAAGTGAATTCTTTTGTAAATGGAGTTTCTCTCCATTCATAAGTTTTAGAGCAAAAATGAAGCCTTAGTGGGTCTAGATATCTGGCTAACATTAACTCCCTGTGTGACCTTAAACTGGTCGTCCCCAGAGCTTTATGCTTTTATACAATTAACTTGAATTACAGCCTCTCCTTCTTGCCCATAAGAATGATAATACCACCTGCATTACTCATCTTTTACGCTTATGTGAGACACCTAGCCACCTATCAGAAGGTATTCAAATGCAAAGCATTAAGTTTTTACACTTTAATGTGAAGTGGAAGAAAGTCTTGATTCAAATGCACAATCTCTACCTTTCTACTGATTCCACATTTGCTGTCTTTTACTAGTGCAGTTAAGTCCCAAATTAGAAACATAAGTCGCCCCAACATGTGACAAATGTCCTTTGTTGCCAGAGAAAGGACAGTGGGGCTGTGTCCTCAGCCTTAGCAACCAGAAGATTCTGCAAGACCAGGACATTCTCCTGCCAGAGCCTGCTTTAGTGTCCAGTGCTGTTCTCCAAAGAGATGGAAAAAACCAAGTGGAAAAGTTTCAGTTTATTCAATATAAGGCTCCACATTCAAATGGCAAAACTGCTCTGTTCAGGTCATATTTCAAGCCCAACCTATGTCAGTCCTTAGTAAAAGCTTCAAAGCAATACCAGTCCTTTCCCAGCCTGGTTTACCTTGATTAGACAAACACAGACACCCATGTCTGAGTAAGCACTGAGACCATGGATGAGTGCTAAGGAGATTAGGTGTTTGGATAGACACAGCTAGGGTGTGTGTATATGTGTGTGTGTGTGTGTGTGTGTGTGTGTGTGTGTGTGTGTAGAGAGAGAGAGAGAGACAGAGGCAAAGACAGAGACAGTGCTCATTGGGCAGAGGACAGAGTAGCTGAGATAGTATCATTTGTTTATTCATTTGCTTTTTCATAAAATACTTAGTAAGCACCTACTTGGTATGTGCCGACACTTTAATAGGTACTAGAAAGAGCAAGACAGACAGAATCACAGTCTTCAGAGAATTTACAGCCTATGGGGTTAATTAAACCAATGATTATCATAGCATGTAACAAACAAAAGAGAACCCAGAATCAGCTGTATGGAAATGCACACAGGTGGCAGATATAAATAGCAGCAGATACACGAATCAGTGCGGGTCCATCATATAACTCCTAGCTTTAGTCTCTAAACTTAGGCTCCCACTCAACTCAACTCCTACTCTAACTCAAGATATACCATACCTTGGTTTGCTCTTTCTCTAAGCATCGCTGTTCTAGTCTTCTAAGGAGCAGGAATATAAATCTACATCTATGTGAAACTACAGCACCCCCAAGGGAAAACAAAGAATCCAGTGCTATTCTAGTAATTTTAGGGCAGTAGTACAGTACAATGCAAAGTATAGGCTTTTGAACTAAATTGGCCTGGGTTCAAATATGAGCCCTCTTACATTCTATTAGGTTGAACCATATAAAAATGGAGATATTCAATCATTTTTTTACAGTTTCACGTAGTTCATCTCTGTATTCTAGAGGTAAATCATTTTAACCTAAGTTTCATTTCCTTCTGTTGTTAGTTTTTTTAATGGTGCTAATACCCCTACCTTTCAGGGTTGTAAATGAAAAGATGTTAAAAAAAAAAAATACCTGACATATAGTGGGTGTTCAATAAATGTTAGTTTTCCCAAAGACAGTCAGATGCATGAATCATAATAAGAGGTATTTCTGGTCAACACTAAGCTTAAGAATCCAAGAAAAGATATATCAAAATGAGACATCTTTGGGTTTGGATAGTGGGGGAGGCTGTATATACACAGGTATGTATGTAGGGGCAGGGAGTAAATGGGAAATCTCTGGCTCTTCTGCTTAACTTTGCCGTGAGCTTAAAACTGCTCTAAAAAACAAAATCTGACCAGGCCTGGTGGCTCACACTTGTAATCCTAGCACTTTGGGGGGCTGAAGCAGAAGGATCCCTCGAGCCCAGGAGTTTGAGACCAGCCCGGGCAACATAGAAAGACCCTATCTCATTTTAAAAAACTAAAAAATAAAAAATAAAATAAAAAACAAAATCCATTTTTTTAAACAAAAAGAAAAATGAGGGAAAATGAGGTGTTCTGCTTGTTTTATTTAGACTCTGAGCACAGAGTTCCCAAGATACATTCTGCTGTGGTATTCACACTGATCTCCAATTAAACCCTTCTCAGTGTGTCATGAGCTATTCATTCCCTATAGTCACTCTGTTAGAATCTTGGTCGTGTCCCAGAGGCCTCTGTTGATGTGGCCCAACTGAGCTGGCAAGTGAGAAAACATACACATAAATACCCATGATCTCAGCGATTCTCTCCCCTCCCCAGGACATTCCTTAGCAGAACCAATCTCTCTCACTCGGCTGGAGCCTCTCTGTTCACAGATAGGCCTGGCTGGGCTTAATTTAGCAAAGGGCAGGCCCCCTGCAAAAGCCAGGGGTAAGTCTGGAGCCCCTGTAATGCCCCAGGACACCTTGTGTGGAGACAGGAGCCCAGCCCTGCCGAAGGAGCTAAAGGGGATGTTCAGAATGTTTGTTTTTCTCAGCTATTTAGGAACTGGAGCTCACGGGAACCACCCTTTACTTCCTTAACTTCTCACATAAATGTTTTCTTTGGGCAGCAGCTATAGAACTGGAAACTAAGTAAAACCTTACTTTGGAATATAAAAACTATATTAATTTTTCTACAGATAAATTGTTGCATAGGAAACTTGCTAAATATTTTTAAATTATCTGTAACACCTAACATAATCTGACATTTATCCCCAAATTCAGCTTTCAATTCTGGATTGAAACATACTTTGATCTGTTCTCTAAAAAGGACAAAGCCAGTCACTGGTGTTTTGCAAAGTCTGGGACCATTTTTCCTACACAGAATCTCACACAATAAACAGACAAGATATTAGAAACTAAGTTCTAATATCTAGCAGTCACTCCTTCCCTGGAAGCCTGGCTGTGTCCTGAAGCCAGGTCCTATGATCAGGCAACTCTTCTGAAGCTCTGCTTCCACTAGGGACAGCACTTACCCTGTAGACTCTACAGATGTACCATCCAGGATGGCAGGCATGAGCCACATGTGGCTACTGAACCCTTGAGATGTGACTAGTCCAAATCGAAATGTGCTGTAAGGATTTCAGACTTAGCACGCACAGGAGTTCAAAGACTAACTACAACAAAAGAATGTGACATCTCATTAATAATTGTAAAATGTTGATTTCATGTTGAAATGATAATGTTTTAAATGTATTATTAACATTAATTTCACATATTTCTTTTTACTTTTTTTAATGTGGCCATGAGAAAAATTTAAATTACATGTATGGCTTATATTTACGTTGGACAGCACTGTTCTATAAGATGTTAGGAAAAAGATGTATTTGCTTTAAGTACTTTGCATTAAGACATAGTCTGACCTGAATCACAGTTAATCCTGTGGTCTCATAGCATCTTGGAGAGTTTTGTGGGGTGCTGGCATCCATCAACCAACAAAATACCAAAATGACTCTAGGTAATTATAAGTGAAGCAAAACCACTGGGCAGGGATGATAACAGGCACTGTACTTAACAGGAGTCAGCGTATCACAATGCTGCTCGGACTATGTTCAGACACTAAACTCTAAGTGTCATGAGGGCAGGGACTCCCTCTATCTTCTCACCATTGTAGCATTGCTAGCACAATGCCCACACACAGAAGATAATGATATATTTATCAAACAAATGGATGCTGTTCAAAATAAAAATATAGCTCTCTTGAAAAACAATTCTCCCTGCAAGAACTTCCTCTTCTTACTGTTTCTTTTCTCAATTTTTTTGCTTCCTACTTCCACCAACCCCTCTTGCAGAGACTGCTCCATTCCAGTAAAAGGTGAAGGTTCAACTGGAGACCTCCAAAGTCGGCTGGGCCTAGGGTTTGGGTAGGCAATTGCTGGAAGAGCACAGAGAGGGAAAGATTTCAGGCAGTGGTGATAAGAAAAGGCCCACCTGGGTCAGGTGTGGTGGCTCACGCCTGTAATCCCAGCACTTTGGGAGGCCGAGGTGGGCGGATCATGAGGTCAGGAGTTCGAGACCAGCTTGGTCAACATGGTGAAACCCCGTCTCTACTAAAGATACAAAAAAATTAGCCAGGTGTGGTGGTGTGTGCCTGTAATCCCAGCTACTTGGGAGGCTGAGGCAGGAGAATCGCTTGAACCCAGGAGGCAGAGGTTGTAGTGAGCTGAGATTGCACCACTGCACTCCAGCCTGGGCAACAGGGACATACTCCGTCTCAAACAAACAAACAAACAAAAAAACCAGAAGAAAGCACTGGCAGTCTCTTACCGCCATATCAATCCATCTACACATCTCGGGTTACATTCTCTGTCTTTCCACTTATAACCATAGATCAACTATCCATGCTCCTATCTAAAGCCAAACCTTCCACTTATGTATTAATTAAGTCCTATTCCCCCTACCTCTCAAAGGCAACACCTAGAAGGTCTCCCCTGCTTCTCTTTATCAATATTTCACTTTCTAATGGAAAATTCTGTTGGCATACGAACATGCTATTATTCATTTATCTTTCTAGAAATCCCCTATGGACCTCATACCCTTATCAGGTATGCCCCATTCCTTTGCTCTCCTTTGAAACAAAACTCAAAGTAATTATTCATCCTCATTGACTCCAATTCTTCTCCTCACATTGTTTCTTAAACCCACTGCAAGCAGGCTTTTGTCTTCACCACTCCACCAGAATTACTTTAATCAAGATCACTAATGACATCCATGTTGTTAAATCCAAAGGTCAATTCTTTTTTGAGACAGAGTCTTGCTCTGTTGCCCAGGCTGGAGTGCAGTGGTGCAATCTCGGCTCACTGCAACCTCCGCCTCCTGGGTTCAAGTGATTCTCTTGCCTCAGCCTCCTGAGTAGCTGGGATTACAGGCATGCGCCACCATGTCCAGCTAATTTTCGTATTTTCAGTAGAGACCAGGTTTCACCATGTTGGTCAGGCTGGTCTCAAACTCCCGACCTCAAGTGATTGGCCCACCTTGGCCTCCCAAAGTGCTGGGATTACAGGCGTGAGCCACCACGTCTGGCGGGCCAAAGGTCAATTCTTAATCATCGTATTACTCAAGCTCTCAGCAGGATTTCAAAAGGTGGATCCTGTCCTCTTCACTACACACATTCTTCATTTGGCTTCCGGGACTCCAGACTTTTTCTCCTACTTCACTGGTTTGTACCTTCTCTATCTTCCTTTTCTGATTCTTCCTCTTTTCTCCAAATTACTAATGTTGGAGCTATACAGGACCAGTCTCTGGTCCTTTTCTCTTCCACCTGGAAAGGTCTAACTCCAACTCCTTTGGTGATCTCCTATGGTTTCATGGCTTTAAATATTTAAATTTAATATTTAATGATCTATTTGCTGATAACTCCCAAATTTATGTCTCTAGCCCTACTCTATTTCCTGAACTTTAGACTTATGTATTCAACTGCTTACTTAATGCTGCCACATAAAATGTCTAGCAAATAGCTTACACACCAAATTTCCAAAACTGAACCCCTACTCTCCACCTTCAAATCTGCTCCATCCATAGCCTTCCCTATCTCAGTTATGGCAACTCCATCCTTCCAGTTGCTTACTCCAAAAACCCTGGAATTTTCCTTGATTCCTTTATTTCTCTCCCATTCTGTATCCAATCCATTGACAAAATCCTTTTAGATTTGCTACCTTCACCACTTGTTCCCACATGCATCACTATTACCTAAGTCTGATCACTATCAGCCCCTACATACATTACTGCAGTGTCTTCCTAAGAGTCCTCCTGGTGTCTACTTTTGTTCTACAGCCTATTTGCAATACTGTAACCAGATTTATCATTTCAACAAGTCAGACAGGACTGGCATTTGTTAGACCCCTCCTCTGCTCAAAACCCTTCAATAGGTTCCCATGTCACTCTGAGTAAAAGCTGAAGTCTTTAAAATCATCTACAGGGACTTACTACACAAGCCCCATACCCTCTGGGGCCTCATCTTCCAGCATGCTTAATCTTGATTATGCTGCATCAGCCACAGTGGCTTTCCTGATGTTTCTCTGCCTGGAATATTCT
Organism: Homo sapiens; assembly: GCF_000001405.40. Classification (NCBI taxonomy): domain Eukaryota; kingdom Metazoa; phylum Chordata; class Mammalia; order Primates; family Hominidae; genus Homo; species Homo sapiens. The sequence goes on from NC_000001.11 coordinate 120,596,927, forward strand.
TCCCCCAGTTCTCTGTTTGACCAACTTCGTCATCTCCTTCAAGTTGCTATTTGAAAATTATTTTCTATGGCATAGCCACTTTGAAAAATAGTTAGACAGTATCTATTCAGAAAATAGGCAGAAATACCGACTGGGCATCCCTAATCTAAAAATTCAAAATCCAGCATGTTCCAAAATCCAAAACTTTTTGAGGACCAACATGATACCTCAGGTGGAAAGCTCCATACCTGACCTCATGAAAGGTTGCAGCAAAAATGCAGGCACAACACCCAGTTTATTCAGCATCCCCAAGAGAAAAACATAATTACCTTCAGGCTATGTGTACAAGGTGTATATGAAACATAAATAAATTTCATGTTTAGACTTGGGTCCCATCCCCAAGATATCTCATTATGTATATGCAAATATTTCAAAATCTGAACACATCTGAAAATCTTCTGGTTCAAGCATTTCAGATAAGAGATATTTAATCTATATATACTTATTATATAACCTAACAGTTCCACTACTGGGCATTTACCCAAAAGAAATAAAACAAAGACTTGTTACATGAATATTCATAGCAGCTTAATCCATAATAGCCTGTTACTGAACACAACTCATACATTCATCAACAAATGAATGAATAAACAAATTGTATTATATTCATACAATGGAATACTACTCAGCAATAAAAATGAATGTACTACTGATACAAATAGCATGGATGAAACTCAAAATCATTATTCTAAGAGCCAGATACTATAGTCTGTATTTTATGATTCACTTTCAATGAAATTCTACAATAGACAGAACTATCTATCAACAGAAAGCAGATCAGTGGTTTTCTGCAGCCAGAGGTATGAAAGGTTTGAAACATGTGGCACCAGTAGGACATATGGAAACTTTTTTGGTGTGATGGAAGTATTTTTTTATCTTGATTGTGTGGTGTTTGTTATACAGTGGTATACATTTGTTAAAATTTATCTAACTGCATACTTAATAAAGTTTATTTAAACAAAACATGAAAGGAAAAACTAAAATGACATAGCAAGTGGCAATGCAAACTGCCAAGTGCAAAGAATGAGTAAAGAGCTTGGTTGGCATGGAGACTACCAGTCTAGGATGCTTTCATTGCCTCAGGTCAGCTTGGAAGGCCATAAAGGCTGTGAAGGTAAACCTAGAAACAAATCTTCCTGCACTGGTAACTGTCATGTTTATTTGCTTCTCTTTCCATCCCATCCTTTCAAAAAAAAAAAAGTAAAAGGTAGTGTGGTCCACAAACTACAGTGTGGCTCCCCATGATCCCCGCCTCTTGGTGTTTGTGCCCTTGTGTAACTCCTTCTCTTTGGGTATGAGCAGGCCCTGCGACTTACTTCTAACCAATAGAATATGGCAAAGGTGAAAGAATGTCACTCCTGTGATTATATTAAATTTCAAGGCTCTCTTGCTTGCAGATTTGCTCTAGAGCCTCTCCTTGCTGACTTGAAGTGGCCATATGGGGAAAGCTCACATGGCAAGGAACACTAGGTGACTTCAAGGAACCCTGGACAGCCTCTAGCCAACCTCTGGCAAGAAGTCAAGGCCCTCAGTCCTACTGCTACAAAGAAATGGATTCTGTTGACAGCCCAAGTGAGCTCTGAGTCAGATTCCTCAGTCAAGCCTCTAGAGGAGAATGCAGCCTGGCCAATACCTTGGCTGTAGCCTAGGGAGACCCTAAGCAGACAACCCAGCTAAGCGGTGCCTGGATTCCTGACCCACACACACTGTGAGATAATAAATGTGTTGGGGGGTGAAGGAGGGATAGGGGTAGGGGTGGCTGTGCATTTGGGTATGGAAGGGTGTTTTAAATCACTTTCTAAACACGGCCTCTCCTGGCCACTCCTTAATACTGCAACCTGCTCTCCACTCCTGTAATTTTTTTTTCAACATTTGTTTTAGGTTCAGGGGGTACATGTGCAGGTTTGTTACATGGGTAACTTGCATGTTGCGGAGGTTTGGTGTATGAATGAACCCATCACGCAGGTAGTAAGTATAGTACCCAATAGTTAGCTTTTCAACCCTCTCCCCCCTTCTACCTTCCACTGGGGTAGGCCCCAGTGCTTATTGTTCCCATCTTTGTGTCCATGTCTCAAAGTTTTGCTCTCACTTATAAGTGAGAACATGCAGTATTTGGTTTTCTGTGCCTGTGTTAATTAGCTTAGGATAATGGCCTCCAGCTGCATCTCTTTTGCTGCAGAAGACATGATTTCATTCTTTTAATGGATGCATAGTATTCCGTGCTTTATATGTACCGTATTTTTCCTCCCCAGTCTACTGTTGATGTGTATCTAGGTTGATTCCATGCCTTTGCTATTGTGGATAGTGCTGCAGTGAACATGTAAGTGCATGTGTCTTTTTGGTAGAACAATTTATTTTCCTTTGGGTATATATCCAGTAATGGGATTGCTGGGTCAAATGGTAGTTTTCTTTTAAATTCTTTGAGAAATCACCAAACTGCTTTCCGCAGTGACTGAACTAATTTACATTCTCACCAACAGCGTATAAGCACTTTTCTCTACAACCTTGCCAACACCTTATTTTTTGTTTTTCACAGTAGGCATTCTGACTGGTGTGCAATGGTGTCTCATTGTGGTTTTGACTTGCATTTCTCTAATGATTAGTGATATTGAGCATGAGAATTTTTTCAAATATTTGTTGGCCCCATGTATGTCTTCCGTTCATGTCCTTTGCCCATTTTTTAGTTGGGACAAGGTCTCGATCTGTTGCCCAGGAGTGCAGTCTGATCACTGGAGTTCAGTGATGCAAACACAGCTCACTGCAGCCTTGACCTCCTAGGCTCTAGCAATCCTTCCACCACTGCCTCCCAAAGTGCTGGAGTTTCAGATTTGAGCCACCACACCTTTGCTCATTTTTGAAGTGGGGCAAGACCCCCACTTCGTAGGACTATTACTTGATTGAGATTAAATATGTGTAAAATGCATAACATGGTGCCTGGCTTATAGTAAACACTAAATGGATTTCTTCTTCCATAGGATTTAAATAGGGAGCAATTTTTTTTCTATCAAGAGCTGATCAGAAATAAATGGGAAGCATTTAAATGCTCTCCTTCCCTTGCCCCAAGAGGACTTTCACTTTCCAACATTCTACATACTTTATTTATAATATTTATTGTTTATTTTCTGTCTACTCATGACAGACTATAAGTTCTATGAGGATGGGAATGCCTGTATGTGCTTATTATATGACCTAACAGTTCCACTACTGGGTATTTACCCAAAAGAAATAAAACAAAGACTTATACATGAATATATTGATATATACTCCAGTCACCTCCAATAGAATCTAGAACACAGTAGGGGCTTAGTACATATTTTTAAATGAATGAAGACTAATGTTTAGTTTAAACTAGGATTGACCTATTCTTATCCTCGGCAGGGACAGAGAATAACTAATTACCACTTGTCACATATTGAGACTTCAGTACCTAAAAGGCACTATTAGGTCACCTGTAAGTCTGTTTTCCCCCAAAGTAAAAATCCCAATTCCATTGCCCTTTTCACATAAGCCTCATTTTCTAACCTTTTTAGTTTGGTTTAATGAATTTCCTATTTCCTCTGAATTCTAGAGTTCCAAACCAGACTCAGCACAAGCCTAACAGGGCAACCTATACAGATAAGGACAGCCCAGGCACATTGCACACGGCAAGTTGCACCTGTTTTAAGAGTAAAAATGAGGTCAATGCCACCTTGTACTGCAGGTACCTCAATGAGACAATGCCACCCCTTCCTGCCACAATCTTGGCAAAAGTCACTACGAAAGTAAATATCATTTTACTAGAGTCCTTTCTTTCTCTCCAGTGAATAACACAATGTAGTTATTCACTGGAAAACATCATTTGCATTTGAAAGAGTTACTAACTAAATTCTAAAGAATGTACCAAAGCCTTGCTTAACTGTAGAATGAGGCCACACGGCTGCTGGGATACCAGGTACTCTCCCTGAGCCTATTGATGGCAAATTTCATCCTGTGAAAAATGGGAACAAGACACCCACTTCATAGGACTATTATATGGTTGAAATTAAATATGTGTAAGATGCATAACATGGTGCCTGGCACACAGTAAACACAAAACAGATTTCTTCCTCTATAGCATTTAAATGGGAAGTGTTTAGCGTTTACTTGCCATGTGCATGAGTGAATTTGGGAAAAGTGGGGGGAGGATATGGGGCAAAGAAGGACAGAAAGGGCCTAAGAGTAGGAAGAATTTAATACCAGAAGATGGGACAAGACCTGGGTCTAGAAACCTCTTCTGCAGATAAAGTAGCTGCAAATTATAGGGAAGGAGTCCTCAGGCTGCTTTCCTTATAACCATTTATTTTCCTGCACCTTACATCAAGAACGTTAGGCACTGGTTAAGACCCTGTCCCCTTGCAGCAGTAGAGAAAACAGGAGGAAGGAGACGGGAGGTAGAAATTTGGAAGCTAGCAGTTGAAGGCCAACTCAGAAAGCGTCAGGTGGAATTCCATTCCTAATTGACATCACCATCCTCTAACTGCAGCAATTCTCTCCAGCCCTTTTATGTGCTCCCTACAGAACCAAGCTTCCACACAGCTGAAGGAACCTGTCTGCTCTCACCCCAGCTTCACAGAAGATGGCAGGGACTGGTTATTACTAACCTGCCTCCTAGTCTTCTGAGGCTCCAAATGGTTTTGTCAGCAAGCTGAGCTTCCCCACAATCCCACAGACTAGAAGGGGTTGGAAAGAACAAGCCTTAGTACAATACTGCTCCCCACCTCTAAGGGATCTGCTCCTCTGAGTCCCAGAAGTTCACCACCTTCATTTGATTTCTGCTACAGGAAGACTCTGGGAATCCAGCTCTGGACCCAGCACTTCCTGATTTTTGAAGTAGAGAGTTGACAACCCTGTTGTCATCAATACAACTGTGCTAGGTGGGTGGGAAAGGAAAATATCTTGGGCTCCCAAAATCACTAAGCTAAAAGGAAAACTCAGGATCATGCTGGATGGAAGTCAGGACTAGATTGCAGCTCCGACTCGGATGGACAGAGAAGCATGTGGAGGCTCGTATCATGAATTTTTGCTCCAGAACGACTGGAGGAATAAATTACAAAACCTCAGAGGACCCACAGGCCCCCTGAAGGAAGCAGATGGCTCCTGCAGGACCCAGGAGACACACCAAATACTGTGTTAGTATTTACTTATAGAAATGCAAAATGGTCTGGAAAGTCTCAGCCATAGAATCAAACAAGTAGAAGAAAGAAATTCAGAGCTTGAACACAAAGTCTTCAATTTGACCCAATCCAACAAAGACAAAGAAAAACAAATAAGAAAATATGAACAAAGCCTCCAAAAACTCTGGGATTATGTTAAATGACCAAACCTAAGAATAATTGGCATTGCTGAGGAAGAAGAGAAATCTAAAAGTTTGAAAAACATATTTGGGGGAATAATTGAGGAAAATTTCCCCAACCTTGCTAGAGACCTAAACAAATACAAGAAGCACAAAGAACACCTGGGAAATTTATTGCAAAGAGATCGTCACCTAGGCACATTGTCATCAGGTTATCTAAAGTTAAGACAAAAGAAAGAATCTTAAGAGCTGTGAGACAAAAGAACCCAGTAACCTATGAAGGAAAACCTGTCAGATTAACAGCAGATTTCTCAGCAGGAATCCTACAAGCCAGAAGGGATTGGGCCCCTATCTTCAGCATCCTAAAACAAAACAATTATTAGCTGAGAATTTTGTATCCAGTGAAACTAAGCTTCATATACGAAGAGAAGATACAGTATTTTTCAGACAAACAAATGCTGAGAGAATTTGCCACTACCATGCCAGCGCTACAAGAATTGCTAAAAGAAGCTTCAAATCTTGAAACAAAACCTGGAAACACATCAAAACAGAACCTCTTTAAAATATAAATCTCACAGGACCTATAAAACAAAAATACAATTCAAAAAAACAAAAACAAAACCCAAAAAACCAAGGTATACAGGCAACAAAAAGCACAATGAACGGAATGGTACCTCACATCCCAATACTAACATTGAATGTAAATGGCCGAAATGCGCCACTTAAAAGATACGGAATTGCAGAATGGATAAGAATTAACCGACCAACTATCTGCTGCCTTTAAGAGACTCACCTAACACATAAGAGACTTATCTGACACATAAGGACTCACATAAACTTAAGGTAAAGGGGTGGAAAAAGACATTTCATGCAAATGGACACCAAAAGCAAAAGCAAGCAGAAGTAACTATTGTTTTTTTGGTTTTTTTGAGATGGAGTTTCACTCTTGTAGTCCAGGCTGGAGTGCAATGGCGCGATCTTGGCTCACTGCAACCTCCACCTCCCAGGTTCAAGCAATTCTCCTGTGTCAGCTTCCCAAGTAGCTGGAACTACAGGTGTGCACCACCATGCCCAGCTAATTTTTGTATTTTTAGTACAGATAGGTTTAGTACAGGCAGGGGTGATCTGCCTGCCTTGGCCTCCCAAAGTGCTAGGATTACAGGCATAAGCCACCGTGCCTGGCCCAGCAGTAGTTATTCTTATATCAGACAAAACAAACTTTAAAGAAATTGCAGTTAAAAAAGACAAAGAGCGGCATTATATAATGATAAAAGGCCTTGTCCAACAGGAAAATATCACAATCCTAAACATATATGCACCTAACACTGGAGCTCCCAAATTTATAAAACCATCACTAATAGACCTAAGAAATGAGATAGACAGTAACACAATAATAGTGGGGGACTTCAATATGTCACTGACAGCACTAGACAGGCCAATGAGACAGAAAGTCAACAAAGAAACAATGGATTTAAACTATACCCTGGAACACATGGACTTAAGACATATATACAGAACATTCCATCCAACAACTGCAGAATATACATTCTATTCAACAGTGCCTGGAACTTTCTCCAAGATAGACCACATGGTAGGCCACAAAACAAGCCGCAATAAATTTAAGAAAATTGAAATTATATCAAGCACTCTCTCAGACCACAGTGGAATAAAACTGGAAATCAACTCCAAAAGGAGCTTTCAAAACCATGCAAATACATGGAAATTAACCTGCTCCTGAATGATCATGAAATCGAGATGGAAATTAAAAAAATCTTCAAATTGAACAAAAATAGTGATACAACCTATCAAAACTTCTGGAATACAGCAAAGTCAGTGCTAAAAGGAAAGTTCATATTCCTAAACACCTACATCAAAAAGTCTAAAAGAGCACAAACAGACAATCAAAGGTCACACTTCAAGGAACTAGAGAAACAAGAACAAACCAAACCCAAACCAGCAGAAGAAAGGAAATAACCAAGATCAGAGCAGAACTAAATGAAACTGAAACAAACAAACAAAAAATACAAAAGATAAATGAAATGAAAACCTGGTTCTTTGAAAAGATAAATAAAGCTGCCGGGCGTGGTGGCTCACGCCTGTAATCCCAGCACTTTGGGAGGCCAAGGTGGGTGGATCACAAGGTCAGGAGATCAAGACCATTCTGGCTAACATGGTGAAGCCCCGTCTCTACTAAAAATACAAAAAAGGTGTAAGGAAAGGATCCAGTTTCAGCTTTCTACATATGGCTAGCCAGTTTTCCCAGCACCATTTATTAAATAGGGAATCCTTTCCCCATTGCTTGTTTTTCTCAGGTTTGTCAAAGATCAGATAGTTGTAGATATGCGGCATTATTTATAGGTGGGAATTGAACAATGAGAACACATGGACACAGGAGGGGGAACATCACACTCTAGGGACTGTTGTGGGGTGGGGGGAGGGGGGAGGGATAGCATTAGGAGATATACCTAATGCTAAATGACGAGTTAATGGGTGCAGCACACCAGCATGGCACATGTATACATATGTAGCTAACCTGCACGTTGTGCACATGTACCCTAAAACTTAAAGTATAATAATAATAAAATAAAATAAATAAAAAATAAAAAATAAAAATAAAAATACAAAAAATTAGCCGGACGCCATGGTGGGCACCTGTAGTCCCAGCTACTCGGGAGGCTGAGGCAGGAGAATGGCATGAACCCGGGAGGCGGAGCTTGTAGTGAGCCGAGATCACACCACTGCACTCCAGCCTAGGCGACAGAGCAAGACTCCATCTCAAAAAAAAAAAAAAAAAAAAAAAAAAAACCTAGAAGAGATGGATAAATTCCTGGAAAGATACAACCCTCCTAGCTTAAATCAGGAAGAATTAGATACTCTGAACAGACCAATAACAAGCAACAAGATTGAAATGGTAATGTAAACATTACCAACAAAAATAGTCCAGGACCGGATGGATTCACAGCAGAATGTAACCAGGCATTCAAAGAATTGGTACCAATCCTATTGACACTATTTCATAGGATTGAGAAAGAGGGAACCCTCCCTAAATCATTCTATGAAGCCAGCATCACCCTAATACCAAAACCAGAAAAGGACATAACCAAAAAAGAAAACTGCAGACCAATATCCTTGATGAACATCGATACTAAAATCCTTAACAAAATACTAGCTAACCGAATCCAACAACATATCAAAAATATAATCCACCGTGATCAAGTGGGTTTCATACCAGGGATGCAGGGAGGTTTAACATACGCAAGTCAATAAATGTGGTACACCACATAAACAAAATTAAAAACAAAAATCACCATGATCATCTCAATAGATGCAGAATAAGCATTTGACAAAATCCAGCATCCCCTTATGATTAAAACTCTCAGCAAAATCAGCATACAAGGGACATATCTCAATGTAATAAAAGCCATCTATGACAAACCCACGGCCAACGTAATAATGACTGGGGGAAAAGTTAAAAGCATTTCCTCTGAGAACTGAAACAAGACAAGGATGCCCACTCACACCACTCCTCTTCAACATAGTTCTGGAAGTCCTAGCCAGAGCAAGACAAGAGAAAGAAATAAAGGGGATCCAAATTGTTATAGAGGAAGTCAAACTGTCACTATTTGCTGATGATATTATTGTTTACTTAGAAAATCCTAGAGTCCTCCAGAAAGCTCCTAGAACTCATAAAACAATTCAGCAAAATTTCTGGATACAAAATTAATGCATGCGAATCAGTAGCTCTTCTATACACCAACAGCGACCAAGCTGAGAATCAAATCAAGAACTCAACCCCTTTTACAACAGCTGCAAAAAATAAAATAAAATAAAATACTTAGGAATATACCTAACCAAGGAGGTGAAAGACCTCTACAAGGAAAACTACAAAACACTGCCGAAGGAAATCATAGACGACACAAATGAATGGAAACACATCCCATGCTCATGGATGGGTAGAATCAATATTGTGAAAATGACCATACTGCCAAAAGCAATCTACAAATTTAACACAATTCCCTTCAAAATACCGCCATCATTCTTTACAGAATTAGAAAAAACAATTCTAAAACTCATATGGAACCAAAAAGGAGCCCGCATAGCCAAAGAAAGACTAAGCAAAAAGAATAAATCTATAGGCATCACATTACCTGATTTCAAACTATACTATAAGGCCATAGTCACCAAAACAGCATGATACTGGCATAAAAATAGGCACAGAGACCAATGGAACAGAATAGATAACCCATAAATAAACTCAAATACTTACAGCCAACTGATCTTCGACAAAGCAAACAAAAACATAAAGTGGGGAAAGGACACCCTTTTCAACAAATGGTGCTGGGATAATTGGCTAGCCACATGTAAGAGAACTAAACTGGATCCTCATCTCTCACCTTACACAGAAATCAGCTCAAGATGGATTAAGGATTTAAATCTAAGTTCTGAAACTATAAAAATTCTAGAAGGTATCATCGAAAAAACCCTTATAGACATTGGCTTAGGCAAGGATTTCATGACCAAGAACCCAAAAGCAAATGCAATAAAAACAAAGACAAACAGCTGGGACTTAATTAAACTAAAGAGCTTTTGCACGGCAAAAGGAACAGTCAGCAGAGTAAACAGACAACCCACAGAGTGGGAGAAAATCTTCACAGTCTGTACATCTGACAAAGGACTAACATCCAGAATCTACAACAAGCTCAAACAAATCAGCAAGAAAAAACAAACAATCCCATCATAAAGTGGGCTAAGGACATGAATAGACAGTTCTCAAAAGAAGATATACAAATGGCCAACAAACATATGAAAAAAGGCTCAACATCGCTAATAATCAGGGAAATGCAAATCAAAACCACAATGTGATACCACCTTACTCCTGCAAGACTGGCCATAATCAAAAAAATAAAAAAATAGTAGATATGGATGTGGATGCAGTGAACAGGGAACACTTCTACACTGCTTGTGGGAATGTAAACTAGTACAGCCACTATGGAAAACAATGTGGAGATTCCTTAAAAAACTAAAAGTAGAACTACCATTTGATCCAGCAATCCCACTACAGGGTATCTACCTAGAGGAAAAGAAGTCATTATACAAAAAAGATACTTGAACACGCATACGTATAGCAGCACAGTTCACAACTGCAAAAACGTGGAACCAACCCAAGTGCCCACCAATCAATGAGTGGATAAAGTAACTGTGGTGTGTATACACACACATATATATATATATGATGGATATATATATATATATATATATATATATATATATATATATATGAGATAGAATACTACTCAGCCAATAAAAGGAATAAATTAACGCATTCACAATGATCTGGATGAGATTGGAGACTATCATTCTAAGTGAAGTAAGGCAGGAAAGGAAAACCAAACATTGTATGTTCTCACTCATAAGTGGGAGCTAAGCTATAAGGATACAAAGGCATAAGAATGACACAGTGGACTTTGGGGACTCAAGGGGAAAGGGTGGGAAGTGGGTGAGGGATAAAAGATCACAAATAGGGTGCAGTATATACTGCTTGGGTGATGGGTGCACCAAAATCTCACAAATCACCACTAAAGAAATTACTCATGTAACCAAACACCATCTGTTCCCCAATAACCTATGGAAATGAAAATACAAAAAATAAAAGGAAAACTCAAGCTGGAAACTGTTTAGGGCAAACCTGCCTCCCATTCTATTCAAAGTTATCTCTCTGCTCACTGAGATAAATGCATATCTGATTGCCTCCTTTGGAAAGGCTAATTAGAAACTCAAAAGAATGCAACCTTTTGTCTCTCTTCTGTGACCTAGAAGCCGCCTCCCCCACTGCAAGTTTTCCTGCCTTTGCTTCAAGTTGTCCCGCCTTTCCAGACCGAACCAAGGTACTTCTTACATACATTGATTGATGTCTCATGTCTCCCTAGAATGTACAAAACCAAGCTGTGCCCCAAACACCTTGGTCACATGTCATAAAGACTTCCTGAGGCTATGCCAGGGGCATGTGTCCTCAACCTTGGCAAAATAAACTTTCTAAATTTACTGAGACCTGTCTCAAATTTTCGGAGTTCACAGTGGGCAAGACTAGATTTACTTTTGTGTTGAGCAGATACTGAGCTTGACTGATAAGAATCTGGAGTGTGAGGTCTCACGGAGTAACTCTGATAGAGGAAGCTACCTGTGTGGTCTCAGGGAGAAGATCTGAGACTTACCAAGAAAAAGTGACCTGAAAGAACTGGCTGACTTCAGGCCCTTGACCAGTGCCTAGACCCTCTTTCTGCAGCTCCAGATCATAGCCATCATGCTGGCAGCCTCCCTGCCGCTCATCCAGGCACCTTAAAGAAGGGCTTCCTCTTCCCAAGCCTCTGGGTGGGCTTTCTAAAGCCCTGTGTGCATGAAGAGGTGGCTTGTAGCCCTTTGCAGCAGCAGGGCTTACATGAGGCTGGGATATGAAAAGCTGGCATTACAATGCAGCTTGTGCCTTGCATTCACTCCCCACTTCATCAAGCCAAGTTTCTAAATAACAGGGATAGTAACTGCCCACTGTGGCCCAATGTCACTTCTAAAGTTGCTTGGCAAAAAGCCACATGACTATTACTTAGCTCTCCACAGAACGGCATGTACCAAGTCGGATCACTGCTGTCGGTGTGTGGGTGGATTAGCTGCTATTGAACATGATAGGGCGGGCCCCTTTCCAGTTTGCACCAGCCTCGCTCTGTGCCTACTCCATGTATCATAGAGCCTCCTCTCTCTGTGCAGTTGAACTTGATCAGATGAGATGGCAAAAGCCAGAGCAGGGAGCAAGGCAAAAGAGAAAAATATGTTCACGGTGACTTTTGAAAACATATGGATGAAACTCCTGAGGAGGCTGAGGAACTAAACCTTTTCTTTTGGCAGTAGGCACAGAGTGCAGATTCATCTCTCTGTAATTACTCTAGCTCCTGCTGTGTGAGTTCTATTTTAGCCCAGTAATGCAAAAAGAAAGAAAAACTAAGTTCTGACAAGCACTTACATTTCTTGAATTTTTGTTGAAGGTCCCAGAGGTCATTGTAAGCAGCCTGAACAGGTAGTTAGGGCTCCTGGATTCTAGTCTCAGCTTGGCTACTAATTTACCGTGTGACGTTAGGCAAATTACTATTCTGAGCTTTAGTCATCTTATCTTTAAAATGAAGGGTTTATTCTTTAGAGGAAGCTGAGTGAATGGCATATGGGAACACTCTGTACTATTTTTATAACTTTGCTATAAGTCTAAAATTATTTTTAAATAAATGGTTTTCTTAAAAAGTGAAAGGATTATGTAGATTATCTTCAAGATCCTCTCTACCTCTGAATAATGATTTTATGTTCTTACTTATCTTCCTTCAGGTGAAAGTAAGTCTCTTTCCAGCTATCCAAACATATAACAGAGTGGAATTTTTCCTCACTCCTTCTGCCCCAGGCAAGATGTTGATCAGCCCCAACACAAACCTGTTTTCTGCTTTAAACATATCCTATACCTAGGGCAAAATTTAAATTATCTAAAACACATTTAAAAACACCCCATCCATACCCACTTTGTTCTTTCAAACAAGTAAATTCACCCAGCAGGGAAAAGCTGTTGCTGGCAGTCCATGCTTACAGAATCTCAGCCTTGCCCTAGCAACGAGGCTAATTATAACTCCGGCTACCTGGTAACCGCACTAGATTTCCCTGCATTGGCTGGCAGTTCTAAAGCCATCTCAGCTCTGCCTGCCACCTCCCATCCTGAGAAGCTGTCAGAGAAGCTGAGAAACTATGAGTCTCTTTTAAGCAACTATCTAAGCTGTGGTGAGAACACCCATGTATCATAGAGCTTCCTTTCTCTGCGCCCAGAGAAAGGCTGCCCAGAATCACGGGACTTCAGAACTGGGAGGGATGTGTGCGTCAATCCTGGTCCAGCCCACTCATTTAAACACAAAGAACCAGAAGCCCAGAAAAAGTGACTTGCCTTAGCCTGGCCTTCCTCTTGATTCCTTTCCCTCAATTCTCCCATCCTGATCAATCATCAAGTCCTACAAATATTTTACCTCTTAAATATTTTAAAGATGAGTTGCCTCCCCTCTATTCCTACTGCCACAGCCCTCATTCGGGCCTTCATCTTCTTTGGCTTGGCAAGTCTGTTCTCACTCACTTCCTGCCTTGACTCTCTTGAATCCACCTTTCCCATGCATCAGAGGGATCTAGCAGGTTCCCTGCAGCTTAAAGCCCATCAGTGGTGCCTTGTCTTCCTCAGGATAAAGTCTACAATCTTTAAAATGGCACAAAAGACTGTGTCCGTCATATCAGTCTCATTCTTCGCCTAGTACTTAAATCCACCAACACTAAACCACTTCTAATTCTGTGCAAGCACCCTATGGTTTCTTGCCTCAAGGCTTTTGCTTGTGACAAAAACTCTGTCCTTCCACTTCATCATCCATTGACTGATTAGTGCTTATTCCCCTTTGAAGACGAAGTTCAGGGGTCATCACGAATAATCCTTTGCAGATTTTCTTTCCATCCACTCTATTCATTTGGGATAGAAGTGCCCCCTTTGAGTTTCCTTACACTTTGTACACAGCTCTGTTACTGCCTTTTACTATACTCTAGCACCTGTGGTTTGCTCATCTTTGAAGTCCCAACTTCTAGTACTTGGAACATAGCAGGTACCTAATTAATGTTTATTAATGAATGAATGGATAAGTCCAAAGCTTTCCATGATTTCTCCCCTGCAGCCTCATCTTACCACCACCACAAGCCCTCCAAACCACATGATCTAGCCATACAGAATGATTCCAGTGTGCCAAGTGCACATTGCTTTTGTACACCTCTGCTTTTGTATATTGTTTCTTCTGTTTGAAATGCCTTTTCCCACCAGGCGCGGTGGCTCACACGTATAATCCCAGCACTTTGGGAGGCCGAGGTGGGTGGATTACCTGAGGTAAGGAGTTTGAGACCACCCTGGCCAGCATGGCGAAACCCCATCTCTACTAAAAATACAAAAATTAGCCGGGCATGGTGACACACGCCTGTAATCCCAGCTACTTGGGAGGCTAAGGCAGGAGAATCGCTTGAGCCCAGGAGACGGAGGTTGCAGTGAGCCGAGATCATGCCACTGCACTCCAGCCTGGCTGACAGAGCAAGACTCTGTCTCAAAGAAAAAAAAAAAGAATTTCTGGATTTTCCAGGCATGGTGGCTCATGCCTGTAATCTCAGCACTTTGGGAGGCCGAAGTGGGTGGATCACGAGGTCAAGAGATTGAGACCAGCCTGGCTAACGTGGTGAAAACCCGTCTCTACTAAAAATATGAAAAATTAGCGTATGTTTCACAGCATCTGTAATCCCAGCTACTCAGGAGGCTGGGGCAGGAGAATCGCTTGAACCTGGGAGGTGGAGATTGCAGCAAGCCAAGATGGCGCCACTGCACTCCAGCCTGGGCCACAAAGTGAGACTCCATCTCAAAAAAAAAAAAAAAAAAAGAAGAAAAAAGAAATGCCTTTTCCCATTTCTTGTTATGTTACTACCTTTTAGGATTCAATGCAAACTTCAAACACTTGGCAAGGCCTTTCCTGGTGGATTTTATTGCACTATAGCATAATCTGTCCATACCTCTATGGTAGCCCTTATTATACCATTTTTATTTATTTGTTGATGTCTTCTCCACCAGAATCTAGCACAGTAGCTGGCATATAGTAGATAATCAATAGACATTCGACTGAATATACCAATGCATATGTGCAAATATGAGCAAAAAAATGACTAAAATGATATTGCAAACAAGGGAAACATTTGAGACAGAAATTTAGAATGTCTATTTTTTTCAAGTGTAACATGCTACTTCTATCAGTGCATAAACCTGAATGTACATACACTATAGAAAGAAGTGGCCTTGTAATAAGTTCATGCAGAAGTATAAATTATGTAGACATTGTTAGGGGGATAACTGAAAGTGGATTAGAATTAAATTAGGGCCCAGAATTTAGTCTGGGATTTGTTTTCCAGTGGTTGAAAGAAAAATTCCTAAGTATTCAAAGGGAAGAAGCATTTCTCAACAGGCAAGTATTATGAATTCTAATTAAAAGCTCTGAAAAAATGAGATAAGTTGTGTTAAGGAAAAGCAGAAAACAGAGTTGCCTTTGGTTAAGAGTTCCACTATTTTTATAAGCAACTGACTTTTTGGGGAAAGTTGCTTTAAGCATTTTTTTTTCTGTGTGTATGTGTGAGATGGGGTCTCACTCTGTCACCCAGGCTAGAATGCAGGAGCACAATCATGGCTCACTGCAGCCTCAACCTTCTGGGCTCAAGCAATCCTCCCACCTCAGCCTCCCAAGTAGCTGGTATCACAGCCACACACCACTATGTCAGCTAATTAAAAAAAAAAAAAATTTACAGAGATGCAGTCTTGCTATGTTTCCCAGGCTGGTCTCAAACTCCTGGGCTCAAGTGATCCTCCCACCTTGGCCTTGCGAAGTGCTGGGATTACTGACATGCGCCAACATGCCAGGCCTAAACATTTTGTGTGTGTGTGTTAAAATATACATATAATAAAATTTGCCATTTTAACTATTTTAAAGTATATAGTTCTATGGCATTAAGTACATTCACATAGTTGTTCAAATATCACTATCCATCTCCAGAACTTTTTCCCAAATGAAACTGTAGCCACTAACTCCCCATTCCCTCCTCCCCACAACCCCTGGCAACCATAGTTCCACTTTCTGTCTTCATTATTTGACTACTCTAGGTACTTCATTTAAGTGAAATAATAAATATTTGTCCTTTAGGGACTGACTTTACTTAGCATGACATCTTTAAGGTTCACTCATGTTACAGCACATGTCAGAGTTTCATACCTTTCTAAGGCTAAATAATATCCAGTGTCTATATAGCCCACATTTTGTTTATCCACTCATTTGTCAATGAACACTTGAGTTGCTTCCACCTGTTGGCTACTGTAAACAATGCTCCTATGAACACAGAAATACAAATATCTATTTGAGTTCCTGTTTTCATTTATTTTGTGTTATACCCAGAGTAGAATTGCTGGATTATACGGTAAGTCTATGTTTAATTTTTTGAGAAACTCCATACTGGTTTTCACAGCACCTGCACCATTTCACATTCTTTCTAGCAATGTGCAAGGGTTCCAATTTCTCCACATCTTTACTAGTATTTGTTATTTTCTGGGTTGTTTGATTTTTAGTATAATAGCCATCCTAATGAGTGTGAAGTTTAAAAAAATATTTAACCAAAATCATAAATATTGGTTACAAATATTTAATGGATGGATTCCCTCTATTTCTGCCAACTTTCATTCCCTGAAAGAAGAAATAGGTAAGCATGACCTCACGAACCTCAGAAGGCTGAGAATGGGGAATTGGCACACACAGTGTGCGTAGACACAGACACACATGGACCATGTTCATACTAGGCTTCCAGAGAACCATTTAAAAATAGTTTGGCTAATGTAATCTTGTCTGTCTCTTATGTTCCTCCTTTCCCATCATCCACATTTCTTAAAGTTCGTGTAAGTAAAACATAGGAGAAAAAAACATAGCCACTAATTAAATAAGGCATCCAACTGTAAAAGAAGAGCAAACTCTGCTACATATAAGAAGACAAGCATTAATTCTGGCAACAGCAGCCACACAGCCACTTTAGACAATAACCTGAGCAGGTGCATGCTTTCTAGTATGTGTCTCCAGCTATGCAGGATAGAAATCACAATCCTTTCTATTTATCTAACGTCTAATACACTAAAACATGTTTACCCATGGGGGAGGAGAGCACGACAGGAATTGATGACTCTAATTTAGGAAACTAAGGTTCACAGAAGTTAAGTGACTTGCCCAAGATCATGTAGCTAGAAACGGCAGGTTAAGAATTCAGGTTTCCTTAGAGTTCAAAACTTTTATCACAACATTTTTGATAACCCCCCAAGATACTCATCCTTCTCTAATAGCCTTCCTTTGGTTCAAGTCCAGCTTCCTAAATCCTACCGCCTGATGGAGTTCCTGAGCTTCCTTGTAAGTCTGCAGGTATATTGTTCCTCATCATGTTGCCCAAAGCCTAAAGAAATCAGGCTAGGACCAAAGAAAATCAGTCAATGAGCCAAAAAGAAATTTAATCAACCCAGCCTTTCTTATTTATTTTCTTTGAATGAACATTTGTATCTGAGAATGCCAAGGTAAATTTGATGCAATAGGGACACTTGGATTATATTATGTTATTTACACACAAGCAAACAACAATTGAGAATTGAGACAAATAGGACAAATGGTCCCAAGTCCACTATTGAGGAAAAAGAAACTGATTTGGAATAAAAAATAGTCCAGCATGAATGTGTCAGTAATTAAGACTTATCCGGATAAGTTTGCCGTCTCTCAATTTGTCACAATAATGGCAAATATTTATTGAGAGCTTACTATGTGATAGGCATTATGCTGAGTTCAGCTAATTGACTCATTTCATCCTCCTCTAGACCCTGTAAGATAGGTGTTATTACTGCCCTTGCTTTAGCTCAGAGAAATTATGGTATTTTTCCCAACACAAATAGTAAGTAGAAAAATCAAGATTTCACCCCAGGTCTCGCCAATTTATAGCTCTTAGCCGTTATGCCCAGCAATAACAGAATAGTAAAAACAATGACAATTTGGTAGGCAAGTAAAATCAGTAGGCTGTTTACCATAGCTATAGAAGTATGCTATGCATAAACCTCAAAGATTGCGCAGGAAAAGTATCATCCAATCTCAAAGATGAGAAAACCAAAGAAGTTTCAATCTCAAAGAAGTCAGGCAGCTTAAGGGTCATAAAACAACGCAACACAACTCTCTCAACTCATATCTAAGGGCTAAGTCCACTTTAACCTTCCAATATCATTACATCATATTTAAACATTGACTCTATCTGGTCAAGGACGACAACATTTTATTTCTCCTGACCCTTTTGCTATCAGATCTGGCCTTGTCAGTTTTTCAATTTCATTCTTAGAATGGAAACTTAATTCACACAAGTTGAACAAGTAGTCATCAGGGGGCAAAACCCAGTGGATGATGGTTTTGTGTGCTGTTTGGAGACTGGGTGTTTACCACACAGCAGTGGATTTCATAAATTCCAGGGTCAGACAAGATTCCAGTAGCGACACACTTGACTAATATGAGAAAATGCAGGATTAGGCAATCAACAATGAGGAAGTCAGCCAAGTTGCCACCCAAAAATTACTTACCACAGCAGCTGCAGTCCAGAAATGCTAACAAGCCAGTCTCCCTAGGAGTGGGCCATACTCAGCTGTGGACCACTCACAACATTTTCTCACTTTATTTTGCTTCAGAGTCAGTGTACTGCAATGATTTCTCCTTTGCTTGCTTTATATGTTTAAAATTGTCTTCCCTAAAAGCTGAACTTAAAATTAATGTTTGCTACCAAAAGGGGGTAGCAGTGCCTGGTCATGTAGGCATATGTCCCACTCTGTCGGTACAGAGGGTAAGCAGCCTCTTCCTTTTTAAAAAATTTATTATGATGATTTACAAAAATTGAAGCTTACAGGATAAACACTCAACAAAAAAGTAGCCAGTCTCAAGAAACCAATTTTTATGTATGAATTAATATTATTTTATTAATCCATGGCCAGGATGATTCTTAAGATTATTTCTTAATTCTCTGAACAGCTTAAAAGAGAGAAACTCCTTCTTTTTTATTTACTTGCTTTGAGGTTGATACTCTTAGGTTTTTAACATAACTCTCTAGCTTTGACAACTCCTCTTATAATTTAAAATCCTTATAGCTTCCATTTACAAGTAAGGATTATATCTATTTTAGTCTCCTCAATCAGCTACCTAGGAGAAGACTTGCCACTTGGAAAGAGAAAGATAGCACCCACTCTCCAGTTCTCTTCTCCCAAAGTTGCCCGTATTTCCCTTCCCTGAAGCCAATCAAATACTTTATTGTTTCTCGCTAAGAGTAATTTTTCACTCTTAAGTACAAACAGCTCAACAAAAATTCCCGGTAGCATAAATATGCACATCAATAAAATAATTACTACTCACAATAGACTTTCCATTACATATGTTTCACAAGCATTGGTTTTCTTAAAAAGAACCACGCATACAGCACTCAAATTATTGCAGATTCTAACTCAGTAGAGTTTGATTTAATGTTTTTACAATATTTTTTTTAAAGAAGTGTCCTTCCAACGCTAAAGAAAAAAATCAGAATCAAGAAAATTCTGTTTCTTAGCAACAGAAAAATCAAACTTCTGTTACTAAGTTTGGTAACAGAACAGTACTCTAAATTATCCTCTGAACCACCTGATTTACCATGTGATGCTGGGCACATTGCTGCTAATTAATCTTCCTAATCTCGTGGGATCACAATATGAATAACAAGAATGAACATAAGACACATCTGTGGGAATTATGAGGGGGAGATTATAAAGAGTCAAACCTTGTCCCCATATTTAAATTTTATAACTATAACTACTAGTAGAAATATAACTACTACCCTCTCATATATATGTGATGTTATTAAGTTTATAAAGTGTTTTGATATGTTTCTTATTTCATCTTCATGGCTGCTATTTATTCATAGAAAAATAATTCTCAGTATCTGTAGCATTATTGTTAATGTCAATCCTATAGAGGCTGGAACAGGCTCAGAGAGGCTAAGTAACTTGCCTAACTAAGTCTCCTTGTTGACAATAGGTCTTAATGCAGTGTTTTCCGAATCCCTCGTTCTTACATCAAAACAGAACTGTGGCTGGGTGTGGTGGCTCATGCCTGTAATCCCAGCAATTTAGGAGGCCAAGGTGGGAAGATCACTTGAGCCCAGGAATTTGAGACCAGCCTGGGCAACATAGTGAGTGAGACCTCAATCTCTGCCAAAAAAAAAAAAAAAAAAAAAATACATACACACACACACACACACACACACATATATATATAAATAATTAGCCAGGTGTGGTGGCACACCTGTGGTCCCAGCTACTTGGGAGGCTGGGGTGGGAGGATCATTTGAGCCCAGGAGGTCAAGGCTGCAGTGAGTCGTGACGGTGCCACTGCACTCTAGCCTGGGTGACAGAGCGAGACCCTGTCTCAAAAAATAAAATAAACCAGAACGGCTCTAGTTCCTATCAATCACTCATCATGACATAGTGTGGTAAACTAATTTCAACTCTGAATGATTGATAATGGCTTTATGTGTTCTGTTTCCCAAGTAATAAGAACATTTTAGCACAAGCCTTTAGCGCTTTTCAAATAATCATAGCCAAATGAGAAAATTAATATGACAGGCAGATTGAACAAACATTTGGTGAGAAGGAAGAGGAGGGGATACAGTAGTTTGAGATCCCTCAAATCATATGATGCAGTAGCTGCCTGACAACTCTGCTAACACGTAAGACTAGATAGAGACAGGGCCATATCTACTTCCTGTATGGGACCCATGGCAATACTAGAGTCTAGCAAAAGGGTTGTCCTCTCTGCATGTGACAACAGGCTGTGTTCCACTCCCCCCACATACACCTTGTGCAGCTCCTATAATCTCATTTATCACACTTCTCCAGGTGAGAAATGGTGCCTTCTCACACCCCACCCAAAGTTGTTTCCTAAAGATCTTTCGCTAGGGCAGAGCAGAGAGTGAGACCAAATGATTCAGACAGCCATCTGATTCAGCTTTAAAAAAAAAAAAATCCTGGTGGGGCGCAGTGGCTCACGCCTGTAATCCCAGTACTTTGGGAGGCTGAGGCGGGTGGATCGCCTGAGGTCAGGAGTTTGAGACCAGCCTGGCCAACATGGTAAAACCCCGCCTCTATTAAAAATACAAAAATTAGCCAGGTGTGGTAGCAGGCGTCTGTAGTCCCAGCTACTCCAGAGAATCGCTTGAACCCAGGAGGCGGAGGTTGCAGTGAGCTGAGATCGTGCCACTGCACTCTAGCCTGGGCGACAGAGTGAGACTCTGTCTCAGAACAACAACAACAACAACAAAATCCTTTCCCTCAAATTACCTAAGAAATTGTCCTTTCCTTCTTTGCCCTGAAGACAGTTAATGGGGAAAGTTCCTCCCTCTGCACAGTGAATACATCCATCCACTATTCCTACCCTAACCCTAAGGCAAAACCTCCCACTCATCCTCCGTCTCTCGCCATCTCTCTGTTACCAACCCTCACTTGGCAATATCCTTCTTGACACGTGGCAGCTCCAATGAGGCACACTCATTACATAGCCACGTAAAAGATAAAAGGTGAATCTGGACCAACTTCTGGAAAATTTGGACTTAAAACATGGAAATGCAGGAGAGACAGGAAATAGAGTTAAATCCCCCAGATTTAGCTATACACATTAATTGAATTAACTAAATAATCATTTGGGTCTCATAGACACCAGCTATTTCCCTGATCCAAGATGTTATCTAGCAGCCTGTATCGCTTCCCAGTCATCCATCCTCTTGACAGGACAGAGCACACATAGAAAATGGTATTTGTATAGTCCTCTGGGGTAAACAGTTGGAGAGTTAGAATCTCTGATAAGGTCAGAGGCAACCAGTCCCCGGTCACTTGGGCCACTTCAGGTCCTGCTTGTCCAGACACAGAGAGGGCTGAGGAAACCAATATTGTGGTGACCAGCTACGAGGCTTAATCCTCATAACCCATAGCCCAATGTCCTCTTATCAAGGTGCTGTCCTATCTCACCCACAGCTCAGCCAATCCAGTAGGTCTTCCTTCCCCACCCTGATCACTGACCCATCAATCAAGATAGCCCTCTCATCCAAGGAAGAGGCCATTTCCCCTCCCACTCCACCCAGGCCAACTGCTATCCCACAGGTTACTCTCTTCTTCATTTTAAGGCAAGCTATTCCAAAGACTAAAAATGCCTAAGATTCTGTCCTAAAAGCTTATCTGCATAGTCATCTTCAAAAGCAAACATGAATTTCTCAAGGAACGGAAACACCCTTAGCCCCTGCCCTTTTCTCCATAGCATCATTCTCTGCCCCACCAAGCCGGAGCTAGGAGGGCACTTTCTCTAGGAGAGGTATGACCTGGAGATGATCTGCTTCAGAGCCACCTCAGGGATCTTGCTTAAAAATGCATATTTTCCCAGGCAAAGTGGCTCATGCCTATAATACCAACAACAGTGGAGGCTGAGGTGGGAGGATCTAAAGGCCAGGAGTTTGAGACCAGCCTGGACAACATAGTGCCACCCCTTTGGTACGAATTTTTTTTTTTTTTTTTGAGACAGACTCTTGCTCTGTCACCTAGGCTGGAGTGTAGCGGCACAATCCCGTCTCACCGCAACCTCCGCCTCCTGGGTTCAAGCAATTCTCCTGCCTCAGCCTCCCAAGTAGCTTGGACTACAGGCATATGCCACCACACCCGCTAATTTTTGTACTTTTTAAGTAGAGATGGAGTTTCACCATGTTGGCCAGGCTGGTCTCGATCTCCTGACCTCAAGCCTTCTGTCTTCCTTGGCTTCCCAAAGTGCTGGGATTACAGGCATGAGCCACTGTGCCCTGCCAATTTTTTTTGTTTTTAATTATCTGGGCCTGGTGTCCTGTGCCTGTGGTCCCAGCTGCTCAGGAGGCTGAGCCAGAAGGCATCACTTGAGCCCAAGAGTTGGTGGCTGCAGTGCTATGATGGTGACACTGCACTCCAGCCTGAGCAAAGGGCAAGACCTGTTTCTAAAATAAATAAATTTTAAAAATGCAAATATCCACCCCAGCCCCACCCTCTCCCCCCACCTTCCCCCACATTACTACATCGGAATCCCTAGGGTGAGGCATGGAATCTACATTTTAAACCAGCTCCCAAGGTGATTGTTCCGCACAGTTCCACGTCAGTGTTTGAGAGCGGCTCTGATTTATTCCAGTCCTCTTTCTTTACAGAGAAGGAAAGCAGAAAGCAGGCACCAGAGAGGTGAAATGAGCTTGTCCAAGGTCACAGGTTGTTAAGGTGACCAGAGCTGGACGAAACCCCACCTCTCTCGCTGACTAGCACAGCGCCAGCTAGGAAGAGCCTAGAATAGCGACCAACTGGCAGGCCAAACCGTCCCCTGCCCCTGCCCCTGCCTCGGAGAAGCGGGCCCCTGCACTCACCCGCTTGTAGATGTCCTCCCGGCTGGCCTCATACTTCTGTTGCATGCGCTCCTCCAGGAAGTAGATGAGCAGCTTGAGGCTGAAGTTCTCCTTCTTCAGGTCATTGAGGTGCTGGGACAGAGTGCGATATCCATTAGACATGATGGGCAACCCATGGGGAGGAGCGTGCCCGATTGCCCCCTCAACCCAGGAACATGGTGCAGCTGCACCGCAGCATGAAGCCAGCCGGCTGGGACGCTGCTGAGGCTGCGGACCGAGAGGCTGGGGCTATGGCGACATGGCCCCTATTGCTGGAGCTCTCTCCGGGACTCGGGACTGGGCTCACTGCTCTGGGTGCTGGAGCGCAGCACACTTTCCTTTTTTACCTCAGGGAGATATTTGCGGAATCCCTGACAGAGGAACATGCTGCGTGAACTCAGACACAAGTGGTGTAACCCGACTCCAAGCCAGGACTCTGCTGTCACCCTCCTGGAGCCTCCCAGGCCCAACTGTAGGCAGTTAACAGCTTCTCGGAAAAGAGAGACTGACCCCCAAGAGCTTCCAGGAAAGGGGGAGGGGAGATATTCAAGGTGACAGTGGGTTTGCAAAGAAGAGAAGGAAATAGAGGGTGGGGAGGGGGTATTTAAATGACTTGTGGCTGATTTGGACTATAAGACCAAAAGGAGTGTGGCCAGAAGCAAGAAATAAGGTTGCTATAGAAAAGACCATGTACATAAAATGGCCCACAAAGGTAACCGCATGTCAAATATCCCCTTTCTGTCCAGTGCAAATCTTAAAGAGCTTCTAACCAGAGGAGTCTCAATTGCCTTTGATAATCCAGAGCTCACTTCTAATGAGTTCCTTTGCAGTTTTCAGCCCCAAGCTTTTTGAGCTCTGAGGCAGTTCAACTAATAGCCTTTATTGCCATGAGTCTTCCCCCGAAACACACCATAGCTACCCGCAAAGAAAGAGCAAATCTTCTAGCTCAGCGGAATCTTTGCAGACTCTATTTACCAGTTACAAAGCTCAGAAAGAGGCAGGGTCAAGGTATCCTCCCTCCATGGAAGAAGGGATGGGCAGAAGAGAGTGTGGGAGGATGACAGAGAGGGAGCCGTCATCCTGGAGCACAAAGATTTCAGGCAGTCACTGGTTCTTAACTCTGGCACCTGCCAAGTGGAGCCGGGCACTCATCACCAGATCTTGCTCCTAAAGTAATTTAAGATCCTTGAGTGACAGCTGCAACATTAGCAGGAAGTATTATTTATACCACATTACATTGAAGGTGATGGGAGACAACCCCAGAGCACAGATAACAAACACGGGTTCTTTGTGGCAATAATATTAGGTTGAAAAAATATATATTAACATTCAAGATAAAGGAAACTACAAAATTTACACTTAATTCAAGCCCTCATTTCCTCCCCAACCTACCTGCTTTTCATTCTTCCAATTCCTTCTCAAACCTTCATAATCATTCCGGTCAACAACTCCTGAGTACTCACCAGGTAGGACATTGGGCATGAGGGATATATAGATCAAGAATGTCCCAACCCTCAAAGAGCTACGTGGCCATACAGCTGGCCATGATATGTTAAGATATGTGTTTTACATTATGATCCTCCAAACCTGTGTTTTTCAACTTTTATATGTTACGTTGCCATCTAGTACATATGCATACACTCTTAACTGAAGTAAATGTTTCAAAAAGTAATTGTCACCATCACTATGTGTGATGTCCTCTGATATTTCCTATTTCTTTTTCTGCCAGTGACCCACCCGACGGATTTCATGACCCACTAATAAGTTTCAGCCTGAGTTTAAAAAGCGTTGACTCTGGGGGAGCCCGTAAGAAAGAGTAGTCAGTTCTTACTGGGGTGATCAGAGAAAGCTTCATTAGGAGTTGAATTTGCACTTTGCCTTGAAAAATAAAAAATGTTTGAGTGGATAAAGTGGCCTCAGGAGGACATAATTAGAGTGAAGCATTCTCCCAAATAGATTTAGATTATAAATAGGCAAAATAGGCAAGCCCAAATATTTACCATT
This sequence comes from Homo sapiens, assembly GCF_000001405.40. NCBI lineage: Eukaryota > Metazoa > Chordata > Mammalia > Primates > Hominidae > Homo > Homo sapiens. The sequence goes on from NC_000001.11 coordinate 120,622,377, forward strand.
TGAAAAAAAAAAAACTACACATTTAAAATCCATTTAACTATTTTCACTAAATCTGAATTCTTAGAATTTGAGAATGCCAACTAGGCTTAGTTAGAGACAGTGAAGAAAAAAGTCTAAGTTAAAACAACTCAAAATATCCTTTTCCATTCCCAGTTCTCTTACTAAATAGCTATGTTATAGACCATTTCTCTAGAAGCCTAACTGTCCTCACTTAAAAAATGAAATGGCTTTAAAAATTGGTGATTTTTTTTTTTTTTTGAGACAGAGTCTTGCTCTGTTGCCTAGGCTGGAGTGCAGTGGTGCAATCTCAACTCACTGCAACCTCTGCCTCCCGGGTTCAAGCCATTCTCCTGCTTCAGCCTCCTGAGTAGCTGGGACTACAGGTGCCCGCCACCGCGCCCGGCTAATTTTTCATTGTTTTAGTAGAGACAGGGTTTCACAGCGTTAGCCAGGATGGTCTCGATCTCCTGACCTTGAGATCCGCCCGCCTTGGCCTCCCAAAGTGCTGGGATTACAGGCATGAGCCACCGCGTCTGGCCAAAATTAGTGATTTTTAAGGCCCTTTCCTGGTCTAAGCTCTTCAAGGTGATAACCCAGTTAATATCACCTCCATTTTGCTCAAGGGGAGCCAGGCTGCCAGAGTTTAGATAAGTGTTTAATCATGCTTTGGCTGTCTACTTAGATTCCTTTATCAGGTAAAATAATTTCATAAAAGTTTTACCGGAAGTAAAACTGTGTATGAATCCAGGGTATTCTTATGCATCCTAGATTTCTGTTGGACATTTATGCTTATTTCCTCCATGATATCTTGTTCTTCTATCTCTCTGGATCCTTTTCTGTGTTTTTTGCCAGCTCCTGAAAGTGGGTATTTAAATGATGGTAAGTCCTTAGCCTTCTACTTTTTTTTCTCTTCACATTTTTATCCATGGAGGTTTTATCCACTTTTAGGGCTATACTTTCACCTTCGAAACAATTCCCAAATCTCCAACCGAGTCTTCTCACCCAAGATCTAGCCGTACATATTCAACTCTTGGCTTAGATCATTCAACTTGAGTGTTCCCAAATTCCACCCAAGCAAAGCCTTTCCTCTTACCCTAGCCTGGAAAGACTTCTTCCTCTTTTGAACTCTAAGGCAGATATTAACATTCAACAAGTGTTCATATGCTGCCTTATGACGTGGCTTTTGTTATCTTCAAGGGTTATTTACATCTTTTAGAGTTATGCGACTTTTTGTGTGTTTGATCTTTCCAACTAGTCTGAAGCTGCCCAAGGAAAAAGTCAATGACTAACTAATACATCTTCATAAACTCCTACAGCTTCCATAACAACCTGAGACCTCTCCAACAGCATTCATCCCATTGTGCTGTCACAGTCTGTTTACGATGACCTCAACCTGGCTAGAGTGTTTTGAGAGCTGACAAGGCATATTTTGTGTCCTTGTATTCTTGTTGCATAGTACTCAGGAAGCACTCCCTAAATATCTGTGGAATCAATGAACAGGAAAATATTCCATAAACATTGTACGTTTTGCTTTGTTATATATGGGCTGGCTCACCTGTATTATTCTCATAGATTTCCAATAATATGAAAAAAGTTTGTTTTAATAGTCCTAAATAAACTATATTTGGTAGAACACTTATTCTAGAATACGTAGAAAAATGACGTTTTGTTCACTTACATTTCTAAGTTTACATGCCCACCCTGATCTTTTCCCTGAACTCCAATTGATATCTGACTGTCTAGTAGAAATCTCTGCTTGAATTTAGACATCACATACTTGTGATATCTAAAACTGAACTCCTGATCTTTCCCAGTAAACATGCTCCTCCCTCACTACACCTTTTTTCAATTTGTAACAACTCAATATTTTCAGATTTTTGAGCCCAAACCTTTGAATCATTTCTTGATTCATTCTCTCTCCTACATATCATCTGTCTGTAAATCTTACTATGTATATTATACATTATAGTATATATATTAATAACATATATGGTAGTATAATATATATGTTGTAGCTGTTGTATTATGTATGTAATATATAATACTATATTATATATACTATTATACTACTATATATATATTTTATATATATGTTATACTACCACTACTGCCACTGGTATTTCTACCACCCTGACCCACAGTACTGCCATCTTTTCCTTACATGATCTGAATAGCCCCTTAACTGGTGTTCCTGCTCCCACTCTTGTTCCCTTGTAGTCTATTCTCAGCACAGCAGCCACAGTGACCCTTTCAAAATACGTCAGATTACTCCTCTGCTGGAGAGCCCCCTGGCTTCCCATCTAACTTAGAGTGAAAGGTGATGTCCCTTCACCAGACTGCAAGGCCTGAGGCCCTACACCCTCTTCTTGCCTCTCCTATTACCTCCTCTACTTCTTCCTACCACTCTCTCTCTGTTCTCTGCTGTAGCTACACTGTTTCTCTTTGTTATTTCTCAAAAACAGGAAGCAAGAGAAGCTTTCTTTTCCGAGGCCTTTGAACTTGACCCTTCTGCCTGGCTGCCCTTTCTCTAGGGAGGTGCACGATTCTCTCCTCACCTTCTTCATCTTTGATTGAATGTCACCTTCTTCATGAAGTGAATACTCTTTAGGCACCCCATGCCTCATCCCAGCTCTCCGAATCCCCCTTCATTGTTTTTTATTCCGTAGCACTATCACCTTCTAAAATACATTTTCTTATTTATTTTGTTTCTTGTCTGTCTCTCCCCACCAGCATGTAAACTTCCTGAGAAAAGTGGGATGTTTTCTTAGTTTGTTCACTGCTGTGTCACCAGTGCCCAGAATGGTGCCTGATACATAGCTGGTGCTCAATAAATATTTGTTGAATTAAACAATGGATGAGTAATTAACCTGCTGATTTATTTCTCATTGGAGTAATACAACTTAATCGATACACAAGATTATGTAGATGTTTTAGGATAAAAAGCATACCTAATAGCATTCCTCCTTATAAAAAGATTATAAGTAAAATAAATTATTCTAACAGACTCATTTTAATACACCATGCAGAATCTGGACTTTCTACAACAGTTCCGAACAAATATGGAATCGTATATGACAAATTATAAAGGACAATATGAACGGTACAAATAGTAAAAACTGGGCCAGGCACGGTGGCTTATGCCTGTAATCCCAGCACTTTGGGAGGCCCAGGTGAGCAGATCGCATGAGGTCAGGAGTTCAAGACCAGCCCGGTCAACATGGTGAAACTCCGTCTCTACTAAAAATACAAAAATTAGCCGGGCGTGGTGGCATGTGCCTGTAGTCCCAGCTACTCAGGTGGCTGAGGCATGATGATTGCTTGAACCTGGAAAGTAGAGGTTGCAGTGAGCGGAGATCATGCCACTGCACTCCAGCCTGGGTGACAGAGCAAGACTCCGTCTCAGAAAAAAAAAAAAGTAAAAACTATAAAAATTAGGAAGGAGAGGTGGCCAGAGAAGGTACCACAGAGAATTGGCACTTTAGCTTGTCTCAAAGGATGAGTTGAGCTTGGATAGGCAGTGGGGAGAACACAAGGCAGTCCAGGCAGGTGGAACATAAGCGAAAGGGCAGTGTGCCCACCAGGCCAAAGCAAAGGGCACATACTGTCCTGAAATAGGCCACAGAGATGAGGGGAAATAAAAAGCCATCTCAAGGAGATCTTGAAAGCCAGGGTGAGAAGCCTGGAGTTTGCCCCTCCAGGATCCTGGCTCTCAATCTGGATAAGAGTGAGGGGAAGGGAAGTGGAGGTGGGGAGGAGGGCAGTGGGGGTGGGGAGGGCCAGGAACTGCTGACTGGGAAGATTATTTTCTTTGTGTATTGCTTAGGTTTCGTTTTACTTATTTGTTTTCTTGCAGCTTTAACAAACATCAGCGCTGCATGTGGAAACTTGGAAAAGAAAAAAAAAGCTTTAACAAACAAAAACACACATACCTGAGATGCACACAGCAACCTACTAGCTCATGGCAAACAGGCCTATATGTTGATAACCTCTGCATTGCTTAGGAAATAAAACACTGCAGATTCTTGAGCAAGGGGAAGTGCTTCTATCTTTGTTCTTCCTTTTTCTCCTAGTACATATAACATCTTTACTCTGGTCTCAGAATGTTTCTTCCAAACCTTAATGGCTCTCCCCTTCTTTTTCCTTAATTTCTTCATTCCACCCCTGGAATAACGTTCTAGTCCAGACTAGAAATACAACGTAAATAAAGACTCAATCAATGCCAACAGTAGGAGGAGGATTACCACCCAGCTGTTGCCTGTCATGCCCCATTAACACAACCAACTGTCAAGTCTGCCTTTAAAAAACCCAGCTTGACATTTGCTTCATCATATTCAGACCCCCCAGCTAGCTCATATAATGTACGTACTTGAAAACATATTAATTGTTTACCAATCTTTCTCCTAAAAATAAAGCTTCACTAACAAAAAATGATTAATCTTCTTAATGGACACATTCTTTTCAAATATAATCAAACTTCCACAATTTTAACTGTACTAATTTGATATCTGTGGATAATTCTTACCTTTACCTTCCTTGAAAATAAAAATATTTTAAAAATAAGTTAATATGGCAAATAGAAAAACAGAAGAGTAGTGCTTTAAGTAACCCTTGACACTTTACATCAATTTACACATAGACAATAAATATGATCACTATTATACATATTTATCTAGGGTGGGTAGCGTGGAACTGTGAAAAGAGCAATAGCTTTGAACCATGAAGACCAACGTTCAAATCCCGGCTCTCCTTTTTTCTCATTGGGTCGTTTTGGGGAAACTACTTAATAGTTAAGTATAGGAAGACAGTCAGAAGACTGGGATCTGGGCAGGATACTAAGAAGGTTGCAACTGTATCTGTAATGGTAACTTTTGTTTTTTCACCTGAGGAAAATAAACTAAAAATAATGTTTTCTAACATTTAGATATTCAACACATGGACAAGTGTTTAATTATTCTTTGTATATTCCTGTTGTTTGTAAAACAGCTTATAATTTTTAAAACTATTTTAAAGGGAATGAAAGTAGGAATTACAGGGAGGCAGTTATCAATTAGATATAAGGATGAATTCTCTAGTAGAGTTAGATGTAATAAAGATATTGCCACACTCTATCCATATGTTTATACATCAAATTTTTACTGAGTACATACATCATGAGACAAAATAAACTTCCTGTCACAAAAGGTGCTTGACCAAAACTCAAGAATCGCCTTTCAGGGATACTGTTAAAAGTTTTCCCACATCAGCTAGGAGTTAGCTCTAGAGGGCTTTTAAGATCTTTGGCCATCCCGAAATTCTATGCTTGAAACACATTTTCTCATAGAAACGCTCCTACCAAAGGCCAGTGAGAGAACTATCACTTTGCGAAGAATTTCAGAATGCCCACTAGCTCTCCTGTAGCCCTAAAAGGTAATGAGAGTCTACCTGTTCAGACTGAGAGCTCTGGCTGCCTTGTGCTACAGAAGCAGTAAGTGCATGTAAAGGACGCCATATTTCTAAGACAAAAGCAGTAACAATGACTCAAGGATGATGCCCAATAGACGATTTAACCTATAACTTTGCTAATTGTCATATTTTCAAAACAGCCCTATGGGAAGGGTACACAAATGTCTGGGGAGTATTTCCTGCTTTTTAGCACCCAGGGAACTACAACCAGGAGCCCAGCTTATTTTGGATTGGGGATGGGGATAGACAAGAAGAGATGGGGCAGGAAGAAGAGACGGCTGGTTTATTTTACATACACATATTTTATTTATAATACATCTCTGTGTCTAGGCGTCTCTATGCTGTTCTCATAAAATCTGAATTATACAAATAAAAAGTTTAATTCCTGGCTGTTTTGAATGACTTGGGCCTGTATTACAAAATTAATCAGATACAATTATGCTATCTTCACAACAACAATCATCTACATTGGTTTTGACAATGTACAAAGTACTTCCATGTGTATTATTTCGTTTATCTTTACCACAACCTTTGAAGTAGGAAGACATGATGATCCCCATTTTACTGCCTAGGACAGAGAGACATCAGGAGGTTAACTGACTTGTTCACTGAGAAAGCGGAGGAGCACAGACTATAACTCCAACAGTTTGACCCCATACTGCATACGCATCAGGGCCTTAATCATGAGACTGTATGACCCTTCTGAGCCTGGGATTCACTTGCAACTGGGTATTCCCTCTTCTACCTCAGGCCCCCTATACCTTTTCAAAAAGTGTCCTTCACTGTAAATAATCTTCCTGGTGGTGACCCTAAAGGATCTGACAACCTGGATCTATGTAAAAAAAAAAAAAAAATTGTTTTCTTCATTTTCAAGATGAATAAACTAAAGTTGGCTCTCAAAGGGTTAAACAAAGAGTTACCATGTGGCCTAGCAATTCCTTTCCTAGTTATATACCCAAGAAAATTGAAAACATATGGCCACGTGAAATCTTATATACAAATGTTCATAGCAGCATTACTCATAATAGCCAAAATTGGAAGTATTTCAAATGTCCTTCAACTGATGAATGGATAAACAAAATTTAGCATATCCAAATCATAGAATATTACTCAGCCATAAAAAGGAATGAAGTACTGATACATGCTACAACATAAATGACCTTGACAACATTATACGATAATGTGAAAGAAGCCAGACACAAAAGGTCACATACTGTATAATTCCATTTATATGAAATGTCCAGAATAGGCAAATCCAGGCAGAAAGTAGATTAGTGGTTTCCAGGAACCAGGGAGAGGGAAACTGGGAAGTGAGTGTTAATGAGTATGAGGTTTCCTATTGGAGTGAGAAACAGGTACTGGAATTAGACAGTGTGATGGTTGCACAACTCTGTGAATACACTAAAATCATAGAATTGTAAGATTTCAGAAGATGAGCTGTACAGCGTGTTAATCGTTTGAATAAAGCTTTGTTTTCAAAAGAAGACAAAGAAATAAACCAAAGCTGAGAGAAGTAACTAACCCAATCCTTTATCTTTTATAAGAGTTTTTTTAATGATAAAGACTCAGTTAAAGTCCAATTTGATTCAGTTCAGTTAAAGCTAAATGGCTTAGAATGAATCATGTCTAAATATTCTGTATACCAATCCTACCTATATTATAGGGCCCTAAAAGAAGGGTCAGACAAAGTATGCTCTAAGTGGCTCTCAGTACTGAATATTCACAGATTAAGTTTTACAAAAAGGTAAAGTTTTGTGATAACCCTCAGATAAAACAGAAACACATGACCTATGTTTTGACATAAAACATACGTATTTGGCCTGTTCTGAAAAATATGTGTAATTTTCACACACCACATTCTACCAAGGAAAATGTCAACCAGAGCCAACCAACTTGGTGTTCCACTCATCAACTCTTTTATGCCAACATGGTGTTTCTGCCCTTGTCTCAGAAGCCAACTACTGATACCTGCTTCAGAAAACTGACTATGAATTCCACAAAGTCCTGCTTTTTTCTTTTGGATTGTACAATCAACAAACAAGTCACCCTTCTAAAACTCTGTTTCTGAAATTTTAACATAATTCCTGAAGTTCCAGAGTCTCTTAAATGCTAAAATATTAACAATACCATTCCATTTTTTCCCCTAACACTCAGAAGCATACTGATACCCATCCTGTACACAGCCTTTTCTTGCCTGATAACAAGAGCACTAATGACAGAGCTATTGCATCAGGTTGATTAATAAACCCCGTCTTAGGCAGCCTCATCATGTGGATAAAGAAAAGGAGTTAAGATGATGTTCCTGCTGCCTTCCCCAACATAGAAACACACCCACAACACCCCCAATCCTGGAATAACCAGATGTTAGCTTCATCATCACACTAGAGCACTGTAAACCACATCAAAACAAAATGAAACAAATAACAACTTCCCTGGCCACCAAAAATAGATGGCCCAGCCAGAAATAGTGCTGCCAGAGGCAGTTAAATGAGCTGCAAGGCAGGAATGACAGTTGAGCTGCAGTGATGCTGGGGCCTCCCAAGGATTACCAGACTCCAAACTAGATTCTCCATCACTTTGGTCCAATCAACATCAGCAGGACTTGGTATTTGTTCACAATTGGTCCAACTCAGATTATTTGCTGAGCTTCTGGAATTCAGAGAGAGTGACTTATGGGCTCACCTTTTTCTCTAGATTTTAAATAATCCTTTCTCCATTTTTTTCTAGGAGTGAAGGCAATTTTGAAGGCATGACTACGACCTGCTCTGGCCACAAGAGCTAAGAGTTGCCAGGTGTGGTGGCTCAAACACTTTGAGATGCCAATCCCAACACTTTGAGAGGCCAAGGCAGGAGGATTGCTTGAGGCTAGGAGCTTGAAACCAGCCTGGGCAACACAGTGAGACCCCATCTCTACAAAAAATAAAAAAACAGGCCAGGCGCAGTGGCACTTAGGGAGGCCAAGGTGGGTGGATCACCTGAGGTCAGGAGTTCGAGACCAGCCTGACCAACATGGAGAAACCCCGTCTCTACAAAAAATACAAAGTTTGCCAGTGTGGTGGCACATGCCTGTTATCCCAGCTACTCAGGAGGCTGAGGCAGGAGAATCGCTTGAACCCGAAAGGCAGAGGTTGCAGTGAGTGGAGATCACGCCATTGCACTCCAGCCTGCGCAACAAGAGTGAAACTCCATCTCAAATAAATAAATAAAATAAAGTTTTAAAAAGTCAAAATTATCCAGGCGTGATGGTATGTTCTTGTAGTCCCAGCTACTCAGGAAGCTGAGGTGGGGGATCACTTGAATCCGGGAGGTCGAGGCTGCAGTGAGCCAAGATTGTGCCACTGCACTCAAGTCTGGATGACAGAGCAAGACCATGTCTAAAAAAAAAAAAATAATAAACAAAACCAAAAACCAAGAGTCCACAGTGATACCATGAATGCACATGGCTGCAACAATAATGCCTTGACCAGAAGTAGGGGGATAAGGGAAAAGATAGAGCCAACATGAACCCCGATTGACCCTCCCTTGCTCCATCCATGACAGAAAGCCTCCTATTTCTGAATTCACCAGGCTCATGCTGCCTCCAGGACTTTGCATGGGTAGCAGCATTAGCCTAGAATTTCACTTCTCTTCAATTCCCACCCATCTCTCACTTAACTAATCCCAACTCACCCATAAGGATCTAAGTCAGATATTACCTACTAAAAGAAACCTATCTGGCCTTAATGCCTGGGCAAGGGCTTCTCCTGAATGCTTCCACAGCACTGCGGACCTACTCTTATTGTGGCCCATTTCACAGTATATTGGGATTATCTGTTTGACTCTCTCCCCAGTAGATCTGGAGTTCCTTAACAACAGGAAGAATCTTCTTTACTTTTCTTCCAAAAACAGAAATCGCTTTACTGTTTTTTGTTTGTGTTGCTGTTGCTTCAATGGTCATAAAAGTACTACATGTGCCTGTTCCAGTTGTTCTCTTTCTCAGTGGAGGGCATAACCTAGTAGTTGACCAAGCAAGAAAACTTGACATCATTTATTCGTTCAAAACAAACAAAAAAGAAGAAAAGAAAAGGGCATGCCTACTATGTACCAGGCATTATGCTAATCACTGTATCTAGAAGTGAAAAGACAACCACTGTCCCTGCTATAGTGAGCTCATGTTCTAACAGAAAAGGCAGACTTTGAACAAATAACTCACGTTATTGAAGAGAGAGGTGAAGGTAGTCTGAAAGTTTACGACAAGGTGACAGTGGGTAGGATGTGAGTGAAGAGATGAATTGGTGATCTGTCATCTTTGGGTTTCTTCAGCCTCACTGGTTCTACATCCAGTCAATGGCTTAGCTCTATCAATTCTGCCTCTGAAATTTCTTTCACCTGTCCATTTCTCTAATTTTTATACTGGCATCTCCACCAACCTTTGCCTGGAATACTGCAACTGTTTTCTCTGCCTCTAGACTACTCCTCCTATGCAGAGGCCATAAGGAAGCCAAAAGGATCTTTCTAAGAGGAAAATCTGATCATGTCACCTCTCTGTCTAAAAGCTTTCAGCAGTTCCCTTGAGCTCAGATAAAATTTAAAAGCCTTTACATAACTTGCAAGACTCTGTATGATGACTCCTCTCTCTTTTCTCTGGTTTCAGTTCTCTGCATTCCTTACATCCCATTCTCTAGGAATACTGACTATGGTTCTTTCTCTCATCGGGATCTTGATTCAAGCTATTTCCTATGCATGGAACCTTCTTCATTCTCACACTACCACCCCCTTATTAGTGGCTACTTCTTATTCCTTCTTCAGGACCCTGGTTAGATGCAGTTTCCTCTAGGAAACTTTCCCTGAATCCCCCAATCTCTTCAGATTGAGTAAGTGCCCAGTTATATATTCCATAGCACTCTTTATTTCTATTACAATAATAATTACATTCTGTTGGAATTTGCTAATCTGTAGACTCTATGAAGGCAGGAACCATGTTTGCCTATTCAATATTGTATCTGCAATGCTTAAGGTATGCTGCACATAGTAAAAGCACTAGAATATTTTTTCAATGAATAGATAATTAAAATAAATATAATACTCAGTTATAAAGAAGGCAATAGGCTAATTCCATCATCCAGACATAATCAATATCAATGTTTTGGTATGTATCCTTCCAGACATTTCCATCTTTTCTCCCTCAAAAATGAGATCTTATTTTTTGTAATATTCAGTCAAATTGTTGTTGCCGTTGTTTTGTTTAATCTTAAATTTGTTATAATGGACATCCTCCCAAGTCAGTACATTGCTCTATAATGTTCTATTGTATATATATTCCACACTTGAAATAATCCTCACCTTGAGTACTAATATTGTATTGGTATAGAGAATACTGAAATATAAACACTCATCCTTGAACATACATTTTCTTTTTTTTGTTTTTTTTGAGACGGAGTCTAGCTCTGTCACCCAGGCTGGAGTACAGTGGCAATCTCAGCTCAGTGCAACCTCTGCCTCCTGGGTTCAAGCGATTCTCCTGCCTCAGCCTCCTGAGTAGCTGGGATTACAGGTGTGCACCACCACACCTGGCTAATTTTTGTATTTTTAGGAGAGACAGGGTTTTACCATGTTGGCCAGGCTGGTCTCGAACTCCTGACCTCAGGTGATCCGCCTGCCTCAGCCTCCTAAAGTGCTGGAATTACAGGCGTGAGCCACCACGCCCGGCCGAAAATACATATTTTCATACATTCATTCTTGATCATTGTGCAACTAACAGCTAGAACATGGCCTGGCACACACGATGCACTCATAAATGGATGAGTGGATTAACAAATGAATAAGGGGGTCAGCTATCAGTAAGCATAATAAAATTGTGGCTAAGAGTTTAGGCACTAGAACCAGTACACTTATGTCCAAATCCCAGCTCCAGCACTTGCCATCAATTACTAGTGTTTTCCTAGCTTCAGTGTCTCTCTACAAACAAAGACAATGGTTGTACCAACCTCAAAAGACTATTAGGAGAACTGAATAAGATAATAAGGTCAAGCGCATTCTCAGAACTTGGCACACTGTAAGCACTTACAAATATTAATTGGTATCATGATCTTTGTTGCTATTTTTTAAATTTAGTATTGGAATGGAAATTATCATTAGAATGGAAACTTTGCAAAGTCCACAGAAAGAAAGATAAGGCTTCTCTTTGAACAACGGGAGAAGAGAAGAAAACAAGTTTTAATGAGGAGACAGAAAGGAGATAATTTAAAATTACGAAAAGAATTATTCTAATTCAAGTGCTACATTCTCTGTGAAAGTGGTTGCTCTCTTTTCTGTGTTGGTAATCATACCTTTCAGAATGTTCAGGGTTTTCCAACTTTTGTAATTTCATTCTTTTTGATAAAGTTTCTTTATTAATTGCATGACCAAATGTAAGCTAATATTTACAACTTTGAAAAGTTTACACACGCACACGCGCGTGCACAAATTAGAAAAAAATGTTCTATCCCAGTATTTAAGATTTATTTATTTATTTGAGACAGAGTCTCGCTTTGTCGCCCAGGCTGGAGTGCGGTGGCTCGATCTCGGCTTACTGCAACCTCTGCCCTCTGGGTTCAAGCGCTTCTCCTCCCTCAGCCTCCTGAGTAACTGGGATTACAGGCGTGTGCCACCATGCCTAGCTAATTTTTGTATTTTTAATGGAGATGGGGTTTCACCATGTTAGCCAGGCTAGTCTCGAACTCCTGACCTCAGGTGATTCGCTCACCTCAGCCTCCCAAAGTGCTGCAATTACAGGCATGATCACCACACCTCGCCATATTTAAGTTTTAAAAACATACATTAGTTTGGCAAGTACTCCCATCTTGAAATATCTCTTTCAATATTGCCTTAGATGTTATTTAAATTAAATCTTGTATAATTTAAATTTTTTTATGCCCCAATCAGATTGTACATTCTTTGAGAATGGAATCTCATGTCCATCTTTGTATATTCTACAGCACTCAGAAGCATTCCTTTTACTCTGTAGTTCTATAAGAAAAAAAGTAATTGATTTGATTCATATCTTTGGTAATGTTGCTTAGGAAAGAAAACTTTGCATGGAAAGTCTGTGGAATGCCTGTGTGTGGAAGCCTTCTGTTTCCCTTTTTAAACATGAGATTGAAAAGGGAAAACAAACTGCACTTGTGATTGCTGAAAGTTTAATATTTACCCCCTGCCTCCTAGTAACTTTTTGAATGTCTTAAGATACCAGTGAAAACAAAACCAGTATGTTTGGGACACTGTGGTTTGGAAGAATGAATGCATTTTTTTAAAATAAAAATGCACTTCACTAGTAGTATTCATTTTCCAAGGCTGTAATTAGAGAGAAACACTCGAGAAGCACCAAAATTGTGGAACATAAAGAGGGCAGTGACAGGACCCCAATTAACCTAAATTAGCACAGGTTACCCAGACTGTGATAACTCAGAGCTCCAGAAACTCCCCAAAATGAAAAAGCCTTCTGCTTTTAGCACTTTTTTTCTTCTTTTTTCTCCCCAAAGACTTCAAGATTCAAGTGGAAAAGTTCACCAGGATGGGTGGGACCTGAACAGGCTGACTCACTGCGGTTAGATTCAGACTGCCAAGGAAAGCTGCAGAGTACAGTTAGGCATACACTATAGCTGGTTTTGATGATATTTTCTTGTTAAAGACAACATTATTAGAAAAATGTGTAAACAGGACAGGGCAGTGGAGGCCCCCTCTTGATTTTATAGCCAAAGACTCCCACCCTTCCGTGGCTTTTCTGTACCGTCTGCCATGTTGATTCTATGTAAAAAACCCAAATGCAGGCATTCCACCAATGTAATGCTCTCCTTCTCTGAGAGTCCTTTCATTTCCCCAAGAGCTTTGGAATCATTGGAGTTACAGTGGTTCCGTTACTTTATTCTTATATAACTTTGGGCAAGTTATTTGAACCTTGATCTCTTCACTAGTATAATGGTTGTAAAAATAATATCTATCTCATAAGTTAGGAAAATGAACTGAAAATACACTAAATTAAATATGTCAAATATCTAGAAAAGTACCTGGTGCATAATGAGCACTCAAATAGTATTTATTGTTATTAGCTACTATTGTGATCTTCTTAATAAATCCTGTCAAATATTATTTCAAAAAGACTCTTTCTCTCCCGTCCTTTTCATTTTTAGTTTTATCGTTCCATTTAAAGTGGAAAAGAGGCCAGGCGCGTAGTTCGCGCCTGAAATTCCAGCACTTTGGGAGGCCAAGGAGGGTGGACCACTTGAGGCCAGGATTTGGAGACCAGCCTGACCAACATAGCGGAACTCCATCTCTACTAAAAATGCAAAACATTAGCCGGGTGTGGTGGCGGGAGCCTGTAGTCCCAGCTACTCAGGCAGGAGAACTGCTTGAATCCAGGAGGCAGAGGCTGCAGTGAGCTGAGATTGCACCACTGCACTCCAGCCTGGGTGACACAGCAAGACTCCTTCTCAAAAAAAATGAACAATAAAAAAATAAAGTGGAAAAGAAATGTACATTTCTTGACTTCCTAGTTTCCCATCCTACCCAATCAATTAACACGCCAATACCCTCCTTAAAACTGTTCAACTTATTGTGAATACCAGGTAGAGGCAGAAGAGATACAAATCCAATAGGATATCTAATTTTTAATACTTTTCAGCTAGTTTAGTTGATGAATATTTACTGAGCACTTACTATGTACTACATTATGCTATATTCTAGAGACTAGAAAAGAATGGGCAAGAGGTGTTTTCTGCCCTCAAGGAGCTTAGAGTCTTGGTATATATTCTGGGATTAGAGAGTAAGAGAAGGCATCCTAAAATTAAAAAATAAATAAATTTAAAAAGGCACCTGAGCTGAATCTTGAAGGATGAGTAAACTTTAACCAAATAAACAATAGGAGAGAAAAGGTTTTCAAGGCAGAGGGAACAGCAGGTACAAATAAATGAAAGTATGAAACAGCTTTGAATTGCAAGCAGTTCAGAATTAATAGAGTAAAAATCATGTAATAGAGAATATTGGAAGAAAAAAGTGGATTTACAGTTTACCTAGAGAGGCAGGAATCTGGTAGAATTTCAATCTGCATCAATCTAAATAGGAGGAACTAGTGATTCCATTTCCAAATAAGCCAACACCTTCATTAGCACCAAACTTTCACCAGCTGAGTTCCCCAACATAGGACATGCCCACTATCTTTAGGTCACAAAGACATCAGGTGTTTTCAGGCTCAATCATGAGTTATTGGGCAAGTTCCTTTGTTATTCTTTTTGCCATTAGTTCATCATTTGTAAACTGGAATAATAATCATGGCTTTTCTTTTTTTTATTATATTTGAAATTCTGGGATACATGTGCAGAACGTGCAGGTTTGTTGCACAGTATACGTGTGCCATGTTGGTTTGCCGCACCCATCAACCCGTCATCTATATTAGGTATTTCTCCTAATATTATCCCTCACCTTGCCCCACGGCCCCTGACAGGCCCCTGTGCGTGATGATCCCCTCCCTGTGTCCATGTGTTCTCATTAGTCAACTCCCATTTATGTGTGAGAACATAGGGTGTTTGGTTTTCTGTTCCTGTGTTAGTTTGCTGAGAATGATGGTTTCCAGCTTCATCCACGTCCCTGCAAAGGACATGAACTCATTCTTTTTTTATGGCTGCATAGTATTCCATGGCGTATATGTGCCACATTTTCTTTATCCATTCTAACATTAATGGGCATTTGGGTTGGTTCCAAGTCTTTGCCATTGTTAATAGTGCTGCAATAAACATACGTGTGCATGTGTCTTTATAGTAGAATGATTTATAATCCTTTGGGTATATACCCAGTAATGGGATTGCTGGGTCAAATGGTATTTCTAGTTCTAGATCCTTGAAGAATTGTCACACTGTCTTTTACAATGGTTGAACTAATTTACACTCCCACCAGCAGTGTAAAAGCGTTCCTATGTCTCCACATTCTCTCCAGCACCTGTTGTTTCCTGATTTTTAATGATCGTCATTCTAACTGGTGAACATGCCTTTTCACAAGGTTGTTGTAAATGAGATCATGCTGTCACATACTTAGAGCAATATCTGCCACATAGAAAGTGATCATCAAATGCTAGCCAGTATTATGTATGTGCTGCTGAAGTCTTGCTCATTCCAGAGATGCTGCAGCTGGGTGCTGTGATCAGTGAGAAAGCATAGGGCAAGGGATTTTTCTCAACACATCATTGTGACCATTTGTAGGTAAAATTTATTTCTGATCCAATAATGTGTTCAGATTTATGATCATGGTACATAAACTTATGGCCCTGAAAAAGTCACAATTTCTGTGAGTCCTGGTTCCCTCACTTAAAAAATGGGGAGAGTGATGCTTGTTCCGTGTCTTATAAAGACAAAATAAAACAACTTATGAGATACACTTAACCCACTGCTCAATACACTAAACCCACTGCTCAATACACTAAACCCACAGAGAATCCCTTCATCAGTGGATTCTCTGAGTGGGGAAAAGCGCCTACATAACGAAGTTGGTAAGGTTGGGAAATTAATTAAATCACTCACTCATTCAAAAATACAAATGAAGCATATATGCTAAGCAATGCCCTCCTTTCATCATGGAGTGTAATACCTATTGACCTCAACCTGACAAACATACAATTGGAGTTTGTATACACATACAACCATGCTGTTGGTTGTGGGTGGAGAATGAAAGAAAAGAAACACTGTTGTATGTTGGAAATGTTGCTTTCTTTGTCCCTTTTTTCTACACCAACATAAAGATAATTGTCATTTTCGCTTGTTAATTGACTAATTATGTTTTGGTTCCATAATGTGCCAGTATTTGCATTTTTAGTCTGTTATCTCTTTCCCTGTAATCAAAGGGCCTTTTTTTCTCTAGAATTTCCTACATCAGCAAACATTTTAGAGGTAACTGCATTACTGAACAATTATAATTACTTTTGACAGATTGAGTACTTTTAATATTACTTCTCTCCTGTTCTAACTCTCTTTTTCTTACCTCTCTATAGTCCAGTCTCTTATTTGAACATATCTCTCTTTCTTCCCCCAAATCTCCCCTCTGTCTGGAATATTATACTCTACTTCTCTGACTAGTAAAATCTAACTCAGCTTTGGAGACCCTGCTCAACGTGAAGCCCCCAGGAGAAATGTCCTCTGGTAAGAGGCCTTTCCCTACTCCTTTAATAAAAGTAGACATTTTCTCTCAAGATCTCAGAGTGTACTGTCCTTATCTCTATGAAAGCACTTGCCATGCTATATTGTATTTAATGCAATGTCTGTACTTCCAAATAGACTATAACTATCTAAGGGCAGGAACTAAAGTATCTCATTTAATGTGATCATGTGTTTGTTGCATGGATAAATGAAATAAGAAGGGATTCCTGGCTGCTTCTTCCAGGCCTGTATCCCTTTGTCTTTAAGCCCTGGAGGAGTCGACCCTACATTGGCAAAAAACATTTAGCATGTCCCTTCCTCTCTCTGAGTACTGCTACCTATCCTATATCCCAAGGCTATCGAATGCATATTTTAAACTTTACAGAAAATACCATGTTATTTAGTATTTTACCATTTTTAGGGTAGGGCATAGTAATGTGTTCCTATCTCTCCTATATTTTTTCTAACCAATGTTTTCTCTAATTTTTAAACCCTTTCACGGAGGCGTTTTGTATTTTAGGTGCTGTCATTCAGAGTCCACAGGATGGATGAATGGATATGAAAATGAACAAACGTGTGACACAACACTGCATGATTTACCGGCAATGACTTTCTGATCAAGCCTGAAGTGGGTTGTAGCCTCTTTATTTACTTTTTATTTGACACATAGCAGAGAGAGATTTAAACTATCTCTTATTGGCCTTTTCCCTGCGTCTTAGCTTGGTTTCTGTCAGTGTTTCCCAGCATCGAGAAATAAGGACTAATCTGTCATATTAGATCTAAACTCTAAAAGAAAAGGACTTTGGGCCTTATATCTGCCACCCATTCTTTCAATGGAGGTGACACCCCTCATTTCTATATTTCCAGTCATCTCTCAATGAAAAGGAACATGCAGACTGGCTCGCCTTTGGAGAGCACCCCACACAGTTTTGAGGAGCTCTGCAGCTCTGCTTGCCCTTTCTGCATCACAGCAGATCCAAAAGGTGAAAAAAAAAAAAACAAAAAAAGGAGGGGGTTGGGGTGTTAGCATCCTTGCTTCCCCCACCAGCACCACACAGCTGTTTGGAGGTTTAGTCTTCAAAAGCCTCTTGATTACCATGCAAACTCTCCATGTCTTAAAAAAAAATACACACAGTATACATGAGAATGCTAAGCATAAAATTTGAAGAATAGGCTGTTAATTCTTAGGCACATGTTATATGGTGCATATCCTTTGCCCACAGAAATATCTGGTAAGATGTACAGAAAGTATTGGTGAAATATTTCTACTTACAAATTGAGGGAAGATGGGGTAAACCCATGTCAACACAAAATTTTTTGAGATTAGAATTTTACTTTTTTTTTTCTGTCAAAAGTTATCAATTCCAATTCCAGAATGAGAGAAACCCCAGTATCTCACAGACTATTTACACATTATTTATGTGGGACCTGCTTGCTGGGTATCCCTGAGGGGGCACCAAAGAGCTATTTCTTTCTTCCTTTTTTTTTTTTTTTTTAGAGCACAAGCGTGTAAGAAATTCTGGCTGCCTGTTTCTGGGCTATTTAAATCCCAGTAGACATGCTCTCTTGTACAGACTTCCTGGGCTCAACCCAGCTCACAGGGAGCTGGGGAATCTGTATTACATTATCAGTTATTGTTTTTGGTCAAATCTAAGGACAAACATATGAAGAAGCAGAGCATGCAGCACTGGTTCAGGAGGTTCAAGCAACATTATCAGATTCTTGTTGAGAAACAAATGGTTGTTACTGTGCCACCGCACACTGCAGACAATTCCTAGATATCGAGAGAGGTCCAAGCTAGCAACAGAGAATTTAATACTAGCTGCTGGACCGGGACTCCTGGGCTCACTATGTTGCAGCTACAGATTCTCAGAATGCCATTTAAACTTCCTGAGTTTATCTGAGAAGTAAACCAAGGGTGTAGGTGATGAGGCAGCATTTACTGGTACAGTTAGTCCCCCCTTATCCACAGTTTTGCTTTCCATGGTGTCAGTTACCCACAGTCAACCACAGTCTGAAAATGTTAAATAGAAAATTCTAGAAATGAACAACTCATAAATTTTAAATTGCACATTGTTCTGAGCAGCATGATGAAATCTCGTGCCATCCACTCTATCTCACCCTTGAATCATCCCTTTGTCCAGCACATCCAGGCTGTATATATCGCCCACCAGTTAGTCACTCAGTACTGTCTGGGTTATCAGATTGTTGCAGTATCACAGCGCTTGTGTTCAAGTAACTCCTATTTTACTTAACAATGTAAAAGTGCAAGAGTAGTAATGCTGGTATATTGTTATAATTGTTCTATGTTATTATTAACTACTGTTAGCCTCATTAACATTTAATTTATAAATTAAACTTTATCCTAAGTATGTATGTATAGAAAAAGACATAGTAAATATAGGGTTCAGTACTATGCAGTTTGAGGCATCCAAAGGAGGGACTGCTGTACAGGCAAGGGTCCATAACCACACCCCCCAGCACACAGCTGACAGAGCATATGTTTATTGGGACATGCTCTTGAAAGAGACACCATAATGATAATACCATCCATAATCCGGACCAATCCATGGGTCATATTTTTATCAGGCATCACTATTCCATAGTACTGCTTCTAATTGGGATAACAATTATCCACTCACATGACTTACCTTCTCAAAGTCTCGAAGAGCCTGGGTCTGTACCTGAGGGGGTTTCTCAAATGCTCTCAAGGAATATGTCTGCACAAACGGGACCTTTTCACCACTTCTCCAGATCTGTGACTGCACTGGAGGGCCTCGATCTTTAGTGTCACTAAGAAAAGCTGTCAATGAAACAGAACAACAAAAAAAAAAGGTTTATATAATAACAGCACTAGGATCATTCTAACTGGCACATTCCAGCAGAATTCAGTTTCTGCAAAATACAAACTCAATCTAGGCCACATAGAAACAGTTTACTTAAAGTAGTCTGTGGTAGATCATATTAATAGCCATCCCCAGTGAATCAAACTAGTTTGGGTCCATAGGCCTTTGCAATGTGATACTCCTGCCATTAAGAAGTAGAGCCTATTTCCCCAACTCTTGAATCTGGGTTGGCAAAGTGGCTTGCCTTGACTGGCAGAATATGATATAAATGCTACTGTATGAGTTCCAGAGACTAGCTTTGAGAGGCCTTGCATTTCTGCTCTTGCCTTATTAGCATCCCAAGACAACCATGCTGTGAAGAAGTCGGTCTACCCCACTGGAGAAGGAAAGGCTGTTCAGGGAAGTGAAGATGCCCCAGCTGACAGTCACCACCTGCCAGACATGTGAGCAAGGCTGTCTGAGACCTTCAGTCTCAGTCAAGTCATCAGAAAGTTGCAGCCAGTTGAGTGATCCCAAGTGAGACCAGCAGCGATAATGCCCAGTTTGCCAAAACAGAATTGTGAGAAATAATAAATCATTGTTGTTTTAAGCCAGGTGTGGGCAGACATTTTCTTAAAGGACCAGACAGTGTTTTAGGCTTGTGGGTCATATCATCTCTGGCACAGGTACTCAACTCTACCCTGTAACACAGAGGAGACACAGACCATGTGTAAATGAATGAGTGTCACTGTGTGGCTATAAATCTTTACTTATAAAAACTGACTGTTGGCTCATGGGCTGTAGTTTGCTGCTGACCCCTGTTTTAAGTCACTAAGTTTTGGGATGGTTTGTCACATAACAAAAGGTAACCAAAACAGTCTAAAGGAAAGAACCAAGCTGCTAGCAAACTATCTCTACCGATAATTTTTCAGGTTACTATTTAGTAATAGTAACAATTATAACAGCCAACATATTTAAAGGGCATTACATGTTACAAAATAGTTTCACATGAATTATTTCATTTATGAAGTCGCTGCAATCAGTGAAATAGACATAAGTGATTATTAAGTCCATTTTACTGATGAATAAGTAAAGATTCAGAAAGTTTGCTTGACCAAGATCACATTGCTAAAAAGTGGCAGAACCAATGCCATATTTTCTCCATCTGTCTTTCTTAGCAGTATGCTACTACTGTGTTATTTTAGCAATTAAAGGGATTGCAATAGGTCTGAGAGTGGGGAAAACAGGTAAAGAGGCAGAGACTCAATCACTCCATTAACCAATGGAAGCATTGCTTTGGGAGAACCTAGTGGAATCTAAGCTGTAATTAACCCTATGCTTGCTTTTGAGAAGTAACATTGTTAAAGAATGAGAAATCAACCCTGCCTCATGTTGGGGCAGGGTTGGAGTTACAGACAGGTAGAAAACATAGAAAGCTACATACTTTCTTGGCTGACAGAAGGAAATAATGAACTTTTATTATGGAACTATTTTTTAAATAAGAAGACAGTCATGGCAAAGCATTAAGCGCTACAGACAGTGTCAGGGCAAGTAAGAGCAAAACAGGTACTGGGTGACTGCCTGGCTGAGGAAAAGTTAACTAAACACTTGGGGAAAGGAGATCCAAGGGAGTAAGAGGCAAAATGCCTTTGCATGCTTTTCTTCCGATCTCTTTTTCTTTCTCTCCTTCTCACTCTCTCCCTTCCTTCCTTTCTTCCTTTCTCTTTCTTTTTTTTTCTCTTTTCCCCCACCTCTCTGCCTGCCTCCTTCCTTCCCTCCCCTCCCCTCCCTTCCCCCTCCCTCCCTCCCTCCCTTCCTTCCTTCCTTCCTTCCTCCCCTCCCTCCTCTCTCCCTCCTTCCCTGCCTTCTTTCCTTCGTTCTGCCAACTTGCCAGAAGGAGCCCAAGAAAAAGCACCCAGATGCTTCAGTCAACTTCTTAGAATTCTTCTTTTTTTTATGTTCAGAAAAGATGGAAATTCATTTCTGCTAAAGAGAAAGAAAAAATTTGAAGACAGGGTGAAGGTGAACAGGCCCATTATAAGAAAGAAACAAAAATCTATATTCTGTCTACAAGGAAACGAGAGAGAGAAAGAGAGAGAAGAAAGAAGTTCCAGGATTCTAATGTACCAAAGGGATCTCCTTTTTCTTGTTTTGTTCTGAAAATTTCACCAAAAGAGCACAGGAGAACATCTTGGCTAATTCATTGGCGATGATGTAAGAAAACTGAGAGAAATGAAAGAAATGAAGAATTACTGTTGCAGATAATATACAGCCTTGAGGAAAGAAAGGCTTTTAAGATTATAGATATAAAGGCTATTGCTGTATTCTGGGATAAAAGAAAGTCTGATGCAGGGAAAGGGGAAGTTGGAAAAACTGGAAAAAGAAAAAAGAAGAAAAGAAAAAAAGGACTGGAAAGACATTGGTGAATAGAAAGATGAAAAGGGTGAAGAAAAAAATGATGATAGTCAATAGGGTGGTTTTAAAAGAGGCTTTTGTTTTATTAATTTGTTTTTGTGTGAGTGTGTGTGTATGTGTTTGTTTTTTGCCTAAAAGTATTTAACTCCCCATTACACCACTGATTTCAAAGAAAAAAAGCTGAAATGTAAGATCATATGATTTGTTTTTAAACTGAACACTGTATACTGTCTTTTTATTTTTGCAAAATTAATGTAGTATCCAGTGTGTCTTTAGATAACCCTGTCCTTAATGATATTTTCAATAGCCACTAACCTTGCCTGGTACTGTTTCGGGGTTTAAACTAGAACAGAAATCTAAGGCAGGCTTTATTAGTGCATAGTACAAATCAATTACATATATATGGAGATATTATTTTTCCCTCTTCAATTGTTTTTCATGCAGCTTACCCAATATAATTGTTCTGTTAGTTGTACACTACTCTGTGATAGCAAATAATAATAATAAAATAATTATGATGATATTGCCCCTGTTTTGGTGATATTCTGAATGTTTATACGTAAATGCAAAATTTTTAATTAAAAGTAATTAGAGGCTGGGCATGGTGGCTCACACCTGTAATCCCAGTTTTTTGGGTGGTTGAGGCAGGTGGATCACTTGAGGTCAGGAGCTCAAGACCAGCCTGGCCAACATGGCGAAACCCCATCTCTACCAAAACTACAAAAATTAGCCAGGCGTGGTGGCAAGCGCATGTAATCCCAGCTACTCGGGAGGCTGAGGCAGGAGAATTGCTTGAACCTGGGAGGCGGAGGCTGCAGTGAGCCGAGACGGCACCACTGCACTCCAGCCTGGGTGACAGAGCAAGACTCTGTCTCAAAAATAAATAAATAAATAAATGTAATTAGAAAAAATGATTTCTTCCACATTTAGGTGAAATTAAATATACTACTAAGGGGAAGATAATCTGATAAAACAGAATAACAATACATTACAGTTAGATTGGTGGATATGATAGAAAGAGCAATGCCTTGAGGCTTGGATTTGAATCCTGACCACTTGCTAATTGTGGGAATTTAGGCAAATCTCTTAATTTTGCTGATATATTGCCTCTGTAAAACAGGGGTAATAATATCTGCTTTATAGAACTGTTCTATGGATTAAATAAAATAATAAAAGCACCTTGCCACATGTATTATATGTAGTAAGCATTTTATCCATTCCCCTCACATTTTTGCCCTAGTCCTTCAATTTTTGCCTCAAAATGTAGAATATTGACATTTAAAATGTTGAGCACAGTAACCCTTGGAATTTGTGGATTTAACACACATTTCAAATACTAATTTTAAGTGACTCTGAAATTCTTAACTTATTCAAATTAAAAACTTTTTTCCAAATTGTGCATATAAACAATCTGTGCTTCCAGGCTGTTATGAAAAAGGCAAAGAACTTAGCAAGGAAGTAAAACCCTCAGGTCGAGAACAAGTTTTGTGGAAAATAGACCCCCAAAGAATATTATCTTCCCTTTGGTTTTGCAATTCAGGTAGATCTCTGGCTAATGTTAGTGCAGTAATAATTGTGCTGTTGTTAGGAATACATTAATAGTAACAATAGATAAGATACAGAGTGCTTATTCCTTGATAGCCTCTGTACTAAAAGCTTTTCTCAATCTCACCTATGAGATTAACATTATTATTGTACCCATTTTATTTATTTATTATTTTATTATTATTTTATTTTTTTTGAGACTGAGTCTGCTCTATCACCCAGGCTGGAGTACAGTGCCACGATCTCAGCTCACTGCAACCCCTGCCTTCCGGGTTCAAGAGATTCTCCTGCCTCAGCCTCCTGTGTAGCTGGGATTACAGGCGTGGGCCACCATGCCTAGCTAATTTTTGTATTTTTGGTAGAGATGGGGTTTCACCATGTTGGCTAGCCTGGTCTTGAACTCCTGACCTCAGGTGATACGCCCGCCTCAGCCTCCTAAAGTGCTGGGATTACAGGCGTGAGACACCATGCCCGGCCTATTATACCCATTTTAATGGTGTATTAAGATAAAGATTTCATTTTAGTAACATAATTTATTTTAATCATTGTACAAGTGAGTTTAGCCTTGCAATTACAGAATCGTTAAAAGTATGAAGAATTCACATAAGTATCTGTAATGATTTACTGTACTATGCTGCTTCTCAGTACATAGAATTATAGCTAGCTGATAATTCTCGTGTGAAATTGCTACAGTAGTATGTGCTAATTTGGAAATTCACAAAAGTTTGAAGATATTGCCATGATGAATTTAAAGAGGCCATAATTCAAGAGAATTAAGATCAATAGAAAACCAAGAATTGGCCAAGTGCCAATTTCTCTCACACACTTTGGAAAGCTGGAGTGGGTGTATTGCTTCAGGTCAGACATTCAAAACCAGCCTGAGCAATATAGCAAGACTCCCACCTCTAAAAAAAAATATTAAAAATTAGGCATATGTCTATAGTCCCAGCTACTCGGGAGGCTGAGGTGAAAGGATAGCTTGACCCCAGGAGTTTGAGGTTGCAGTGAGCTATGATCACACCACTGCACTACATCCATAGTGAGAGAGTGAGACCCTGTCTCAAAAGAAAACCAAATGAATAAACAAAAGAAACAAAGAATTTAACAAAGCAAGGCCCACAGCATCCTTACCTGCTGTGTGACTCGTTCTGGGTACCATCTCCCCATCATCCTCTGCAAAATAATCTCTGTGGAGGCAAACACATCATTAATTAATGAGATACTACCCCACAAGGCTCCCATCCCAGGGATCGAGGAGAAGACACCTACCTATTTGTCATTTCTATTTATCTCTCTGCAAGTATTTACTAAGCTTCTATTATGTATCAGGGACCGTGTCAAGTGCTAGGGATACAAAGGCAAACACCACAGAAGAGTTCCTATTCTCAATAAGTACATGAGAGCCAGCCATTAAATAATTTCACAAGAATTAACTACTATTGTAGTAAATGTTGTGAAGGAAAATGCAGAGGGAACTTAACTAGCACAGGGACTCAGAGAAACTCAGGGAAAGGAACATTTAAACGTAGATGGGAGGATGTCAACCAGGTGTAGAATGGGAGAATGGGAGTGGAAGAGTGTTCCATCATGAGAGAACAGCAAAGGCCCTGAGTCAGAAAGGACTCTGGCCTGTTAGAGGAACAAAGAAAGCCAATGTTGCAACCAGGCCACGCAGGACCTTGTGGTATGGGGTAAGGCCACTGAGTCTAATGTGAAAAGCTATGGGAAATCAATGAAGGATTTTAAATTAAGGAAAGAATGGTAATGATCAGATTTATATTTTAGATAGGTCATTCCAGCTGCATTCTGGCTCTACACAGTGAGACTGTGGAGGGGCAAAAATGGATGGTGAGAATCTATATTCCAAATAGGAAGTTGTGATGGTTTAACAAAGGGGAAATTTTAAAAATTTGAGATATGTTTAGAAAGTAGAATTGACACAGAAACCTTGAAAAACAGACAAAGTTTATGAGTGGAAATGTTAATAACACCATGATTCAGTAGCAAGAGGTGTATCTGTTCAGCATAGTAAATACCACCATCCCTAGCAGAGAGGGGACAGTATCTCAAAATGTATTCAACAAATACTTCTCAAGCCCATGCTTGACAAGTGCTTTTAGGCACTGTTGTAAGCTCCACAAATGTAGCAGTGAGCAAAACAGACAAAAATCCCTGCACTCATGGAATTTTTACAGTAAGGGGAGACAAATAAATAAATTGTATAGTAGCAGTTGGGAACAAGTGCTATAAAAAAAGTAAAGTGGGGAATGTGGATAGGGAGAGCTGGAGGTAGGAGGAGGTAGAGGGGATTGCAATTTTCAGTAGACAAGGCTGCTCTATGAAGCCATAAGGACAGGCATGGGGGTCTCTAGGGAAAGAGTCTTCTAAGCAGAGAACATAAAATGCAAAGGTCCATAAGAGGGAGCATACTAGTTAGTGGCTGGGTGCAGTGAGCACGTGGTGAGCAGTAGGAGGTGAGGTCAGGGAAGTAATGGGAAGACTGGGCAGGGGGCGCAGACTGTTTGAAGCCTTTCAAGACATGGAGAGGCATTTAGCCACTAGAGTCTTGTGAATCAAAAAGAAAGACGGACTCAGTGACTAATATTTTAAAGGGGGACTGTCTACTGTCTTGACAACTGACTGTCTGATGGGGATGTCAGAAACAGATGATTTCAATAAACCTACAGAAAGATGCTTTCAATAGGTAGCTTATTCTTTAAACTCTTGGGGGCTCCCAAGAATTCTGTAAACAGAGATGTAGAGGACTTCTCTCTTTCTCTCTTTTTTTTTTTTTTTTTTTTGAGACAGAGTTTTGCTTTTGTTGCCCAGGCTGGAGTGCATGGCACGATCTCGGCTCACCACAACCTCCGCCTCCCAGGTTCAAGCGATTCTCCTGCCCCAGCCTCCCCAGTAGCTGGGATTACAGGTGCCTGCCACCATGCCCAGCTAATTTTGTATTTTTAGTAGAGGCGGGGTTTCTCCGTGTTGGTCAGGCTGGTCTCGAACTCCTGACCTCAGGTGATCCGCCCGCCTCGGCCTCCCAAAGTGCAGAGGTTACAGGCATGAGCCACTGTGCCAAGCCTACAGGACTTCTCTTTTTAAAAGCCAGAAGATATTCACAGGGAGGCAGAGGAGGACCTGGCATTTGCTTGGAAATTGGTGGTTTTTTCTTCCCTGCCTCAGGGCTGGATCTTGGCAGAAATCTTCACTTTGTTAAGTCCCAGATGGACATGAAAATACCAGACAGGGCACATCGGGCTACACATGCCACCTGACAATTATTTCGTATCCAAAAGTAGATCACCAGCTTGTGATTCTTCCAGGCCCCCTGCCTCTTTCCCTTCTCCTCCTTAAAAGCTTTCCCTGAGAGTAAACAATGCCAAAGAGGAATGTACTACGTATGCACTCCCCTCTGTGGAGGTAAAATAGGAGAAGGATGTCAAAACCATCAACCAGAACAATGTCTTAAAAAAATCTGTGGGGAAAAAATTTATACTTAGCTGCTGCTATTCACTGAGCATTTCTGCCTAGTCCACAGACAAAGGTGGCTGCATCTGCTGTCAGGAGCAAGGTCAACCCTCGGGCCAAATTCAGCCCATCCGACATGTTTTATTTAGCCCACACAAGTTTGACCCACTTCTAACTGCTCTTGGGAAATGAGTGGGTCTGCCAACACTGGGCCTGCCTTCCCACACAGCGGGAGAACTTGCCCCCTTTACACAGGACAGGGATGTGTTTTCCAGTTTGCCACAGTCCCTGCCACTCCCTGTCCTTGTCGTCCCTCATTCACTTAATTATGATACTTGCCTGGCATCTTGCAGGTTTCTGATGCTGTTACCCCAGTATAGACCAAGTGCAGACAGAATTTCATTTCTGCTTTATTAAGACACAGTCTTGAGAAACCCATTGGCTTCACACACAATTAATTAATTTGTGGCAACAAGCTACTATATTGGCTTGCATGTCACTTTCACCTCTCTGGGCATTAGTTTTCTCTAATATTTATAAAAGAAGGACATGACTTTCTAAGGTTCCTTGCAGTAATTATGCAACTCTATTCTAATAGATGCTTAAACATAAAACCCATTTTAATACTGTCCAAGGATCCAGGATACCTTCCAGACATGATCTCACTCAATCTTCTCTGCTCTGCAGATTGCACATTATAGGTCAAGAGCAAGCTACAACACAGCAATACATATCAGCCCTACCAGACACCTCACCCTTCCCGCATCACCCACACCCACTCTGAGCACACTGCCTGCCTGATATGAATCAATAACTGGAAGGATAGAGAGGTCACTTTAGATGGGTACTGAGTTAATAAGCATACTCGCAGTGTCTCAGGAGATTTTTAAGAAATCACTTTAGCTCTATTAACAGCTCAAGTTCCCTCTCTTATTGCCAGAGAAAGGGGCTCACTCAGCTGCTCCACAAGTTACAAAGGAATCTGACGCTCCCCAAGGGAAGGGGCTCAGAGTGGAGAAACACAGAGTATAAGTCTAAGGGGTTGCAATTTGTGACAACATTTGATAAACCAAAGTGCAAGGAGAATTGGGGTATGGTAGAGACAGACTCCAAGCATGGACACACACACACACACACACACACACACACACACACACACACACACACAAAGTGGTAATATATGTTGGTACATTCTTTCGTATTACCCAAGTTCAGAAAAAAATTTTATATCCTTGTCCTAGTTTCTCAAATTCAAGTGTCTCTAGCTTTTTAAAATATCAATCCATGAATGACTCATGCTCAGCTAATATGTGGTTCGCCAGGCCACTTTTAGCTCTCCTGCATTTCCATATATAATCTTTCTCCCATGATGCTTTCACTTAAAATTTTGCTTTTTCTGTATAAATGAATTATATTTTTCCTCAGTGTCTTACCTTGTCTTTCTCCCTACGTCATCAATCTGCTAATGACAATACCAATTCCACTAAAACCACATATATTAATATTCTCACCAGGACATTATTTTGCTTTTGGAAGTACCAAGCATTTTCCAAGTACAACCTACTCACAAGCTGTTCACCTGCTTGATTTCTGCATGGTATATCACTCATATTTTCTTGAGTTGCTGATAAGTAGCTATTAAGATATTAGACTCAAATAATACATCAACATTCAATATCCCATATTACTTGGTTTTTCTATGGCTTTCCAGGGTGATTAAGTTGAGAATGATCAGGAAATAATTGCTTCTCTGAAGGCCATCTGCCACCCCCTGATATTCTGACATTCTCAAACTGTCCTGTGATGATTTCTTCCAGTAATTTTCTAAGAATGGTAGTTTCATTTATGGCCAGGGTTATCCAAAACACTCAGTTTTGCTTTACTTGAAACTGGCCACTGATATAGCTCCTTTCAAGATTCAAGCATCTCATTGGTCCCACTAGTCTAGTTTCTCATAACATTGTGGGGAGGGGTAGACACTTGGGTTTCTTCTTGCTTAGGAGCCTGCAGAGAGAGATATTTTCTATAAGGCAGGTATAGACCTTCCTCCGTAAACTGTTATTTCTGGTATTATTTTCTTGTATTTTAGTCTGTCTAATTTGTGGACTGAGAGGAACAACAGATCATATGAATGAATCATCTCATTCAAAAGCAATGACAAGATGGTAATCATCATTACAAAGCAGGTTCTATGAGTCTTTGAACAGTATGAGATATTTGTATTGTAGGACCAAAATCACCACTAAAACTATTTCTAAGGTACTGATGCCTGTCTAGGCTCCATACTTTCTTCTCTCCAGTCTCACCTACTAAAATAATTAACCTAAGGTTATTTATTCCCATATGAGTGTCTAAACTCCCAAAGGAATGGTAATTTTCAGGCCCTCTCTTCAGGCCAATCACATGTATTTAGTTTGTTCTGAGAACCACATAGTCTGGCCCTCCTACTTCATCACTAACCACCACCCTTGCTTAACATTTCTAAGCCTGAAGACCAGGGCCATCTCCCAGAGGCATTTTCTAGCTTTCAAGCTTCTTTATATATATATATATATATATATATATATATATATATATATATATATATATTATTATTATGAACAAAAATTCAGAAGGAGAAAAAACAATCTGCTATAGCAATACCTAGAGCGAAAACCTGGGCCTTCATTGCTATTTTTAGGGTTTTTATAATTCCATTTTGTAAACATTTATTGAGAAGTTGCTTTTATGCCAGGTACTGGAAATACAAAGGTGAAAAAGTATATATACCCTGTGGTTAAAGTACTCAGAATCTATTGAGGGAAGCAGGCACATGATTCAGAGAGATAATTATTAGAAAAATTAGATTTAACAGAGATTTCAGAACATAAATAAGATAGCAATTAATTTTGTCCTGGTGGGGAGTGGGCTGGGACAGGGTGGTTGGTGGAGGGGTCTAGGACATTTACAGAAAACAGATAACACTGAATCTAGGTCTTAAAGGATGGGTGTAAATACACAAGGAAACATAGCAAAGACCCAATTATAGGAAAATGAACGGTGTGTTCAGGGGGCTTTCATTTTGTTTTCCCCTTCCCAACCACCCCGCTCCATCTTCCCCCCACCCTGAGGAGCCCTAAACTGCCTCCTAGGACATCTTCCAACTTCCTGTTTACCTTTCCCCCTCCTCAAGCCTTCCTCCCCAAGCGCTCACCCTCAGGTGGGAATATGAAGGGAAGCCAAGGGTGAAATTGTTTCTTCATTTGCACCTCCCTCCTCAAACACTATAGCTTAGAAACCCCCAAAATGATTTAAAATAATGTCAGCAAGAAAGGGGCTAAGATTTGCACTATTGTGAAAATACCCATAGAAACAAACTAGAAAAGAACCCAGAGAAATGAAAAGTCTGGAGGTTTAGAGTGGCGGAAAATATACTGAGCATCCTCCCCCTTTTTTTCTTACTATTTTTGCCAAAAGGCTAATTCTTATTTTTAAAAAGTTTGAATAATCTATTTTTATTGAATTTACATTGCTCTTCCTAATTAATGACCTTGATAAAAGATGAACTATGGAAAGGATTCGGCTCGGTGTGGCCTCTCAAACAGTGAGGGGCATGTGGCATGACAGCAAGACTGCTGAAGTTTGCTCTTTCTTGGGGTCCTCACAGGAGTAGGCATTGAACCAAATGCAGATTCTGTTCCAATTCCCATATTCTTGGAGCTCATTTAACATGAGTTGCTGGTTTCTGTTTCAAATGAAATAAATTTTTCAAACGTTCCAAGATGCATTTTTCCTATTTTTAATTTACAGCTATATTCAACTGTGGCAAACACAAAAGGGTCAGAATGAGAAGAACTGTGGCCTATTTTTTAATATGGGAAGCTCTGGCCCTGACAGTTTATAAATGGTAAGATTTTAGAAATAGTGTCAACTTAAAAACAAAGACATCTACAGTTAACAATTTCTGGACTGCTGGTGCATAATTTTATAATTCCACAGGTTTTCTTGCACTGGAATTTTCCTCAATACTAATCTTGTATTAAATGAACATATTATTATCATGGACAACCATCACCACTCACCACCAATGCTGCCTCTGCAATTTACTGAATGCCTGATACTTTCTAGGCATCAGTTCATTCAGTCATCATAGAATCCTGTGAAGTACGTCATACAATCCCTGTTTACAGATGAGGAAACAAGGGGCCTGGAAGGATAAAGTAATTTGCCCAAGATCGCACAGCTAGTTGGTGTCAGAGCCTGAACTTGAAAACTGTCTATTTGACTCCAAACTTTTACTCTTCCCAATATGCCCTATTTCTAACCACACATTTACAGGGAACCTCCTTTGTACCTGCCTTGACTCCAGGGAACTCACCCCTGAGAAGCTGAGGTGAAAGGAAGGGTGGACGGTTTGCTGTGCTAATGAGATGGGATTTTTGTCTCAAACCCTGACACAAATTTGTTTCTTAGACTATCAACTTATCCCTGATGGGCACAGCTTACACTTGAGTATTTGAGTACTGGTGTAACAGATGCCATGTGACAAAATAATTAAAATCCCAAAACGGAAGTGGCTAGTGTGACTTTTTATATAGGTCCTATCGTGAAAAGTGAGTCATCCATCATTTTATACTTCTCTATCTCTAACCCACTTTTTTCAGAATATTTACATCTTTCTCCAACCCCTCCCGTGATAACACTTGGCATTGTCCCTACCCAAGGGAATAAACTGAAACGCGGGAAAGGTGGTGGAAACAGAAACAATCAAAGTGGAAAAGGCATTAGTGAACAAGCTCTGAGACTTCTCAGATGTTTTTTTTTCCTCTTGCCAAGGAGAGACACTGGATATATTTTCTATGTTCCAAATGTTGCCAAATACCCTCCCACAATGTGGCACCCGAATTGTAAAAGCACATATTCAAATGCAAATAGGGTAAAAGCCCCAGATGCAGAACGTTAAGACTATTATATAATACAGTGAAATTATCATTTTTTCTCATCTCAAGATCTGTCATTATAACCTCTGCAAGTGAGGATGCTTAATTGGCAAAGCTCCCAGAGGAGAGAGAGCATCACGGTGAGCCTCCTTCTGCATGCTGACTAAGTGTGGGCCGACTTGGCACCGATACAGAAACATCCACTTTATTCCAGTATAGGCTGCAATTACACCCTTCACTCAAAGTCTATTCACTGACAGTGACCATCACTCTGAGAGGCTGTTTTCTGGAGTGCTAAGTCCCCAATAGCTACAGTGAGCTACAAAATCATCGTGCATCCACAACAATTTCTTTAAGTTTCGGGATCTTTGTTTTGTTTTGTTTTTGGTCCAGCACTAAGTCTTCATCCTAAAGAAAATAAGGAAACTAACATTACTTTCTTGATGCTATCATCAAGGTTCAGAGAAACCCCTTAATAAGTAAGTAGTTATTTTTCCTCACTTTACCTTCTGAGGTCATCACATATCCAAATATCTAATAAATTTTCCTCTACCTCCCCTGCATCAGCCAAGACATAGGTATCACTCTTTCAAAAGAAGACATGAAAATAACCTGCTTTGGATTCAGTCACATTACCCCAGGGATGGTGTATGGTCTCTCCACCCACCTCTGAAACTTACCTTTTGCATTTTGCTTTTGGTCCTGGCAATGCACCCTACAATCCTCAGTTTTCATTAACAACTAATATCCACAAGGCACTGGAGTATATTGCAGTTGGCTCAATCTTTCTAGAGCCCTAGACTGAATGTTAAGAAACAGGTGATTTTTTCCCCTTTCCACCTACTTTTATATTCACATAATCTTTCAGTTTCTTTTCTTTACAATGTCTATTTTTGATGATTTTAAAAGAAGTACATGCCTCGTAGAAATTTTGGAAAAGAGAAAAGTGTACAGAGAAAAATAAAAATAATTTTTAAAATTCTACCACCTGAAGGCAACATTGATAAAGATTTTTATGTATTTAGTTGTTCTTCAGTTTATTTGCCTGTGTGAATTCTGCAAATGGAAATAATATTGAATATAACAGTTCTGCATCTTGCTTTTATTTACACTACGGAAATCAAAGGTTGTGAGGAATATATTTTTAGAGGAAGAGAAAGAGTCAGGGAAGGAGGAGCAGGAGAAAGAGGCAGGTGGGAGGAGGAGGAGAATTTCTCAGCAGCATTATAGACCTGTTGAGGATTAGCAAGAATGAATCTAGAGTCTTTCTTCTCAGTGCGGTTTTATAACATACTAAAACAACACTCATAGAATCCTCTAGGATTTTAAAATAAAATTGACTAAGGGTTACCAAGCCGGGAGATGGTTAAGGCAGTTAGAGATTCTAAAGCAGCGTTGAGAACACGATTCAAAGAGCTGACTCTGACGTCTAGGTTCAGTATGGAGGTGAATAAACAGCAGATGGCCTGGAAGATACAGAGAGTTGAGGAACTGGAATACATGACGCAGTAAACAACATTCAGAAAGAACGAGGAAGTGGGGGACTTGACCTGTGGTCAAGAAGTATAATTTCAGCATTAAGGATCCTAAGGGTGGAAAATCTGGAAGAAAGATGAGCTACAAAAGATGGCTGTGCTGATAGCATACTGAAGTGAATTCGAGTTAAGGCTATGTCAGGTCAAGGTATAACAGTGATGTATGTCCATGCCTAGTGACCCCTCTAGAATGTCAGTCTCTGGAAGGGAGGGTTTTTAGATCATTCACTATCGTCTGTCCAGCATTAAAGAAGTCTAGATCATAGGAATTTGATGCGTATTTCTTTTTTTTTCTTTTCCCGTAACTGAGGAAACAAGACACATATTTCTTAAACAATGATAAATACAATCTGAATGTATAATGGTGTCAAGTTTGATAACCTGTTGTATCCATTCTACAATAAGGAGACACCCACCAAACAGATATTCCCATCGGCCTTTTGGGGAATGTTCTCTGGAAAGCTCTTAATAGATGACCTTCTAAGTGCTAGAGGCAATGTTAGATGCTGAAGACTTATAGACAAAAACGTTTCATTCTGCCGATAAACTTGGAGTATGGAAAATATCAAGTTAACCAACTAGCTACATGCTACAACAGAGTAGGCAGAGCGTGTTCTGGCTACACCCAGATCTAGGTTCTAAAAATAATTCCTAAAGGAGGTACTTCTGAATCTAACCTCTGAAGGGTATACAAATTTATCCCAGCAAAGGCAAGGCTAGATGTGTAGGTGGGAACAACTGGTATATTAAGGCCCACTCATAATAATTTTAGCTCAGGGTAAATTAAGTCGCAATGACTCTCCAACCAGCTCCCCGGGTCTGCTGGCAATAATGCTGCTCCTGTGGTGCCAATAACCTGAAAATCTCCAAGTAATACAAGAAAGTTATACACAGAAAACCTCCAAGTGATACACAGAAAAACCTAAAACCAACTCAATTCCAAACTTTACATGTTGTCATTTGGTAGACACAAATGTGAACTTCTTCCTGCAATAAAAACCTATGTTGACTTAGTTTAAAAGCAGCATATAAAGGATGTTGCCCATAATCCCCTAACCAAACACGGCATCTATTTTCTCTTTTCTCTGTCCTTGTAATAGACATCCTAATAGGTATACATAGTTTTGATGTAATTTACACCTATCTTTTACTTTCTTATGTTAAAATTTTCTGTTTATTATCATTTCAGGAAACGTTTCAGGATAGTAATAGAGATTAACAGCAACAGTGAAGCATTTTACCCCAGAGAAGGGTAAAAGTTGGAAATGTTGCTATTGATTCACCTAGGTTATGCCACTTTAATGTCAGTGTGCCTCAGTTTTCCCCTTTACAATACAGGGATTCAGGTCTTGAAAAAGATATTTAAATTGAATGCAATATCCTTCTTATGGGACTATAACTTTAAGTAATTTGCAGTGTACTTTCAAGAACTGGAAATGTTGACGTAGTTATTCTACTTCTGAACATCTCTCATTCAAAAAATAATGCTGTGGAAGAAGATGCTTTATGCACCTAGACATTTATCAAGTATTATTTATAATAGTTAAAAATTGGAAGTCTACATCCTTTGGGTTAGGCGTAATGATTTAAAAGACACTGTAAATCCACAGCATGTTATTCTACATTATGAATGATAATATACCACATTATGAAGTGGAAAATAAATTCATTCTTAAATTGTGTGAAATGCTAGAAATTATTCAATTTTCTTTGTGAGTCAATGCTTTCTAGTTTTTTTGTTTTTTTTGTTTTTTTTTTTTTTTTTCCGACAGAGTCTTGCTCTGTCACCCAGGCTGGAGTGCAGTGGTGTGATCTCGGCTCACTGCAACCTCCACTTCCTGGGTTCAAGCAATTCTCATTCCTCGGCCTCCCGATTAGCTGGGATTACAGGCACCCCCCACCATGCCCACTAATTTTTGTATCTTTAGTAGAGATGGGGTTTCAACATGTTGGCCAGGCTGGTCTCGAACTCCTGACCTCAAGTGATCCTCCTGCCTTGGCCTCCCAAAGTGCTGGGATTACAGGCGAGAGCCACTGTGCCTGGCCAGTGAATGCTTTCTGTATGTCAGAAGTTATTGCTTCTTTCCACCCTTTCCACCATGACCATGATAAGAAGACACTAGTTGCAAGTTACCTCTTCCCTCACTGGCCTTGGAAAAGACAAGAAAGAAAGACGTTTCTGTGGAATGTAACAAGCAGAAAAGGACTGAAGATAATGAGACAGATTAAGGAAAGATGAATCACAGGCTGTGAAACTGCTATGAAAATAAAACAGTATTATTATACAATTCATTATAAATAGTCTATGACTAATTTAGCACTTTAGCCATAAGCGTTCAGAAAAAAGAAATTCAGATCATGCTTGTCTTGCTGGCCACAGAACTCAGAAAATGCTCTGAGGCAGAGGAAAACAAGTCCTCAGTGCATTTGAGTGTTTTAAAATAGAATCACATAGAGCCACCTTGGGTCAATATGACATCTCTTGTATTCTGGACTTTCTTCTAACTTTAAATGCTATTTGAATTTTTGCCAGAGACAACTTGTGGAATGTTCTGAGCCCAGTTTGGAATTTTATTTACAAAATGGGGTAGATTTCAATAGAAGTAGTGTCCTGGGGCATCCACTGAATGGATGGATGCTCCACTTAGCCTTGAAAATATGATCCCTCAGCCACAGTCAGGCGAGCCCCCCAGGATGGGGAGGGCACCATGAGGTGTTACTTATCCTTTCTGAGACAAAAACAACCCCTTCCCAGTCTTTAGGTATTTTAAACATAGTCTTAGCATGTAGCTGAAAAAATGGGGGTTGGGGGAGTCAGGTCCAGACTGATCTAGTATGTGGAAAATAAGCAAGTAGGAGTGAAAGCATTGATTCTGGCAAATTCCCCAAGCCGAAATCCAAGTATAGGCCCATTTAAAAGTAGACTGGAGTTGCCAAGGCAGAATTTCCTTCTTAAAATTCAGATAATTAGTTGCTAGCAGTGCTGAATATTAAACAGGAAATTCAACTTCCAAAGATGTTTCAATAATAGAATTCTGAAAACAAGCATTTTCCTAATATGAAGTGTTACATGCAAAGCACCAGCACCATAATAAGTAAAGGTATTGGAATTAACTAGGCCTTCATACAACACATACTAGTTGTGTGAATGCCAGCAAATCATTTAACCACTTTAACCTCAGTGGCCATATATCTCTGGTTGTAACTATGTCTTTGTAAACAGGACTCTCTACTAACTCACCATAAATTCAGAGAAAAATAAATGTCCCTGATTCCTCTAGGCTAAACATTTATATAGAGAAAAACAAATTCAAATAAGCTATCAATGGAGATCTGTTAAGTACAATATAGCTGTGGTAAATGGACACCTTGTCTTGCTTGAAGGCTGTACTCCAGAAAAGAAACAAAGTCAAAAAAATTCTTAAATTTTGAAACCAGATCAT
Organism: Homo sapiens; assembly: GCF_000001405.40. Classification (NCBI taxonomy): domain Eukaryota; kingdom Metazoa; phylum Chordata; class Mammalia; order Primates; family Hominidae; genus Homo; species Homo sapiens. The sequence continues at coordinate 120,659,107 of NC_000001.11, forward strand.
TAATTTTCTTGAATGTTACTTCCATTTTCCAAATTTTCACAGATACAGCAAGCAAATGCAATTAATGCTTGCATTTTATTAAATCAAATTGCAGGGGAATAGAAAACAAAACAAAACAGACTAATTTGCTTTCCTTTTTTAACCTTCAGTCTTATAGTTTGCCCTTAAACATTTCTAGTTCACTCTTTTCTTGAGTTATGTGTTCGGGGAAGTTGTATAAGGTTCATATATGATTCACCTGATGTTTACTCAGCTTTCTCATATGCTAGAAACCAGAACATTTCCACTGAAATGGGGAAGATAATTAGTAATGACTTTTTCAGCATTGAACGATGTGGTAGGCTAAAATAATGGCCTTATAAGAATGTCCACATTCCTAATCCCCAGATCCTGTGTATATGCCACTTTCCATAGCAAGAGAGGGCTTTGCAGATGTGACTAAAGATTTTGAGATGAGGAGATTATCCTGGATTATCTGGTTGGGTCCAATGTAATCATAAGGGTCCTAGTAAGAGGGACACTGGAGGGTCAGAATGATCAAAGGAGATGTGATGATAGAAGCAGAGGCCAGTGATGGCATTGCTGGAAGGGGCTATGAACCCAGAATGTGGGCAGTCTCTAGAAGCCATGAAGGGCAAGGAACAAATTCTCCTTTAGAGCCTCTAGAAGGAGCACAGTCCTGCTGATACCTTGGTTTTAACCTAGAAGACCAAATTTCAGACTTCTGACCTCCAGAACTTTAAGGCAATACATTTGTACTGTTTTAAGCCACTAAGTTTGTGGTGATTTGGCTGGGCGCAGTGGCTCACATCTGTAATCCCAGCACTTTGGGAGGCCAAGGTGGGTGGATCACTTGAGGTCAGGAGTTTGAGACCAGCCAGGCCAACATGGTGAAACCCCGTCTCTACTAAAAATACAAAAATTAGCTGAGTGTGGTGCCATGTGCCTGTAATCCCAGCTACTTGGGAGGCTGAGGCAGGAGAATCCCTTGAACCTGGGAGGCGGAGGTTGCAGTGAGCCAAGATTGCACCACTGCACGCTAGCCTGGGCAACAGAGTGAGACTCCATCTCAAAAAAAAAAAAAAAAAAAAGTTTGTGGTGATTTGTTACACCAGCAATAGGAAATTAATACAAACAGTAATCCTGAAGTACTGATAATCTTTAAAGCAGAAGGTGTAGGGAGTTGCTAGTCCAGACAGGTGGATGTTAAAAATTTAGAGCAGTAGAAGCTGTTTGCCTGGTTGACACTGGACCTGCCGGGTGAGAAAACCTCCCCTCATCATCAAGTTCTTCATCAGCTCCATGAGCTTATTCTTTTGACAACTCTCGCCCTGTTCACGGAAATAAATCTGAAAGCTGGTGACCAAATCAGCTTTTTGTAATGCCAGTATATTCATAGAAAATTTGCTATTCCAGAGCCAACCATGCTCTGTCCAAATGATTTAACCAGTGAGTTTGGCAACAGTCAGGTAACAGCCCCAGCGGGTAGGGGGAACCTTTCCATTGAGCTGTAGAGGGGCAGATGATGTGTAGCTGGGAGTAGAGCATATCTAACTTTGAGAACTAAAATATCAAGCACCTTGTCCTTTGTGGGTAAATTGAGCAAGTAGCTAGCTTCAGAAACAAGTCATAAACTGAGTCACCTACAAAACTCTACTAAAATAAAGTAAAAGCATAGATTTTGGAATTAAACGGTTCAAGGCTATATTTCTTTCTCAGCTGTGTGTGTCACTCTGGGAAAATTATTTAATCTTTCTGAAGCTCAATTTCCTTTTCTTAGAAATGAGTATAACATTTACTTCATAGGGTTGTAAGGATTAGGTGAATTAAGTATTCAAAGAGATTAGCACACAATTAAAGCTTAATAAATGTTATCAATTATGGTTAATTTTTATTCTTTCAATCCCCTATCCACTGTGTACCCAGAGCAGCCAATGCGTATCTCTGCCTTAGTGTCTCTCTATTAAAATTAGAGATGATGAGAATGTAAAGCCATTAAAGGCAGAGACCCAGTCTCATTCATTGCATTCATTGTTTTATTCTTACCATCTAGCACAGCGTCTGACCTGTTTGGGGCTCTCAAAATTTATTTATTTATTTATTTATTTTTGAGACAGAGTCTCACTGTGTCACCCAGGCTGGAGTGCAGTGGTATAATCTCAGCTCACTGCAACATCCGCCTCCCGGGTTCAAGGGATTCTCCTGCCTCAGGCTCCTAAGTAGCTGGGACTACAGGTGCAGACACCACACCTGGCTAATTTTTGTATTTTTAGTGGAGATGGGGTTTCAGCACGTTGGCCAGACTGGTCTCGAACTTCTGACCTCAAGTCATCCACCTGCCTTGGCCTCTCAAACTGTTGAGACTACAGGCGTGAGCCATTTCATCCGGCCCTCAAATTTTTAATAAGTGTTTATGAACAAATCTGATCTGTGAGTTAGGAAGGATCTGAGATGTCAGCCATAATCTGTGATTATAGGATTTTTCCAACTGTGACCCATTAGGTGGAGAAATAAATTCAGTGAATCAGAGCCAACATTTTATTTTTAAAGAAAAAGAATAGAATAGCAAATATCAGAGTGCAAAACACATAGTAAAGTTAAGTATTGTTACAAGAAACTTTGTTACATATGTAAGTGTACTTGGTGGCAATGTAAATATATTACTTATTGTGAGTAGTGGTTAAAAAATATGTGAACATTCTGAATGTTCCACCTTGCCAGCATTTGCTACTTTCTATCTTTTTAATTTCAGCCATTCTGATATGTATATAGCAGCATGGTGTTGTGGTTCTAATTTGCATTTCCCTGATAACTAGTGATGTGGAGCACCTTTTCACTATGTTCTTCCCTTTGGATACCCTCTTTTTTTTTTTTTTTTTTTTTTTTTTTTTTTTTTTTTGAGATGTAGGCTCGCTCTGTCACCCAGGCTGGAGTGCAGTGGCGCGATCTCGGCTCACTGCAAGCTCCGCCTCTCAGGTTCAGGCCATTCTCCTGCCTCAGCCTCCCGAGTAGCTGGGACTACAGGTGCCTGCAACCACGCCCGGCTAATTTTTTGTATTTTTAGTAGAGACGGGGTTTCACCGTGTTAGCCAGGACTATCTCGATCTCCTGACCCCGTGATCCGCCCGCCTCGGCCTCCCAAAGTGCTGGGATTACAGGCGTGAGCCACCGCGCCTGGCCTGGATACCCGCTTTAGAAATCTCTTTTGTAATCTGTTTAAAAAAAAAACAATCTGGCAGTATTTACTAAATCTGAACATGCATTTCCTATTACGCAGAAATCATACTTCTACTTATTTACTCAACAGAAATGTGTACATATGTTCACCAAAAGACCTGTACAGAAATGTTCATAGCAACACTGTTTATAATAGCTCCAAACTGGAAATTGCCCAAGTGCCTATTAAGAATACAATGGACAAATAAATTTGATATATTTATACACTATAGAAGCCTATTTAAAAGCAAGAATAAATGGACTACAGTACCATATAACAGTATAGAACTCCAAAAGCAAAAGATTGAGTGAAAGGAGCCACGTACGAAAGAGTACATGGTGTATAATTTCATTTACATAAAGTTCAAAACTAGGCAAAATTATTCTATGGTGTTAAAAATTAGGATAATGATTATCCTTGAAGTCATCAGGAGGGCTTCAGGGATGCTGGTAATGTTCCCTTTCTCTATCTGAATGCCCATCCCATGAGTATACTCAGTTTGTCAAATTAATTGGACTGTAAATATATAATTTGCGATTTTTCCAAATCATTTCTGAATTTGTCTGAAATTGTTACATGTAAATATAAAATTTTTAAAACTTAATAAATAATACTTTTTTCTTCAAGTGTGAAAAACACTGGCAGAGAGCAAAAGGCCCTGATACACTCACTCCCATCACCATCAAGTGGTCATCTAGCCTTTGCCTGAGTAACTCCAGGGTCAACAATCTCTTTACTGCCCATACTGCCCAGGCAGCTAACTTGTTAGAAAGCTTTTTTTTAATTTTTTTTTGAGACGGAGTCTCGCTCTGTAGCCCAGGCTGGAGTGCAGTGGCGCGATCTCGGCTCACTGCAAGCTCCGCTTCCCGGGTTCACGCCATTCTCCTATCTCAGCCTCCCAAGTAGCTGGGACTACAGGTGCCCGCCACCACGCCCGGCTAATTTTTTTTGTGTTTTTAGTAGAGACGGGGCTTCACTGTGTTAGCCAGGATGGTCTCAATCTCCTGACCTCGTAATCCGCCCCCCTCAGCCTCCCAAAGTACTGCGATTACAGGCATGAGCCACCTCGCCCGGTCTTTTTTTTTTTTTTGAGGCGGAGTTTCGCTTTTGTTGCCCAGGCTGGAGTGCAATGGCGTGATCTCGGCTCACCACAAACTTCTCCTCCCGGGTTCAAGCGATTCTCCTGCCTCAGCCTCCGGAGTAGCTGGGATTACAGGCATGTGCGACCACGCCCGGCTAATTTTGTATTTTAGTAGAGATGGGGTTTCTCCATGTTGGTCAGGCTGGTCTCGAACTCCCGACCTCAGGTGATCCGCCTGCCTCAGCCTCCCAAAGTGCTGGGATTACAGGCATGAGCCACTGCACCTGGCCAGAAAGCTTTTTCTTTACACTGAGCCATAACTCGCCTCCCAACAACTCGCTTGCATCGGTTGTTCTGTCCTCCTAAGAGATTCTAATGTGATTCAATCCCTCTACCACCAATAGCTCTTCGGAAATTTGAAGGAAGCTACCACATCCTCCCCACTCCCAGTCGTCATTTCTCCGGACTCAGGAGTCCCAGGTCCTTCCTTTGGCCATCCCTCAAGGCATGGCTTTGAGTTCCCTCCTGTCTCTTGATTGTACTTATTTTATCTAATGATGCCCAGAACTAAGCACAGCCCTCTCGGAGAGGCCCAAGAGGAGCAGAAAGGAGCCAAAAGTAAAATCATCACTTTTGATCTAGACAGAATCTAGACAGCCTACTTCTTCTGTCAACAAACCCTAAGCTTCAATTTGCTCCTTCTTTAATATTCACATTATACCATTCACTCCTGTTGAGCTTAGCAATCAACTAAAACACCCAAGTCTTTTGCATAAGCCCCAAATTTACCTTCTGTGTTTGTACGGTCTTCACTCTCTCAGGAGTCAGAGCGCTCATTTGGCCCCACCCCAATTCTCCAAAGCTAAATCCCACAGATGGAAGCGTATCTGTTATAGAGACACCGCTGGAATAGTCTCCCTACCCTCCCACCCACTAAAAAACAGAAACGAAGTCTTTGTCTCAATACATGGTCTCTTATCCTTACCCTTTCCTTGAATGGGGCTTCATTTTAAAGTGTGTTTGGGGGAAGGACTGGAAGAAAACGCAGTTTCACAGGCCATCTCCAAAATCTGACCTAAAAGCCAACTGTTGCCCGGCCTCAATAAAGCCTGAGCAGTGTGGTGCCCTGATCTCTTTCCTTCTCCATTCCTCCCCCAAGTGGGCTCCAACTGGAGGTTGTGGAGATGAGTGCTGCTGGGCTCTGCTCACTCAGTCCCTTTGCCTTTGTGTGAGTAGTGACAGATGAGGCTGAGAAGGAAAACGTGGCAGGGTGAGAATAAACCTGATATTGTTCAAAGCATCTGACATCAAACATATCTCTCAGGAAGACCTACTGGAATCCCTCTAGCCACACGAACAAGGAAACGACAGAGAACCATTTCTACAGAAAGTTCCAGGCGGCCTCCCTGGGTATTTTTAACATCAGGACTCGGTGGAGGGGAGAGTCATTAAGCAAGGGAAACCCCGTAAAACAGAACATGTGAAAATGACCAAGAGAGGTGGGCTGGGAACCAGGCAGGGCGAGGCTACAGAAAAGGGAAGCTGTCACGGGACCCTGGTGGTGAGGGGCGACCTCTCTCTCCCTAAGGGCTCTGGGGGAGGGGAGGGAGGAGGACCACCAAGTCTGGAGTGCGGCGAGAAGGAAACAGCCCACCTACCTCGTCCAGGTCTGCTCCATTTTCCAGGCTCTTTCCTTAGTCTCAGGACGCTCCTCACCCGGGAGGGGAAGCAGCCTGGGAAAATGAGAAGCCTTGCCCACGAATCTCCAGCGCAAAAGGCAGCAGCTTTTTCCTCCCCAGCTCCTTTCTGCGTCGGCGGCGAAGAGAGAGCTCTGCTCCCTGCTTTTTTAGAAAATGGATTTGACGTGGCCGAACCTGCGGCTAGCCGTGAGACCCGCACGAGGGAGGGACTGTTCTCAGTAGGAGGCTGGACTCGGAGCGGCGCGGCGCCCGGGGCTGTTTCGTGAGCTGGAGCCAGCGGCTGCCCGGGCGGCGGTGCGCGCACTCTCCAGGCTGAGACACGACTGGCTGGCACGAGTTGCTCGGCACCAGCTGAGCTGTCAACCGCGAGCGGAGGCGGGGCTCCCGACAACCAGTGTGCTGGGGCACAATCGGCCCAGGTTGCACGCCCCCTGAACCACCCTCGCGTCTCCCCGACCCCTCTCTCGCTGGCTCAGATGAATGATGACGGCAGAGGGCAGAGAGCTTAGAGGACGCCGTACCAAGCCCCGTCCCTCGCCCATCCCAACGAAGGTCTTAGAATACAATCAACCAACTACAGGAAGAATTTGTAGAGGAGGTTTTCTTGTGTGTCTGCATCGCCCCACCCACAGGTAACCCCAGAGCCAGAGATGGAGTCTAGGAAGGTTTAGGAGCAATCCCGGCTGAATGCAGACGTATACCCTACGTGGTCATGGAACACGATGTTGTCTTCCTAGAGATGTGACATGACAGTTTCACCATTAATCCAGGGACAGGACCCTTCATCAGGAAGGGAAGCATCCCAACAAAACCTTACAGCCCTATTAGCTGCCTGTATCCCAGACATCTCCTGTTTTAGGGTATTCTACCTCCTCGTTTTTCAGTTTCGCCAGCAACTGGGCTCTACCAATAGCTTCAAGGAGGGAGAAGCTTCCTGACTCCCAGAACACTAGAAAAGCCTCAAGACAGTAGCCATCAGGACCTAGACACTCCCTTGTGACTGTTTTAAGATCATGGAAAAGGCCTCTTTGGAGATGGCATTGCCTCAGGCCCTGTACCATGTACTTATGTATCAAGATTTAAACAAGGCAGACATACTATAATTAGAGTGCTTGCCACCCTGAAGCTCCTTTTTAGCTTTCAAATAAGACCGTTTTATTAAATGACATAATCACTGTTATTATTAGCACTATCACTGACCTTTTTTTTATTTGAAAAAGGCTTTATAGTGCCCACATGTGGCAATGTTAATTTCGTTGTACTTGTTTCAGAGATGATAAATTTGAGACCCCAAAAGGCCCAAAGTCTCTGCTAAGGTTCTGATACAGGCTGTGTTCTCCATTGGGTGGCCCCAGAGATATGTTCCCTGAATTTCTAAAGCTACGACCCACAAGACTTCTCCAGGATGAATTTATTCTTTCAGGCCTCCTAGGCATTTAACTCAGGAAGAACCTGGCATGCCTGGGTATTGGTGAGACTGTGGGGAGTCTGTGTTCTTGGGGGAACCTGTCATCTGTCTGTTATCTCTTGGATTGGTTCCCCTACATACTAGTACAAAGTAGGGGTGGGGAGGGGAGGATAACAAAACATTTGAAGGTTTAGCAGAACTGTCTAAAAAGCCCCTAGTCTAGACTCCTCCAACACTTGATTTATTGGTAGGACCACACTGCTCCAGAGCTCAAAATGTTACCAGGAAAAATTTCAAGGTCCAGTTTGATCTTAGACAAGGCTCACAGGCCACCTGTCTTGAAAAGAATATCCTGTTGCCTCTGATGGGGGGGAAGAAAAGGCAGGGAGAGTCAGATTCCCATCCTTCATACCAAAGTTGGGGCTATATTTAGCTTTGTCTCAAATCAAATGATGGGCTACCGAGTTGTGGAGAGGAACTCTGTCTACAGGCAGCTCACTGGATTCAAGAAATGATAGCACTAACTAGGTGAGCTGTGGGGTCTCAGAAGTGACGCTAGAAAATACGTTCATGTATTTTTAAAATAACTTTTTTCAAAAGTTTATAGCACATTCATTGTAAAAACATTTGAAAAATACAGAAAGTTATATAGATTACTCAGAATACCCAGGGATCTTCAATATTAAAAATGTGTTGCATTTTTTTCCCACTCTTTAAAAAATGCATCTTTTAATCCAAACACCAACTCTTTCTTACACACATGGGTATATTCTTGAGAAGAGAAATTTCCTTGTTGTTTTAAAAATTATACTTATTGTCAAAAGAACAATCTTTTTGCGTTAGATTTCAGAAGAAAAATATTCACCCATATAACCACTGCTACAGCACAAATGTTTAAATTTCTCCAAATTCCCTTTAGTCGTTATCTATATATATTAAATATCTATTTACATAATTACGATTACAGCTTAGGTATATGTTTATATTCTCCTTCTTTCACTTAGTAAATATTTGTCCATGTTTTTAGGGAAAGTTCATAGTTATTATTCTAATGAGTGTACAATATTTTATAATATTAGTAGGACCATAGATTACTTAAAATATTCTACTATTGCATAGTTATGCTGTTTCTGATATTAGACTGTTATAAATAATGCCTTAATGAAGAGCTTTCTGCCTTTATCATTCTCCTTTTTTGAATTATGCTATGGTTGAATGTATGTATGCCTTCAAAATTCATACATTGGTACTTAATACCGAGTGTTATAGTACTACAGGGTGGGGCCTTTTAGGAATATGTCTTAGGAAGTGATAAGGCATGAACACTCCACTCTCATGAATGGGATTAGTGCTCTTAAAAAAGAGGTTGAAAGGATTGCTCTGGTCCCTTTTGTCCTCTGTCCCTCCAGCCATGTGAGGACACAGCATCTGTGGCAACAAGGAGCCATCTTGGGAGCAGAGAGCAAGCTCTTCCAGACACTGAATCTGCCAGCACCTTGATCTTGGTCCAGCCTTCAGAACTGTGAGAAATAAATTTCTATTATTCACAAATTACCCAGTCTAAGCTATTTTGCTATAGCAGCAGGAATGGACTAAAGACGATTTTCCTGGGATAAAAGGACTTTCTAATTTTATTATCTTAGCCTCAAAAGCACTAGAAATTCTCCTTTTATTTTTTTTCTTATTTAATTTGTAAATAATTGGATAGTTATATTTTAGTTCTATATCCAGCTAGTATACAAATAATGTAACACCATCTCATTTTGCTTTACATTTCTTAGAATACTAGCTAGTAAGGTCTTATTTCATATCCTTTCTTGGAAACCATATGTGTAGTAGCCAGTCTCATGAAATCCTTGTGTTGAGTCACTGTATTAGTCATCTTTTTGCTGAAACAATGCTGCTCAACAAAGAACTCCCCAATCTCAGTATTATACAACACACATCCATTTCTCCCTCAAGGATCTATAGTTTAGGTATGGATTGGTTTAAGTCTGTCGTTTTCATGGCAGAGTGCAGGAGTGCAAGAGAGTTGGCAGAGACTCATGATGACTGGTCTCTGCTCAGAACTGGCACAGTCTCGCTTCTGCCATTTTCCGTTCACCAAAGTAAGTAACATGGCCAAGTCCAAAGTCATTGGTGCAGAAAAGTACAGTCTGCCCACAGAGTGCAGGAGGGGAGAGTAATATTTGTGGAACAATAATGCAATCCACCAGTCACTGTATGTGCTGCTTTCTTGCTTTTTGTTAAGCTTTTCTCCTTGTAGATACATGGTAACTTTATTCTTCCTCATCCCATTTTAACTTAGTTATGACTTTTGAACAGTGAAATGTAACTTGTTTCGTTGGCTGAAACGTGAGAGGAAGTCTCATGTGGTCACTTCTGGGAAGAACGCAGACATTTTTAAGAGCTAGTACATAATTGGCCCTTTTCAGTTTCTGCTGTTTTATTGATCCTTGAAGATCAATAAGATGAAGCTTTCATCAACCTAAGTCCCTGAGTTACTGTGATGGTCAGAGCCTTCCTGCTAACCCTAATTGAACATGTAGAATGAGCAAGAAATTCATTTTTGTTGTATTAAGTTACTGAGATTTGGAGATTATTTATTACTGGAGCATAATCTAGCCTATCCTAACACATTGCTTTTTATTTCCATTTGGCAACCAAGTATTGTTATGTGTGTGTCTGCTCTCAGTTTTCTGGCTTAGAACTCAAATAACCGGCCGGGCGCGGTGGCTCACGCCTGTAATCCCAGCACTTTGGGAGGCCGAGGCGGGCGGATCACGAGGTCAGCAGATCGAGACCATCCTGGCTAACACGGTGAAACCCCGTCTCTACTAAAAATACAAAAAATTAGCCGGGCGAGGTGGCGGGCGCCTATAGTCCCAACTACACGGGAGGTTGAGGCAGGAGAATGGCGTGAACCTGGGAGGCGGAGCCTGCAGCGAGCCGAGATCGCGCCACTGCACTCCAACCTGGGCGACAGCGAGATTCCGTCTCAAAAAATAAATAAATAAATAAAAAGAACTCAAATAACCTGGGTAAATGATGTTGATAAATTAAACTATTCATTTTATTCTTTCCTGAGGGCACTGCTCTTAGTTTGGTCAACTGATTGTGCTTCAGGGAATACCTGAATTGATGATAAGGGACAAAAAATCGGAAGGTGTCACAGTCTTTACAGTCAGCTCCAAATATTCCAATGATACTTTTACCTTTCATTCAGTTTTTAAAATTCATTTTCCTTTTCTTCTCTCCAACTTGTTTCTGGGTAAAAAGGATTATTGATGTTGATATAGTTTACTGCATAATCTATACATCAATAATAAAAATAGCTATGTCTAATATATTTTTGCCAGATCCTCCTCTAACAATTGTGTGTGTACTAACTCTTTTCATCCTCGCAGCAGTCTTTTGAGGTAGGCTCTAGTTAATGCCCACTTTACAAATGACTAATGTGGAGCACAGGGAGGTAAATTATACTGCCCACATTCACAAAGCTGATTGATGGCAAAGCTGAGATTTGAAACCAATCAGTTTTGTTTCAGAATGGCCTGCCTAACCATTTTGCGTACTGCTTCCCTAATTTTGACACGTAACATTGGCTGGGACTTAGATAGGAGGACAATATGTCTGCAACATCTGTCACTTCAGTGATCCCTGTGATCACCTGGTTAGTCAGAACATGATGTCTTCTTGATCCGTCACAGCTCCATGTCTGTCTCTCTAACCTTGGGCTTAAAAAACAAATGCCCTTTCCAGACAAAGAGGCATCATTCTGAGATCAAGGATACAGTGTCTGTAGTAGATTAAAGATGACCACAAATTACTTGCTACTTCTCCCATTGAGAGGTGGAATCTAATTCTCCTCCCTTTAATATGGGCTACCCTTAGAGACTTACTTGACTAATAGAATACAGCAGAAGAGATGTCTGACTGGCCAGGCTAAGTAAGTAAGAAGCCTTGTAGCTTCCATGTGAGACTCTTGGGACATGTCTTCTAAGGCCTAAGCTGCTGGATAAGTCAAACTACCATGCTAGATAAACCACGTGCAGAGGCCATGAGACCACATGACAAGGGGAGGGGCCTAGCTGAGCACAACGACCAGCAGTTCCCATCAGGGTGCCAGGCATTATGTGTGAAGCAGTCTTCCATCAGCTGGACACAACTGAGCAACCCTAACTGTGGCCACTATGGAATAAATTTGCCCTGCTGAACCATGCTAGAATTATTGATTACCAAAATGATGAGATACAATAAATTGCTTATTGTGCTAAGTTTTGGAGTAGTTTACTAAGTAACAATAGATAACTGGAACTAAATTTGGTATCTGAAAGTGGACTTTCACTATAACAAAAACTGAAAACAAATGGCAATGACTTTGTACCTGGTTGCCACAGAAGTTAGAAAGGCCTCGAGAAAAATGTTAGTGAATACTGGAAGGACATCGAGGAGACTGCTGGAGAGACTGAAGGACAGTAAAGAAAATACTATGGGGGGTGGCTGAAGAAATGACCTGTGTTATGTAATGGCAGAAAGTTTTCGTCTTTGATAATGTGGGAAAATAGAAAAGGTGCCCAATGAATGGGAGGATCTGGCTAAGGAGATTTTCAGCAGAATTTCAAAACTACAAAGAGGTTTCTTTTAGCCACATTATTATCAGATATTGATTAAAAAAAAAAAGAAAAAAAAGTGGGCTAAAAAAGGAGCCATTTGGTTTTTAAGCAGAATTTAGAGGAATTATAAAGAGGCAGGACTTGCTGGGTTCAGAAGAGATCGGGTGCATTCAGGGTGGCATGGCCGTAGACTTTGCTGGGTTCAAACATCAAACTACTTCTCATCCTCAATCTCTCTAGACAGGGAAAGTTTTCAAAATAAGAAATGGCTCCAGGGCAAAAATAAATTCCAAGATGTGACAGCTAGACCCATGATTAAGACCTCAATTAAGGTGGTGCCTCATATATCCTTTCAGTTAAACAAAAAGCCTTCTACAATCTTGGGCAATGCACCTCTCCATTGGACAAAAGAGTTTCTAAGAATTTTAAGGTTCTGTTATCCCATGTCGGACTCACAGTTAGTCCAAGCAAGGTGAAAAAGCTGGCTTCAGAATGAAATGTGGGTGTGGCTTTTGCCTAGTAAAGTTCATTATCAATTAGTATATAAGACGCCTTAACATTTTTAAGTGAATTATACCAGCATGGACTGACTGAAAAGGATGAAGAGAGTACAAAGTGAAAAGATGCCTTTGGACCCTCAACCTGCCTCAGAGAAGCAGGCTGAGAAAGTTACCCAGCCAAAAACAAGGATTACTTCTTAGGGAAAAAGAAGAACGGCTCAAAGAATGGAACCAAGAGCCCAGAGGACTGATGGATAGCCAGAGGGAATCACTCCCAGGAGCAGGACTGGGCCCTAATCAAGGAACTGGTAATATGTACTCAGCTAGATTTCAAAATTGCTGTGGACTACTGACCGCTGTATGCCTCTGTTCTCTGACTCTTCGAATGGGAGTGCCTATTATGGTTATCCTATCTCTGTCCCATTGTTTCTTGGGTGTGAGAGCCCCAGTGACTTCAGATCAAGGGGAACTATACTCAAGGAGCTGAGTGCCAGGAGCCTCATCATCACCTGAATTTGAGTTAGATGGTGAGAAAGTGGACTTCTAGGCTGATGCAGTAAATGTCAGGAAACTTTTGAGGGCTTTAGGAGAGTGTGAGTTTATTTTGCTTGTGGTAATAATGTCTGTGGCCAGAGGAAAAGGAATGTGGTAGATTCAAGATGGCTACAAATTTTTTGCTACTTCTCTTATTCAGAGGTAGAATCTAATTCCCCTCCCTTGGATCTAAGCTGGTCTTCATGACTTGCTTGACCAATAGAATGCAGTTCTAGGCCATAAACTCCTGAACCTGGGCAATAAGAAACCTTGCAGTTTCCAGTAGGCCTCTTGATATACTGAGCTGCCATGAAAGAAATCCGACTACCTTGCTGGAGCTATAGAGAGGAGAGGTCTTGAGGCCACCAGCAGTCCTCAAAGGCATCAGGCACACAATATAAGTGAAGTTACCTGGGACCTCCAGAGCAGCCCTGCCTTCCACTGAATACCAGCAAGTGACCCAGTCAATACTGCATGGGGAAAACAAATTGCTCAGCTGAGACCTGTCCAAATTACTGACCCACAAAATCATAAGATACAATAAAATGGTTGTTTTGAGCTACTGAATTGTGGGGTAGATTGTTTATGCAGGAATAGACAACTGAGATCATGCCTTAAAATGGACACAGTATTTCTGATGCATTATCTCATTCATTCATCCAATAAATAATTACTGTGAACCATTATGTGTCAGGCACTACTCTTTATTCTAGAGACACAGTAGTTTAAAAAAAGGCCAGCAAAGACCCTGTTTTCATGGAGCTTACAATCTACTGGTTTAGATAGATAATAAGTAAAGGAATAACTACAATATGCCAGATGGTGATAAGGGCGATAAAGATAAGTGAAGCATGTCAAGGGAGCATCCCAGCAAGACAACCCTCTTTTTATAGAAGAGAAAACAGAGTCTTAGAAAGATTAAATAATAGGCAGTAAGAGAAGCAAGTTCCTAGGTACAATGAAACTGGAGTTTCACTTGATGAAACACTGTTCAATAGAATTTATAAATTCAAATTGTTGTTTAGCACAACAGAGGAACCTAATAGGCAGAAGTGTGGCTTGGATGGATGTTCCTGACTACCCAGGCTGTCCAAGTAAACTGTTGTATATACAAGAATGAAAAGATCTGAGGTGGAGCCAAGGTGGCCAAATAGGAACAGCTCCAGTCTAGAGCTCCCAGCGTGAGCGATGCAGAAGACGGGTGATTTCTGCCTTGCCAACTGAGGTACTGGGGAGTGTCAGAAAGTGGGTGCAGGGCAGTGGGTGCACTGCACCCAGCATGAGCCAAAGGAGGGCGAAGCATCACCTCACCCGGGAGGCACAAGAGGTCAGGGAATTCCCTTTCCTAGTCAAAGAAAGGGGTGACAGATGGCACCTGGAAAATCGGGTCACTCCCACCCTAATAATGCACTTTTCCAACAGTCTTAGCAAACGGCACACCAGGAGATTATATCCCGTGCATGGCTCGGGGGGTCCTACGCCCATAGAGCCTCCCTCATTGCTGGCACAGCAGACTGAGATCGAACTGCAAGGCGGCAGCGAGGCTGGGGGAGGGGCGCCTGCCATTGCCGAGGCTGGAGTAGGTAAACAAAGCAGCCTGGAAGCTCGAACTGGGTGGAGCCCACTGCAGCTCAAGGAGGCCTGCCTGCCTCTGTAGACTGCACCTCTGGGGGCAGGGAATAGTCAAACAAAAGGCAGCAGAATCCTCTGCAGACTTAAATGTCCCTGTCTGACAGCTTTGAAGAGAGTAGTGGTTCTCCCAGCACACAGCTTGAGATCTGAGAATGGACAGACTGCCTCCTTAGGTTGGTCCCTGACTCCCAAGTAGCCTAACTGGGAGGCCCCCCCTCCAGTAGGGGCAGACAGACACCTCACATGGCCGGGAACTCCTCTGAGACAAAACTTCCAGAGGAACGATCAGGCAGCAACATTTGCTGCTCACCAGTATCTGCTGTTCTGCAGCCTCCGCTGCTGATACCCTGGCAAACAAGGTCTGGAGTGACCTCAAGCAAACTCCAACAGACCTGCAGCTGAGGGTCCTGACTGTTAGAAGGAAAACTAACAGACAGAAAGGACATCCACACCAAAACCCCATCTGTACATCACCATCATCAAAGACCAAAGGTAGATAAAACCACAAAGATGGGGAAAAATAGAGCAGAAAAACTGGAAACTCTAAAAATCAGAGTGCCTTTCCTCCTCCAAAGGAATGCAGCTCCTCGCCAGCAATGGAACAAAGCTGGATGGAGAATGACTTTGACAAGTTGAGAGAAGAAGGCTTCAGACGATCAAACTACTCTGAGCTAAAGGAGGAAGTTCGAACCCATGGCAAAGAAGTTAAAAACCTTGAAAAAAAATTAGACGAATGGCTAACTAGAATAACCAATACAGAGAAGTCCTTAAAGGACCTGATGGAGCTGAAAACCAAGGCACGAGAACTACGTGACAAATGCACAAGCCTCAGTAGCCGATTCCATCAACTGGAAGAAAGGGTATCAGTGATGGAAGATGAAATGAATGAAATGAAGCAAGAAGAGAAGTTTAAAGAAAAAAGAATAAAACGAAATGAACAAAGCCTTCAAGAAATATGGGGCTATGTGAAAAGACCAAATCTACGTCTGATTGGTGTACCTGAAAGTGACGGGGAGAATGGAACCAAGTTGGAAAACACTCGGCAGGATAATATCCAGGAGAACCTCCCCAATCTAGCAAGGCAGGCCAACATTCAAATTCAGGAAATACAGAGAATGCCACAAAGATACTCCTTGAGAAGAGCAACTCCAAGACAAATAATTGTCAGATTCACCGAAGTTGAAATGAAGGAAAAAATGTTAAGGGCAGCCAGAGAGAAAGGTCGGGTTACCCTCAAAGGGAAGCCCATCAGACTAACAGCGGATCTCTTGGCAGAAACTCTACAAGCCAGAAGAGAGTGGGGGCTAATATTCAACATTCTTAAAGAAAAGAATTTTCAACCAGAATATCATATCCAGCCAAATGAAGCTTCATAAGTGAAGGAGAAATAAAATACTTTACAGACAAGCAAATGCGGAGAGATTTTGTCACCACCAGGCCTGCCCTAAAAGAGCTCCTGAAGGAAGCACTAAACATGGAAAGGAACAACCGGTACCAGCCACTGCAAAAACATGCCAAATTGTAAAGACCATCAAGGCTAGGAAGAAACTGCAGCAACTAACAAGCAAAATAACCAGCTAACATCATAATGACAGGATCAAATTCAAACATAACAATATTCACCTTAAATGTAAGTGGGCTAAATGCTCCAAGTAAAAGACACAGAATGGCAAATTGGATAAAGAGTCAAGACCCATCAGTGTGCTGTATTCAAGAAACCCGTCTCACATGCAGAGACACACATAGGCTCAAAATAAAGGGATGGAGGAAGATCTACCAAGAAAATGGAAAACAAAAAAATGCAGGGGTTGCAATCCTAGTCTCTGATAAAACAGACTTTAAACCAACAAAGATCAAAAGAGACAAAGAAGGCCATTACATAATGGTAAAGGGATCAATTCAACAAGAAGAGCTAACTATCCTAAATATATATGCACCCAATACAGGAGCACCCAGATTGATAAAGCAAGTCCTTAGAGACCTAGAAAGAGACTTAGACTCCCACACAATAATAATGGGAGACTTTAACACCCCACTGTCAACAGTAGACAGATCAACGAGACAGAAACTCAACAAGGATATCCAGGAATTGAACTCAGCTCTGCACCAAGTGGACCTAATAGACATCTACAGAACTCTCCACCACAAATCAACAGAATATACATTCTTCTCAGCACCACACCGCACTTATTCCAAAATTGACCACATATTTGGAAGTAAAGCACTCCTCAGCAAATGTAAAAGAACAGAAATTATAATAAACTGTCTCTCAGACCACAGTGCAATCAAACTAGAACTCAGGATTAAGAAACTCACTCAAAACCGCTCAACTACATGGAAACTGAATAACCTGCTCCTGAATGACTACTGGGTACATAATGAAATGAAGACAGAAATGAAGATGTTCTTTGAAACCAACGAGAACAAAGACACAATGTACCAGAATCTCTGGGACACATTCAAAGCAGTGTGTAGAGGAAAATTTATAGCACTAAATGCCCACAAGAGAAAGCAGGAAAGATCTAAAATTGACACCCTAACATCACAATTAAAAGAACTAGAGAAGCAAGAGCAAACACATTCAAAAGCTAGCAGAAGGCAAGAAATAACTAAGATCAGAGCAGAACTGAAGGAAATAGAGACACAAAAAACCCTTCAAAAAATCAATGAATCCAGGAGCTGGTTTTTTGAAAGGATCAACAAAATTGATAGACCGCTAGCAAGACTAATACAGAAGAAAAGAGAGAAGAATCAAATAGATGCAATAAAAAACGATAAAGGGGATATCACCACCGATCCCACAGAAATACAAACTAACATCAGAGAATACTATAAACACCTCTATGCAAATAAACTAGAAAATCTAGAAGAAATGGATAAATTCCTCGACACATGAACCCTCCCAAGACTAAACCAGGAAGAAGTTGAATCTCTGAATATACCAATAACAGGCTCTGAAATTGAGGCAATAATTAACAGCTTACCAACCAAAAAAAGTCCAGGAACAGATGGATTCACAGCCGAATTCTATCAGAGGTACAAGGAAGAGCTGGTACCATTCCTTCTGAAACTATTCCAATCAATAGAAAAAGAGGGAATCCTCTCTAACTTATTTTATGAGGCCAGCATCATCCTGATACCAAAGCCTGGCAGAGATACAACAAAAAAAAGAGAATTTTAGACCAATATCCCTGATGAACATCGATGCAAAAATCCTCAATAAAATACTGGCAAACCGAATCCAGCAGCACATCAAAAAGCTTATCCACCATGATCAAGTGGGCTTCATCCCTGGGATGCAAAGGCTGGTTCAACATATGCAAATCAATAAACGTAATCAGCATATAAACAGAACCAGTGACAAAAACCATATGTTTATCTCAATAGATGCAGAAAGGCCTTTGACAAAATTCAACAACGCTTCATGCTAAAAACTATCAATAAATTAGGTATGGATGAGACATATCTCAAAATAATAAGAGCTATCTATGACAAACCCACAGGCAATATCATACTGAATGGGCAAAAACTGGAAGCATTCTCTTTGAAAACTGGCACAAGACAGGGATGCCCTCTCTCACCACTCCTATTCAACATAGTGTTGGAAGTTCTGGCCAGGGCAATCAGGCAGGAGAAGGAAATAAAGGGCATTTAATTAGGAAAAGAGGAAGTCAAATTGTCCGTTTGCAGACGACATGATTGTATATCTAGAAAACCCCATCATCTCAGCCCAAAATCTCCTTAAGCTGATTGGCAACTTCAGCAAAGTCTCATGATACAAAATCAATGTGCAAAAATCACAAGCATTCTTATACACCAGTAAAAGACAAACAGCCAAATCATGAGTGAACTCCCATTCACAATTGCTTCAAAGAGAATAAAATACCTAGGAATCCAACTTACAAGGGATGTGAAGGACCTCTTCAAGGAGAACTGCAAACCACTGCTCAATGAAATAAAAGAGGATACAAAGAAATGGAAGAACATTCCATGCTCATGGACAGGAAGAATCAATATCGTGAAAATGGCCATGCTGCCCAAGGTAATTTATAGATTCAATGCCATCCCCATCAAGCTACCAGTGACTTTCTTCACAGAATTGGAAAAAACTACTTTAAAGTTCATATGGAACCAAAAAAGAACCCGCATTGCCAAGTCAATCCTAAGCCAAAAGAACAAAGCTGGAGGCATCACGCTACCTGACTTCAAACTATACTACAAGGCTACAGTAACCAAAACAGCATGGTACTGGTACCAAAACAGAGATTTTTGGTAAACAAAACAGACCAATGGAACAGAACAGAGCCCTCAGAAATAATGCCACATATCTATAACCATCTGATCTTTGACAAACCTGATAAAAACAAGCAATGGGGAAATGATTCCCTGTTTAATACACGGTGCTGGGAAAACTGGCTAGCCATATGTAGAAAGCTGAAACTAGATCCCTTCCTTACACCTTATACAAGAATTAATTCGAGATGTATTAAAGACTTAAATGTTAGACCTGAAACCATAAAAACCCTAGAAGAAAACCTAGGCAATACCATTCAGGACATAGGCATGGGCAAGGACTTCATGTCTAAAACACCAAAAGCAATGGCAAGGAAAGCCAAAATTGACAAATGGGATCTAATTAAACTAAAGAGCTTCTGCACAGCAAAGAAAACTACCATCAGAGTGAACAGGCCCTACAGAATGGGAGAAAATTTTTGCAATCTACTTATCTGACAAAGGGCTAATATCCAGAATCTACAATGAACTCAAACAAATTTACAAGAAAAAAACAAACAACCCCATCAACAAGTGGGCGAAGGATATGAGCAGACACTTCTCAAAAGAAGACATTTATGCAGCCAACAGACACAGGAAAAAAGGCTCATCATCACCGGCCATCAGAGAAATGCAAATCAAAACCACAATGAGATACCATCTCACACCAGTTAGAATGGCGATCATTAAAAAGTCAGGAAAAAACAGGTGCTGGAGAGGATGTGGAGAAATAGGAACACTTTTACATTGTTGGGACTATAAACTAGTTCAACCATTGTGGAAGTCAGTGTGGTGATTCCTCAGGGATCTAGAACTAGAAATACCATTTGACCCAGCAATCCCATTACTGGGTATATACCCAAAGGATTATAAATCATGCTGCTATAAAGACACATGCACACGTATGTTTATTGCGGGACTATTCACAATAGCAAAGACTTGGAACCAAGTCAAATGTCCATCAATAATAGACTGGATTAAGAAAATCTAGCACATATACACCATGGAATACTAGGCAGCCATAAAAAATGATAAGTTCATGTCCTTTGTAGGGACATGGATGAAGCTGGAAACCATCATTCTCAGCAAACTATCACAAGGACAAAAAAACCAAATACTGCATGCTCTCACTCATAGGTGGGAATTGAACAATGAGAACACATAGACACAGGAAGGGGAACATCACACACTGGGGCCTGTTTGGGGTTGGGGGGCGGGGGAGGGATAGCATTAGGAGATATACCTAATGTAAATAACGAGTTAATGGGTGCAGCTCACCAGCATGGCACATGTATACATATGTAACTAACCTGCATGTTGTGCACATGTACCCTAGAACTTAAAGTATAAAAAAAAAAAAAAAGAATGAAAAGATCTGCCCTTCAGTAGCTGGAGTGGAATGGGGCAGGAGGGTTTGGAGGAGGATGTGTGGCTCTGAAGACTATACATAGTAGGCAAAGTGCCAGCTGTGACTCGGAACAACCAAAATCAGGACCAGGAGCAGTTTAGAAGAGAAAACAATTCTTGGAAAAAGCAGAAGTATTTGTGGGGTACAGGGGAATTTGTAAGGGACTTAATTTCCTAAGTGAACAGGTAGGAGTTCAGAGGCAGCTAATGCTCACGGGACTTAATTTTATTTCCACAGTTGGTAAAACTCAAGGACAGTGTGGTTACCTTCATTCATTTAATTAAACAAACACAGAGCATGTGCTAGGCATTGCTAAAATCTAGTGTAGAAATCCAGTGTTAAAATCTAGTGTGGAAAGCCAGGCAAGCATTCATCAAACCATAATACAAACCAGATCGGGTAAAGTGCTACACCAAGCAGAACATGAAGGAGGGAGTGATTAATTAAATTCCACCAGAGAAGTTTTTCTAAAGAAGGTAGCATCTGAGTAGAGTACTGAAGTATGCTAGCAATATAAAATTTTATCATACATTGGGATTGCAAAATACAGTGCTTTTATTTAAAATTAAAAAATATTATTAGCTTGTTTTCATCATTCCACAGTATATGCATATATCAAAACATTGTACCCCATAAATATATGCAATTACTATTTGTCAATTAAAAAATTAACTTAAAAACAGTATTGATGAAAACAATTTTATTTTTCTCTGGTAGAAGGAAAAATATTCCCTGTCTCCTGTGAGTGAGTGCCTAAGGTCCCATTCATCTGAAAGAGCGGTGCAGCGCAGCTGAGGTTGCTGGCAGGCATTACAACAGAGCAGTTAAGATTACTGGCTCTACAGTCAGGGACATGGGTTCCAATCCTCCTCCTCTGTCAATTTCCAACCATGCAATTTTGGACATGACTTAAACTCTGTGCTTTAGCTTCCTCATTTGTAAAACAAGGTTAATGATAATAACTACCTAATAGGGCCACTGTAAGAACAAAATGAGCTAATATATGAAAAGTTTTTAATTCATTGTCTAGCACATTTTAAGCATTCTATAAATCATAGCTATTTTTCATTAATGTTTGCATACCAGGCAGGACTCCAATACTGTGTAGAAGTCATGAATTTTAATTTCAGTTCTGCTCCAAAGTGCTCCCTAGGGCTAGGCCAGTGACCCAGATTTTCCATTTCTCATCTTTCTGATTTATCATGTGAGACCAAAGCATTGGCAAGGAAGCTGAATAAGTGGATTTCCTCACTTGCTGGCTGGAGGTCTAGGGAGCAGAAAAGGTGGACATTTCCCCCATCTTGTATCTGTCTTGAGGAAGTGTGTGTGTGTGAGTGTGTGTGTGTGTGTGTGTTTATGCAGGAATAGACAACTGGGACAATGCCTTAAAATGTACACAGTATTTCTGATGCATTATCTCATTCATTCGTTCATTCATTCATTCATTCAATAAATGATTACTGTGAACCGTGTGTGTGTGTTTATTCAGATCCATCCCTTTCAATGGTTAGCCTTGTCTGTCAGCCATAACAAAAACCTCAAACCTCAAGGAAAGAAATTACAACCAAGCCTTCAGATAGCTGGTGGTAATTTACTCACACAATCCCCTTTATCCTTTCAACACCCACTATTTATCTGTATCTGACGTTGGGAGAGGGGAAATCATGCAAGAAATATGGTATGTAAATTTCTGGAAAGGGGGTTGGAATAGTGAGGGAAGACTTGTGTGAATTACATGAATAATTCTCCTTGATTTGAACATAGATATCAGATCTCAAAAATTGAAGGGACTGATGTTGGGGTCAATAAATACATTTCTGGGACCAGAAACAATACTGGAATAAATTCATAAATAGCTTTCAAGGCATTCATGACAATCACACCATCGCTAAAATCCGAGTCATTTTCCAGGATGGGGCAAGTAGTTCCAGTACAAGTCAAAGGAGCATGTGTCAATCAATCCAGACTGCTTTAAAAATCCATAGTGATAACAATAACTAAATGGAATGCATGATCCTAGTTCAGATCTTGGATTGGATTCTGAATTAGAAAAAAAAAATATTGCTGCCACGTTCAGTGGCTCATGCCTATAATTTCAACACTTCAGGAGGCTGAGGCAGGAGGATCACTTAAGGCCAGGAGTTCGAAACCAGCCTGTGCAACATAGCGAGATCTTGTCTCTACAAAAAAAAATTTAAAAATTATCTAGGGATGGTAGTGCAAACCACTAGTCCCAGTTACTCTGGAGGCTGAGGTGGGAGGATCACTTGAGCCCAGGAGTTGAGCCTACAGTGAACTGTAATCACACCACTGCACTCCAGCCTGGGTGACAGTGAGCAAGACCCTGTCTCTTAAAAAAAAGAAAAAATACCTCTAAGGACAAGATAGCCATATATATCCATGGTCCTTGCCTTTGTTTCTTGTATCATGCCATCTACTAGCTGGTCCCTGAAGCCATATATAATAACTTTCACTCATACACACATATGAGTGAAAAGTAACACTGATTTTTTTAACTTTCCAGCTTGAAAAATTTAAAATTTTCAACATATAGTAAAGTTGTAAAACTAGCACAATAAAGTCCTGTAAATCTTTCAATTGCTTCATAGATCGTTCACATTTTGCCACATTTGTTTTCTCTCTTTACACACACACACACACACACACAAGCACACAGACACAAACATTAGTATTATTTTGATGAACCATTTGAGAGTAAGATGTAGATTCTTCACCCCTAAATATTTAATGTGTATCTCCGAAGAATATTTAAAATCGTTGCATAACTGTATTATGTAAAAGAATATAACACCCTTGGCCGGGCATGGTGGCTCACGCCTATAATCCCAGCACTTTGGGAGGCCAAGGCGGGGGGATCACAAGGTCAGGAGATCGAGACCATCCTGGCTAACACGGTGAAACCCCATCTCTACTAAAAATACAAAAAATTAGCTGGACGTGGTGGCGGGTGCCTGTGGTCCCAGCTACTCGGGAGGCTGAGGCAGGAGAATGGCGTGAATCCGGGAGGCAGAGCTTGCAGTGAGCTGAGATCGTCCCATTGCACTACAGCCTGGGTGACAGAGTGAGACTCTGTCTCAAAAAAAAAAAAAAAAAAAAGAATATAACACCCTTTTCAGGTCAGCTTTTATCACTATTAAGCAGAACACTTTACATCATAATCTGAAGTCTCAGCAGTGAATTACTTAACTAAAATCAGGAGCTACCCTCTGCTAGATATTTGGCTCACATCTGTACAACCAAAAGTGCTGATCAAAATAATCACTCCCAGGACAAAGGCAAAATATACAACAAAGACAAATTCCCTCTTCTATGCACCAGCCAATTTCTTGGCAGTTTAGAACAGCTGTTTTGTCCTTTCTTCCAGCTGGCAAAGGTTCAAAAATATCAAGATACAGCCTCAGAAAGCTTCACACGAGGAAGAAATTTTAATGAGAAAAATCTCATGTTCTGTATTCGCTTTTGTTTTCATTTTTATTTTAGCATATAAAATGTCAAAATACTGAGCTGTTGAGTACCGTATCAAATATCTGGCAATTCTGGACAAAAGGTGAGCAAAACTCAACAGTCCTTTATCTTTGCAAAGTTCAAGTGGCTTTAGGAGTTAATGCCATAGGGGTAGGGTGCCACGCCTCATGCCTGTAATCCCAGCACTGTCAGAGGTGAGGCAGGCAGATGGCTTGAGCACAGTAGTTCGAGACCAGCCTGGGCAACATGTGAAACCCATCTCTACAAAAAATACAACAAAAATTAGCCAGGCGTGCTGGTGCACATCTGTAGTCCCAGCTACTCAGGAGGCTGAGGTAGGAAAGTGGCTTGAGCCTGGGAGGCAGAGGTCACAGTGAGTGGAGACTGTGCCACTGCGCTCCAGCCTGGGTGAAAGAGCCAGACGCCGTCTCAAAAACCAAAACAAAACATTATATCAGTTTGGTAAAAGAACAAGCACATCCAACATTAACCATCACAATTCCTTTCGACCAGAATAATCTTTTATTCAGATAAAAGTATCCCAGTTTTAGGCTATGCGTGTGATATAATAATAACAGACAGAGAGGTACAGAAATACCCAAGCTGGCCCAGGCTCAGAGCTTGTGGTATACAGAAGAGAATTATTGCATCCTTTATTTGCTGGCTTCGGTACATTCTTAGGAGATAGAGGGAGGGAAAAAAAAATCCAAACCAGAAGGGTCTGGTGCTGATGGACCAGATCAATTGGTTCAAACTTTGATTCAACTGTTAAGGTATTCAGGGCTGGAACTAGGATGAGAGGAGCAAGGCACTCACCTGAGGTGCGAAGTTTAAAGCGTGCCAAAATCTTGGTAATCAAGATAAATCATATTTTAATGCAATATTTTAGAAAAATAGTAATGCAAAAAAAATCCACAATGAACAAAATATCAAAACTTTAAATAAAGACAGGATCTGACCCTGCATTTTCATGATTCAGGGAGTGTCTTACTTGCTTCGTCCTAGTCCAGGCCCAACTTGTTCATCCCCAGATGATGTGCCAAAAGCCACATCTTTAGGTGTCTCCTCTGGTGCTCTCTAGTGCTATGTTCTGCTGACCTTGTTGGCAACAGCTCTCTGTCTGTTATGAATGGTTGGACATCAGGTGGCACCTTTAAGATACCACAAGGTAAAAGCAACTCTCTGAGCCAAGGCCAGCTCTTCCAACCTCCTTCCAAACAGTCTTACATCTCAAGGGCAAGTTTCTGTGATGTATAGGGCATCAGGGAGAGGGTAGAATGGGGTAGAAAGGGGAGATAATGGGAGAGGGAAAAAAGAACAGGTGACCTCATGAGTTGGCACTAATGTAACTAGAGTGCAATTTTTCAAGAGTCTATCTTTTTAAAGAAAACCTTGAGCCCCAACTCTTATTTGGAGGCACCTGCTCACTCACCTCCAAAACCAAATCCACCTCACCTCTATTCTTCTTTTCACATTGTGTACGGGTAGTTCTGGAAATCAAAGTGGCCATGCTGCTTCCTCCATGCAGCCTGTAGTGAATTCAAGTAGTGTAGGATACTTCAAACTGGAGCTTCTCTACTGTGAATAGCTGCTCATCCCCAAGTACCAAACCTAATTTTGTGACAATGAAAACCATCTGCAGGTGCCCCCTGCTGGTGGTACTATCCTAGAGACTTGCCTTCACTGATGTATTTTGTTTGGTCAATGGTCCAGAAAGTCACAGTCACAGTCACCAACACTATTCCCTATGCCCTTACACCTAAGCAGGTTCACTTATTTATGCTACCCGCCAGGCACCTGCAGGTGTGTGGCATTTGCATCTTCCTTCTATGGCTTCCTAGTTCCTCATGGTGGGAACCTGGGACCCGACTTCTTGCCTCTCAAACTATTAATATGTCTGCCTCACAGGGCCAGGCACTTCTCTAGTCTTGAGTCACCCATGTCATTCTTTTAACCTACCCTCGGGTAGGACACTGGAGCCATAGATGTGAACCTTAGCCTTTAAGGCACGCAAGAAGACACTGAAGTCCCCAGGGCCAGTCACTGCCAGCAATGTCTTCCAGCGGTGGTTGAAGGGATGACTGAGGCAAGCAGAGTCTGAGTTTGTTATTGTTCTGAGGATATAGACAAAAATCTTTAATAAGGCTTACATAGCTTGGCATAGTCTTCAGCCTCAGCTCTGGTTA
Organism: Homo sapiens; assembly: GCF_000001405.40. Classification (NCBI taxonomy): domain Eukaryota; kingdom Metazoa; phylum Chordata; class Mammalia; order Primates; family Hominidae; genus Homo; species Homo sapiens. The sequence goes on from NC_000001.11 coordinate 120,685,147, forward strand.
TACTCCCCCTTCCCTTTTGTGCTTAGTTTGTACTAGTCTTGTTCCAGAAGAAGAAAGAGAGAACTAATTCTGCTGCTCCTCTGGTGTCCAGGAGCTCAGGTAATGGATGCAGACTGTAATAGGCAGTCTCTAAGTTGGTCCCCAGTGATCCCTGGTCATCAAACCCTTGTGTAATTCCCTCGCCTTGAGTCTGGGATGGATCTAGTACTCATTTGTAATGAATACAGTAGGGCAGCAGTGATGGAATGTTGCTTCCGAGATTAGATTATTTTTTAAAAAGCAAAAACAACTGTGGCTTCCATTTGGAGTATGCATGCTCTCTTTCTTTTAGATCAGTTGTGCTGGGGGAACTAAGCTACCGTGTTATAAGCAGACCTATTGTGTGGACAGGAACTAAAGCCTGCCAAATACCGTGTGCGTGAGTCTGAAAACGGACCTTTCAGCCCCTGTCGAGTCTTGAGATGACAGCAGCCCCAGCTGAGTGCTTGACTGCAACCTCATGAGAGAACTTGAGGCAATTCTAACCAGCTAAGCTGCTCCCAGATTTCTGACCCTCCAAAACTGTGAGTACTAAATACTTGCAGTTTTCAGCCACTGAGGTGATTTGCTATGCAGCAATAGTAATAGTAACAAACACACAGACTTCTGAACCTTTCCCCAATCCAAGGTCATTCTGTGGAGTTAGAGACCCAGCTCTCCCATTCACAAAGAAGCTATTATTCTCTCTACAGTAAAGAAAGACAAAGAAGTCAGAGCAGTTTTTTAACGCTGCACATCAGGAAACTAGATGTATGCTGAAAATTTGAGAGTGATAAGTAGGACCTTTCCCAGTCTGTAGAATATACCACCAAAGCATGCTCACTCGAGAATGTGCTTTTGATTACTACCAAGCACACTTTTTTTTCTTTTTGAAGATATGTGCAAACAATGAAAACCCTTCTTGCTGAAATTACAATACAGCCGTACATTTTGGTTGAAATGTTTATTTGGAGATTTCAAAGTCAAGGTTGATATAGCCAAAAGATAATACAGATTAGACTATCATGGAAACAAAAAGAATCTAAAATTTGATATTGTTTGTACACTAGGGTCACCGCTCATGTTAACATTTCCTTCATTGCATCCACTTTCTCGGAGCTGGTGTTGTAGGGTTAGATGTGAGTGTGAATGAGCATGCGTACAGTGGACAAAATCCCCCCATTCTGTAAATGCATGTGCCTATTATTCTGGGCAGTGAACCCAGCCTGCTTTAAGTCTTTGTTATTTGAATAGTGTCCCAGATTCTCCTTTGAAATGTGCGGTTCACCTATTTTTATTAACCTTAATATGGAGCTTTCTGATGCTTTTTTGATAGATTCTTGGTCGTGCCCAGGTACACTTCCTTTCGTTTTAAACAGGTCATATATTTCTCTGTGCTGGCCTTCAGGTGGTGTGCCATATAAATTAGAAAGCAAATTTTCACAAGGTCAAATTTTAATCATGCAGCTTAGTATTTTTAAACAGATGACATTTTCATACTTGGTATGCTAACTTGAAGACCAGACCATTTTTGCCCAAGTTCTACCAAAGGTTTTCGTTTTACAGTCTTCATTTGTTTTGTTTTGGTTTACTTTTTAACAAAAAGCAAACCTAGGAAAAAATTTTAAAAACATACAAGATGCACAAAAACAATTACTCTAATACACATGAAACAGAAAATCAACACCTGCCAATTAAACACAACTTCTACCATTTCATAACTGTGTGATCTTGTCAAATTACTTAACCTCTCTATAAAACGGGATCACGATAGCATCTTTCTCACAGAATTATAGTGAGAATTAAATAATATTATTCTTATGAAATGTTTAAGATAGGGCCTAGCATTTATCATTTACTCAATAAATATTAATCATGTAATTATATATGTAATTATGGTGATAATGATAATGTTGCTGCCATGAGATGTCAGGTTTCACAATATAAAATCATTACAGAATTCTGTTTGGAACTCCTGTGAGACCTAGTATGAATCACCTATAGTTATGAGGCTGCTCTAGCAAATAAATCTAAGAGAACAGGCAACTTCATGAAGAGGTTAAAGTGTCCTAGGGCAGTGGTCTCCAACCCTTTTGGTACCAGGAACCATTTTCAAGGAAGACAACTTTTCCATGGACAGGGTGGGGGATGGATTTGGAATGATCATCAGGTATTAGATCCTCATAAGAAGCAGGCAACCTAGATCCTTCATATGCCCAGTTCACAATAGGGTTCCCGTTCCTATGAGAATTGAATGCAGCTGCTGGTCTGCTGATCGACAGGAGGTGGAGCTCAGGGGTAATGCTCGCTGGCCTGCCACTCACCTCCTGCTATGCAGCCGGGGTCCTAACAGGCCAGGACCAGTACCAGTCCATGCTCTGGGGGCTGGGGACCCCTGTTCTAGGGAAATACCATCACCATGTCTGCTACCCCTCCCACCGTGGGCGCTACCACCATTTGGTCACCATATGCAACCCTGTGTGAAGATATTCCTAATACTATCCAGGGTCCTTTTCATTTGAGTGACCTCTATCTCTTTGTCCCACCATCTAACTCCCACCCTCATAATGACTGGGGAGAAAACCTCCACCAGGGTGAAGCAAAAAACCTCAAACAGAGGCTTCAAACAAAACTTAATATAAAGACTCCAACCATGAAGTTGTCTCTTTTTATCCCCCAGTTATCTTCTTTGTTGGTTTTGTTTTCGGGATCTGCAGGGTACCAAGTTATCTGCTAGAAGGCTCAGTCCTTCTCTTCTTACCAGCCCCGCTGCTACCGCCATGATGTAAATCGCTATGATCTCACATTGGTGTTACTTACTGCAATAGCCAGCAAAGCAGCTCCCTTCCTTCCACTCTTGGCCTCCTAAGGTCTGTTTTCCAATAGCAAAGTGACTTTTTAATATTTTTCAGATCATATGATGTTCCTGTTTTAAATCTTCATTGGCTTCCCCATGTCCTTAGAATAACATCCACTTCTTACCACGGCCTATGAGGTCTCAGGTGACCTGGCTCAGGTTCACCTCTGCCCCCTCCTCTTATTTATTATGCTCCAGCTGCACTGGCCATTTTCTTCCTCAAACACACTAAGCTTATTTCTACCTTAGGGGTTTTGCAGTTCTTTCACCTCCTGCTTTAATTCCTCTCTAACGAAGTTTTTTTAAAATAAACTTTATTAATATCAGAAATCACTTTATTTGTATATTTATTTATTTGTTTTCTGTCTACGTCCTCACTGAGCCTTTATCCAATAATCTTGTTCCTCATTTTATTCTAGCACCTAGTATTGTGCCTGCCATTCCATATATACCTTTTGGAAAGATCAGTGAACAGACTCCAGCTATACTATTTTTTAAAATAGGATTTACTGGAAGAGGAGACCCACAGAATCAAAGGAACAGTTGAAGACTCAAAAGAACAGGCTCAGAAGGGGCAGGAATAGGGAGCGGCAGGAACAGGGGAAGCAATTAGGATCTAGGTAGCAAGAAGGGGCCGATTGGTTCTGGCCACTTTTTTCTACTCTCATGTTGTTCCACTGATGATGCAATGCTCAAAAAATCAGATCATTGGGAGGCCGAGGCGGGCGGATCACGAGGTCAGGAGATCGAGACCATCCTGGCTAACACGGTGAAACCCCGTCTCTACTAAAAATACGAAAAATTAGCCGGGCGAGGTGTCGGGTGCCTGTAATCCCAGTTACTCTGGAGGCTGAGGCAAGACAATGGCGTGAACCCCAGGGGGCGGAGCCTGCAGTGAGCCGAGATCGCCCCACTGCACTCCAGCCTGGGTAACAGCGAGACTCCGCCTCAAAAATAAATAAATAAATAAATAAATAAAAAATCAGATCATCCTCGTGTGGGTCTCAAGATTATCATTTAGCTCGGGATACCTTAAACAAACTTCCCACCAAGACTATAAACCATGGCAAAGAAGACAATTCTAGCCACCCCCCCCCCCAAAAAAAGTAGGGCTATTGTCCAAAGAAGGGAGGAATGGACACACCCACAGTCAAAAACCCAAAACAAAACAAAAGTCTGCAATAATCTCTGACTTGACATTTTGTCATCTAGAAGACAACTACTTTCTTTCTTTTTTTTTTTTTTTTTTTTTTTTGAGATGGAGTTTCCAGGCTGGAGTGCAGTGGCGCGATCTGGCTCACTGCAACCTACGCCTCCTGGGTTCAAGTGATTCTCCTGCCTCAGCCTCCTGAGTAGCTGGGATTACAGGCGCCTGCCACCACGCCTGGCTAATTTTTTGTATTTTTAGTAGAGAGGGGGTTTCACCATTTTGGCCAGGCTGGTCTCAAACTCCTGACTTCAGGTGATCTGCCCCGCTAGGCCTCCCAAAGTGCTGGGATTACAGGCGTGAGCAACCGCGCACGGCCAACATCTACTTTCTTGCAGTATTAACTGATGTTTGTTTAAGAGATATAAACAGATTTCGGCCGAGCTCAGTGGCTCACACCTGTAATCCCAGCACTTTGGGAGGCCGAGGCGGGCGGATCACGAGGTCAGGAGATGGAGACCATCCTGGTTAACACGGTGAAACCCCATCTCTACTAAAAAATACAAAAAATTAGCCGGGTGTGGTGGCGGGCGCCTGTAGTCTCAGCTATTCGGGAGGCTGAGGCAGGAGAGTGGCGTGAACCCAGGAGGCGGAGCTTGCAGTGAGCCAGATCGCGCCGCTGCACGCCAGCCTGGGAAACAGAGCAGGACTCCGCCTCAAAAAAAAAAAAAAAAAAAAAAAGATATAAACAGATTTCAATATTAAGTCAAATAAAAGAAGAAAGATAAATCTGTTCAAAATTATACAGCATACTAAAAAGATATGCTTTTAAATGTCTTCTCTGTCCTATGATTCAGAATAAACTAGAGGTCAGGAGACAGTTCCATGAGATATCCTTTTGGATATCCCAAACTAAATTAATTCTCTCCTTTTCCTGACATCTGCTTCTCATACCATATTATCTATCTCAGTTAATGAAATTACTATTTACTCTCTGACTGGCCTAGGAATTTGTTTAGACAGAGTTTACTTGTCTAGAGTAATAAACTGGAGAATAACATTTGTTTCCACCATCTCCCTCATTTCCCACACTCAATTAATCAAAAAATCCTATCAGTTCTAACTCAAATTCTCCAACCTATCTCTTCCTCGCCATTCCCAATACCAGTGCCTGTGTTCAGGCCCTTATTACCTTTGGCCGTGAACCACTTGCAACAGTTTCTCAGTGATCTTCACTCAATCCACTTAAGCCCATCTCTCACACGATTGCCACACTTACAACTCTAAAACAAAGATCTATGTCTGCCAGACTCTTCTTTAAAAGCTTCTATAATTCCACACTGTCTACAAAAATAAAAGCCAACCGCCTCTGTGTCTTAGCTGAAATGACAGAATACAAAAGTTTCTCAGAATGATCTATAAATGCAACCTTTTCTTTAATATGGAGGTTCTTTAACCCTGGTATACATGAGAAAACTTGTAGTGCATTTAAAGAACACTGATGCTAAGACCTCAATCTGAAAAAGTCTGATTTAATTGGTCTGGAATGAAGCCTTACATCAGCTTTTTAAAGACCTCCCCCAAATAATTCTAATATGTAGTCAGGGTTGAAAACTACTAATTTATAACGTGGCTAGAAAGACACTTCTACTTCCAGACAGCATGCGGTAATAGGGTTGGTATTCATTCCCCTTCACCCCTGACAGAAATTACTAAAAAATAGGACAAGATATATAAAATAATTATTTTCAGACACTGGATATCAGACAACATAGGAAAGTTATCCAAGAGAAGAGAGAAACAAGCAAAGTAAGCCATACAACTGTCCTACTTAACTGCCCCAGAGCTCACAGAGAGGGAATCCAGGCAGAGCCTGGTGATCTGCCTGAGTTGAAGAGATCATGCAGAGATTTGAGAAGGCCAAGGCAGGTAGAGTTCATGGGGAAGAGTACCAGAAAGAATAGAAAATTCCAGAGATCTGTGGAGAGTCTCCTTAAATATTCAGCTGAATACTGATCGGTATATCAGGAAACTACCAAGGTTGGGGTAAGAACCACACAAGAGAATCAGATTAAACAATCCTCTTGGCTCATACAAGGCTGGAAGTAGTTTGTTTCATCATCTACTAAAGTGGGAAAAGCCTCATAATTAACAGGATATTGGCTAGAGTACTTAGAAGGGTATCACCCAAGTAATGGGGAAAATTAATCATCTTTAAAAAGTTGCTTGGGTTCCCCATAATGAAGCTTAAGATCAAGAAGGATCTGTTTCCAACTAACTTAACTGTGACCCAGAATAAAGCTCAATAATGTTTATGGGAATGCAAAACTATCTAACACCCAATATGTAAAATGTTTAATGTGTGGTATCAAATCAAAGTATTGCCAGGTGTGCAAAGAAGCAGGAAACAGTACTTAAAATGAAGAGAAAAATCAATTACCAGAAACATACTCAGAACTGAACAAATGTTAGAATTGTTATTATAGTATTTTAAATGTTCAAGAAAGTAGAACAAAGATTGATAAAATGAAGTAAAATATTAATACATGGGCGGGGCACAGTGCCTCACGCCTGTAATCCCAGCACTTTGGGAGGAGGTGGGCAGATCACCTGAGGTCAGAAGTTTGAGACCACCCTGGCCAACATGGTGAAACCCCATCTCTACTAAAAATACAAAAATTAGCCAGGCGTGGTGGTGGGTGCCTGTAATCCCAGCTACTCAGGAGGCTGAGACAGGAGAATTGCTTGTACCCGGGAGGCAGAGATTGCAGGTTGCAAGGAGCTGAGACCGTAACATTGACAAGAGTGAAACTCCATCTCAAAAAAAAAGAAAAAAAATTAATACATGAAAGTTACAAACTTCTAGAGATGAAAAAGACAATATCTGAGATGAAGAATACACTGGATGGAATTAACAACAGATTAGACACTGTAGAAGAAAAAGTTAGTGAACTTAAAGACATAGCAATGAAAATGATCCAAAAATAAAACAAGGAAAAGAAAACAAAAAGTGAACAGAGCATCAGTGATCAATGGGAAAAATTTAAATGACCTAATATATATGTAACTGAAGTCCCTAAAGGAAAGGAGTTATAGAGGGCAACAAAAATTTTTGAAAAAATAATGGCTGAAAATTGTCCAAGTATAATGAAAACTGTAAACACACAGATCCGGTAAGTGTAACAAATCCAAAGCACGAGAAACATGAAAGTAACCACACCTAGGCACATTTTAATCAAATTGCTTAAGATCAGTGATAAAGAGAAAAATTTATAAGTATTCAGGAGAAAAAAGAACATTATATAGAGAGAAACAAGGATAAGAATGAGAGCATAACTTGAAAATTAAAAGACAACAGAGAAGCCAGGCGCAGTGACTCGTGCCTGTAATTCCAGCACTTTGGGAGGCTGAGGAGGGCAGATCACCTGAGGTCAGCAGTTCGAGACCAGCCTGACCAACATGGAGAAACCCCATCTCTACTAAAAATACAAAATTGGCTGGGCATGGTGACGTATGCCTGTAATCCCAGCTACTCAGGAGGCTGAGGCAGGAGAATCACTTGAACCCGGGAGGTCGAGGTTGCGGTGAGCCGAGATGGCATCATTGCACTCTAGCCTGGGCAACAAGAGCGAAACTCCATCTCAGAAAAAAAAAAAAAGACAACAGAGCAACATCTTTAAAGAGCTGAAGGAAAAAAAGAGCAGTCACCTGGAATTCTACAACCAGCAGAGTAGGTTTCTTGTGCATACAACCCGTGTAGTCACACAGGGCTTTGCACTCAGAAGGACGGGCTTGGTTTAATGCTCTGTTGTTGATGACTTGAAATTCTTAATAATATTTGAACAGAGGGGTCTACATTTTTATTTTGCATTGAGCCCCACAAAGTATGTAGTCAGTCCTGATAACCAGCAAGAATATCTTTCAAACATGAAGGTGAAATAAAGACTTTTTCACATACAAAAGCTGAAAGAATTTTCCCACCAGCAAATCTGCACAAGAATAAGAAGGATTAAAGAAATTCTTTCAGGCAGAAGGAAAATGATACCAGATGAAAATAATGAAGAATATTGGAAATGGTAAATATGTCAGTAAATATGAAACTTTAAAAATATCTTTTACATCACTAATCAGTAAGGAAATGCAAATCAAAACCACAATGATATTTCACTTTATACCCATTAGGATGTCAATTATTTTAAAAAACAAAAACAGAAAATATCAGTGTTCATGAAGATATGGGGAAACTGAAACCCTTGTACACTGTTGATGGAAATGTAAAATGGTGCAGCTGCTGTAGAGAACAGTATGGTCGTTCCAAAAAATTAAATATAGAATTACCATATATGCAAAAATCCCTCTTCTTTTGCAACCCAAAAGCATTGCAAACAGGGACACAAAGAGACATCTGTACATCCATATCTGTTGCAGCATTATTCACAGTGGCAAAAGGTGGAAACAACTGAAATTTCCATTAACAGATGAATGGATTAATAAAATGTTGTATAAACATACAATGGAATATGATTTGGCCTTTTAAAAGGTACATCATTATAAGCCTGAGCAACAAACTGAGACCCCATCTCTACAAAAATATCAAAAAAATTGCTTGTAATCCCAGCCATTTGGGAGGCCAATGTGGGAGGATCGATTGAGCCCAGGAGGTCAAAGCTGCATTGAACCATGATTGTGCCAGTGCACTCCAGCCTGAATGATAGAGTAAGACTATCTCACACACAAAAAAGTACGTAATTACAACACATGCTACAACACGGATGACCCTAAAAGAGATTATGCCAAGTGAAATAGGCTGGAGACAAAACAACAAATATATGATCCCACTTATAAAAGGTGGCTAGAGTAGTCAAATTCATTGAGCCAGAAAGTAGAATAGTGGTTACCAGGAGGTAGGGGAGGGAGAATGGGTAGCTACTGTTTAATGGATACAGAGTTTCAGTTTTGGAAAAAGAGAAAATTTTGGAGATGGATGGTGGTACTTGTTGCATAATAATGTGAATGTACTTAATGCAACTACTGACCTGTACACTTAAAATGGCTAAACTGGTAAATTTGTGGGGGAAGAAGAGTTTATTTAGTTCTTTTTTTTTTTTTTGAGACAGAGTCTCGCTGTGTCACCAGGCTGGAGTGCAGTGGTGTGATCTTGGCTCACTGCAACCTCTGCCTCCCTGGTTCAAGCGATTCTCCTGCCTCAGCCTCCCGAGTAGCTGGGATTACAGGCGCATGCCACCACGCCCAGCTAACTTTTGTATTTTTAACAGAGACAGGGTTTCACCATGTTGGCCAGGATGGTCTCTGTCTCCTGACCTCGTGATCTGCGTGCCTCGGCCTCCAAAAGTGCTGGGATTACAGGCGTGAGCCACTGTGACTGGACTATTTAGTTCTATTTATTCATTTATGCAATGATGGTCTCAGCAGTAGGTAATAAAATATAACCTTATATTTAAAATTCATTTTTCATTTTGAAAGGTTTGGATCTTTGTCTCTTCTTTCTACTTTACTATTTTATTTATTTATTTATTTATTTATTTTTAATGGTGGTGGATCTGAGATCTACCTTACTGTTTTAAATACTTAACTCCAACCAAATAGAAGATAAATAAAAATTGTATTCCCTTACTTTTCTCTAAGGCCATGCTGGTACAACTAGAATTGGCTCTTTAGAATGTAGGTATCATTTATAGTAAGCTGGAGATTTGATCACAGAATGATACATGTAAGAATGTCATAGCACAAAAAAATGCACAGATATTTTTAAAAGGACAAATTTCAGGACACTTTCCATCTGAGTTCATAAGAAAGTCCTCTTGAGTATCCTTCAAAGTTAAAACCCTCTCCCCTTCAGATTAATGAAAATATTAGGATGCATAGAACACAATGGGCACTGGTGATATGGCCCATGGTAGCTGAATTAGATTGAGTATAAATGAAGTCTTCACATAATAGCGAAGAGGCCAACAGAAGAAAGGCCAGAAAGCCACTTGAAACTCATGTCCATGGAAGACCAAATGAAGTTGATTTAACTGTTCCCTTAGAAAGATATTATCCCATTGCTTAGCCCTCAAAGTGCTCATACTGCTACTTTCCTTCTTTATATCACCAGTTCTGGGAGCAAACCTCCTGAAAGAATGGAAGTATAGACTGTAAATACAAGACTGTGGGTACAGCAAAAGGGCTCTGATGCTCTAGTTGTTTGTGTCTAGATACTGTCAAATGTCCCTTGTGATGCACAATTGCCCTTAGCGGAGAACCATTAACCAAAATAAATGAAATAATATGTCATGTTCATGCATCAGAAGACCCAATGTTGTTAAGATATCAATTCTCTATAAGTTGATCTATAGACTCAATGTAACCCCAATCAAATACCCCACTGGCTTTTTGTCTACATTTACAAGTGAATTCTGAAATGTATATGGAAATTCAAAGAACCTAACACAATGAAAACAATTTTGAATAAGAAGAGCAAAGCTCAAGAATTTGACTACGTGATTTCAAAACGTATAAAGCTACTGTAACCAAATCAGTTTGGTATTAGTCTAAAGATGGATAAGGGAGGCTGAGGCAGTAGAATTGCTTGAACCCAGGAGGCGAAGGTTGCCGTGAGCCAAGATCGTGCCACTGCACTCCAGCCTGGGCAACAGAGTTAGACTCCATCTCAAAAAAAGAAAAAGAAAAAAAAAAAGGCAGATAAATAAATCAGTCAAACACAATAGAAACCCAGATACAGACGATTATATATGTGGTCAATTGATTTGAACAAAGGTGCTAAGGCAATTAAATGGAAAAAGGATAGTGCTCTTAACAAACAGTGTTAGAGCAACTGTACATCTACATGCAAAAAAAAAAAAAAGATAAAAAAGAAAAAAAAAACACCTTGATCACAATATACAAAAGTTAACTCAAATGGATCATAAGCCTAAATGTAAAAATGCAAAACTATAAAACTTCTAGAAAAAAATAGAATATTTTTGTAATCTGGATTAAGTAATGATTTCTTAGATATGACATTAAAAGCAGAACCATAAAAGAAAAAACTGATAATGTTTATTTACCACAGCAAAATTTTAAAATGTCTGGTCTTCAAAAGACACTGTTACTAAAATGGAAAGACAATCTGCACAGTGGGAGAAAATATTTGCAAAGAACATATATAATAAAACTTGCATTTAGAATATGAAATGAACCCAATGAACTCAGTGAAACCCAAACAACTCAATGGAAAATGGGCAAAATATTTCAACAGACACTTTACCAAAAATATGTAGATAATAATCAAGCTCATGAAAAAAAAGCTCAATATCATTAATCATTAGGGAAATTTAAGTCAAAAAACCATAATAAGATTTCACACCCACTAGAATGGCTATAATATAAAAGATGTACAGTAACAAGTATTGAGAAGGATGTGGAGAAATGAGAACCTTCATACATTGCTAGTGGGAATGTAAAAGGTACAACCCTTTTGGAAAACGATTTGGCAGTTTCTTTAAAAGCGTGCCTAGTGTTATATACCTCGAGAAATGTGCCCAAGAGAAATGAAAGACATGTGCACAAATAATTATAGCAACTTTATTTGTAATAGCCATAAAACTGGAAACAACTCAAAGAATGGTGAATCAATAACGTGTAGCACATTCATACGATGAAATACTACTCAGCAACAAAAGGAAATGAGCTACTGATACCCACAACAGCATAGATAAGTTTCAAAATAATTATGCTGAGTGAAAGAAGCCAGACAACAACAAAGAGTAGATACTGTATGATTCCATTTATATGAAATTCTAGGAAATGCAAAGTAATATATAATGACAAAAGCAGAGGGGCGGGAAGGAGGAATTTAAAAAGGGCAGAAGGAAACTTTTTGGGATCATGGATAAGTTCGTCATCTTGATTGTGGTGATGATTTCACAGGTATATACATACGTTGAAACTTCAAATTGCACACTTTAAATTTGCCCAGTTTATTGTATGTCAGTTATATCTCAATAAAGCTGTAGAACAGCAACAACAAAGAGATGGCTAGACAAGCATATTACAGTAGTTGAAGTTTGATGTTAGAAATTCACTGAATCTTCTCTGAAGTCATTGTCCTCTGACAGTTGTCTGCAGGTTTCAAGCTATCCACCTACACAGAATGTGCAATCTGCTGGGCTTCAAAAGCACACATTGAGGCAGATGGCCAACAGCTGACAATTCACTTAATTTCTCTTTTTAAATAGTTATATACTTGAAAAAGGATCGAGTTTGAATTAAATCCTCACAGAAAATTTCTATCACAGCATGGGATTCACTTCAATAAAGCATCTTCCCACTGTCATAAATCTGCTTGTGTTCTTTTGGCAAAATTTTCTTCCCACTCAACCTGGCTTTGTTATCTTGTCAAGCCAGACAAAAATTCACCTCCTGTATAAAGCCGTCTCTGATCATCTGCCTTTTTAAATTTTTAAATTTTTTAATTTTTCTTTTTTGAGATGGAGTCTCACTCTGCCACCCAGGTTGGAGTGCAGTGGTGCAATCTCGGCTCACTGCAACCTCCGCCTCCCTGGTTCAAGTGATCCTCCTTCCTCAGCCTTCTGAGTAGCTGGGATGACAGGCGCACCACCACACCCAGCTAATTCTTTGTATTTTCATTAGTGATGGAGTTTTACAATGTCGACCAGACTGATCTCAAACTCCCGACCTCAAGTGATCCACCGGCCTTGGCCTCCCAAACTGCTGGGATTAACAGGCATGAGCCACCGTGACCGGCCTCATCTGCCTTTTAGCACCATAGAGAGGTGCCATTAACCACCTGGTTTATATTGCCAGCATGTAGGGGCTGTAATATGGTACCCCAGCCCCACCTCCCTACCCCATCATTATTTTTTCTTAAAGAAAATAAGCTTGCCACTTAGAATTTAAACTTTACAATTAAGATAAACTGATTTAGAGAATAAATGTAGACACTTGAAACAGTCACAAGGATCCCCAAACCAGATTATAATCTGACTGAAAATATTAGCATATCAGAGATAGAAAAAGAGATGTACCTAAGAAGGGAGGACAATCATCAGTGGACACTTACTGTCCAGGAAAAAAGAACCTATGTGTACACCTTGATGCTCTGAAGCTATCAAATTATTTGAAATTTAGAATCCACTAATTAATTCCTCTTGCTCTAGATTCAAGTTTCAAAAACAACCTTTTGGCTGTAATTTGGCTCTCAAATGTGGCACATATACCAAGAGATATTTTGCTGGGATCATAAAAGAGAGTCTAGTTCCCTAAGATGTTAAAATTCTCATTATAAATTAGTAATTTGTTATTCTGGGTTTATATAGTAGTCCTGTGATTTATCAGTTTAAGAAGCAGACTTGGCTGGGTGAAGTGGCTCATGCCTATAGTCTCAGCACTTTGGGAGGGTGGGGTGGTAGGATTGCTTGAAGCCGGGAGTTTGAGACCAGCCTAGGCAACATAGCAAGACTCCATCTCTACACAAAATAATTTTTTAAAAGTAGCCGGAAATGATGGTACACAACTGTGATCTCAGCTACTTGGGAGGCCAAGGCAAGAGGATCCCTTGAGCCCAGGAGTTGGAGACTGCAGGGAGCTATGATTGCACCACTTCACTCCAACCTAGGCAACACAGTGAGACTCCATCTCTGAAAAAAAAAAAAAAGAAAGAAAGAAAAAGAAAAGAAACAGACTTAACAAGTTAAAGACCAGATTTCAACATATTTTCCAAGATAATGCCACTTTCTATGGCCTGTTAGGGAAGTCAGCTTTCCTTGGAGAGATAGATAGAGAGAGAGAGAGAGAGAGAGAGAGAGAGGTCTACAGTTCATCTTTCTGTTACAGCACTTACTCCATACTCCAGTTACTGAAGCATATTACAGAACTACAGATTCTGAGTTACCTGAGGGTAGTTTTGTATCCAGTTTGTGCTGGCCTCCACCATCATTGCTCAATAAGTAACACTGAACTGAACTGAATTTGGATAACGTGCAAAGCTGCTTTTTTACATTTTTTAGTTGATTGAGAGTTAGAAAATCGTACCAAAAACACCACTCCCCAAGTATAACCTCTAATACGCTAACATTCATTAAACCTCTAACACTATAGCTAAAGTTGTTACATTTTTTAAAGTACGCTAAACTGGGGAATTGATTTTTAAATAAAGGGCAAAGTAGCACTAACCTCAGTCAAGTTGCTGTAAGTGTTTCATTTGGGAATTGTGAAATTTTTTAAAAACATTTCAAGACTTATCATTACATCAACGAAGATGAATATAGGTGTAGTTTGTCAGATGAGTAACTATTAAGGAAACCATGAATGTTTGGTATCTACTTTCACAATTAAACCACAATTTAGAGGATCAAATTCTAACCCTACAAACTTTTTTTTAACCAAAGACAGGAAGAAAAATCATACTCTTGTGATAAGGAGTCATAATTCATTTTAAATTCTGCAGGATTAATGCTGCTTTCCAGATAAGAAGAATTCACCCCGTGTGCGTAAAGTGTTTAAGGAGCCTTGAAATTATAAATACATATTCAGATTAATTTTTTTGTTCTAAGCTTTAAATAAAATTTCAAAGTATTTTATAAAATAATTAACATCCCATAGATATGCTTTTTTAAAAAAGTAATTATGTCTATAAAAGTAATTTGTATAAGGCAATAAAAATTTTACTTTATAAAAAAATCAAACAATGAATACTTTTTGCTTAATTCTTTCTTAGGAGCAGTAATTTCTTATGGGTTCCTTAGAAGACATGTGATTTATTTAAGCTCTATTAACTGAATGTGAGTCTGTTTTCTGACATAAACAGTGGATAGTGTTATGAAAAAATAAAATTGTCAGTGAATAGGCTAAATTTCATAGTTCACAAATATAGCTATCCTGAACATAGAATACAGATCCAATGAACATTTAGTTTTATAATTAGCACTGTTTTAATCCAAATTCCAATTTTATGCATGGGAAACTGAGGCCTAGAGAAATGAAGTAACTTTTTACAGACCCGTTAGCTCAGAGGCTGGAATCACTAGGCCTGGTAGTTTGATTTATGAGTACTACCTTCCATGAGATAAAAAGCTAAAAATGCTGTGATGAGGACATGTTTATTTCTAAAAAGCCTGCAGCACAATCTATCTCTTCTCCCAAAAATCGTATGTATGACAGATTTTTATGTTACTGCTGCTACACGAAGAAAATTGAGCCTAATATGTTCAGTCTTCCAGGCCAAAGCAAAGGATTGATTTTAGAAGGAACTTGTCCTGCATGGCCTCCATCCAGCCATCAGGCAGGGCTCCAGCTCTGCAGGGGAAAAAGAGATAGCCCAGGAAGAGGGAATCACCACCCACCCCACCCTGCGATCTGTATCTAAGAGAAATAACCCTGAAAAGAAGAGCTATAAGAGATGGCAGTGTGTGCTTTCGTCCGGGTGCACTTCCCGATCCTTCATCTTTCATGCCCATCTCTGATGTTTCTATCCTGGTATAGCCTTCTGAGTCATGTGTTCATCTCTCCTTTGGCTCAACCCAACAGACACAGCCTGCAATCTCACCTCCATCAACACAGCAAATGTCTGTGTCTCAAAGACCTCGAGATAGAGCTTCCTATGCTTTAACCCTTCCAGGGGCACACCTTTATTTCTGGGCAACTCAACACTGTCCCTCCTCCTGCCTCCACCACGGGCCCCATTACCTCCCTACCCTTCTCCAAGCAGTAGTCACTCAGCGCCAACCCCTCTCAGGCGTCGGGATCTTCAGTCCGGGGCCCCAGCCCTCCGCGCGGTTCTCCTGCCCAGCGCACCGTGCGTTGCCACCCCCATCGCGTTCCTCAGCCTCCCGGGCTCCAGAGGCAGGAGCTGGCCATGCTCTCACCTCATCCAGGGTGTGGCCGCCGCAGCTGCTTCTTCCTCCTCGGCCGCTGCTGCCCAGCTCCCGGCTGGCTCCGGGCGCCGTCTTTCCCGGCTCGGGGTCTGCCGTGGGGACTGAGGGGTTCGCGTCGCGTCCCCGGACCGGTAAGACGTGTAGTGAGCCCGGCGGGACGCGCGACAGCAGCAGCCAAAGTCGCATCGGCGGCGGCAGCAGGACCCGCTGTCTGTCCCCTTCATGGATTTCCTGGGCCTGGCCACCCCAGTCCTAGCTACGGTTCCTGCTTGTTTTCCTGGTGTCTTCCGGGACTGCCAGGGCGCATCCTCTGGGCCTGGCTGAGCATCCCCGTCAGTTCCCTGGGCCTCCTCCGCGGCTGCCTCTGCCACCTGCTCCGCCCAGATTGCTTTGGTCCTTCTCTCGCAGACACACTCAGCTGCCCTTCATCCTCTGTCGTCTCCCCATTCTCTCTCCACCCACTGCCTCATTCCCAGATCCCACGCCGTTTCTTCCTTTCTATCCGCTCCAATGTCACTTTCTCTTTATTTCCAACCTCAGATAAGTTTCTCCTTTTCTTTCTGTCTCTCTCAATATTTTCCCCGGTTTCATCCTCCTCCCCGCGCCCCCGTATCAGTCATCCTTTTATAATTTATCCAGTTTTTCGTCTCCTATTAGTTCCTCAGAATCACTACTGCAGGTTGTTGGCTAGCCTCTTTTCTTCCTCTCCCTGTTTCTTTCTCTTTCCTAAAATCTTTTCCTTTCAATTTTCCCTTGAGTTTTTCAATTGTAAAAACTTTCTCCCAAACAGCCTACATTTTCCTTTCAGTTGAGACTGATTGCAGTTTTCCATGAACTCATAGTAAAGCATATATAGCTTGGTATCCACCATAAACCAAGAAAGTGTTTTAACCTTTTTTTAAAGTTGGTCAGTTAAATAAATTATCCCATAAATATTCATTCTGAAAATCCAGTTCTTATATCCTACATATGTCCTTGAAAACAGAGACTAGTTTGCTTTTGTATCCAGCAAAGCAAAATGTTTCTGCAACACTATTGCATATAGCATAAGTTCAGCAGGGGAGGGGGAGCAATGTTTGTCTTTGTAGTTGGGCACTGTGGATCTCAAGGTTCATAGGCAACAGCTATTATTGTTGACTGACTGAATGCAGACAAAGCTGAATTCATCTCAGCTCATCCTTCCAAATCTGTTGCTCAGTTCTGTGTTTTAACCCCAGCCCTATCTACCCAGCTGCTCAATCCCCAAACCTAGAATTTGTCAGGGACCTATTTCTCTTTTACCCATCTCATCCAGTCATTAATTCTACTTTTTTACTCTCTCCCTCTCTCTCTCTCTCTATAGATAGATAGATAGATAGATAGATTTTTTTTTTTGAGACGGATTCTCACTCTATCACCCAGCAGGCTGGAGTGCAGTGGCATGATCTTGGCCTACTGCAAGCTCTGCCTCCTGGGTTCAAGCGATTCTCCTGCCTCAATCTCCTGAGCAGCTCGGATTACAGGCACCTGCCACCACGCCTGGCTAATTTTTGTATTTTTAGTAGAGATGGGGTTTCGCCATGTTGGCCAGGCTGGTCTCGAACTGCTGACCTCAAGTGATCCTCCCGTCTCAGCCTCCCAAATTGCTAGGATTACAGGCGTGAGCCACTCACCTGGCCCATTCTTTCTTTTAAGCCTCCTAACTTAAGCTTCATCTTTACCTCTCCTTATCTTTGTCCAATCTGTCTTATCTGGGCTCTTTGTCTAACAACCTCTACCAGAAAATTCTTAATTATCTCTTATTGTTTTGTATCTTCTTCCTCTCCTTTTCCATTAGCTTCATCCCCAGCCCACAAACATGCTTAACTCTCCTCACTCTTAAAACAAAGTCCTTCCGTCTCTACCTATCACCATATCTCTCACTTCCCTTCACATCCAATTTGTTTAATATATTGTGTTCATTTGATGTCCACACTTTCTGACTTCCCAATCATTCTTTACCTCCTAATTTTCTGCAATCAGGCTTCTAATCCTATTGCTTAACTAGAGGTATTCTCCCAGAGGTCCTGGCGAATTTCATGTCAGGCATAGGTAGGCAATGCCAGATCAGTTGCCCCTAGTTTTTCTCCCCGCAACAAACGAATTCAGATCTAAGAAAAAAAAAAAACAAAAAACCTGTGGTATCAAGGCCACCACATTGCAGAGCACTCAACCACCATTTAACCTACATAAATAGCACCTTACCCACTGAAGCCTGCACAACTAAAAACAATGGCCTTGAGTGGTAGGGCTAAACTCTTGGGTTCATGCAGTTTATCCAAACGCAGGCTGAAGAGGAATCCCCATTATATGACTCTAGATTGATAAATTACCTAGTTTTGATTATGGCCTTAGATTTTAGAGATTCAGACTTTGGTTTTGCCCATAGATACGTGGTAGATTTTATCTAACACACAAATTAAAAGGAATAGGGCTCCATAACTTAAAGAGAATAAGCCATCTTTTGTAGTTGTGGCAGATAAACAGTTCAGTGAAGTTACTGCAAACCCACAGCATTCATTACTGCTATGAAGTACTGAGACCTCCAACTCCAGCCAAGATGTAGTAGTATATATCAAACTAAACCTCCCACTTCAGGGGGAAAGTGGGATAAAATATACATAAATATTTACATATTTGTATATATTTATATGTGTGTGTGTGTATATATATATATATATATATATATATATAGTCATGCAATGCATAACCAAGTTTTGATCAAAGACAGACTGCATATGCAACTGGTGGTCATATGCAGTTGCATATGACTTGCTATACATTTTCCAAGTTTAGATGTACAAATACCTACCATTAGGTTAAAATTGCCCACAATATTTAGTACAGTACCATGCTGTACAGGTTTCCAGCCAAGGAGCAATAGGCTGGGTGTGTAGTAGGCTATACCATCTAGGTTTGTGTAAATATATTCTGAATGTTCATACAACAATAAAATTGTCTGATGATGCATTACTCAGAATGTATCCCTGTCATTAAGTAATACATGACTTTATACATATACGGATGGTCCCCAACTTACAATAGTTTGACTTAAATTTTTTTGCCTTTATGATGGTGTGAAAGTGATAAACATTCAGTAGAAACTGTACTTTGAATACCCATACAACCACTCTATTTTTCATTTTCACTACAGTATTCAACAAATTACATAATCAACACTTTATTGTAAAATAGGCTTTGCATTAGATAATTTTGCCCAACTGTAGGCTAACATAAGTGTTCTGAGCACATTTAAGGTAAGGTAAGTTAAGCTATGATGTTTGGTAGGTTAGGTGTATTAAGTGCATTTTTGACTTACAATATTTTCAACTTAGGTTTATTGGGATATAACCCCATCATAAGCCTAGGAGTATCTATATATCTATATCTATAATTCTTTGGAGGCATTGAAGAGTAACTAAAGCAGGTGGAACTTAAAGCTATGATCCTGGAGAGAAGGCACATGAGGTGAACTCAGTGTTTACCCTGGAATATTTCTCCTGAGGGAATGCTCAAAACTAAGTGCAAGACAATAAAAGCCAAAAAAAAAAAAATACAGCAGTTTTTCTGGGCTGAGGAATAAGAGGCTGTATTAGTCTGTTCTCACACTGCCATAAAGAACTACCTGAGATTGGATAATTTATGAAGAAAAGAGATTTAATTGACTCACAGTTCTTCAGGTTTAACAGGAAGAATGACTGGGAGGCCTCAGGAAACTTACAAGCATGGTGGAAGGTGAAGGGGAAGCAAGCACGTTTTACCATGGTGGAGCAGGAAAAAGAGAGTGAGGCGGGAAGTGCCACACACTTTGAAACCATCAGGTCTCATGAGAACTCACTCTCACTATCATGAGAATAGCCTGGGGGAAATCTGCCCCCATGATCCAATCACCTAATACCAGGTCTCTCCCCCAGCAGTGGGAATTACAATACAGCATGAGATTTGGGTGGGAACACAGAGCCAAATCATATCAAAGGCCAAAGTTGAGGGCTACCAAAGTGCCTCTGATTGAGGGCAAACTCCAAGAGGGGAGAATTGCAGAGGAGCTCAACAATCTATGCAAATTGCCATCATGATAGTGATCTAAGTTCCTACACTCAGCATGCACAAAGAAAGATGCCAAAAAAAAAAAAAAAATCAGAAAACAGCAGTTTAGGGTCTAATGAGGTAAGTGAAGATTTCAGCATCCAATAGAAGTTGGACTTCAAGCCTTGATAAGGTACCTAGATACCCAGGGTTTTCAGTTGAGATCTCAGCACATCCTTGGAGTAAGAGCAATATAATACTGAAATAAAATAGATCTAACAAAGCTTGAAACCAAGCCTTTTCAGGATCAAAGTTATCTGCCACTATTCTTTCTACTTTCCAGGAGTAGAAAGTAGAAACTCTATGGAGGTAGGTAACATTATCCAGAGTCTACAATTTTGTCTTATACAATATCTGGGATCCAATACAAAATAATTATGAGCCATGCAAAAGATCAAATCCAAATGACTAAACACTAAGAGAGCTTGAGCATACACCAAAAAATTTAGATATAAAGTGACGGGAAATTTGAAGCCATTGTAGAAGATACGAATTGGAGATGGAACTACCCAAAATTACCATCTATAAGGATCTTCTAGATTAAATGCAAGCTAACTTATTCTTAAAATTGTTTTGTTCATATGATATGAACAGAGTCTATATCAGAACCTGGAACATGACAGGCACTAAATAAATATTTTATGAATATTGAATTAGTTGTTCTAACAACATCGTGGAGAATAGCTTGAGAAGGGTAAAGGCTAGAATCAGAAAAAGCGGCTAGGAAGACTTTAAAGACTGTCTAGACATAGGTTGATGGGTGGATTAGCCTAGTGGATACAGAGATTCAGAAAATATGAATCTAAGAAATATTGGGAGGAACTTCCATTTTTTCCCATGTCAGTAAGCACATGGACATTCACCAAAGTCCAAATCAGAAATGTGGGGTCATCCTTGACTCTTCTCTTTCTCTTGCTCCTCATATTTGGTCACTCTCTGAATCCTAAATATCGCTACCCTGCCTTCTCCTGCTATTCACACTGCTTTAGTTCAAGCCCCACCACGTCCCTCCAGGACTTTGTTATAGCTTCCTTAAATGGTCTCCCTGCCCTGGGTTCTTCCCCATTAAGCTTTTCTTCCAAAATTGAAAATTCAGTGTTTTTCCTTTTTTGTGTGAAACCATGAAATGGCTCCTGATTTACCTTCTAAGCTTCAGCATACCTAAGCTTCATGGTAGGGCTGCTCCTTACCAGGCCTTGTGTCATCTGGCACTTGCTTTGCATGCCAGTGCATTCTTCTGCTCCTTACTTGGTGGTTCTTAAACCAGACCAACACTAAACAACTGGTAACCCCTGCCCCAAGGGTTTGCCATGCTATTTCATGCCTCTGTGCCTTTGCTTATGCTATTCCTTCTGCCTGAAATGCTCTCACTCCCAACACCCTGGCTGCTTTTCCATCTGTATTCATTTCCTGTTGCTGCTATAACAAACTATCACAAACTTACTCTTTTTGAGGTCAGAAGTCTGAAATGAGGCTATTTCATGAGGCTAAAATTAAAGCATTGGCAGACCTTCATACCTCCTGGAGCTGGAGGAGAGATACTGTTCTTTGCCTCTTCCAGCTTCTAACCACAGTTTTTGTTTTTTTTGTTTGTTTTTGGTTTTGGCTGATGGTCCCTCATTGTCACATCTCTTTCTCTGACACTCCTGCCTCCTTTTTCTATAGGGACCCCTGTGATTACATCAGGTTCGTCTGAATAATCTAATCTTCCCATCTTCCTTAAACGTAGTCATATCTGCAAAGTCCTCATTGACATGTACGGTAACATTTACAAGTTTGGGATGTGGATATCTCTGAGAAGCCATTATTCTGCTTACTGCACCACCCAACCCCAATTAATCTCTTAAAGCTCTGCTATCACTTTTTCTCTGAAACATGTTCTGCTCAGAGCTAATCACTCTCTATTTTGTGTCATATACATACTACCTTCACTGCATGGGTTGGCTTGTATTGCACATAATAACTTTTAAAACACATCTACCTCTCTATTATATTTTGATTTCTTGAGGGGACAGCTTATTTATCTTTGTATTACCAGCAGTAAGCATGTTACATGGTATATAGCAAGTAGTAGGAGCTAAATTGTACTTTTTAAAAATGAATGTCCCAGGCAGTGCAATGATCCATTTGAATGTTAACTAGACATGTAGGTTTAAATGGTGACTACAGTTGCGGTGCATTCCTAACTTTGCAGGGTCGTTGCCTACCACTCTCCCTGCCCACGCTTGTCTGCTTCCCCTCCAGTCACATGGCCTTTCTAACCTTCCTTGGTCATGCTGTTCCTGTCCCATCCTCATCTCTCTGTCTGTAATGCCCTTCCTCCAACTTTTCTTTTCATAAATCCCTAATTCATTCTCAAAGCACAAATCAAAACTTTTTCCTTCTGCAATGCCTTTTATTTTTCTCAAGACAGAATTCATCACTTCCTCTTTTGAGTTGCTAAGACATTTTGTACAGATCTGTATTACATATTTCACATTGTGTTTTGCTTGGTTTTATATATATATCTGTTCCATCACAAGAATGCACAAAAGCCATATCTTGTTTATATCAGTACTAGGCATGTAGCAAGCACTCAATAATGTTTATGACCTTAAAGCGAACATATAAACAGATGAGAATGGAGGGGCAACAGAAAGGAACCAAAAGATTAAAAGAGTGCCTTTGATAAAAGATAAAGAGGAAGGAAGAGACTGAGAAGACCCTCAAAGACAGCATTCAGAAGACCCTAGAGGCAGAGTGTGATGAAGGCTGGAGTTAGAGTGGCTGACCTCTAATTAAAGAGGAGAATGTGAGAGGCAGAACCACATGCAGTGAGCTGCAGGCCTGAGAAAGAGAAAGGCTGTTGGATGTGACCACGAAGAGATCCTAATGGTTTTAGGAAGCATAATGAGAATGCCCAGTCAGGACCCTGGGTCTGCTCCTGTTTTTAGGTTAGGAGAGATTAGGTTAGGTTAGGATCTCCAGAGGATAAATGACTTGAGGAAAAGGAATATCACACCTCATATCCGATCAACCTGCTTGAATGCTTGAGGCCATGAACACCTCAGCACAGCTCCAAGTCAGTTTGGAAGGCTTGGTTCTTTCATCTGATACCACGACTTCAAAGTACTAGGAGATGTAGATGGTTCTCAGGGAATACAGAAGCCAACATAATGTATTCCCCTATAATAATCAGAGATTTTCATCAATAGGGCACAGTTGGCTGGGTGGTCCAGGCTCCTGAGGAACAAAGGCAAAATGTCTAAATCTGGCTTCAGAACTGAGAATAATTTCTCTTTCACGGAACTTTTCTGGATGATGATATTTCTCTATATAAAGCATTCTCTGACCCAGTGGACAAATATTTCTCACATCTCTGCCTGCCTTGAACCTTGCCCTCCTATCTTCCATCAACACTGCTGTCAGCTGTATTCTCCCACCTGTGTCTTGTTTGGCTAACCTGTATGGCCAACTGTCTGTCTTTACCTTTACAAAGCCTGATCTAGACAAACTTCTATGCCGGACATCTGCACTGATTTTTGCCCAAATCAATTGTCTAGCATCTATTTCTGTGATCTGCTTCTGCTGTGTCCTGAATCAGTCTGCTGTGGTCTGATAGGTTGCACATTCTCAATGGGAGTGAGAATTGATCTTGGGGGATAAAAAACAACTTAATTTTTTAAATGTACAAAGTGCAGATATACATACAATGCATAAACTGATATCACAATATATCTGCGTGTATTAGGGCTCTCCAGAGAAACAGAACTGATAGCATATATTATATATAGATACACAGAAATAGATTTATTACGAGAGATTGGCTCATGCAATTATGGAACCTGTGAAGTCCCATGATCAGCTGTCTGCAAATTGGAAGCCCAGGAAAGTTAGTGGTGTATTATGACTCCAGTCCAAGCCAGAAGGCCTGAGAACCAGGAGAGCCAATCCTGTAAGTCCCAGTCCAAGTCCAAAGGCCCCAAAACCAGAAACACTACTGATATCCAAGGGCAGGAGGAGATGGATGTCCCAGCTCCAGAAGAGAGAGTGAACTTGTGCTTCCTCCACCTCTCTGTTTTATTCAGGCCTTCAAGGGATTGCATGATGCCCACTCACACTGCCAAGGGTGATCTTTTACTCACTCTACCAATTCAAATGCTAACCTTTTCCAAGAACACCCTCCCAGACACACCCACAAATAATGTTTTACCAGTGATCTCAGCAATCCGTAGCCCGCTAAAGTTGACACACAAAATTAACCATCACACTATGGTACCAAAATTTGATAGAGGAGAGCAATTTTTAAAAACATCTGAAAAGCCTCCTTAGGAAGGCAATAATGAAAAGAAAAGGGTTGAGAAATATTGTGATAGGTGATGAGGCTGCAATTCCTGTAACAGAAGGAACATAAGGAGAATGGATTGTGAGGAAATGGAGGTAGTCACAGTTATTTGACTGAGAAGTAGACTACAGAGAGAATTCCGATGAAGCAAACAAATTATGAGCACTTATTATGTGCCATGAACTGTGTGAAACCCTTTCACATTTGTTAGCAAAGAGCTTCTCCTTTAGTAGTAATGTACATATTCCTTGCAGAAAAAACAGTGACATTTTCCATTGAGACAGTAGCGCACCTATCTCTCCTCTGCTTCAGCAGCCTTTATGCTAATTACTGTTTTGGAAGTAACTCCTCATTCACTTTTTGCAACATAAGATAATGAGAAATACAGCCCAGATTTTGTTTGTAGAAGCTCCTTTCATGGCAGCCTTTCAACAGTTTGGGTAATTTAAAAGATGCAGTTGTAATCGTGACTAACTCATTAAGATGCTTGATGAGCATCTTAATGAGTTAAAAAACCTGGACATTTTTAACACACTTTTGGAAAGAGGCAAGAAAAATATAAGAGTGGGAATAATCCAAGGAAAACATTTCAAGTCTTTGAACAATAGACCCTAGAATTTCCTTAGCTTGAGATAGGTTAGGACAAGAAAACAGAATGTTGCTTAAAAGAAGCCCAGTGATCATTTGTGTCTACTTGCACTTCTGGAATATGACTTTTGTTTGTTAGTTGGTTCATTTTGACTTAAAAAGTGTTTTTCAGCCAGGTGCGGTGGCTCACACCTGTAATACCAGCACTTTGGGAGGCCGAGGTGGGCAGATCACAAGGTCAGGAGATCGAGACCATCCTGGCTAACATGGTGAAACCCCGCCTCTATTGAAAATACAAAAAATTAGCCAGGTGTGTTGACGGGCGCCTGTAGTCCCAGCTACTCGGGAGGCTGAGGCAGGAGAATGGCATGAACCTGGGAGGCGGAGCTTGCAGTGAGCCGAGATTGCTCCACTGCACTCCAACCTGGGCGACAGGGGGAGACTCTGTCTCAGAAAACAACAACAACAACAACAACAACAAAACCCACAACATTTTTCTTTGTTCTCTCTCAGTACTCATTAAGAATTTACTACTGCGTCTTTAGATTTTATCTCAGGCAGATCAATGCTATGTATTTGTCCCCTGTACTTGATCCCTGTGCTTTCCTTCTCTCCTACTTTCCTACTCTTGTCATGAGTGCTGAGGCAGGGATGATGTTGGGGTGGAAAGCTGAAGGGCGAAGATGAATGAGCCACAGTGTCCACTTAGAATCTACAGCCAACTCTTGGCAGCTTATCCGTGGTAATTCTTGTTTCAGCTTCTTGTTGACTTTATCACCCACTCAATGTGCTTAACTCTATGATGGATGTTATCACCATCTCTGTTTATTCACAATGCCAAGAACACCAGTGGAACAGGGAAATATTCAGGAAAACCCACTTTATGGTGTCAACTTGACCAGAAAACAAAACACAACTCCATCATTGCTTTATTGAATTTGGCATCATTCTAGAAATAAACTATCATTTATATTTTGTCAAACAAAAAGAAGAGGAGAAGAGATTTCAAAAGCACTGCTTCTGGGGAGGGTCTGGATCAAAGGTAAATGTGTGACTTTAGGTGACAGAAAAGCATCTCCACTCAGATGCATCCAATTTTGAGGGGGCACTGACTACAGGACAGTAGAGACAAGGGACACTCATGAACAAGCAGCTTTTCCAATTCTGGGTCCTTTTCAAACTGTAGTATCAACATATATTTTTAAGTTTCATAAATTCTTGGAACATTAAACATATCCATTCAAACAGTTCTTTCAATATGGTGGATATTTGTAAGCTGCCCTGGAAATCAGAACACCTTGAATTTAATTCCTGCTATGACATTGGCTGACTCTGTAACTTTCACCTTTTTTAGTTCTCCAAGATGATATAAATAATGGAAAACATATAGGACTCTAAAATGGTTGCAACATAGGTTCAAATCTGACCCCTACCACTTGTTAGCTTGTCAACATTGGATAAGTTATTTGACTTCTTTGAGCATCAGTATCTTTATTTGTTAAATGGAGATAAAGATATCTTTCTTGCAGGAATGTTGTATGGATCTAATGAGATCATGTATGCAAAACACCCAACACATAGTTGTCACTTTATAAATGGCTGTTCTAGTAGCCATTTGCACAGAGATGGGGAAAGGCTAGGTGACAAAAGGCATGGGCATTCTGAGCTCATCAGTTGATAGGGCTTCCTTAACGTCATAGCTTTATTAGAGAAGGAGGAGGATACAGCCCAGCCACATAGGAACTCAGGCCTGTTTTATTTCCGCAGGATCTGGTCACCACAACAATCAGAATGTGCAGGGGTAAGACTAAGGAAGAGAGAGAGAGAGGAAGAATGGATGGTGGGGGGGGGCGGCTCTCTTCTTCCTGACGGCAGAGAATCCCCCAGTATTCCTTCAGTTGCAGAAACTAAATGGAAGGCAAATGGCTGTCTGCTTGTGGTGCATGCACCAAGACAAACTACTAAAGTGTTTCCTGCCCAGTCCCCACAGGTGTTGCTTCTCAGCTTTGGATAAGTCCTCCAGCAAGTACCTTGTTGAAAGCGAGAAAGGCAGCTGCATAACTCTCCAGTCCACAGAGCTAACAAATCACTGTGTCATCAAAGAAGAGGGAATCATGGGAAATAGCCTGTGGTTCACCCTCTAAGGCAGGGAGTCAGGAGGCTGTGAGGTGGCACATTTGATTCTTGCTCATTAACATAGTTTCTCTTTGTGTCCTCCTCCTCCTCTTTGCCTGCTTGCCTGTTCCACTGGGTAAGCAGCAAGTGCCTATTCAAATCATTATTTATCAAATGTGTACTATGTTCCCAACATTCATTCAATACACCTATATTGAAAGCCTTTTATGAGAATAACAAAAATAACAAGATAGATTCAGAGTAAGATTCAGAGACTGAAGCAAGTCCCCATATAGTAATCACATGTTCAACTAGTTGTTAAGTGGTATATATAATACATAGAAACCAACCGTGGAGGACCTCAGGGAAAGGAGCCAGGAAGCTGAGGAAGGCTTTGGAGAGAAGATGACATTGGAGCTAGGCCTTCACCCAAAATTCCATAGGTGTTGGTCCATTTTGCATTGCTATAAAGGAATACCTGAGACTGGGTAATTTAAGGGGAAAAGGGGTTTATTTTGGCCAGGACTGGTGGCTCACATCTATTATCCCAGAACTTTGGGAGGCTGAAGCGGGTGGATCACTTGAGGTCAGGAGTTTGAGACCAGCCTCCCCAACATGGCAAGAGCCTGTCTCTACTAAACATAGAAAAATTAGCTGGGTGTGGTGGCACAAGCCTGTAATCCCACTTACCCAGGAGGCTGAGGGATGAGAATTGTTTGAACCTGGGAGGCAGAGGTTGCAGTGAGCGGAGCTTGCACCAGGGCACTCCAGACTGGGAAACAGAGCAAGAATTTGTCACGAAAAAAAAGAAAAAAAGAAAAAAAGAGGTATGTTTGGCTCACAGTTCTGCAGGCTGTAGGTGAAGCAGAGTGCTGGCATCTGCTTCTGGTGAGGGCCTTGGGAAGCTTACATTCATGCTGGAAGGCAAAGGGGAGCCAGTGTGTCATATGGCAAGAGACGGAGCAAGACGGGGGGGGGGGTGTCAGGCTCCTTGTAAACAACCAGGTCTACTGTGAAATAAAAGAGTGAGAACTTGCTTATCACCAAGGGGATGGCGCTAAGCCATCCATGAGGGATCTGCCCTCAAGATCCAACACCTCCCATTGGGCCCCACTTCCAACATTGGGGATCACATTTCAACATGAGATTTGGAGGGGACACACATCCAAACCATATATCACTATGGGTCCACTATATCACTATGGATCCAGGGGAGGATGGGATAGGGGAGGGGAGGCAGCAAGGGCATTATAGGCAAAGGGAAGTGCACATATGAAGGTGAAGAGGACATGAGCCCCCAGCATGTCTGGGGACTGGCTGGTAGCTTGATGTGCCTGGAACAAAGGCTATGCAATCCTGGGCAGCAGCAGGGGGAGAGGTAAATGTGGTCAGAATGCCAACGATTTTCCATGCCATCTGTCCAGTTTGGGCTGTAACTGTAGAGAATGGGGAGCCATTGGTGAGTTTTAAGTATGAAGTGATGGGTTTATACTTGTATTTTGGACAATCCTGTGGGCTTCAGAGTACTGAATGGACTAAAAGAGAGGCTAAAAGCTGGGAGACAGTTAAGAGCTCACTGAAATTGCCAATGATGTCAAATGCTGCAAACTCATCAAGGAAAATGAAGACTGAGAATGAGTTCATTGCATTTGACAGTTGGAGATCTTTGGTGACATCTAAAAGTAATTTCACTATAACGACTGAAGCAGAAGCTGGATTACTAAGCCAGTGGTTCTCAAAGTGTGGTCCCTAGATCAGCAGCACTGGCATCACTTGAGAATGTTATAAATGTAAATTATCTGGCTCAACCCACATCCCTTTCAAAACTTTGGGAATGAAGCCTAGCAATTGGCATTTTTACAAGTCTTCTGGATGATTCTGATAAATGCTAAAGTTTGAGAACAACTAGCCTAAATGACTCTTCATCTCTTCCCCAGATGTTCCTTACTCTGATGACACCTGAATTATTTGATATTTCCTAAGTAATCATTAATATGGTTTCTCAGTTATCTGCATAAATTGTTCCTGTCAGTCATGTGCAATATATGTACAGTCTCTGCCTGGTAATATTGAACTCATTGTTCAAGGCCTAACTCAAATGTCACCTCCCTAGGAAGTCTCTCCAATTTCCTCCAGGCAGCCCCCCATGGATACTTGTGCACATATTTATGTCATAAAATGTATTTTATTTGTTGTGTTGATTTGGTTTACTATCTTCCCTACTAACTAGAAGCTCTTCGGGAGTAGGGACTGCTTTATCGATCTCTATTTCCATATTGTTTTTACATCTTAAGTGCTCAATAAATGTAAGAAGAGGAAGCTGTAATAAATTGCAGAAATAAAAACAGCAAGGGACAAACCACTGTTTTAAGAGGTTTGGAAGTGAAAGATGAATTTGAAATAGAAATACAATAGAAAATGTGTGTGTGTGTGTGTGTGTGTGTGTGTGTGTGTGTGTGTGTGTGTGTCTGGAAGAAAACTGTTGGCTGAGGGATTAAGCCAGTAGAGAGGGAAAGATGAATGATGAGACAGTGGGAATCAGTGGGTATTGAATGCAAAATGGTCCTGGAGAAGGCAGAAGGGAATTAAATCAATGGCCAATGCTGAAGAATTAGCATTGAAAGAAGGAAAGACTCTTTTTTTCTGAGATACAACACAAGGAAGTAAAGGTGGGTACATAAGTGATGAGTTGTGAGGTTGAGATGGGAGATGGTAGGGAGTCCTTAGATGGCCTGTCAGTGTAGAAATGGTGAGGGCTAGGGAAGGTTTTGCAGGGGAGGTGATATTTGAACTAGGAGATGTCTTTAGTGAAGTAGGAAGTGAAGCCTTTTGCTGGGAAGAAAATGGGGAACAGAAAGAAGGAAAGAGGTTACAGCAGAGAGGTGAAGACTTGTAAATGCTAGGGAGGGGATTGGAGAACAACAGCAGGGGATTCTTTTGGGCTGATCCATCTCCCTGATTCAAGACAAAGAAAGAGTCCACTTATTCATCCAATTGTGATTGGCAATAAAAGAAGTATGGAGGGATTGTCCCCAAAGGCTGTCTTTGAAATAAGATGGACAACTTCTGGATACAGATCCCAATACTAATATAGAAAGTATTCTAGCTCTATATATTAATTAAGGCTGGAATATTTTGCAGACAATAACAATGCTATGTATGGCAACTATGTACAACAAAGGAAAATATTTATGGTATATGAATTGCCTAAGAAATCTGGATAAAAACTATATGTATGTCGGCCAGGTATGGTGGCTCATGCCTGTAATCCCAGCACTTTGGGAGGCCAAGGCAGGTGGATCACCTAAGGTCAGGAGTTCGAGACCAGCCTGGTCAACATGGTGAAACCCTGTCTCTACTAAAAATACAAAAATTAGCCAGGCATAGTCACGTGCGCCTGTAATCCCAGTTACTAGGGAGGCTGAGGCAGGAGAGTCACTTGAACCTGGGAGGTGGGGGTTGCAGTGAGCCGAGATCGCACCACTGCACTCCAGCCTGGGCGACAGAGCAAGACTCCATCTTAAAAAAACAAAACAAAACAAAACAAAACAAAACTATATGTATGTCTTGATTACAACTCTGTAAGAACATACATATGAAGAACAAATGAATAAAACACATGAAAATGCTATTAGTGGTGGTATTATAGGTCATTTTTCCTTTAAATTTTAAATTGATGTTTTAATGTTTATAATTAGTTGGCAATAAATAGAATTTTTTTTCCTTGCTGGCTTTAAAAAATTTACTAGGAACACTTAGAAGAGAGTATTTCAAAATAAAAAGTTGTAAGGTGAAAACAATCAGTAGAATTGTATGAACACCTCCCATATAAGGGGCAGATGCCAGGAAAAGAAGTCCTTAAGTTGAACCAGAGTTGGAAGCTGACAAGCAAGAGGTTGGATGCCACGATATAGAAGAGCACAAAAGAGGTATATGACCTAGCCCTTGACTCACAGTAAACTTGAGAGACTAGGCTTACAATAAATGATTCGAGGATAACTTATTCAGTTATCTAAACAACGGATGGGACTGGATCACTGAGGCAGTGACCTGTGGGCAGGCGGGACAATGCAGAGGTCAATTATGTGCCATCGGAGTTGATCAGATGGACCTGGGCTTAAATCCCTGTGCCACTGCTTAGCAGCTGTGTGATCTAAGACAACTTACTCAGGTTTCATTTTCTGCACTGTAAAGTAGAAATAATAATACCTACTCATAAGCTGTTGAAGCATTACAAACAATAAAGCAGGTAAAGTGCTTAATACAATGTTTGACACACAAAATTGCCATTATCGTTATTAACGTTTTATTGTTGCGTCATCTATGAGTATTTATGATGGAGGAAACTGATTTAGACTAGGGGCACATTGAATTCTTTGGAGGGACTTCAGGGAGGTATCTTAAGAGCCGTGAGAGAGTCTCAGGGGGCAGTGAAGACTCCCTCACTGCTGGAACAATGCTGTGGGCTCACCCTAGGCCTTCAGGAGGGGAGAGAGATGTGCAAGGAGGAACTCCATGGTGGTTCTTCTTTTGCTAGTGTTTGTGCTACTTCCCCACTTCTAAACAGGTGCATAGTACTCCAGAGCACCCTTTCATCTTCCTTTCCCACTCTTCTGTTCTGTTTTTCTTCTCTTCAACTCTTCTTATTTCCCTTTTCTCCTCAAAACCAAGTGGTGGATGGGTAAGGAACTATACTATCTTTTGTGTGTTCTAACTTTGCCGTTTTTTTTTTTGTTTGTTTGTTTTTTTAATCTTAAAGGTTGTCTTCTAACTTCAGCACTCAGAGTTTACATAAGTAAGCCTGGGTTTACCCTACCCACTTCTTCCCTTATTTTTAAAATATCTATTTCCCCAACCATTGTCTTTAGTAAGTACTCTAAAATGACAGTCATCAGCAGAAACGCAAGGATTCCAGGCCATAAGAGTTTGATCAAGAAAGGATTTTTTGAGGTAGCTATATCTTGCAAAAGAAACAGAGGTGTGAACTGTCTGCAGGGCTCTTCTCGGCAATGAGGTGTTCCTTCTGGATTCAGATATAGATCTTAATGGGGTAAACATTCTAGGTCTTACCACCATCTGTTCTTCTTTTTCTGCTTAGACTGTTAGTACCTGTTATAAGAGGAAAGGAGGCAAAAGTGTGAAAGAAAAATGGTTGGATCAGTGGTCTGAGAAAGAGGATAAAGTAGTCATGTGACATTATTCTTAACAGAGATTAGAATGATTAAAAACAAAAACAAGTTGGTATCCAGGATATTCAGGTACAACCACCCCTCACCTGCTGATTCCAATTTCACATTCCATTCCACATTGATGAATAATAATAATGATGTACTTTTAGCTTTGTCAGAAATCCTATCTGCATATTTATAAGGTCATTATGTTTAGTTGTTGCTGATACCTGGTCTGAGTCCAGCAATTACCACCTCTGTCTCTTTGCACACACTGGTAGACATACACACCACTGATTTGTACTTTCCTATAAAATTACTCTTCCCC
Organism: Homo sapiens; assembly: GCF_000001405.40. Taxonomy (NCBI): domain Eukaryota; kingdom Metazoa; phylum Chordata; class Mammalia; order Primates; family Hominidae; genus Homo; species Homo sapiens. The sequence goes on from NC_000001.11 coordinate 120,717,693, forward strand.
TTTTTAATTAGAGTGTTTTCAGAAGCAAAACCTATCGTTAAGGCCATGTATGCTTCCATTATAAATACCTGTTTCCAGCCATTAATTATCTCCCAATGAATTACTTACTTAGAAGGAGATTTTTAATGCATTTTTTTTTTTTTTTTTTTTGGAGACAGGGTCTCACTTTGTCACCCAGACTGGAGTGGTGGAGTGGTGTGATCATGGCTTACTGCAGTCTTGACTTCTCAGGCACAGGTGATTCTTCCACCTCAGACTCCTGAGTGGCTGGGACCATAGGCGTGCACCACCATGCCCAGCTAATTTTTGTATTTTTTGTAGAGTTAGGGTTTCAACATGTTGCCCAGGCTGGTCTTGAACTCCTAGCCTCAAGCAATCCTCCCGTCTTGGCCTCCCAAAGTGCTGGGATTACAGGTGTGAATCATTGTGCCTGGCCTGTGCACACTTTTTATAATGGGATTTCTCTTCCTTACTTTTGATGTCCCCTCTCTCATACTTAGTTAACCATTTTGAATTCCACTTAGTAAGAAAAGTTTCCATTTTCTTTTTCTTCAGGGGACTTAGATATGATCTGCACCTAGATGGTAAGAAGATTTTCCATATTTTGAAGTAGAAACTTTCTGTATGCCTGAATCTTGCTGTCAAGAATGTCTTGGCTAATCATGAAGGAAGAATATAAGAATGTGAGTAAAAACAATTCAACAGTCCCTGAGAACAACGCCAATAAATATTCAAAATTGCATAACCATTTTAGTGACTAAAGCACTGAGACTCATCCAATAATACTGTGGTTTGATAATTACACAGTTGTGAATTTATGATACTGTTAAATTGGGGAGACATCTTGATGCATACAGGTCAACCCTTTCATACATCATTATATACAAAAAGTACACACCTACTTAGGAATTGAAGTGTAATACCTCCTAGCATAAAATGCTTAAAAGAAGATTTTAAGGGAGTGATACAGTGAGCATTCCTATATGAATTTTCCTGCTTATCTGAAGCATAGCAGAAGATGTGAAATTTCTAGGTAAGTTTTTTTTTTTTTTTTTTGACAGGGTCTTGCTCTGTCACCCGAGCTGAAATGCAGCAGTGGTAACATGGTTCACTGCAGCCTCAACCTCCTGGGATCAAGTGGTCCTCCCACCTCAGCCTCCCGAGTAGCTGGGACTAGAGACATGCATCATCATGCCCAGTTAGTTTTTTAATTTTTTGTAGAGACAGGGTCTCACTCTGTGGCCCAGGCTGGTCTTGAACTCCTGGGCTCAAGCCATCCTTCTGCCTTGGACTCCCAAAGTGTTGGGATTACAGGTGTGGGCCACTGTGTCCTTCCTTAACATCAATAAAATTGAGATAATCACATTCATAAAAGGGAAAAACTATGTCAACAAGCCCACTGTATTAGTCTGTCTTCACAGTGCTGTAAAGAACTGCCCAAGACTGGGTAATTTATAAAGGAAACAGGTTAACTGACTCACAGTTTAGCATGGCTGGGAAGGCCTCAGGAAACTTAACAATCATGGCAGAAGGCAAAGGGGAAGCAAGGTACCTTCTTCATAAGGCAGCATGAAGGAAAATTAATGCAGGAGGAACTACCAAACACATAAAACCATCAGATCTCGTGAACTCACTCATTATCAGGAGAACAGCATGGGAGAAACCGCCCCCATGATTCAATTACCTCCACCTGGTCTCTCCCTTGACACATGGGGATTACAATTCAAAATAAGATATTGGGTGGGGACACAGGCAAACTATATCGCCCATATTACAATTACTTACATTACTGATTCCCTTAATTAGAGCAGAGGTAATTAATTGGGTCCAGGCTCAGTGGAAGGGTCTGGCTGGTTCTTAATTCTCAGAGCTAGTTTGAATCTTGAGGTTAACTTCTTGCCTTCTAGAACTTGTCCTGTGTTTGGCTGAACTCTGTGAACCTTTCAGAAAGTAGGTCTTTATTGAGCACATACTCTGTGCAAGGCAAAGAACCAACTACTGTGGAGTTTACAAACATGAATAAGGGGTAAGAAATGACTCTTGTCACATGGCTTACAGTCCAGCTGTGTGGGCCACCACAGTTCATATCTTTCAGGATGGGGACTGGATGAGGGGAAAGTGGACTCAAAATTAATCCCAGTGCTCTCTACTTTCCCATATCCCTGTGCTTTATCTCTGTTGTAGTTATGTTATTTGTATGTTGGCCTGCCTCACTGCTCTGTGATCTCCAAAGAACAGGGACTGGGTTTTATTTATTTCTGCATTGCCGCAGAGCCTAGTATGTGCTTTGTAGAGAACAGGCTCTCAAAAAAATTTTAAATTAAAAGAATGTATTCACTTGTTTATGTTTCCTAGTTACAGTGGGTCAGCTTGTTCTGTGCTAACATGGAAGTGACAAGAAGCTGGTGTCCCTCTACACAGAGGTCCCCACACTAAATATCATCTTGGATGTGCTTCACATTGTTGCACAAAGGTACAGTGGAGTGAGACTGAGTAAGAGGACAGAAATAGTGGGGGGTTTGTCTCAGCTCACTAATTACTTATTTAACCTTGGGCAAGATACTTAAAGCTCTATCTCAGTTTCTTCATCTGCAAAATGGGTATAATAATGACTGGGGTGCCTATTTCCCACGATTGTTTTGAGGATCAAATGAGATAATATAATTAAAAGTGTTTTTGGAAGGTCTAAATCACTGCGCAACTGCAAGGCATTATTAAAAGAAATCTTCCTTTTAATTCCTGCTTCCACAAACATCTCATCACATATCCTTGGGTTCCTGGGTTACATGGAGAGATTCGTGGTGTAGCTCAATCTATGTGTCATAGCTATCCCACAATCTCTTCTTCAACTTCTCCAACACACCAAGACATTCTTCCAGTCTTGCATTGCTCCCCAGTTTATATAGATATATATGTTCCTCATTCAGCATTTATGTAAAACATATATTATTGAGCACTTATGTGATAGAAACCGAGGCAAAACAGAAAATAAAACAGAGTTTTATTTTGAGAGTTTTTTTACAGCTTATCGGCTCTGAGAGGACAGACATGAGAACAAATAAGTGCCCAATTCTGCATTTATTTTGGAAGGCAGTTTTATGTGAGTTTAAATCAGTAAAGACATAGATGTATATTTTTAGTTTTGATTAAAACTAAAACAATTGGTAGCCCTTATTCATATTTTTCTATCATTAAAACTTATCTTTAAAAAATGTCTTCAGTCATATTTTTCCCTTACTTCCATTCATATTTACTCTTTACTTCTCTTGTCCTTACCAGAATGTATGCAGTAAGTTTTCATATTGTAACACATTCAACAAAAGTTATATGTGAACATAATAGCTGCTTTCTTTAAAACGGTTACTTTGAGAAACTGAATACCTATTTTTTTTTTTTTTTTTTTTTTTGAGACGGAGTTTCACTCTTGTTGTCCAGGCTGGAGTACAGTGGCACGATCTTGGCTCACTGCAATCTCTGCCTCCTGGGTTCAAGTGATTCTACTGCCTCAGTCTCCTGAGTAGCTGGGATTACAGGTGCTCGCCACCATGCCCGGCTAATTTTTGGTATTTTTAGTAGAGACGGGTTTTCAACATGTTGGCCAGGCTGGTCTCAAACTCCTGACCTCAGGTGATCTGCCCACCTCAGCTTCCCAAAGTGCTGGGCTTATGACATAAGCCGCCACACCTGGCCTGCACATTTATTTTAATAATGTTGTCATAGCTACAGTCGCTTCTAGAGTTGCTCTTTGGGGATAACTATCTTATATTCTTCTGAATATATTTTAATAGTGACAAAACTTATCTTTGCAGGTGATTTTTAAAATTTGTATGCAGCCAAGTCACTATGAATTATCTTTAGTGAGTAAAGAGGAAGATCGAACTGGTAACACTGTGGGTAAACAACTGAAAAATAATGTTATCTTTCTCTGAACATACTTGCACAAGACAAATTCCAAAAATATTTTGACTACGTTATTTTTGAAAAGGGTTTCCAGTATTTCAATGTGACTACTTTCACTAATGGTACTTGCTTACCTAAAGTGCTTGTTAACATGCAGTTTTGGAACTTCATAGGTCTATGCCCATACTGACTTGTACTTGCTTAGTGTTGTTTTACATTCTAGTTCAACATCTATTATGTGATAGACACTGGGGATTAATAGGCTGTGGTCTTTGCCCATGAGGACCTCAAAACTTAGTTGAGAACACAGAAATACAAAGAGTCCTGTGTGAAAAATAAGTATCGGTGTTAAGATAAAGAAGCGGCAGTGGAAGACAGTGGAGGGACTGTCTGTTAGAGGGAGGAATTTATTGTGGTGTCGGCAAAGCCTTCTTTGGACTGAAGGATGAATTATGATTAGAAGTTCATTAAGAGGAGGAGGGAAGGGGACTACAGGAGTCATTCCAAGCCAAAGGAACAAAAGATACAGGGACAGAAACAGCAAGATATGTTTGGGGGAATCTCAAGTTAGTCAATACTGTTATTGTGTGAAGTTCACAACAGGGGCAGGGAGGACAGGAGATGGGGCCCAATGACGAAAAGGCCTTGTATGTACCATGTTTAGAAGTTTGAATTTTATCCTATAGGAGTCAGGGAGAGGTTCTATGGGTAGGATTTCCCATCCCAACAGGATTGTAAACTCCCACATCCAATTAGTCACACCTCCATTTTTTTTTTTTTCTGTTTCTTTAACATTGTCTCGGATTCATTCCTTCTGAAATCTACCTTATTAGTTCAGGTCTTCTTAAATTTGTGCCTGGACTGTTCACCAACTCTTGACTGGTCCTGGGGCTCCAGTTCACCTCTTGCTCCCAACAATCAATTTTCTACAGAATTATCAGAGCAATCTTCCTTTCCATCAATCTCAACTCTGTTCAAAAACTTTCAATAGTTTTATGTGACCTAAGAGGTAGCTGCCTCCCCACCCTTTCAGCTTGCCATTCAAGGCTGCATAATTTGGTCCCAACCCCCTTTCCGTCCTTGACTCCTCTCACTGCTAACAGAGACAGAACTCATTTACTTACTCTTTTGACTGTACCTTTGCTTTCACGAGGGCTCTTTCCTGGAATGATATGTCCATACAACTATTGTTGCTGTTCTTACTTTTAGCTCTTTTCTTAGAAGCCCACTTGTACCCAGGTTTGATCACACCCCCTACTCTCCTGCCCTGGAAGTAACTACTATTCTGGTTATAGTCTCTTAATATCTATATCTATATATATGCATCCACAGATAATGTGTAGTATTGTCTTGAAAAAAATATACACAAATGGTATACTTTGTCTCCCTCTGTGATTAGTTTTTTCACTATCATTTAGTTTTTAAGATTTATTCCTATTGACATAAATAGCTATAGTCTTTTCAATTACTGTGTTGCATTTCATTTTATAAATATACCATACATTATTCATCCATTCCTCTAAGGGTGGGCATTTATGTTGTTTTCAAGGTTTTGCTATTACAGTGTTACAACGAATATCCTTAGCTTAGCTGGTCTCCTTGTCTTATACAAATTTTACTGACCTTTCAAGATCCCGCTTTCATCCCAGCTCCTCTGGGAAAGCCTTCCCTGAATCCCCCAGCCCACAGCGGCAAAGTCTTGGTACTCAAAGTTGCTTGTGCATCTTTGGTATCATCCCACTGCCAAGCACACAGCTACGCAAAGTAAGGCACTTAAGAAATATTCGCTACACGGATGAACAAATGAATGAATGAATGGGGCAGCACCACTCCGTAATGGCTCTATTCCTTTTTAATGGACTTTGGCGCCTTGGCCCACTTTCCTTCTTTGACAGCACTGGTCCTACTCCAGAGCATTCCTCTAGCTAGCAAAGCAGTGTGTGGATGTGTGGGTGTAGGTGGCGATACAGACCTCACTGGATGAGGACCGCCTCTCCCTGCAAGTTCACGATCCCGGCAAACTCCAGTGCTTGAAGTTCAGAGTCCTACCCCACCCCCCTCACCCCCACGCCCCTTCTGCACTGGTCAAGCCAGCGAGCCGCTGCAGCCCTGATCGAGTTAAGGCGCGGCGGCCCCCGGGGCCGCTGGAGAAGGATGCGGACGGGGCCAGTGACTCGTATAGATCCCTCCGCGCGGAGCTCGGGCCGGCGCTTCTTCCTGCGGGAAACCCCTGGGTGCCCAAGGCGGCGGGGCCGAGGCCGCGGCGACAGTGGGGCGGGGCTTGCGGTGGGAGGAGGCGGCTGAGGCGGAAGGACACACGAGGCTGCCTCGCTGCACACCCGAGAAAGTTTCAGCCAAACTTCCGGCGGCGGCTGAGGCGGCGGCCGAGGAGCGGCGGACTCGGGGCGCGGGGAGTCGAGGCATTTGCACCTGGGCTTCGGAGCGTAGCGCCAGGGCCTGAGCCTTTGAAGCAGGAGGAGGGGAGGAGAGAGTGGGGCTCCTCTATCGGGACCCCCTCCCCATGTGGATCTGCCCAGGCGGCGGCGGCGGCGGCGGCGGAGGAGGAGGAGGAGGCGACCGAGAAGATGCCCGCCCTGCGTCCCGCTCTGCTGTGGGCGCTGCTGGCGCTCTGGCTGTGCTGGGCGGCCCCCGCGCATGGTGAGTATCGGGCTGAGGGGCGCTGTCCGCGGCGCCCGGGGCTGCCACCTGGGGCGACCCTTCTCCCCCTCAGTCCTTCTCTGTGTGGGAAGGCCAGGCTCGGCCGCCGGCGCGGAGTGAGGCCACTCGCTGGGTTCCCAAGAGTTTGGACATCGCCGGGGGCCCCTCCCGTGGTGCCCCGCCAACCGCTGGGGTTCCCCGCCGCCTCTGCTCCCCGCGGCCCGGGACCCCTCACACGCCTCCTCGGCAGGAGGGAGGCCGGCAGCAAGTCTCAGAAACTCCTTTTTCGTAGTGCCAGGGTGCAGGGAGGTGGGCAGTTTTGCCCTTCAGGTTCCGCGTTTCTTGGGGTCGAGCGAGAGCCGACGGCGGGCCTCGGAGGGGCTGAGCGAAGGAATGCCAGATTCTGGCGTGGAGAGCGGGGGCAGGGCCGCCAAGCCAAACGGCCTGCAGCTTCGCAGCCAGCCTCGCCTTTGCCAGGGGGCGGCACATGGGCCGGGTGTGTGGGCTTGGTTTGGATGGGGACGGGGTTTTGCGGCGCGCCTGAGTTTTGACACTCCAACCCCACCGAAAGTCCGGGGGAGCCGTGTGTGCTGCTCGCGTCTTTGAAAGGTGGAGGCAGGAGAAGTAGGGCAACTGGTGTGGCTGCATGCTGAGGCACATGATTTAAAAATCTCAACTGCTGTTATTCTTTCCGAGGCGCGGAGCTCTGCTGCTGTTTCAGGCTGTGTCCAGACCCAGGAATGTGGTGTGACGATCACCAATTCCTCCAACCTGGCAGCAGCATTTGCTGCTCCTTTGGCATGGCTGGGGGTGGGGCACGGGCGGGTGAGAAAAAGTGGATACGTTAATTCAAAGGGCTTCCTTAGAAAGCTTCTTTATGGTTGGATGTTTCTAACACGGTTGGACCAAGGAAAGGGAATCAAATCATATCTTCCCCATCCCACCCACACTTTTAGATTCTACATTTCTTCAGACCCTTTAGTGGAAATAACTTGGGCTTTGGAGCCCTGCTCTGTAATCCTGTATTCAAATCCAGCTCTGCTATATGAACTCACCAATAAAATGGGAAAGAAATTATCCAGCTAATAGGATTAATTAAAATAATGTATATTAAACGGATGACACTCCAAAGGTGTTCAGAAAGTCCTTTCAGGGCCGAGGCTGTGTTTTACTGCTTCTGAGATTGATGCTCCCAGTGGGATGCTGTCTTGTGCATATTTGTTGAACGGAAAGCAGCCCCTTCTTTTTCTGAGCCTAATCTGAATAAAGATTTTTACCTTCACCAAAAAACTAGTACATGAACTACATCTGTTTTCAAAGAAAAGGTTAGGAAGATGATGAGCTTCAGAAAAATATGGTCTTTGTTCATTGTTAACAGTCAGTCGACATGTCAATCGCAGATGTTTAAAAAGAGAACAAGGTTATTTATCACCCGAAAATAGTACTGGGTTGTTCAGCACCAACTAGATACTTCTTGGAAAGTTCAAATTTCGTACACGTCTAGGTCACTAAGAATTTCAGAAGTGGACCAGGAGGCTTTGTAGTGATGAAGCAGAGCTGTTGTTTCTGAAGCATTTAATAAAGAGCATATATGATGGTGTTTTTGCTTTTCCTTTTTCTTTGAGTGAAAGCTTTAAGTGTAGCTTTAGGATAGAGAGGAGTATAATCAATGAGACAGTCTGAGGGTAATAATCCTTGGTCTATCATTAACTTGTTTTGGTAAATAACTTAATCTTCTTGATATGTAGTCTCCTCACCTATGAAGCAGGACTAAAGGAATAACCTGCTTTAGAGAATTGTAGGGAATAATAAATATGATTGTAAAGTGATTTGAAAAATTAAGTATTAAATAATATGTCAGAAATGGGATTACTCTGACACATAGGGCTTCTTTTATTATAGGATCTCAGTGCATAAAACTATGCCCTCCACCTCTGCTCTGCTGAGGTGCTGCGATTATTAGCTAGCTTTTAGGTAGTCAAGTTGAGTGTTAGTCAAGTTGACTCAAAGGATAGGATTTAGATATTTTGATTTTTAGACAGGTGTTCTTTAGATGCTAAACTAATGCAGTAGAAGAGATTTAGAAGCCGTTTCTTGGTACAAATCTTAAATCTTCTTAGAGTCTACAGTGAAGGCTTCTTGAATCCTCCTAATTTATTATTGTGTTTTGCTAAGGTACCAATTACAGCACACCCTTCTAAACTTTTGAGTGTTCCTGTGTTTGGCTTGTGGCCAATTGTTAATTTAAACATCACGGAGTTTCTAAGGCAAGGAGATGTTAGCAGTATGTCTGATTGTCTAAACAGCTATCCAGGACCATCCTCTTGCTCCTTGTTTTCTTTTGCTTTGCAATGGGAAGTGACTCCCTGATTTTGCTGCCTGCTAGATAATTTCTCAGCTGAATTCTTCTCTTGCTTAAACAAAATCGGAGTAATTTTCTTTCAGATGGTGATGAAATTTAACCTAAAACTATTTTTCCTTTCACTTTCTTATTATTCCTTTTTTTTTGGTGTGGTGGAGAGGAGGAGAAGAGTGATTCCTAGTCTCTCTTATTTTTCTGAATGTTTAGATTTAAAAAATATTTACCCATAACTTCTTGGGATCTCTCTGCTCCATTCCCACCCTACTGCCTCTCCTGTAGGCTTCTATGACATAGAGGAGCAACTTTTGGTTCACCTGGATTGTAGTTGCTGACTTCAAGACCTTTAGAGAATGTTTAAATTCAGTGGGATATGCTTGGATGGTTCAGAGCAGCCTTACAATACATCTTAAAAATATCACACCCACAGAAATTCTATTTTGCCCACAAAATTTGCATTGATCTAGTTCCCACTCTGTGTTGCCATTCCTAGTGATCCTCCTCCCTACCTCTCCCATTATGGTAGAAAAAAACTCTGTGTCCTGGCTACATCAAAATCTGTTGGGGTGGATCTTGGACTCAGCACCCAGGGATTCTGATAAGGTAAGTTTGAGAATCCATATTTTTTCAAGGTTTACAGGTGATTCTGACAAGTAACTTGGTTGCAACCCACTGATTAAGTACATTTTTTTTTACCTTCAGGTGTGTGTATGAGGTCTTTCTAAATTTAAGAAATTTCCATAACAAATGTAACCTTAGTCATTCCAGTGTTTAACGCTTCTGACTCAAGAATTTTAAAATTGCTAACATAAGAGATATAGAATATAATGTCATTTCTTCTGTTTATCTGGGTGCAGTATGTCTGCATTGACCCTTTAGAAGGGCTTCATATATTTAGATGATATAATAAATTCTCCACCTCTCCTTTTCCCTTTTCTTCTGTTATCTCTTTTTCCTTAAATGTCATTCATACATGTTGTTTTTTGACCCTTTATCTATATACGTCTGCAATGATTTTAGAGTAAAAAACTGCAAGGCGTGATTTGAATAAGGATATAAGAAATTTTACATCATTTTCTTTATATTGTGTTCACAGTCCATAGTTACATGCTTCCTTTCTTGATGTCTCAGTTCGAATGCCTAAATTTGAACTATTAATTTTCCTTCCACGCTTTCCTGATTTTCCTGTTTTTGTTTCCCCCCCTTTCTCTGCAAATGACTTGAAACCAAAAGGTCTTCTTTTCTTTCTTTGTCAGCCTACCATATGTGTAGTATTTTGGACAGATCACTGAACTAGGAGCCAGAAGACCAGAATTCTTCTCCAGGTCTGTTATTAATTGGTTTGGTGACCTTGTAGGAGAGCCACTGTTTCGGTCCTCCATTTTCTGATGTTCATTGTTCATGGTCACAGAGCCAATTAGAGTTGAGACTAGAATTCCTTTCTTCTGGTGTCCAGTGCCTCATTCACTGTCCACGTTGCTTCCATCTCGTGTACAAATGCGCTTATGTGCACAAAAACTCTTATAACATCCTCAAGTGCTTATTGTTAATGCGTACATGAGGAAGGAATCGTGTATTTTCATTTATGTGTTTATTCTAATGCCCATACCCTACCCCTGTACCTGGCATGATGCCTTGGTATCTAATAGGCACACAATAAATACTTGTTCAGTCGAACAATTATTTTTAGCCACTTTCTTATTTTGGACAACTGTGGTACTCCTAGACATTTTAAAAATAGTATTTGCAGGAGTCATGCTTACCTTACATTTGGGGAAAAACCAAATTTTTCCCTTCCCCAGATGTTTCATTTAAACTTGTAATTTTGAATTTCTTTGTGTGTGGGGTTTCTTTCTTTCTTTTTCTGATCACTTCTGCAATTTATAAATCACTTTGACTTTGGAATCTCACTTCAAAGGCACTGCCATCCACCCCCTGCCTCTCACTCAAGTTTGCTTCCACTGCTTCCTGTATTACTGTATTACTAGGCCAGCAATTTCTGTTATTTTGTCCAGAATAGCCACACCTTACTGTAATTTCATCATTTTGGGGACTAGTCATTTTTGGAATACTATTTTTAAAATTAGAGTTAACTAAGTTTATATTTATTTTGATAATTTTTTTGAGATTTTTTTCATTGAGTTGGATATTGCAAACTTGTACTGGATTGAGAGAATATGTACATTTAGTAAAGTATATTTGCTTTTTTTTTTTTTGAACCAAGAGAGTCCCCTGAACACCCTACTGACAAAAACTAAAGGTGAAATATGATGAATAAATACTTGAGAGAATCACATGGTGTTGAGTTGTCTCTGCCACATGATTTTGATCCTTGAGGGCCAGGTCTGTGCTACACACATTTCTTCTCTGTACTACAGAACTTGTCTGGCATGTGCCCCAAATTCAGAGTCAACTGAGTGGCAGGTCTTAGTCACAGCATCTATGACTCCTGCTTTCCCACCTTTAGAACATTCTATAGGAGAGGCTGATGGTGAGTTGGAGTGTGTTTCTATGTTCTTTTTTCCTTTGAAGAGATAGGATCAGTTGAAAGCTGACCCCACCCACAGACTTTTTTTGCTATCTCTCTTAATTAATTAAGGAGTGGCTGAAATTTTCCTCTTTGTTGACTTATGCATTGGCGGGAACTTTAAAATTCATCTAGTCTTTCTGTCCATCCCATGCTGGATCTGATGTTTACAACATTCTAGTCAAGAGGTACCATATTTTCTCTCTTCTTGAACATCTCTTGTGGTAGACAGCTCTCCACAGCAGTTTATTCCATCTTTGGCCAGCTCTAATTCTTAGAAAGATCTTCTTATATTCAGCTGTAATCCGTCTCCTCATGACTTGTCCTCATTGACATCTACTCAGAAATTTGTCTCAGAGTCCTGAGACCTGTGCAGGTGATAGGGACCCAAAGAGATGCTTGTCTGTAGACTTTACTGAGCTGACACCCAGCTCTCCATAAAAGGAGTCAAACCCAGTGAGGAGCATGTCTGGGGTGATTGCTCAGGTAAAGCATCTTAGCCCTACTTGTTTCATACCTCCCTGCACAGGTGGGCACTGGTGGGAGAATAACATTTATCAAGCAGTGTTTCCCTAACTTCTCTTATGATAAGAATAGCTCAGGTGTTCTCATGGAGATTCTGATTCAGTGCATCTGGAGTGTCATCTGGGAATTTGTGTGTTCAAGAAATAGCCAGGTGATTCTTACATTAGGAAAGTTTTAGAATCACTGCAGAGTGAATCTGGGAAATCAAAGTGTTTGTTTTTGTTTGTTTGTTTTTTGAGAGTATTAGAGACAGGTTGCTTTGGCTAGATCCTGTGGTCATTTTTCCCCCTTGGAAATGCCTCCTACTTGCTGGCCTCACTTAGTACAGAGAAGAAAGCTGCTATGGTATAAGGTTAGTAAAGTTGTTTGTTTTGTCTTAAAAGAAATTTGTGAAATCCAGCATTTTCGGACTTCTGTTTGTGTTGTATGACTTTGTTGTAAGCCTCCTTATTCCTCCATTAGAATGTTACCTGAGATGTTAGAATGCATAGGAGTTCCACAGCCTTTTTGGTGTCCACTAAAGAATTCTGTCCTCAGCTGTTGCAAATGGTGCTTCCTTTGAGGATTTCTGCTTCATTAGCTCATGAACACATATTTGGTGTCGGCAGTTTCCCTCAGATGTGTTAGTGTGGAGAGATATAAAGGTCACTCATTTCTGGTGGTCCTGCTTTTGGGGTTTCTGGGCTGCTGCAGCAAATGAAATAAGGAAAGGAAAATAAAGGAGGAATCTAGGGCTTCTTGAGCAGAACAAAACAATCTACAAGAAGGGGCACAGGATTGCTCCTCTCACAAAGACACTTGATAATACTGTCCTTGATAGGAAGAAGGAAGTGGCTTCAGATCTGAAAGGATATGCTCATAGGCTTGAGACGGGACAAACTGCATCACTGGTAGTGGTAGGAGGTTTGCCGTAGATCTGTTTTTTCTCCTGTCTCACTTTTTGGAGGAGAATATTATCTGTGTGGCAGAACATACATTGTGGTCTTAAAAAGGAGAGTAAAGCCAAGAAAGGGGGATGATAAAGCCATAGCTTGGAATAAGAAAAGCAAAGGAATTATTTTATTAATTTGTGTATGTAAATACATAGGTTTCCATGTAATTCACTGGTAGGATCACTAGCCCTTGGCACTAACATTTGCTATCTTTGTAGCTCTGCTGTCTTAGTGGTGTATTGGGGGAGCATTGTGGTGTGTTGTCACACTTAATTTGTGTGCTTCCCTTGGCATCATGTGGTAGCAAGTACAGGGTATTCTCCTCTTCTAGATGTGTGGGAATCATTGACCAAGTAGAAAATATGGTCCTGCTCCCAAGGAGCTGACATCATCATGGAGACAAGACAGATAAGCACACAATTAGGAATATGAAATACAGTTATTTTATCATTTATCTATGCTCTCTGAAAGCAGTTTCCTGCAGTCAGGGTGACTCGGAGCTATAGGGTCTTGGGAGTAAACTTCAGGTCTTAATACCACCAGGGAAAGGCGACCTCCAGCTCACCCTTGCTGGGCTTGTCTGCTGTCGTGAGCTGTCTGCCATTTTCCTCTTTCTGTGTTGTAATTTAGAAGTATTAGAACTTGGCTTGGGGAAAAGACAAAAACCCCTTTGTCTGGTGAGGGTGTAAATATAAATTTGGCACATGTTGTGGTGTCTATTATGTCTGTTAGTGGGTTTGCGGCAAGAGAGAGTGCTGTGTTCTTAGTCCCGAATGCCAAGCCTGAACTAGGACAAGTTATGGTGGAGATATCTTCCTTGGAAGATGCAGTTCTCAGTGGCAGTGGCTGAAGGAACTTCTCGTCACAGCCAGGCAGTGACTGAAGTGTGGTGTGGACACACCCAGAGTTGCTGCCTCAGGTGGCATTGATTAATCATACTAATATCTCCCTCACCCTTTTGTACTTGTCTTGGCAAAACCCTGTTCTACTAGCTCCCCAATAGTTTGGCCTTTACTAGGTATGATTGAACAAGCTCTTGGGGGTTCACCTTAGTGTCCCTTGCCCCTCTCGCATTTCCAGCCAGCTACGTCGCTCCAGCCATGGTACCCCGGGTCCTCTGGCCAGGCAGTGAGGGGCTGGGTTTTTCTTCCCATTGGACTGAAGCACCTTTCCCTGGAGGCTTGCCTAGGGCAGTTTCTGGTCTCCGAGTCAGTTCCTTCTGCAGGATACTGGCAGCTGGCAGAACTCTGGGTTATTTGAATACATCAGCCAAACATCTTGCCAAGATGGACTCATTGTTGCATAAAGACAGGTTGGATCTATGGGTGTTGCAGAACCTGTTTCTGGGTTAAGAGTAGCTCTCTCACCCTTATTATATATGTTTATTCATATGATGAAAGTATGTGTGTATTTTGTGAAGTAAGGAAAACATGATGATAATATTGTGGTTGGAGTTAGATACCTTATCCTAAATATGTTGTCTTTTTAACAAATAGCATTCCTTTAAAATACAGTTGTGCTTGATGAATAAGGTGTTGTACAAGAAGCTGTGGTTACATTCTAAAATAAACTGCCTTGTTCTGAGGCAGGCACGTTTTAAAATTGTTGTTTGCTTCTTTTTCATCTCTTTTTATTTTCATCTTTTTTTTTGTGAGAAGATTCTGTAAGTTTTTAAGCTTCAAATATTTTCAATAATCTATTTTAACGGGTACCTAGCAGGGAGAGGTTGTTCTATTGGTATACCTAACCAACATTCAAATAAGAATAATTGAATACTGTTTATTCACTAATCTGTTCTGTTGAGTTTCTAAGTATGAATAATCACAAAACTAGATAGTGCTGATATATCAACTTCTCTAAATGGTAAATGTGGTAAGTAGCAAAGACATTTTTGTTTAATTCTCTCCTTACACATGCTTTGGTTCAGACGCTGTCAAGACACATTGAAGTTTGAGGACATGTGTATTTCGATTATTTTATTATATTTTTATTTGCTGTGAATATGGGTTTATTTATTTGCTAGATCTTCTTTAGTTAGAAACATTAAGGGCATTTACTTTATTACAACATTTAAAGTGCATTCTAATCTTCATGAGGAATTTTAGGTAAAAGACCGTATCCTGAGATTCATGCAAGTCTTTGGCATTATGTTACTATTTAAAGTAAGTAATATGTAGTGGCTTCTCTGACATATTCTTTCTAAGAGAGTTAAGGAAAATAGTTGTAACTAAAAACAAACATTGAAACAGTTTAAGGTAAGTTTACGTAGCAACAGAATTATTCGTTATGTTTACAGATAATTAACTCGTATTTATACTTTGCTGATTTTCTCTGGCACCTTTACAAGATTTTTTTATTTTTGTAAAATAAAAAGTAATTATGTTTGAAAAAGTAGTTAAGGATGTTTGAAGAATCTAGAAAAGCATAAATAAAATGTCCACAATCATGCTGGCATTAATTTTTTGGTATACGTCTTTGGTTTTTTTACCCTTAGATTTAGAAAAGCTGTTGATTTATTTTTATATATATATATATATATGTTTAGTTTATGAACAGATCTACATATATATATATATGCACACACACATAATATACTATTGTCAACACTAGGTTTTATTTTTAAAAATCTTTACCATTTGATAAGTGGTAAATATTACTTAATCTTAATATGCCTCTCTCATTACAGTGATATTGAATGTTTTTTCATATCATCAGTGGCGTTTGTATTGCCTTTTTTTCTACTTCTTTTGGTAAATTGTGTCTTTTACTCATTTAATTATTTTCTTACTGGTTTGAAAAAGCTCTTTAAATATTAAGGGTGTTAGTCTTTTGTCTTAAATATGTCACAATATGTATGGAAATAATTAGCAGTATATAACATAACATCAAATTGCTACCAATGCTGATATAAAAATTGTTCATTTCATAGGTTAATTTTTTTAATCCTTTGGTTTCTAATGATATTGGTTAATTCATTTGTTAACTGCTATTTTCTGTAGCTACTTGAAAGTTCTTATCTGACTGTATCGTAAATCAGCATGCTTTCAGCTGTATATGTCTAGGAAATTGACATTTACTTTAATACTTAATAAAAAAATATGTTGGAGAAAAGCAGTGTATTCTGGAGTCAAATACATGATTTTGGGTGGGTGACGTAATCGGCTACTGTCCTCCTTTTCTAGATAGCCAAGATTTTTGAAGCATTTAACATCCCTGAAAGGCAGGACTAATGCTATGTCTACCATGCACTGCTAATTCTGACACTTTGACCTAATGGATAAATGCCAGTACAGTGGGTCTAGCCAGTTAGCTTGGTCAGAGAACAAGATGACTAAGATTCTCTCCCCCTTTCCTCACCAAATTGATTAGTTGTAGGACAGAACTGACTGAAGCAACCTGTTGTTTTGGCAACCCATGGACACCACCTGTTTCTTCCATTCCTCTGTCCAGCCTCTCACTGCCCTAGTGCAGTGCTGTGTGCACAGTGGGTAGGAGATCAATGTTGTTGCTAAAGAATGTAGCAATAAAGAAGAGTAGATTGCTTTTTTTCCAAGCTTTTGTGTTTTTAAGGCACCCCGCTGGTTTTGACATTCGTTGCTCCAGCTGAACTGCTCTATGCTGAAGCCCTGCAGGTCTCAAGTGTTTGGTTCAGAGTAATTTCAGGCCATATGAATGCTTTCTTAAGTATCATTGGAATTTACTGGGCTGGCTGTCTGCCAGCTATTACCATATTTAGCATGAAGAGACCTGGGGAATGAGGACATTTCTGATCAACCAAGGAAGGAAACCTATTTGAAGGATTACAATATTTTCTTTTTTTTTTTTTTAATGGTGTAGTTCAGAAAACGCCAGTTAGACCGAGACTCAAATTTATGTCCACTGGTCTTTGTTTCTGTGCCCCATCCCAAAATTAATTTATGAATAGGAAAAGAGATTTGATAGTGAAGTTCTTTCTCACTCTGAAGTCTAATACTGTTTCTGGGAGGAAGTAAGAGAATTATTATGCCCACACTGTGCACTGAGAGGCTTAACCAGCAGGTGAAGCTGTTGATTAAAAACATAGGTTGATGAGTATTCTCATTTTTCTCCTTTGAAGCTTTCAGAAATTTTCTGCTTTGTCCTGGTCTAAATTTATTTTGGCCCAGCCCTTGTCTCCACCCTACATTTCAAACCAGTAGCCTTCCCTCTATGGCTCAACATTTCTCTGCCTCAGTTTTTTCCATTTTAAAGATGAAGATATTGTTTGGAAGGACCAGTAAATACAATTAATATAAAAATTACTTCTGTAGAATCAAACAACCTCCAACATTTCTGTTGGAAATTTATAGTTTATAGAGTATTCTTACACAGTGATCTCCTTTAATCCTCACAAACTTGGTGGAAATGGAGCCTCACAGGGGTTAGGTGACTTGTATACATTGTTTACCCCTACATAATAAGTGACAGAGCTGGTACTTAAACTTGTGGCTTGATTTTTCTTTTTTTTTGAGTTGGAGTTTTGCTCTTGTTGCCCAGGCTGGAGTGCAATGGCGCAATCTTGGCTCACCGCAACCTCCACCTCCCGGGTTCAAGTGATTCTCCTGCCTCAGCCTCCCGAGTAGCTGGAATTACAGGCATGCACCACAACGCCTGGCTAATTTTTTGTAGTTTTAGTAGAGACGGGGTTTCTCTATGTTGGGCAGGCTGGTCTCGTACTCCTGACCTCAGTTGATCTGCCCGCCTCAGCCTCCCAAAGTGCTGGGATTACAGGCGTGAGCCACCGTGCCTGGTCCTTGCAGCTTGATTTTTTAAACATCAGATTTTTTTTTCTTTTTTGATTTTTATTATTATGTGTCTGTCATTCTGCTAGGGGCTTTGCAAATATTGCTTTATTTAATTCATATGGCTATCCTTTGGAGTAGACAATATTTTTCTACATTATAGGTAAGGAATTTGGAACTTAGGTTCACAGCTTTGGATGTTGGCCTATGGTTAGTGAGGGGTGTAGCCAGGATTCAAACCCCTGTCTGGCTCTAGGGCCGCTGCAATAAATCATGGTGTTTTATGTACATTCATACACTTAACACTTTGCAACAACCCTAAGAGACAGGGGTAGGTATTTAGGGAAACTGGGGCTTCTAACTTGCACAGGATAATGCAGTTAGTAAGTGGCTTAGTCGAGATTCAGAGCTAGATCTGTCTCCATAACCCTCACTCATTCCAGGATACTGCAGATGCCTATTTTTATGATATGTATAAGTAAAAATTAATTTGAAAAACTACCTTCTTTGAAGGGTCAGCCAGTTAGAACTCTTTTGTATCTTCTGAATAAGTAAGAAGTGGATGGACATTAGCTGACCGATACATTGATGGCTTTTAACCTTCTATCAGTTGATTTCCATTACCAGGACAAGCAAATATAATTTGGAGGGAAAAGAGGGGAGTTTCCATTAAGGATGAATCTTTAAGCCGAAAAGGGCCACAGTGATGAACTCTTCAGAGGACTGCTCTCAGGAGCAATGGCCCTTCTCCTCTGGGCTCTGCTTGGGGCATTCCTGTTTGTATTTATGGAGACATCTTTTTGAAAGGCAGATGCCAGCTTTGGTGGGGAGAAGGTTGGAAAACATACAAGCCTTGCTCTAAATTTACTAGCCCTGTGTCTTTGGGCTAGTTTCTGAAGCATGGTGTGCCTCAATTTTATTATTTTAAAAATAAAGATAGTAGCAGTATATTTTGGAGTTGTTATGAAGATAATATCAGTTAATAAATGTTAGATTCATTGGACAGTACCAGGCACATAGTTAAAGTGCAGTAAATAGTAGTTATTGTTGGTATTGGTGTTATTTTATGTTGCAGTACAGACTGGCTTCTTGGTGCATTCACTTTTCTTTAATCAAAAGTGGATGAGTGATTGGGAACCTTCATGAGGAAATAGGAACATCATCTTTGCAGCCTGTGGATTGTTCACTGGTTTCCTGTGATCTAATAATTATTTAAGGGTTTCATATTTGAGTCTCTTCCCTTAATGAGGTACACTTTCAGTTTGGGGAGATTTTATCTATAGGCATACCTTATTTTATTGTGTGTTCCCTTTTATTGTGCTTCACAGATTTTGTTTTATTTTTTACAAATTGAAAGTTTGTGGCAACCCTATGTCGAGCAAATGTATCAGCACCATTTTTTCCAATAGCATATACTCACTATATGTCCCTGTGTCAGTATTTTTTAGCAATAAAGTATTTTTAAACTCAGGTATATGCATTATGCTTTAGACATAATGCTGTTGCATGCTTAATGGACTAGAGTATACTGTAAACATAACTTTTGTATGCACTGGGGAACCAAAAAATTTCTGACTTGCTTCATTGTACTGTTTGCTTTATTGAGGTGATCTGGAGCTGAAGCCACAATATCACAAAGGTATGCTTGTATTATGCAAATTGCATTGATAGGTGTTAAATCATTTTCCCATTTTTTATTAACCACACATTTGTGATTGGATGTTATGTTTAGTAAAGATATTGTGATTTTCTGAGGTACAGCTTTGAGAACAGTATCAGGTCTAACACTCTTGTTTCCAAATTTCCTATGATATGACAAACATAATCACATGCCATCCAGTGTCACCATGCAGAGTACTAATGTGAAGCCAAAATACTTGGTGTTTTAATTAGCCTTAAAGCAGTTAACGAACTATCTCTGTTAGACATTTTGAAATAATAAAAATATCCCATTGTCTTTTATTACAACCTCAGGGGCTCCTGGAGATTTTGGGATCTTGTGTGGGGAACCACCCATCTAATCCATCCTTGTTTTAAAGAGAGAAAACCAAAGAAGCAAAGTGACTGGCCCAAGTACCTAGAGCTGGGTCAGGGTTGGGGCCAGAATCCAATCTCTTGACTTTTAGTCAAGTGATTTTTCCACTATGCTCAGTACTCAAATTATGTATCAATATGTCGGCCCTTGTTTTTTGAGGTCTGAAAAGGGTTAGTGCCAGTCAACAACAGTAGAGGAGTAGAAAGGGTGTTGGGATGGGAGAGGTGTGGCTATATTTAAAATTTCAATGACAGCAGTGAAAATAATTTGCCTGTGAACCTCTGCCTGTCCCTTTGGACTTCTTTGTACTAGTTGAGACAACTCGGCAGGTCTGGTGTCATTAGTGATTCAGAATTGGATTAGCCTGGACTGGTGGAGTTACTTTCTCAGAAAAGGGCTTTATATTTTAACATTTGTTTCCCTTGACAGTTTGCTTCTTCTCAAGTTTTGGCAGCCTTGAACAAGTGGTTGTCAGGTTTTTATTTTGTTTTGTTTTAAGAAAAAATTCCAAATTTTATTTTGCCGATTTAGTAAGTTATCCTCTACCTGCCACTCCCTTCTGCTCCCTCTATAATTATTTCTAAGACTTTATTTTTCCATTGTGGGAACATTATGGAAGGTTTTCTTTTACAGTCTGAGATATTTATAATTACGTGTAAGCACACAGTTTATAGAATATGTAAATGGTCCATATGTTAACTTAAATACCCTTAAAATATTTTCCAATAATTTAAATCTTTCCATAAAAGTAGCTGAAGCTGCTTATAATAAAAGAGAAGTATACACGAAGGATAGCAGAATTTGGATGTAGTTAATATAGATAAATATGAATGTCACTTTGGAGGAACTGGAAGTATTTGCATGAATACTGATCAAGCCATGCCTCCTTGTTAATAGAGTGAACAAAACAGATGAATGTTTCTGTTTTCATGAAGTTTATGTGACTATCAGTAGCTTCCATATTCTGAGGGTTTATTATGTGACAGATGCTTGGGGACAAAATACTTTACTTGTTTCCTTTAGTCCTTAAAATAGATGTTAGGATTCTTGTTTACAGAAAAGTTAAGGAATGTTCATCCAGATCACCTAGCCAGTCAGTGGTAAAGAACAGTCACTGGAACCCCTCTTTCCTGATCCAAAGCCAACATACTTAACCATAATAAATAATGCCATTGTCTGGTGGAATCCTGTAGTCCCTTAGATAGTGTAATTTTGTATTTAATGTAAACATTTTGTGCACTAGACTGACTTACATTTTACTTTTTAAAACAATATTTTAATTCTGAATGAACATTTGCATAATAGGAGAATGATCTAAATTGCAAACTTCCATTTTGAAGAGTTGTAGTTCTTTTAAATCTTTTTGTAACTGGGAAGAAGAATGGAATTATGTTTGTTATAATCCAAGGAAAGTTGGTTAGCATTCTTTCCTGTTACTTTTTGATCCCAAAAGAAATTCTTTAGTAGATCAAGACCAGGAATGAATGTGTGGATTTTTTTAAATAAAAAATTGAGAGAGATTGTAACTAGCAATTCAGAGCCAGATTTATGTTCAGAAATGTTTGATGCCAGCCGTTTTAGTTACAAATAGCTTTTTCTTGACTGTACAGTTGTGTTCTTATGGTACCATTCTGAAAGTGATGTAAGAGACCATGTAAAATGATTGGAATGCCTCAGCATCTGAACAATGCACATAGCCAATTATTAAAATTACCCAGTACTAACCTGTCTTGGCTTAGGAACTATGGAATTAACTGTGGGTAGCATTTCTACACATATCATTACAGAACAAGCATAAAGACAAGCTTGTTTTTTTCCTTTTCTGTGGATTTGTTTTTTCTTATTACCATATCTTTTGTTACTGAAAACTGGTGGTCATCTGTACTAATAGATAAGAGAAGTGTGTTTGACACCAATACCTAATCTTAGATTATCCCTGCTATTTTAAAACACCGTCCTTCACCTACATGCTCAGACATGTGGGTTCTTTCAAACATACTGGACTTCCTCCTTAGGTTTTAGTTGTGTTAGTTAATAGTTGAATGTTGAAGGAGAGGATGCCAAGGGATATTAAAGAAGGTAAAAGAGATAAGTGACAGCAAACATTATTTATTTTTAATTATCTCTCAGAATGACTTTTAGATACCCTTCCCTACTACATTTTGATTTTTGCTTTAGCATAGCTGGTGAGTTTTGGAATCAGAGAGACTGGGCTCTGATTTGTACTAGCTAAGAATATTAGACAAGCCACTTAACTTCTTTAAGTCTCAGTACCCGTATTTATATAATGGGAATAATAGTAATATCTAACTTGCAGGATTGTTTGTAAAGATTGAAAGCAACATATTTAATTGTGCTTGCGTGGTTCTGGGCACAGAATAGGCACCCGAGTGTAGGGGCCCCTGAACTTTAAAGTTCATTACTTTCATGGTAATTCCTCCTTTGGAATATATAGCCTGGGAACATTTGTCTCTAGACCTTGTTTCAGTTTCTTTTAATGACTCCCTTTAGGCTCTGCTTCATGGCCAACACAAGATTATGGATCACCTAAAGAGTAGACTAAAAGTACTATTGTCTAGTAACTTCAAGTTTGTAGGTTAACTCACTGTGAATCAAAAGCTTTTAAAAATCTTTTGCGTGGTCATAGTTTGTAGTGTCTTGTACCTCTCATCTCAGAAGCAATTGATTCATAGAAAAAATTATTTAGGATTTCAGATTAAAGATGAAGAACTCTTCCAATAAGAAGGAACTGATTTGGTTGGATTATTTGTTTCTTTCACCCCTGAGTTTTCATGGAAATCAGGTTTAAAATGTTAGAAGCAGTTGGTTTTCAGCATTGGGAAAGCTTATCTGATCAGGCATGCGAAGTGGCCTATGTCGGATTTCTGAGCTAGGAAAGGCTAGGGGAGGTTGAGGAGATTATTGTACTTGTAATTCCTGAGCATGGTTGAGACACAAGGAGAGGATTGTGGAAATTGTTTTTAAAAAATTGTTGAAGTTAATGCATTCTTGGGTGGATTTGCAAAACAGAACAAAACAAAAAGTTGTTGAAGTTAGTTACACTGGTCTAACAACGTATACTTACCACCCCCATTTGGGCTGGAGGAATGGATCTAATAATAATATAGGTGTTTGTGATCTAATTTGAATCATGTAATCATTTATCATTTCTGGGTTAGATGGTAAGGATTTTCTGTTTCACAGATTTTTAGACTGGGAATTGTGCTATTATAAAATAATATTTTACATTAAATAATGCTTTCTAGGTTGTAATCACCTTAATAGACATGATTTATTTGGGCCACAAATGAACTCTGGTAAGAATGGAGGGCTGGTTACATTATTTTAGTTTTACAGATGAAAATAATCAGTCTCAAATAGCTTAAGGGAATTCCTTTAGACCATATGGTTAGTATATGGAAAAGCCAGAGCTAGAACCCAGGTTCTGATTTCCAGAGCAGTTCTTATTTCATGATACCGCATAATTTTATAATGTCCCTAAATCCGAATTTCATTTCTCATGATGTGAAAGGATTCTCTTTATTTCTGTTTGGTTAGCTGCATCAGAGCATGACAGAAATGGAGCAGAATTCGAGTATTCTTTCCCCAGATGGGTCAGTTAGCTTTTCTTAAAGCTATTCTGTGCTTACATTGTTAATCAGTTGTCCCTGGTTCCTAGACAGGATGTTGATCCATGTGAAATAGGCAGGAATATGTGTCTGACTCAGCTTAACTCATCACAACTTTCATATGTCCTGCTAGTGGGTCTATAATGTCACCCTCGTTTACAGGCGTTTTTAATTTTCTGATGTCTATTTCTTAGTATTTTTCCTCAGCCATTTTTAATGTCTCAAGCCATAGTTCTTCCTGAGTGGCCTGAAGTGATTTTGCTGCTCTTTAAAGCTTCCTTAAGGTTTTTCAAGAGCGTACAACATAGGCTGCTTCTAAGTGTATTTTTATTTCCTAGCTCTTAGCATTTCTCACCTTATCATTATAACTTTAAATTTAAACAGAATACAAATTGTGTACACAGATGGGTGTGTCACTATTGCACTGTCACTTATGTAAGTGCAGTTTAGCATTTCTTCTTTCCTTTTAATCAAAATGAGGAAATAGAAAATGTTTTGTTATGGTAGTTTTACACATACACCCACAAGGAAATGTGTATCTAGAGTCTGTGGGAACTGTGACTTGATACATTTCAGGGAATAAAATGTATGATGGCTAAAATTTTAACTCTGCCAAATGTTCACGGGGAAAGAAAAATTAACAAACTCACATTTTACACTTTATTTTAGCCTAGTCTCTGCCTTGTTTACATCTATATGATAATGAAGCTATACTTGTCTTTCCACAACAGTGTATTTTATAAGTTGTACCTTTTGTTTAAGGGAGCCTTCTTAACAAACTTTCTTTCAGTTGTCCAGTGTACAGAAGCTTACTGGAAGGAGTGGCCAACTAGTTAAAGGTTTGACACCTCAATATCAACAAAATGCCAAGTGGATCATTTTGACTCTCACAGCAATCCAACTGGACATTTGACCATGCCCCGTGGTCAGTGGAGAGCTTCTTCTCTGAAGGCCACTTTTATCTAGCACATCAAGGCTATACACCTCTTTCACTAAGAAGAATTTGGCACTTTTATGTTGTGAGAGCTGAGATTCACCATTCTCCACCATCCTGAGAAGAGCTTTGATAGAAGGGCTACTCCTGAGGTACATAGATTATCCAAAATACATACAATTTTTTCATAGAAAATTATATATGTATTATAATTTTTATTCAAGACAGGTTGAAATTAATAGATTTCTTACATTCACTGCATTAAAGGAATATTTATGGCTTTGGTAATATTTTAAATTTCAAATTAAAAAATTTGAATATCTGAATTAAGTATCTCTGATTTAACTCTGTGTGTGTGTGCGTGTGTGTGTGTGTGTGTGTGTGTGTGTGTGTGTGTGTGTGTGTTGGGAGGAGGAATAGACCTTGGAATTGTTTTTTCAAAACTTTTTTTATAATAGTGCCTAATCTCAGTTGGCAAGGAATAGCTGTCCAGAATGCTGCATAGATCTAGTGAAAAGATTTAGGGAAGTTGTAACTAGTTTAATAACCATCTGTGGAGTGACATAGATTGACACACCCAATTACACAAGACCTGAGTCTGAGAACTGTTGATGTGCAATCATCCCATCAGCATCTGCTCGTCATTATCAACAACAATAATGGCTCAACTATTTCTTTGAGGCCACATGAAAAGACAGTGTACCCATAGCAAAGGATAAGTCAGACCTGAAAAAAACATAGCCCTCTGCATCCCCTTGTTCCCAAACTTCTTTTTAAACATAACCTTTTGTGAAGTTCTGAAAGAATTCATTTTATGTTTTCTTTTTATTAATTTTTCTTCTTAAATACCATGTCTTTCTGGCTGAAATCCTTGCCAAAACCAGGAAGGGCCAGTGTACTGTGGGTGATTTTTCTAATTCATTTCTTTGTCATTTGAAGCCTTCTGTGGCTTCATGCTGCTTTATGTGTGTGTAAATATTCAGTATCTTTTCTAGTTTACACTTTTGTCACAACTGCTATTAAGCCACCTATGGACACATTCTAATATAAATTATTTTGGCCACTGTGAGTGGGAGGGAAAGAATCAGTTCACAGGGATAAATTTGCATGTTGAGAAGATAATATATAATAGTTTGCAAAACACTTCTATGTACATTGTATCTTTTATAGAGACAAGGCCATGTTTTTATTTGTAGAGACTGAGACAGAGACCCCATGAGATCTAATGCAGAGTCACATGACTCCAAAGCCAGGTCTTCTATCTGCTCTTTGGTATATAACTGGATCATTATTCTATTGACAGAAATAAGGAATCTTCTTATTTTTCAAAGGCACCCTTTTGCCCTTGGAAGGTATATTTAGAAATCCTTTACCAGAGTAGAAAGAAGACAGTTATATTTTCCTGCCTTTTGATAAAAAACAGTGTGTTTTTTCTAAATCTTGTTGTGTTTGACTAGAGTCTGATTAAGGTACCTTTTGGGAAATTAAGGTTCTATAGAAATTACTGGGCTCAATCTAGTGATACAAATATGTGTTGTTTGATTTATCAACACATTACAAACTTTAACTTTGGAGTTTTAATATCTGGTTATCTTTAATATCTGGTTATCTTCTTTCTGAAGTGTATGTACACAAAATTGATGCTAAATAAGGTCTTGTTGTTTTGGCAAATAGTGAAATGCAAGGTATTGGTAGATCAGTACTGTTATAACTTTGGTGCAAAGTTGCTGCATGCAGATTGGCTGTGGGACCTTGTTCATTTTTTGAGAACTAATGTAGAGTTTGAAAAAACACCGTAAGCCTGCATTCCAGAAGTTCTGGTATGGATAGTGTGAGCCCAGGGAATGTGCTTAGATAAAAGCACATTTAACAAATAGGTTTTGCATTTTTTTAGCAATCAGGCTTTGTGCTGAATATTAGAGTGGTTGTTTCAGAGAGTTTGCAGCAATTAGGCTTTATTGGTGCACTAAGGAGAAGCAGAGAGGAGAAGCAATTCTTGGTAACTTCCTTGGAAGTTGCAGCTAACTCTGAAAAGTCTGGGTTGAACTAGGTAAGTAACTAATTCCTAGAATCAATAAACTTTGCAGGAGTCCGTTTGATTGTACATGTAGCTCCCTGGAATTGCTATTGGTCCCTAAATCATCAGTTTGTAATGTTGGTTTTCAAACTTGAGTGCACATCAAGTTTTGGAGGACTTGTTAGAATACAGATTGCTGGGCTCACCCCCAGAGTTTCTGATCTGGTAGGTCTGGAGCGGGACCTGGTAGATTGCATTTCTAAAAAGCGTCCAGGTAATACTGCTGCTGTTTGGGAAAGTACACTTTGAGAGTCACTGGCTTACAACAATCTCAAGGTGTTTGGATTTTTGGGCAGGGGTGCTGTGCAGGCGTTGCTGGGATCTCTTCACAGCACCTCCACTGCATAGAGGTGAGCCTCCAGATGTTTTCATTCATTCAACAAATATATGTACCTATTGTGTGCTGGGCACTGCTTAAGTTGCGAGGGGATATTGTGAAGAAAGTAAGCAAAACCCCTTTGTTTGTAGAATTTCAGTGAGCATAGTCCTGGGTTAACCTGACAACAGTCCTACTGTTTATTGATGCTTATAGGTGAGCCTATTTCTCTTTCTAGCTTTCTTCCACTTAATTTACTTTCTTTTGGAATTCTTGAATTTAGTAATAATAATATTGATGTTATTAGTCATCACTATAACTTTTTATTGAGTGTGTATTTTATGTCAGACACAGTGTGGCTAAGTGCTTTACATACATTATCTCATCTAATCCTTAGAAAAAACCCTGGTGTATTAGTCTTAATTTAAAAGATGTACTTTGGAAAGGTTAGTAGTTTACCCAAGATTATGCAGCTAGTTAAAAGTGGTGCTGGGGCTGGGCTTGGTGGCTCACACCTGTAATCGCAGTGCTTTGGGAGTCTGAGGCAGGAGGATCGCTTGACACCAGGAGTTTGAGACTAACCTGGGAAACATAGCAAGACCCCATCTTTACGAAAAATAAAAAAATTAGCCAGGAGTGGGGGTGCACACCTGTGGTCCCAGCTACTTGGGAGGCTGAGGCAGGAGGATTGCTTGAGCCCCAGAGGTTGAGGCTGCAGTGAGCCATGATTATGCCACTGCACATCTGTCTGGGTGACAGAGCAAGATCCTGTCTCCAAAAAAAAAAAAACAAAAAAAAAACAAAAAAAAGTGGTATTGGGCCTGTCTAATTGCAAAGCCACATTCTTTACTGCACGCTTTAGTCCATGGTTTTTTAAACTGCAGATCATGACCACGAATGGGTCATGAAACCAATTTGGTAGGTCTCCAACAGCACTTTGGGGGAAAAAAGGGTAGAATAGAGAGTATCACATAGTATGGACAAGCATTGTTTCTTGAAATTTTTGTTTTTGCTATGCACGTATATATGTGAATATTGAGGTCTGGTACAAGATATATTTCTCACTGTAGGTCACAGTAAAACATGTTGGTAAGCTACTATTTTCTTGGCTATGGGACTATATGTCATCTAATCACTTTTTAAAAACAGATTACAAACTGTAGGCCTTAGAAAGGTAAGTAATTTTTCAGCTGGGCATGGTGGCTCATGCCTGTAATCCCAGAACTTTGGGAGGCCAAGGCAGGCGGATCACGAGATCAGGAGTTCAAGACCAGCCTGGCCAATGTGGCAAAACCCCGTCTCTACGGAAAAAAATGCAAAAATTAGCTGGACATGGTGGCGTGCACCTGTAATCCCAGCTACTCAGGAGGCTGAGGCAGGAGAATCGCTTGAACCTGGGAGGCGGAGGCTGCCATGAGCTGAGATCACGCCATTGCACTCCAACCTGGGCAATAGAGAGAGACTGCATCTCAAAAAAAAAAAAAAAAAAAACAAGGTAAAGTAATTTTTCAAGAGCACAAAAATAGTCAGTGGCAGTACAAAGACAAGATGACTGACTTTTTTTTTTTTTTGAGACAGGGCCTCACTCTGTCACCCAGACTGGAGGGCAGTGGTGCGATGTTGGCTTACCACAACCTCCACCTCCCAGGCTCAAGCGATTCTCCTGCCTTAGCCTCCCGAGTAGCCGGGATTACTGGGGTGTGCCACTACCACCCGGCTAATTTTTTTGTATTTTTAGTAGAGACGTGGTTTCACCATGTTGGCCAGGCTGGTTTTGAACTGCTGACCTCAAATGATCCACCTGCCTCAGCCTCCCAGAGTGCTGGGATTACAGGTGTTAGCCACTGTGCCAGGCCAGATGTCTGACTTTTTAGCCCTTGGTCCATTGCTTTATTCTTCACACCATACCACTTCCTTAGAAGTGCACCTGGGAATGCCTGGGAATTGAATTTTATCTTTCCACATGATGGCAGATATGCTATGGAACCTTCAGGGATGTCGATGAAACCTGAAAAGGGAAGTTGAATCTCAGCCTGCTCTGAGTAGGTGAAAATTCTGCCTTGGATCCCCCAAAGTCTGCAGATAAAGATGTGACATTTCTCGTGTTCTGCTGTGCTTGAAGGAAAGAGGGTAATAATCTTAACAGTGCCAAGCTGTAAGCATGTTGCATATATTAACTTGTTTAATTACTAATTATTTTGATACAGCGGCCATGCCTGGGATATGAACTCAGCTGTTTTGAGTGAGAAGGGGCATCCTACCAGTGTGAGTTAACACTTCTCTGTACTCTCCCCGGTTCCTCATTTTGTTCCTGCTGAGTTCAGAGCGATGTTCCTCATAGCCTGGCTTACCTGTGGATGTTCTCAGCCTCATTTTCTTTTGTTAGATCATATATCTTCATTAGGTGGGTGATTTTGGTTTCTGTTACTTTTTCCTTAATATTAGTATATTGCTGATTTGGATCAGGGGCCAGGCTGTAGATTTTCAGCATGGTGAGGTGATAATACATGTTGGTCCCCCATGCAGAATGCTGCCTCTAGCACTTTAGCCAAAGGAGCTCTACAGTCTGTCCAGAAGTACTGGGGGACACTGGTAATAACCTGAGAACACTTACAGAGCCTTCCAGAAAGTGCCCTTTCACATCATATAAACAGATCATGGGAAGCTGAGGGAATGCAAAGTCAAGGCCTCATTGGAGAGCGGAAAGGAGGCTGAGATTGGTGGAGAGGAGTGGCTGTTACATTCTAATTAGAAGAATGACATGTTCAGGGCCATGAAGCAACTAAAGATGGGATGAAAAACTTAACTTGTGAATCGCAAAATTTGAGTAGGAAGGAGCTGGAAAGGCCTGGAAGTGTGAAGTGATTGGCCCTTGGTCAGATGGCTAGAAGATAGAGAGCCAGGCATAGAACCCAGAATCCAGGCCATCATTTTGTGGCCTCTTTTATCCTAATGACATGTTAGCCAGAGGTGTCTTCCAAAGCACCTGATTATAGGGAAGAATGAATGTCACTTACCCTAGAGTGAGTGAAATAGAGATGCCAGGAAGATATACCAGGTTTATCCAGTTTCTTTGCATTTTTCTGGCATACTGTATACTCTTGAGCGCATATGTATCCTACTTTATGAAATCTGGGGGTAAAGCAGGACCCTTCAAACCCTTAAAAAATGTATACCCCAAGAAAAACATTTTTAAAGCATGAACGCTTCCTCAAGTAAATACATATTTATACATTATATAAATGTCTGGCTATTAAACCATGTATGCATATGTTAACTCTAAGTAAAGCTTATTATATGTTTTTTAGCCCATAAATATGGAGATGTTTTAAAATTTCTTCCAGTGCCCCAGTGGATGGTCTTACACCTCCCCTGCTTCTGGGATACGCACACCTAATTTTGCAGACCACTGGTCCAGAATGTAAATTGAAGAGTTTAATGTCTAAGATATTTGTTCTTTTGTTTGTAGCTTATCTTTTACTCCCCACGTTTCAAATATCCCTTTGCAAAATAATTTTTGAGTTAAAATTTTCAATTAAAAAACTGTATCCTTGAGGTAGAAAAGATAAAGATAGAAGATATATGTGAATTAGGTTGTATCTCTCCTTAAGAGGGAATACTGTTTTTTATCTAAGGAGAACTAACAACCCTCCCTTTCATTGTCTGGGTTGGTATAAGTAAAAATCCTTGTTTGAAGTTATTAAGCCTTCCCACCCATATGATGATTAGTTTGGTTCATAAGCTAGAGTTAGGGCTTGGTAAAGGCTCCTTTTTTTTTTTTTTTTTTTTTTTTTAAAGTCTTTCCACCTTAACTAGCAAGTAAGCTAGAAATGACAGAGCAGTAGAAGGGGGAATCTACCAGAGTGTCCTACAGGACCTTGTTGAATGCTACTGCTGCATGCAAGGGTTGTGGATTTGGTGTGGGCCTTCTGCAGTATCACCCAAATTTGAGCAGTACATGTAACTAAAAGTAAGAAAAATAAATTAGACAGTTTATTTCATTTCAGACTTTGGAAGCCCAGGACTGTGGGGATTAGCTATTAGCTAAGACAATGATTCACTGAGCAAATGCAGTGAAAGATTCTTTTGTTACACTGATCATCATTTGTGGAGAGACTCTGAAGAAGGATAAAGCTCTGGCTGCATAGTCAAACCAGACCTACTACTCAAGGACATGCATACTAGATATGTAGGTGTTTCCAAATATTTTTTTCAGTTGTGGCGGTGCAAATCATTTCAATAGTAGAGTAACTCAGTTCATTACTGTTACTGGAAAAACAAGTTTAACCAAGCACATATCCTACTGAGGGTGAGTCAACAGTGTCATTTTAACATAAGAAGGACAGTACATGAAGTGAGTTATTCCAAGTCCTGTGGTTTTCCTACAGCTGAGCAAAGACAGCTGTTCTTTCGGAAGTGGGGCTCTAAAAAGAAGTTGCCCATCTCCTTTCTTTCTTGATTATAGCCTTTTAGTTTTCTTTTGGCCTGAGACATTTCAAAAATTCATTTCCTCCTTAGATTTCTATCACCAAATACCCTGAATTTTGATAATTTATTTATAGAGTATATTATTTATTATAGACTTATTATAGTTTAAAACTTTATTTTAATTTATCTCCCATTTCAAGATCCACATTTGCTATATGTGTCAGATAATAAAAATGCCATAAGGAAAACAGAGGAGTGATCTTTTTTAATATGTCATTATTTTCTATAGTTCTTTAGTGGTATGGACATGGAATAAGGTGGCATTTTGTGGGACAGTATACCAAACTTAGTGATAAAATTTATACTTTTAATTTTGGAGGACAAAAGTCTTGTATTCTCAGCCTTGTGGATAAGACAGTGCTCTGAGCTGTCTGAGGTTTCCTAAATTGGGATTCAACATCATGAAGGGTATGTGTCTGGATCGTTTATTTGTTGGTTTGGGAAGGTGAGTTTTTGTCTTTTTTCCCCCTCTGAGTTGATTTCTTTAGTTGGAGAGAAGCAGACCAGATGAAGAAAATACTTTATCTCTTATGGCATTTTTGGTTTACCACATTAGTTATGACCCGTCTTCTCTGAGCAGCAGGCCATGCTTCTCTGTTCAGTAGTTCAGTTTTCACTAACTTAACTGCAGATGTGTTCTTGGAGGGATTTATTTCTAATCAATTGAATTATGGGTACTTGGATAAAATGATGATGGGTTACCTACTTTTAATAGGGCCGTCATTTTTAAGAGTAAAATCTTG
This sequence comes from Homo sapiens, assembly GCF_000001405.40. NCBI lineage: Eukaryota > Metazoa > Chordata > Mammalia > Primates > Hominidae > Homo > Homo sapiens. The sequence goes on from NC_000001.11 coordinate 120,749,576, forward strand.
TCAAGATAGGGTATATCATACTTATGATCTGGTTCCATCTCTAACTCCATAATTTCCTTTTGCTCCTGTGTTGCTACTCTATTATTGAGAAGAGATGGTATCTTGTCAGTGTCAATTTTACAAAGAAAAAATTCTAAACAATTTCAGTCATAGGGTAGTTTTTTTTTTTTTTTCCTGGAGAAATAATGCATAGTGTAGTATGTTGAATCCTAGAGTTGGCAAGTTTTCAAAAGTGGGGTTCTTTTGTTGTGTAGGTAGGGGTGATGCTAGTCAATGGGTGTTAGTCATTAGGGCATGTGTATGAGTGGTAGTTCTGAGATACAGCATTGGCAGCCCCTCTTGTCCCTGGTTTTGTTTTTGATAAGCAAGTCCTGGTTTTGTTTTAATAAGCAGGTCATTAGCTGATCTTTCGTGTAAATGTTTTTGATGTGCATAGCTGGTATGTGGGTGGTTACCTACCTGAGAATGTTGTAGTCACAAATGTATATTATGGAAGTTTGCAGATTATGGTGGATATCAGGTTTTTCTAACTGCGTATTTACAGATGTAGTGAGTGAAAGGAATGTTGGGTCAGTAGGTAAAAGACTTGCGCTCTGGTCCTGGTTCAGACATCTTGATTTGTGTGACTTTGGGCAAGGCCCTTATTTCTTTGAGTTGCAGTTTCTTGTGTAAAATGGTGCTAATACCAATTTACATGCCTCATAGTGTTGTTGTGGGGATCAAACGAGATCACTGTTTATGAGCAGCCTTCTCAGGAGTGAGAAATAGAGGGTTGTGAGCTGACTTTCTGATTTGTTTGGCTGAGGTGTTCACACAAGCCATAGAATGCTTTGTAGGCTTGGGTGGAGGAATGTAGATGGAAATCAGCTGAAAATCCCTGCCTATTAGAAGCTGAGATGTTAATCCTAAATATATTCTGTGGAGTACTATCAGATGCCTTGCTTTTCTTCATGATGCCCTATTAGCTTCATCTTCAGGTAGCATAGGTGCCTGTTACTCTCATTTTACTTGAAGAAACTGACCAGCCAACTGATTTAGGATATGGCTGGCTATCTTCTGGAACTCACATTAGAGTTACTCCTTGAGAGTAAAGTCTTGTATTTTCTGAAGGTTGCTGCTTTTGGGGTATTTTCCGTGGAGGTGGGTGGGCACACATAAAAACTCACTGTGCTCAAATTTATAAACTTGTTCTTCTTAACAATTTTAAAGCCAGATTACATTGGATTGGGGGAGGGGAGGATACTAGATTTATTTAGTGTTTTTTAATATAAAACTTTGTATTTGAAACTTTATGTGGTAACATATATTTAGGCTCATAGCCAAAGTGATTACAATGCATTGGTTTTAATATTTTCAGTGAGGTAATGTGTGCTTTAGTGGGGAGGAGGAGAAATATTATTTAATCACCAGCACTACACTAATAACCACATTTACTAAATCCTTTGTCCCTTTGCTTGAACTGAGGGTTCCTTGCTTTTATACTGGTTTTCCAAAGGACTTCATCTTGTTAATGTGATGAGGTGATGATGGGAAGGACATTCCCACTGGGCCCGAAGTGGTGAAACTGGTAAAACTCCCTTTGTAAGTCCCTCTTGTTCAACATGAGTGTCACTCCCATGTCCCTAAAGTAGAATGGAGTTTTATTGAAGAGAGAATTTTAAGAGTGATAAACAAAAGAGATGGAAATATCTCCTGTGCCAGGTCATTGTTACCATTAAAGACTAGAATAAACTGTAATTTTGCAGATTTTCTTTTTGTCTTATGGGAAATTAAAGACTTGGTTATCCTCTCTCGGAGGAAGATAGAAAACTACTGGGCCTGCTCATTAACAGTTTAGCTTGGCTGACATTTTTCAAGCACTTACCATGGTATTATAGCTGGGCTGAAGCTAGGTGGAGCAGACCTCACTTAGGTGTTGCCTAGCTCCAGAATCTGTCTTCTGGTGGAATTCCCTTAGGCTTCCAGACAGGAGTGGCAACAAAGCAGATGAAATGGAAGGTAGGCCAGGGCATCTGCTCGTTCGCTCGCTCGCTTGCTCTTTCTCTCTTCCCTTTTCTTTCCTTTCCTTTCCTTTCCTTTCTCTCTCTCCTTTCTTTCTTTTGCTTCCTTCCTCTCTCTTTCCCTTTCCCTTCCTCTCTCTCTTTTCTTTTTTTCTTTCTTTTTTTTCTTTTCTTTTCTTTCTTTTCTCTCTCTCTCTTTCTTTAGCAGTTTATTACTCATTTGTGAGAATCAGGGAAGCACTGGGCTCAAGAAAGCCAATACCCCTTCTAGGGCTTACCCCCCATTTTAAAATTTAATATATTGGAATTTATATTGTTTCTTTTGATCCGAGATCTTCAGGCTGAAGCTGGAGAGAAATCTTTTGACCTCTCTAGAACAAAGAAAGCCTTTATCAAAGACAATGTAACTTTTTGAGTTTGCCAAATTAGGTGTTGCTGCAAATGGAGAAACCTAGAGTTCTCTTCTGTGCTTAAAGACACAAACATGGAAAGTTTTAAGTTCCAATATGGTCACTTAATATATACAAAATTTTCTGTCTTTGCTGTCTTTGTCATTCCAGCAACAACTGGATGAGCAAATAGAATGATTGTGAGCACTTGCAAACCAAATTGTGACTGTTAGTGTGTTGAGCTGCTTTTTTATTAAAATGACTGCTACAACTCTGCAGAAATCTGAGTAGTCTTGAAGATAAATTCTTGCTTGCATTTACAATAAAGAAAGAATATGAGTAATCAAAAGGCTGATGGAGTTGGAGGACTGGCGTTTTTAAGAGGAACTGATTTGGACATTGAGATTATCAGCTCCTCATCAAATATCATTAAGTACACATTATTATTTTTTTCTGTTGACCAGGAGACCCAAGTTGTGTTGATGTGGGACATAGTTGTATGTCTGAAGAAACAAAGCAAGGGAGAATAAAATAAATAAAAATTGAAGTTCAGGAATATATATATATATATATATATATATATATATATATTTTTTTTTTTTTTTTTTTTCTTTTTTTTTTTTTCAGGCAGAGTCTTGCTCTGTCGCCCAGGCTGGAGTGCAGTGGCACAATCTTGGCTCATTGCAAGCTCCGCCTCCCGGGTTCATGCCATTCTCCTGCCTCAGACTCCCTAGTAGCTGGGACTACAGGCACCCGCCACCATGCCCAGCTAATTTTTTTTTTGTACTTTTAGTAGAGATGTGGTTTCACCGTGTTAGCCAGGATGGTCTCGATCTCCTGACCTCGTGATCCGCCCACCTCGGCCTCCCAAAGTGCTGGGATTAAAGACATGAGCCACCGCGCCTGTCCGTTTAGGGCTATATTTTATGTTTTCTTCTCCCTTTGGTATTTAATAAAGATTTGATATTTTTCTATTATCTGCTTTCCTCTGTTCCAAGGTTTTTGGCCTCAGGTGTGTTCTCTGGAAATGGCAATGATAGGCATTTATAATCTCCATATTTAGATATTTCCCTCACAGTGCTAGTTTCTGAGCTTATTAGAACCTAATGTTAAATGACGAGTTAATGGGTGCAGCACACCAACATGGCACATGTATACATATGTAACAAACCTGCACGTTGTGCACATGTACCCTAAAACTTAAAGTATAATAATAAAATAAAAGAAATATCCTGGCTATGAGTCAAGGGTTTAGGACCTTTTGAGGCACTTGGGTTTAGACAATTCTCAGTGATGTGTACTGGAATTTGGGTACAGGAATACTATTCACAGGTGAACAGAGTTTGATTTTGGCTGAAGGCATATTATTTGATCCAGATAATAATATAAAAATAATCCAAATGTTAGGACCTTAGCTTCTGCGAACCCTGACTTGAGAATAGTTAGCCATACATGTAGTTGGACTTTATGTAGGACTAACCAATCTCCTCTGCACTATTTTTGCACAGTACATTGATTATGGTATCCCTGATGACCTCTGTCCCCATCCTTGTGAGTAGCCTTCATTGCTACCACCCAAGGATGTTTTAAAAAGGCTATGAGGAAGGATGCATGTAGGGAAATCTGAGGTTGTTCTTTGGATTTTCCCTGTTTTGTTTTAGGAAGTATCCATGATTTTATATAATAATATGTAGCAATCTTAGGTTTTTCCATTTTCATTTTTAACATAATTTTGTTATTCATTCTGTTTGGGTGTCTACCTCTAAATTAACAAACATGAGAAATTGTGTACTCCATTTAAAAAGTGTCCTGAGCAATTTAAGCTAAAAGAATATGTTGTTTCTTTTGGGTGTATAGCAAGAAGATTATATATATTTATAAATTTTTTTCCAGCAAGTGTACTTAAAAGCATGTACTTAAAATTAAGGACTTAAAAAAACTAAGCTGTACTTAACAAAATAATCTTTAGAAAGCTTTAAGGCCGGGCGCGGTGGCTCACGCCTGTAATCCCAGCATCATGAGGTCAGGAGATCCAGACCATCCTGGCTAACACGGTGAAACCCTGTCTCTACTAAAAATACAAAAAAAATTAGCCGGATGTGGTGGCGGGCACCTATAGTCCCAGCTACTCGGGAGGCTGAGGCAGGAGAATGGCGTGAACCCAGGAGGAGGAGCTTGCAGTGAGCTGAGATTGCGCCACTGCACTCCAGCCTGGGCGACAGAGCGAGACTCCATCTCAAAAAAAAAAAAAGCTTTAAAAAGGGAGTTTACTAAAAGCACAGGAAATTGGTGACAGGCAAAATTTGTCTTGATAATCGTACAAATACAGATAGTGGAACAGAACAGATAATACAAGATGTAAGACAAGACATGGAATAACACTTCATATTCACTTTCTTTGACCACTAAGCAGCACACAAATATATAGCACTTTTTGTAGAGAATAATTAAATTTCTAGATATGATACAGCTTCTTCCTCTCTGTTGGATTTTATTACACTGAGATCCTGAACCTTTTGGACATGTAAACTGTGATCATGTTGGTCAGTGTCATTTGGATCTCGTTGGTGCTTATTGTTCTGCCGATGTGTATTAGTGAACCTACTCATGGGGAAGATAATACTATACAATGAATTTTCCCATTCAGTTGGAATTTTTTTATTACTCTGTTTTCTATGTTTTTCATTTAGATGTAAATTATTTTGGCTTCCATTCAACCTATTTCAGCTAGTTTTTACCATAATACACATGGCTTAAGATTTATAGGAGGCTAAGAGTGGAGAGTGTATCTTCCTTCAAACAAATGGTAAGAAAGGAACTTTCAAAACTGTTTCAGTTTTGCAAAGATTAGAAAAGTACAATTCTACTTTCTCAACTTTTCATCCTTGTTAAAGGCCTGGAAATTTGCAGCATTTTGTTCTTTCTTATTTTACTTTTCTAATTTGTTACACAAAGTGAAATTCCACACATAAACATGCAAGCTGAAGGTTGGGTTTATTCATAGGTTTTGTCTTAATTATAGATATTTAGTTTATTGAATATCTTATTGAGTATTGAGTACCTGCTGTGGTCCAGGCATCTTCTTAGGTCCCAGGTGTACAAAGAGGAGCCAATTGTGGTTACTGCCTCTATGGAATTTGCCTAGAAGTGGGAGAGAGAGAGATGAGTGAGCCAGCACTTATAATACATCTACTTAGGATAAAATGGGAGCACAGAAGAGGAACATCTGTATCAGTGGGTCTCTGAGAGCTTCTTCAGGAAAATAATGCTTTATCTGTGATTTGAAATATAGTAGGAATTTAGCAAGATAGAGAAAAAGGAAAAGGAGGTAAAATATTTTTCAGGTAAAAGAATGTACATGGGTATAGAGGTGATCATTATTAGCAAATTGGCTACATCCTAATTTGTAAGTATTTGTGGATTTTTCAAACCTTATATTTCATGTAGAAGAGCTGAATGCATTAGTCTCATCTCCAAGATCCAGGTATTGAAATTTAACCCATGCATAAATTGAATTTTTTTCTGAAGTCTTTAATAAGAGAAAAATAAAAGGAAAAACTACACAGTATATAGTAGATTTCAATATAGCACAGCAAACACTGATGATTTTTTTTTGCAATAAGTTCAATATTATAAAATAGAACAAAATTGGAATTTTTAAAACCAAAAATTATTCTAGATTTATCAGCTAACTGGAATGATTTTTTTATAGTATGAAAAGTCTATTAGTAATACAAAAAATATTCATTTATAAGTTGTTATCGTTGATTATATTTTCTTAAGGTATATTTTCAGTTTTTGAAAAGCAGTAATAATTTGCTATGACCCTATAGCCCAGTTCTTAATATCTGGATCTGATACTAGCATCTCTTAGGTAGAAAACACACTTTCTATATGATAATATCTGTAAAGAGCACATAAATCCTTGGAACACTATTAGGAAAACAAAATCGATTTATCTCTTATTGCTTTTTTTTTTTTTTTTTTTTTTCCTTTCAATCAAGACAAATTTCAAGGAGGAAGACAGATGTTTCTCCACTTCGTTTTTATTTAAATGTACCACTTGGGATTTGAAGCTTCCGCACTTCTTCTGTTTGTTTGGATTTTTTTTTCATGGCTTGATCCCAAAAAATGGAACACAAAATTTAGAGAAAGTTTTGTTTGAAATTGCAGGGCGCTATGAGAATTATTGCAAATCCCTGATGTCTCCTTGTCTGCCCTCAATTCTCCTATTTTTGGTAATAATGCAGGCAGTCATTTTAGAAAACTTTGCTTTGTTCATTTTACTGAGCCTCTTCCAGAGGCCATGTGCCAGAATCAACAGCAGCCAACCACAGCCAAGATCCTAGGGCGTAAACTCAGACTTCATCTCTCAAATATTGCTACTTGAAATTTGCATAAACGTTGAAGAAAAAGTTAAAAGAGCCTGTATAACTCCTCTTCATGTATTTTAGGAGCCTCAGACAGTCAAGACGTTAAAATACCTTCCGATTGAGCAGTGGGTCTAAGCACAGATACCACACTGCAGATAGGGAGAAGGATATGAAAAAAATCATGTGAGATAGACGACAGAGGCTTATTTGAAGAAGCTACAAAGCAACAAGTAATGCCAGTTTAAAACGATTACATGTTAATGCAACAAGTAAAACACATTGAAGGCTTCTCAGATTACACTGGCTGAAGTACAGACTTAATTACTCATGTTAGAGATTCCTAAAACAAAGGGAGGCTTTTAAGCCAGTGATATGTAGCTGGTATGATACTGAAAAGCATTGGAAAACTTAGGTAAATGCCTAGAGGAAATTTTAAGGAAGATTCCATCAAGTCTGGATACCTTAGCCTTATCCTTAAATGAATAAATTTCTGAGGCGCTGGAACTGGTTAAAATCAATGGCAGCTTATTCTGTTGTTTGCAGTTTTTATGTACAATTGGGGCTGATAAACCTGAATAAATAAAAGAGCCTTGTCTGGATTGAGTTACAGTTAGTGCTAAACATCAAGGGTTCATATTGTATTTCTTAAAAGTTCTTTTTGGAGTGATTCCAAGATTGGTATTAAGAGGGTATGCCAAGGGTATATATTGGCAATTTTTATTTTGTTTGTATTTATCTTAGAGTCATTTGGGTAGGTCACATTCTCTCTGCCCCTACTCCCAACTTCTCATTAGATTGTAAGGACCATGAGGACAGAGATTGTTTGTTTTATTTGTGCTTAATTTTCATGCAGTGCCTAGTAGGGGACAATGCTGACAGTAGTTTCTCGACAAATATTAGTGGAACTGTATTAAAATTGAGTTTTTGCTCACATATATTGTTTATTTTACCTTTAGTGGATCACTTCTCCTTATGCCTTCAGTGCTATAGTTTTTTAAAAGAAGTATGTTAGTCTGTTTTGCATTGCTCTAAAGGAATACCTGAGGCTGAATAATTTATAAAGAAAAAAGGTTTATTTGGCTAATAGCTTTGCAGATTGTACAAGAAGTTTAGAGCCAACATCTGCTTCTGGTGAGGGCCCAAAAAACTTTCATGGCTGAAGGTGAAGAGGGAGCAGGTATGTAACATGGCAAGAGAGGAGGGAGCAAGAGAGATGTCAGTCTCTTTCAAACAACCAGCTCACATGGTAGCGAGAATTCACTCATTACTGTGGGTGGGCACCAAGCTATTCATGAGAGATCTGCCCCCATAACCTGAACACCTCCCAGTAGGCCCCACCTTCAACATTGGGGATTACGTTTCAACGTGAGATTTGGAAGGGACAAAATAGCCAAACTATATCAAGCACAAAGAAGATACAGAGATAGTCAATGGTGGAGCTAGTATTCAAACCCAGATTTGTCTGATTTCTGCATCCGTGCTTTCAACTGCTTAACTGCATTGCTTCAAATACTCAGAAAAGACGAAATGTTTTCCATATCCCAGGAACTTAAAAGTGAAAAAGCAGAGAGCTAGAAGACCATGTAGTGCTGAATTGAGAGTCATGAGTGTTACAAGGATAGGGGGTGGTGGCCCTGTGAGGACCAGAACCCTCCAGGGGAAGCTTTCTGGGTGAGGCAAGAGGTGAACTGGGCCTTGAAGGAATGGGTAGAATTTAGATAGTAATGAGGAAGGCAGAAATCAGTGGAAGCACAGACATGCATGGAGGAATGGAACTGAGTTCAATGACGATCTGTTCAGGAAAGAGGGCATAAACTGGGCAGAGAATGCAGTGGAAGTGGTGGGGAGTAATACTGGGCAGGTAAGGTAAGCTCTGATCTGGAAGGCCAGCATGGGAGCCTAGACTGGTTAAAGTAAGAAATGGCTTGTCCTTGGAAGAAAAAGTGTCAAACTTGGTACTGTGTGAAGGTACTGCACAGACCTCCCAACTGGTTCTTAAGAGAGCCAAACTGAGGCTAAGTTCTGAGAACTAAGTAAGAACTGACAGCCCTTGTAGGTTAGAAAGTAGTGGGGCAACATGTTACAAGTAGTGCTTCTGGAAGGTTAGATGCGGTTAGAATAAAATCATTGCCATTTTGGGGAGCTGGGAAAATGGATGTCTTCAGTCTAGTCTAAAAAGGGATGACTTGAATAAGCTTATATAAGAAAGAAAAGAAAAACCTTTTTACTCACTGGACCATTTCATAATCTTGACTTTTCTCAAACATAAATCTGTGTCATTTTTCTTATTTAAAACAGCTGAGTAGTTTACTCTCCTACTTAGAGCTGTGATTCTTATCATGGGCTCTTGTGATCTAACCCCAGCCTGCCTCCCTGGCCTCTGTCCTTGCTTAGTAACCTCTAGCCATATGAACCTGGAATACCAGTCTAATTCCCACTTCAAGGCTTTTACACTTGTTGTTTCCTCTGCCTGGGGTGCTCTTCCCTCATATCTTCATGACACTTGTTCATTTACATTGTAGCTCAAAGCATACCTCCTCAGGGAGGCCTTTCCTAGACACTATCTGAGGTACACTCCTGCACCCCCAGCCTTCATGATTGCTTTTTATACATTACTGGGTTTTGTTTCCAATGGAACTTATCGCTTATTACTGTCCTAAATTATTTTATTAATTTTTTAGCCACCTTTCTCTTATAGAAATAAGGTTCCTGAGGACAGGGAGTTTATTCTGTATACTACGGTATCCCTGACATCAGGGCTTGTGCCTGCCGATAGTAGATGCTTTCTAAATATGTTCTGAATATTAGATAGCTAGTTCCCAAATGCACTGCACTGAAAGTGTATGAAAATTGGAAATTGGCTTCTAGATTTTTGTATTATATTGCCAAATGATGGAGTGATGAGATTGAAATCTACTACTTCTTTTTGCTTTTTTTTTTTTTTTTTTTTTTTGGTGGAGTAGAGGAGGGCCTGCACAAACAGCAGAGACACACACAGTAAATAAGATTTATTTCAGCCAGCAAGTATTTATTGACATGAAAATTGGGGTTAAATGTGACTCTTTGTGAGTGACTAGTTTCTTGGAGTCTATTAAAGCATCAGTTTAAACATCAATTCTCTATGGTATGATTAATGTTTCTTTTTTTACTTTATAAGCATGAAGCTGCCTTCAATTTTATTGTTAAATTTAAGTGTTTTACATTGGAAAAAAGTAAATTGAATTTTGAAATGAGGTCTGTCCCGGTCTCACTTTCATGGCTTCAGGTTATCAAAGTTTTAATTTCTCTTTGTGTGGAAGATAATTATAGTATTCATTTTTGCTCCTGAGTAAAGCCACAAGTCTCAAGATTATTTTTCTTTTTTTAAAAATTAGAATTGTCAATTTATAGTTGTATACATTTATAGGGTACAAAGTGATGTTATAATTTGCTAATACAATGTAGAACAATTAAAAGGTAGTGTATCCTTCATCTCAAATATTTAACATTTTTTGAAATTTACTCTCTTAGCAATTTTGAAATGTACAATACCCTATTATTAACTATATTCACCACTCTATGCAATATATCTCAAACATATACAAAAAAATTCTTCTTGTGTAACTGTAGCTTTTTGTACCCATTGATCATCAGGCCCACAGCTTCCGTAACCACCATTTTCCTCTCTGCTTCTATGATTTTGATGGTTTTCAATTCTACGTATAAGTGAGAACATGCTGTATTTGTCTTCCTGTGCCTTATTTCACTTAGCATAATGTTCTCCAATTCTATCCATGTTGTCTCAAATGACAGAATTTATATCTAAAGGTTGAATAGTATTCCATTGTATATATCTACCACAGCTTTTTTTTTTTTTTTTTTTTTTTTTGAGATGGAGTCTCTCTCTGTCACTCAGGCTGGAGTACAGTGGAGCAATCTCGGCTCACTGCAACCTCCGCCCCCCAGGTTCAAGTGATTCTCCTGCCTCAGCCTCCTGAGTAGCTGCGATTACTGGCGTGCTGTAATTTTTGTACTTTTAGTAGAGATGGGGTTTCATCATCTTGGCCAGGCTGGTCTTGAACTCCTGACCTCGTGATCCACCCGCCTCAGCCGCCCAAAGTGCTGGGATTATAGGCGTGAGCCACTGTGCCCAGCCTATCTACCACCTTTTATTTATCCATTCATCTGTTGATGGACACTTCCATAACTTGGTATGGGTGTACAGACATCTTTTCAATAAACTGATTTAAAATATTTGGGGTAAATACGCAGCAGTGGGATTACCAGATCATGTGGTGATTCTATTTTCAGTTTTTTGAGGAACGTCTGCACTGTTTTTCACAATGGTTGTACTAATTTACATTCCCATTAACAGAGTAGAAGGGTTCCATTTCTCCACATCCTGTTTATTCAGACAATATGTTATCATCTAAATCATCTAAGACCTCTATATTATATAGCTTTTGAGTATTTTTAAAAGTGGACACTCAAGCGTTCATATAGTCATAGTCAGTGTGTGGTTCCTCAGACCTGTGGTATCAACATCACCTGGGAATTTGTTAGGAATGCAGATTCCCAGGCTCCCTGCGGACTTAGTCAGAAATTGTGGGGGTCGAGTCTAACACTCTTTTTTAAAAAGCCCTCCAAGTGATTCCAATGCTTACTAAAGTTTGAGAACCATGGCTCAGTAAATGCTAAAGGTTCAAGGTAGCATGATCCCACACATCAGCCAAGTGGCATTAATTATTAGCCTGGTAAGCCCACCTTCTTTTCAGTCACTGAGTTTGATTGGTTCACTAGGGCTAGGCTGTAAAGTTATTTGCTAGATTGATTGCTACATATTGACTTTGGGTTGCTTGTATTTCTCTGAACCTGTCACTGTAATGATTTGTCAGGACACTTAATAGGAACAGGCCGTGATTTTTGCACCCATGGCATTCTGAGTCATGGGTGGCTGGGTCATTATGTACTCCAGGTTTCTTCAGGCACTGGGCATGCCATTCATGTACTTATAAGGAGGGAGCTGTTGCTGGTGGATCACAGGGAACCTTTAGGGACATTTAGTTCGCTCTCAGCTTGGTACAGGTAGGGAAATTGAGCCCCCATGAAGTTGTGCTTTGCTTGCAGTTAGGGGTACAGACAGGATTTCAGGTCTCCTGAGTCCCTCCACTGCACCAGGATTCCTGCAGGGGGACAGAGCTACAGCTTTTTCTGTGCCTACAGGACATTCCTTTCCTACTGTGAGGGTTTTATTTATTTATTATTTTATTTAAAGAAAAAAAGTAAATAGAAAAAACCCCGGAAGTTCTCACTGAAACTAATAAAAGTGTCTAAAGAGAATGAAAAAATCAGTTTGAGAACTTTGGTATGGAGGAAATAACCTGACATTAACTGTTTTAATTATAGTTGTTGCATTGGGCTTATCAGTGTGGGAAGAGGGAGCATTTGAGCCTTACAGGGAAGTGGGATATGGACAACAAGATGACCCTCTTCCTGAATTTGCCTGTTTGGGCCTGCAGCCTGGTGACTCTTTGTGTGATCCCAACAGCTGTCATAGAGATGGGTTGGACTTTTACTGAGACCTGGGTCCTAGGCCCAGCACTGCCACCAGCTAGTGGCGCAATGCCCCATAAAGAGGCCACTTATTCTCTCTGGCCTCTACTATTGGTAAATGGGTATAATAATATCCACGCTGCCAATCCTGAGAAATTTCAGGTAATGGGAAGCAGTGTATCTTGGTGGTTAAGGGCAGAGTCTCTGGATTCAAATTCTGGCTTTCTAACTCACTGGCATGGCAGTAGGCAGGCCACTTATCCTCCCTGTTTTCTCACCTGAGAGTGGGTATAATGAAATTTACTTCTAAGGGTTGTTGTGAAGATTGAATTAGTTAGCTAATTTATGTAAAGTACTTAGGATAGTGCCTGGTATTTAGTAAGTTCTATGTGTTAGCCTATTATTATTATTACTATTACCATTTAAAAATATTATTTCAAGGATGGGATGCATTTTCTGTAAACATGTTCTCAAATGATTCTACTACTGGATACAATACTGGGCTTTTATGCAGTAATTGTTGTTGGAGGAGTTGTTCTGACATCCAGCTTGCACCTGGGCTACTGGTTTCGTGGCCAGGGATGGCCAGGCCTAGCGTCTCTCTGATCTTGCACAATTTATGCATAGAGTGGTGTGGTTAGAGGAAACTTGGAGGGGGGAACTTCTCAGTTTTGCTTTCAGGTATTTATACATTAACTATCATAAGAGATGGACATCTTAATAACTTCCAAGAAAGAGTTCATGAGCTTCAATTTGATATTTATTGTTTGACTAGGTTTCTTTCTGTCTTACCTTTCCAGTTGTTAGGGTTCTTGATATGTATTTTGGTGATGAAAATTTCAACTCTAAAAGCTAAACAATCAAGATATTGTAATTATCCAGCAAGTGATTGGCAGATTTCGAGTAGACTTCTTCCATTCTTGGCTGAAATCAATGAAAATGTCTACTATTGCTGTTGTTTTTGTTCTTTTCTCTGAAAAGTCTGTTTTTGGGAGGGCCTCAGATGGTAAAGTGCCTTTTTATTGTCTCTTAAAGGGAATGGGGGAATCAACAGTTTGAGAATTTTTGTTTTATCTGTATGTATAAAATTGCCTTCTCCTTTTATTTCTTTTGATACTCTCTCTGCAGTCTCTATTCATGATCTACTCCCCATCTTTTTATGGGCCCCTTAAAGCTAGAGATTATGTTTATTCGGTTATTTATGTATTCCATTTCTCCTTTTTTCTGGATCCTAATTTTGTGCCTGGTGCATACTAGGCTCTCAATTTTAGTTTGTTGAATTACTGTTATTGCTGTTTCTGATTACTTCTTGAAGCGGTCTGTTTTAAAACTTCACCTGAAGGCTAAGTAATTCATCAGTATAATGGTGATCTATTATTTATCTAGCATTTTCCTAAACACTCATTGATGAATCCTTATAATACTCATCTGAAGTATCTAAATCCCAAGATGATGTGTCATGCCATAGATGGTATGGCTTTAATTTTTAATTGGGAGATGGAGATGTAACAGCTGGAGATACTAAAACACAGAGAAATAAGAGCATCATTCAAGACCACAAATGTGGTTATTGTTGGAAGATAGTTTTGGGATGGGCTTCTGTGCTAGAAGCCAGAACATAAAAAACTGATTAAAACTCTAAAAAGAAACCCAGATTAGGTGGGAATGAATGCTGATCTGGATTGGATTACACTTCTTTGGTGTCTGAGGGTTATGATTAGTGACTTACTTCTAATGTGCATTTGTTTTTATTTTTAGCATTGCAGTGTCGAGATGGCTATGAACCCTGTGTAAATAAAGGAATGTGTGTTACCTACCACAGTGGCACAGGATACTGCAAGTAAGTTTTTCTCTTCATATATTTTCTTTTTGCGATAGAACACTGGACAAGATTTGATTCTACTCCTCTATTTTTAATGCTTCTGTGGAATGTTACTGGTTCTTGAGCTTTCCTGGTACAGATTTTGGTTGGGGGTGAGGATGGAAGGATGTGGATGCCAGATAATTGGCTAATAAGAACTTCTTACTATCTTACTGTTATCTTTCTCACTATGAAAAAGACTTTTCAGTGAGTGGCTAGTTAATGTATATGGGGTAGACCAGGCATGGTGGCTCATGCTGGTAATCCCAGCACTTCAGGAGGCTGAGTTGGGCGAATCACGAGGTCAGGAGTTCAAGATCAGCCTGGCCAACATAGTGAAACCCTATCTCTACTAAAAATACAAAAATTAGCCAGGTGTGGTGGCGCATGACTGGAGTCCCAGCTACTCGGGAGGCTGAGGCAGGAGAGTGACTTGAACCCAGGAGGCGGAGGTTGCAGTGAGCTGAGACCACATCATTGCACTCTAGCCTGGGTGACAGAGCAAGACTCCGTCTCAAAAAGAAATAAAAAAAATATATAAAAAAATATATATTAGATTCCCTTGTGTTTTTCAGATTAAGGCATACTCTTAGAGTCTCCCCTTAACATGTTACCTATTATCTTGTTTTTAAGTAAAACCAAATAGATATCAACTTTAATATTCGGCCCAGTATATGTGAATATTATATTCATATTTTTTTCTAGTGTAAAAAATCTAATTCTGAAAGTGAGACAGTGAGAGAGGAAGATGTGTGCATGTGTGTAGATTGAGGGGGAGCAGGGGCTTTGGGTGTGTATTATTATATGGGGATAAAAGAGTAAGGATGAAGGAAAATGTAGGCTAGTTCTTGGCTTAAGAGCATTTTTTTTTTCCTTTTTCTCCAACCATCTACTCTAGCCAAGACGTTTTGTTTGTTTGAGGAAGGCTGTGAGATAATTTCATAATAGCTTTTCTAGGTTTCCTGCAAATAATTTTTTTTCTTCTGCCTCAATTGAAAATTTTTAAGAGGAATATGTATCCATTCTTTTTATTTCAGGGAAGATGCTGGAGAAATAAAATTTGGTAATATGAAATTTCTCTTCTTTTCCTTCATTTTTGTGAGGAGTAGTTGTTCTTTGCTTTGGTGGAGGTACTTGCTTAGTAAGCATTTTAAGTGAGTTTATCCAACACATTTTTATTTCTTACCAGGAATGTAATTACAACTTTTTTCCAGTGAGATCTGTTCTGACACCAGGATTTAGTTTTTTAATGTTATAAACAAGATTTTTTTTTTCAAGTCAGAAATAATTTTCTTCACTAAAGTGAAAATATTTTAAGCTGTGATGACAGTAAAGCTTAACAATAGGTTGTTTGGATTGGAATAAAGATAACATTGGAAATAAAGGTTTTATGTAGCTTATTATGAGCTGCTCATTTAGTTTTTCTAGCTGGGGGAAAAAAAAAACATGTGGTGCATTCTCCTCTAAGAATGGAGATACAACTGGAGATAATAAGGGAGGGAACTTAATACCTTAGAGTAGGCCACTGAAATCTTGTTTAGTCTTTTTGTGGCATTTGGTGCCTTAGTTGCTTGCTTTATTCTGTTATGCAACTCTTGTGGTAGTTAACCCCATTGCATTATGGTCATTTGTTGATGTGTTTCTTTTGCTAGAATGTGAGGTCTTAGTCTTATGCATTTTTTGCATAGTTAATGCCTAGTACAGTGCCTGGTGTAGTTATTGTTCAGCAATGTGTTTCTTAAACTAAAAGGTGCTAAGTAGATACCATCATGCACATGTTTCTTATCTATTTATGTTAAATAAGAAGACACTGGTTCTCTCCTTTAAAAATTTCAGTGTGGCGATTCCTCAAGGATCTAGAACCAGAAATACCATTTGGCCCAGCAATCCCATTACTGAGTATATACCCAAAGGATTATAAATCATTCTACTATAAGGACACATGCACATGTGTGTTTACTGCAGCACTATTTACAGTAGGAAAGACTTGGAACCAACCCAAATGCCCAACGGTGATAGACTGGATAAAGAAAATGTGGCATGTATACACGATGGAATACTATGCAGCCATAAAAAAGAATGAGTTCATGTCCTTTGCAGGGACATGGATGAAGCTGGAAGCCATCATTCTCAGCAAACTAACACAGGAACAGAAAACCAAACACGGCATGTTCTCACTCATAAGTGGGAGCTGAACAATGAGAACACATGGACACAGGGAGGGGAACATCACACACTGGGGCCTGTCAGGGGGTGGGGGGAAAGGGAGGGGAGAGCATTAGGATGAATACCTAATGCACGTGGGGCTTAAAACCTGGATGACGGGTTGATAGGTGCAGCAAACCACCATGGCACATGTATACCTATGAAACAAACCTGCACATTCTGCACATGTATCCCAAAACTTAAAAGTAAAATTTAAAAAAAATTTATTTACTTCACATAGCATTCAGGGTGGTAATACCATACAGAGAGGCAAATTGGTTCTATTTGAAGATCATTCAACTTGGTGACTTATATATGGAGAATTTCAAATATGTTCTAAGTGTTCGCCTATATATTTTTGGTCTGACATGGGGAAAGAAGGTTTCTAGGGGAGACTAATCTCTGAGCACTTACCAGGAGAGGACACCTAAGGGTCACTGTTGGGAAGAAGTCCAATAGTTCTTTGTTGGACTGTTGGGCTGCTAGTCTCATACTCTCCAACCAAGGTTGGAGACCATCCTGGCTAACACGATGAAATCCCATCTCTACTAAAAATGCAAAAAAATTAGCTGGGCGTGGTGGCACGCACCTGTAATCCCAGTTACTCGGGAGGCTGAGGCAGGAGAATGGCCTGAACCCAGGAGGCGGAGCTTGCAGTGAGCCAAGATTGCACCACTGCACTCCAGCCTGAGCGACAGAGCGAGACTGTGTTTCCAAAAAAAAAAAAAAAAAAAGAAAATGGAGCTGCCTAAATTCTGTCCCTGGCTACTTGTTAATTGTTGATAGGATGGAATGCTTATGGATACAGTTCTGGGTATGTCCCTCAGATGTCTTTCCTGTTTTGAGGGAAACAAACTCCTTGAGAGAGAGTAAGAAAAAATTTGGTGAGGCCATCCTTTTGGGAGACCAAGATGAACAACAAAACTTGTATAAAGAGAGTGATTCCCTACCTCAGCAAAAGTAATATTAGCATATTTAGGAGTGGCAGGGTCAACATAAGTGGACAAAGAAAAAGCAAGAACAATATCAAGGCAGCCATGTCAATCATTCTACAGTGCTTTGCCAGCCTCCACAGAATTTTAAGCAAAATTTTATGCAAAAATAATGTGTACCTAGCAGAGCTTTCAGTGTATTTTCACCAACCTTACCTTTTTTTCTGTGGAGAAAGAAGATGATCTAGCTTGTTCAGTAAATATTATTTTCACAAAATAGAAAATAAATATTAAAACACTTAGAAGATTTAAAAAAATTCTATCAGGCATGCAGGGCATGTGATTATCTTTTTATTCATGCGATTGCTTAGTGGATTAAGAAAAGAAAGTTGAAGCCAAATTCCTTTTACAGGGCCAGCGTGGGGGTGAGTGGTGAGTGGTGGGATGGGAACTGGTAGAAAGTGTTTTAAAATAGAAGGAATCTGACTATCTGTTTAGACAGCATAATGCTACTGATTCAGCTAAAATATAATGATTGTTTATAGAAATTATAAAAATCCTTGATAAGATCACATTGACAGATGAAGATAACTACTTTTGAAGATTAGTTTTGTACTCAGCTCCACTGTTTTTTCTCACTGTTAGGAGCCTAAGTACCCTATCAGTCTGTGATTAGATTTTGATGCCAGATTAGGAGAACGTGTATAATCTTGCATAAAACTCAATTATTGCTGTTAAATAACTACTGTCAAATCTTAATAAAGCCCTCTCACTACAGGGAGATAAGATATTTTATTCTTTCCCTTGTCCTACTGGGAGGTGTAAATATGTAATTAAATTTGATGTCATTAATCACTTTCAAGTTGTTGTTTGCTTCAGACTTTCAAATATAAACCATTCTAAATCCCAATTTGATTAAAGATCATGGACAACTCAAGTTCACTAGGATTCTGGGGGTAGGTTAGGTTATGATTTGTATAATTGACAAAATATGTATTTTAAGGACATTTATTGTAGTTATTTAAAATCTTTGTCTGCTGGTTCTTAACAACTGGGTTGTCTATGGATGTGTTTCTATTTCTATCAACTGCTCCTTCTTTGGACCATGGGTATGACTTCCCTTTACTTTACACATGTATGGTAGTTTTACATTACTTACTGGACATTGTGGGTGATAGATTTTAAAGTTTATCTCCCACTAAAGAATGTTGAATTTTGTCAAGATTGGCAGATCATCTTGATCCTATGGATGCTAGGTTTTAGGACACGTTAGGGTGGGCCTACTTCTGTTCTGCCCTTAGTCCGATGACACAAATCTTAGTCATGGGATAGGGCTCTTATTCCCAAGATGGGACCCTTCTAGGGGTTCAGTGGAAAGTGTGAGGGGCCTACCAAGCCCTGAGGTGTTCATTAAGCCCCTCTAAGGCAGAACTTGTCCTCCCAGCCCCAGGAGCCTTCTGCTCAGTCTTTTCAGCCGTCCAGCTCTTACTTTCTCTTGGGTTTCTGAATCTTATCTTGCTCATGCATAGTCAGGAATTATTTAAGGATTTGAGCAGAGTTGTATGCATACTTTGAAGCTACCCACTCTGTGGTTCTGTCTTTTCCAGGAATTTTTCTCCTCATATTCTAGCTGCTGTGACAGCTCCAGATACCTCTGACTCCTCAGTATCACAGGACTTCCGTTTTCTGCTTGCACACTCTTCCTCTTCTGCTGCATGAACTGGGGTGTACCTTCACGATAAAAAAAAAAAACAAAACTGTAAATGTGGGTTTCATATAGTTTGCTTCGCTTTTTCTGAGGCTTATATCCCTTCTAGTTTATGCCTGCTTTCAGTGATTCTCCAGTGCCTTTGATATTTTGTCCAGAGCAAGAGGGCTAGTCTGATATAAGTTACTCTGCAATTATTTTTAATGATGAAAATTGGAAATATAAAGGGGCCTTTCAGAATTTCATACATACCACTTGGTAAATATCTAACATAGTGTTTGTAAAACAGCAGAAAGTCACTGTGAGTTGTATACGTTCCTGTAGATGGGTGCTTGCATTTGAGAATGTCCACTTTTTGCTAAAGTGCTGATCTAAAAACTACACTTTAAGGTAAATTATTATAAATATAAAGTGTTATAAAATATAACTTTGTGTCACATTTTGTCTAAAACTTGTCTGCTAGCTGTAATAAACATTAAACATTAACAGCTAACAATTTTCCTTGCCAGGATTAGGCAGTCATGTTGGTGGTCCAGATTTCCTGAATCCATCCAAGAAAAACTAGAGCCATTGCCTTCTTTGTCTTCTTGGTAAATGTCTGTATAGTAAGTAGAGAGTAGAGACACTCATAATCCCTTAGAACTTAGCTTTTTATGGAGGATGCATTCGCAATGGTTCTGTTGTGGTGCTTCTCCCCCAAAAAGGCGTTTTCAGAAGTCATGGCTGACTCAGCATTTCCCCTTTTCCTTCACCTTCTTGTGAGTGCATTCAGGGAGGCACAGGGGCATTGTCAGATCAAAGAAATAGACAGGGAAAAATATCAACTGTTAAATTACTTTCTCTTTCTTCTCAGCTGAAACTGGTTCTGCCAGCCTAGTTCCTTCAAGTACGGTGCCTATTTAGCTGAACATTGTGTATATAGTTTTTCTGGAAAATGATAGCAGAAGCTTGGCCAGTTTTCCATAGTTCATTTATCTTTTTAACATAAAACAAAGAATGCTGTTTTTTTGGCTCATTAAATACCTCTCATAGAGTAATCTTTTCTTAAAATGTAATGTGTTCAGGTTTTATTAATTCAAGAGTTATTTATTGCATGCTATTTATGTGTACCACATATAACAGATAACTCAAGTCTGTGGTAGTAGTTGCAGTTAATCAATATTGTTATCATATTATTTCACACTTCTTTGGGAAGTCATAAAATAATTACCAGTTCATTAACTTGGGCTTCTTAGAGAGGTTCAGAGTAAAGCCAAGTATGAAAAAAACTGACTATAATGTGGCCTTCTGTACAGGGGCCGCCAGTGAATGGCAGGGCTGGGACCATGGTGAGGCAAGTAAGGCACAGGCCTCTCTTGTGAAATTTAAGAGAGTGCCAAAAAACTCACTAATCAAAATAATGTTTGTATGTAGTTGTTCAAAAAATCAAAATTAATGCAAAATAAGTTGAAAATTATCAAAATTTTAAATAAGGAGATCAGTACTACTGATTTTTTCTTTTGCCTTATGATCTAGTATGGTTCAGCCTGCACTGGTGAGTGGAGTAAGGGTCCTGGAAGATCCTTGACTGGTGACATGAAGAGGACATAGTTTTTTGTTGTTGTTTTTTTTTGAGACAGAGTCTCGCTCTGTGGCCCAGGCTGGAGTGCAGTGGCGCTTTCTTGGCTCACTGCAAGCTCCGCCTCCCGGGTTCATGCCATTCTCCTGCCTCAGCCTCTCAAGTAGCCGGGACTATAAGCGCCCGCCACCACGCCCGGCTAATTTTTTGTATTTTTAGTAGAGACGGGGTTTCACTGTGTTAGCCAGGATGGTCTCTATCTCCTGACCTCATGATCTGCCCGCCTCGGCCTCCCAAAGTGCTGGGATTACAGGCGTGAGCCACCACACCCAGCCGAGGACATAGGTTTTTTTATGCCAGATAGACTTAAGTTTGAGTCCTGATTCCTATTAACAATTGGATCTTTGGCAAGTTAAAGTCTATAATGCTAGCTAACATTATTGCATATTAGGGTCTGTTCTCAAGTAGTTTAACATGTATTTACTTTAGTCCTCATGTGAGAGAGAGACTATATGGAAGCTAAGAGAAGTTAAATAATTCACTCAAGATCCCATCACTCTGTAGCTAACCTGAGATATACTCGTGGAAAATGTACTGTCACCTTGAGTCTCAGTTTGCCTGTCAATAAAATGGGACAGAATTACCTGTTTTAAGTTGGTAGTTCAAATGGAACCTTCTGAAAAGGAAGTGTGGAACATTTGAAAGTATACAAAAAGGGGACTTTTCAGATCAGGAATATGATTAAAACACTGATTTATGTAATTTCTAAATTTAAAGACAGTAGCATTAGGTAGGCCTGAGTACCTCATATCATTCTAGAACACTAAATCTGCATATAGTTACATGAGTGTACATGGGCCAGGTTTGGTGAATACTGCATTTCTGAGAAATGGCCTTTAACATGAAAGCTCAATGTAATAACTGTGGATGAAATAGAAGAAGAGGGCAGTGAAGGTGGGGATAGAGGATATTGTCTATTAAAGTGTGCTTCAGTAGAGAGAACTAATTTGAAACTTCTCCTTTCTTTTTACTAATGGAACAGGAGCAAGTCCAGACAGATTTATGCAGTTGTGAAATTGAGACAGGTTAAATTCAGTGATTTTTGATAAATGTTGTTGCCAGCACAAAAGTCACAAGTTGTTGAATATGGCACCTTACATTTGCATAGTGAGTTACAGATGCATATGAGTATGTCCTGTGAGGCTTTTCCTTGTATTAGGACTTGAGATCTGGACCCTTTAACAGTACCATTCCTAAGTGATTCTTATTAATACTTATGTCCTATTAAAATCCTTTATCAAATATGATGTTTCCCTAAGGGGTCTTTTGTAAAGGAAGTCTTGGTTACTAGCATCTCCATCTGTGGCCCAGGCTTGAGTGCAGTAGAGCAATCATGGATCACTGCAGCCTCCACCTCCTAGGCTCAAGCCATCCATCCTCCTGCCTCAGTCTCCCATTTTTAAAACTTTTTATAGAGACACGGTCTCACATGTTGCTCAGGCTGGTCTCGAATTCCTGGGCTCAAGTGATCCTCCCACTTCTGCCTCCCAAAGGGCTGGAATTACAGGCCTGAACCACTGTGCCTGGCCAGTTAGTAGCTTGTTAACACATAGCAACATAATTTCCATACTATTTTCAACTAATTTTTATTCTTTCAGTTGGGACCTTTATATATTTCAGTGTTCAGTGAAGAAGTAGGAGAATCTGGTTCTTAGGCTCTGCCTATATCCTTTTACCTGTCTTGGGTAACTGCCAAGAAATTAAATCAACAAATTTTGGCCTGCAGTCTGGCATTAATAGATGTGAATTTAGCTAGGTTTCTTTCAACACAGTCTCCAGGTCAATCGTAATCTTATGTGAAGTTTCTTATTCAGGCATGTCTCATTAGCACCATTAATTTCACACAGGAATTCTTTTTTTCTCCCTTTTTTTGTGACTAAGCAAAATGAGAAATATTTCTCTTTCAGGATATGGAGAGGCTTAATTAAATTCTTTAATTTTGTCTACATCTGCCCTTATGAATGATAGCAAAGGAATGGGGGATATCAGAATATGAGAAAAAGTAATCATCTAAAAATTTCCAAGCACTTTAAAATTTGTTAAGCTAGCATAAATATGTGGGTGTGATAGAGGTTTTCATTAGGCCTCCTCTCAACATACAGTAGTTAGGAATGAAGTTTAGTGTCTCTCCGTCCTCCTGTCATATGTGTGTATGCACACATGTGTGCACATGCGACTGTGTTATGCATTTTGTTTTCATATTTCTTTTAGTTGAGTTTTACCTTACAACCCAACGTAAGGTAAATTAAAATTTCTATTGGATTTCCGCACATTTTCTAGATCCTATTTATTCACTGTCAGTGACCTTCACTAGCACTTAGTCCTCTGTGTCCAAAAATGTATTGCCAATTCTTAGACTCCATCAGCCTTCTCCTATGAAAAAGTAATGCAGTTAATTTCTGCTCGAAATGCTCTTCTCCTAAACAGTCTTCTACTTGATCTTTATGAAAAGAGTTTTATGAAAGAAAAGTGAAAATAAAGACTAAGAAAGGCATTATTTAAGTGATGGGTGATATTATTCAGCGAACACATTCAACTAGAGCATTCTATCCAGTTTTTTGCCTTCACGTAAATATGAGGAGAAAGGTAGGTGTTAATAAGAAAATAATCTGATTAGGATTTATGTAGAATGGTAGCATTTAGAGTATTAAATCTGTATAGATTCAGGTCATTTTCCTGCAGTCACTGTCTATAATCCTGTGTGCTGAACACTGAAAGTTAGATGGACTCTGAAGCACTATAGAATCCTCACTTTTCAAACAAAAGTTTAATTTTTATCACACTAGTATTTATTGAGCAGGCTACTATAACTGATCACTGTACTGGGTATTGTGAATACCCAGAAAAGCCCAAGAGGCCTGTGTTACCTGACTTCCTTATTCACAAGTATACGTACCCAGAGACTGTCTGACAGTGAATGCAGTTTCTCCTGCATAAGACATGGTGGCAGTCTTCTGAAGTCTTGCTGGGGAGATGAAGCATACAGAGATGTGTAAAATAAAACAGTTTGTAATATCCCAGTGTAGGGGCACAGATAATAACTATGGACACTCAGACAAAGGAACAAGTACTGTGGGACAAAAGAGTAAAATCAGAGGACTTTTGGTGCACTGCTTAGATCCTAAATCTTTGAATATTAGTGGTGCCTTAGAAGACGGATAGGTAGGAGAAGGGTGAGAGGAAGGGAGCTGAGGAGACTAGAAGGGACTGTTATTTCCTGGAATAATCATTACCAATTTCTTCATCACATTTTCTTAATGACACAGTTTCAAACGTTTTCTTCATCTTGATTGCTGTCTTCTGTGTATATGCTGGTTTGTGTGAGGTTTTACTAAACCAGTATGTGGATTAATCTAGTTTCACAGTGACAGGTAAGTGATTTAGAAAATCCTTCCTTTAGCACATGTTAACTTGAACGTTTGGAGGTAGAATGCCTAGAGTGAGGGTGAAGGAGAGGACCTGGGGACAGGAAGAGAGGGCAGCTGGGAGCAATTATGCTCCTTCCCTCAGACCTTTTTGGCCTTGACTCTTGATTCTTGTACTTCTACCAGACAGAGAGGCGGTAGGCTTGTGGCCATGTTTTGCGAGGAAAATCAGAATCTAAGAATCTCTAAGGCAAGAGCAAGAATGGATTGGGATAGGGGAAGTGATAGGAAAACAGAGGCACTAAGAAGAGGGTTGGTTTTCATGTACTGCATAGTTCATTCCCTTAGTTGAGAAATCAGGTATCTCAACCTCAGATATCTTCTGTCCAGCATATCGCTGGCCAGATCTGATTCATATGAGGGATCCAGAGTAAGGAAGCATCTGTTAGCCAAGTCTTTGGTTACCCCAAATTAGCTCAGGTCCTTTACTGCTTGTTTCCTCTGATTATATAGTACATATCCAAACCCTCAATTTTCCAGAATAAACTAGGTCTGCCTATTCTGTGTGGAAAACATTTGATGGTGGTTAAGATTCTCTTGCCTAGACGATGGTAGTGCCTTAGTCGTTTAACTGCCTGTCACTTTAAGATTTTGAAATACTGGTTCTCGTTGTGTAAGCCAGACACATCTTGAGAATATTTTACGGGGCAACTTGCCCTTTCTGAAACCTCAGTCATCCTGAAAAGTAACTCTGTACCTCCTTGACTTTAATTTTTCTGTCTTAATTCTATTTGTATACAATGTTTGTGGTGTCTGATTCTCTGTCTCGTATTGCTGAAACTCATGGCCTTGAATTTCTGGGTCACTCTTAAAAAATAGACATAACTTGATTACTAATGAAAAAGTGACTCATTTTCTTCCAGGCAAAGGCTGACACTGACTGTCACAGTTTGTGACAGAAGCAAACTCTCTAATTAGGAGACATCACCTATTCTTTTCTAAATTTTATAAGAATTGATGATAGCATCATGAGATGGGAAGTGAGTAAGATAAGCGTTTATGCTTGTAGAGAGGATGCATAAAAATGAAATCTGGATAAAGTTCTATCTGAATTTACCATTTTAAGTGGTTGATTCCCTGTGAGCTTAAATTTAGTGCTTCTCTTCCCAGACCGTTGTCTTACATACACACTTCAGTCAGTTTTAGCCTTGTATAACTAATCAGCAGGTCAGATTCCATAGAGGCTGAAATACCTACCACCATTCTATGCTCAAGAAAACAGGCTCTCATGTTGGCCAGTTGTTTGGGATAGAAGATGGTTAGACCTTTCTATCCCTTTTAAACACAAGATTCTTTTTCATTCCCCTTATCTTGTTTAAATATATTGTTCCTTCTGTTTGGTTGTTCTTTGCTTTCTTATGCATCTGTGAGGGGCTAGCTGAAAGTGTGAGTTGTGGAACAATTCATTTACATAAGTGTATATTGAATTATCTGTGCACCTAGAGGGTGATGGGCACTGTGAGGGATATTAAAAAAGAGACACAGTACAGTTCTTACCCTAGGATCCCCTGCTTGGAGTGGGACAGTGGTCAAGACATATACAACCACAAACACCCAAACATTAACATCAGCAAGCATCATTACATCCTTGGGTGGTATTGCCAAGGGACTTCAAAGGCCAAGATTATAGAGTCATCACACTTAGGAGGTCAAAGGGACTTTGGAAAGCACCTTTGTCACTCATTTTGTTTTATAAGTGAGGCGGCTGAGGTGTAATACAGCTAAGCGAATTAGCCTTTATTACATAACTCATTAGAATGTAGACTGGGACTAAGAGCTGTTTCTCCAGATCCCATTAGGCAATCTAAAGATTCTGCACTATTTCTTTTTCATTTTTGGTATCCAAATAGGTACAGTTGTTTTTGATCTAGGAAAATCCTTTTAGACTAAACAGTAAGCTTTTTAAATTACTCTGCTTTTAGATAGTTTTTGGACTTCAGAACTTTGAAGGTGGTCATCCACCAACATTGGGGAATGGAAAGAAGGCTCCAACACTTTTCTTTCTAGAGATCTTCTTTAATTTTCAATGGCAGTCACTACAGAATCTAGCAGTTCATGCTATTGAGACCACTTTGTAGGATTTTTTTTTTTTTTAGTCAGGGCTCCAGGTCCCTGGTGGTTTATGTAGTCAGTCTTTTATCAACAACCGATGAAAGACTAATAAAAGTGCAAGAGGGAATGAGGACTGTGTGTGTGTATGTCTGCACATGCACACATGCCTCTCTGTGTGTGTTGGTTAACTTCATATTTGGTAGGTGGGAGGGAAGGTGATTAAAAAATAATCTACTTTGCATGGAGTTGGCCCAATTTGACTGATATAGGGGTGAGTGGGGGTTAAGAAGTAGTCTATATATCAGGAATCTTAATTAGTTTTGAAAATCCTTTAGGTAAATAGCTCAACCCAGTTGTTCCCAAACTTCAAGTGTATTTATAGGGTCTTTTTAAGGGGTAAAGATTCCACAGAGCCCTTCACTTTGACCTTTTGCTTCTGCACTGAATAGTTGAATGCCTTCTATATGCCAGTCATTGTGTTAGGCACTGGGAGTATGAGAATTAATAATTTTAGTCTGTTGACAGATAATCATAATAAGGGCTAATGAGTAACACAGGCTCAGGGTTATTAAGAACAGAGGGGGTATCAAGGCTGTTTTTCACAGGAAATAACATTTAAGTTGAGACTTAATGAAATTTTAGGGCTTAGCCATGAGAAAGTGGGGAAAAGCATTTTGGGCTGACTGAACAGCGTGTACAGAGGTCTGGAAGTGAGAAGTAGTGTACTATAGCATTTTCTAGGAGCTGAAAGGCGTTTAGCAAGAGTATAGTGCATAAAGGAGAGAGCTTGAGATGAAACAATTTCTCAGTGTGTTGTTTGAATACAATGTATACTGTCAAAATCTAAGAATTCAAGAATCATTTAATATATCTTTATGTTTTACTAGTCATAAAAGCATATACATATATTTAAATATGGACAAGATACTGTTTAGTAGTTTAGAAAGTGATTTATAAGGATTGCAATCCCTTGCAATAACTCCACAGCCCATACCTTGGGAACAACTGAGCTAACTCATTCAGTTTTGTCCATTACATCGAAGGGTGTTTTTTGTAAACTCATATGTCTAGAATGTGTTTGCCATGTTTTAATCACAAGTAGATATTTTCTCAGGGTCCAGTGCAGTGAAGTATGGTAAGATCCTGATTGTGTTCTGGAACACAGAGGAAAGACCACCTTCTGTTATAGCAACAACACAAGTCTTTTAACACTGTGTGCCCCTTCCCAATCTTTCAAGTGATGATTGAAGAGACTAGGTGCTCAGCTCAGCCTTTGAGTTCTGATAAATGAGCCCAGACTGTAAACTGGAAGATAAGGATGTTTGTAAAGTTCTTGTATAAATAAAGCATGGTTTCTCATTGCAGTGGTTACTGATTTCATAGTCTGAGTGAAGATGAATGATGCTGTGAATCAACAGCTTTAAAGTCCGTATCACTTCAGCTTCTTTTTGGTTTAGGTTTCTTAAAATCAGTGTGTATTTAATGCTTTATTCAGATGAGGGGGTGAAAAACCTAACACATGTAAACTAAGTGAGGTGGGGTTTCAGAGATAATTCCCAGCCTCACAATTCCTCGTGAAGTTCTTTTCCTGTGGGAAACTTTTAATTTGGAAGCATGCAACCTAATGTGGGAACCAAGATTAACATTTTCTGAAATACTTCTACAAGAAAAGCAGAAATGGTCTGTCCAGGAAGCTGAATTTACATAGTAGAAAAATGAGCTGCCCTGCAGTATTTGGTAGTCTTTGTGTATTAGTTGTGATAAAAGTGTGTATGTGTGTGTGTACGTGTGTGAGAGTGAGAGATTGTATACTTGTCTTTGTTTCTTCACATACAACTAGTAAGGCCCTAGAAAAACTACACTAGAAAGTGTGTTTTACCACAAGCGTCCCAGTTCTGGACACCAATCTATACACAAATACTTTTTTTTAAAGTTCTTTTTGTTTTTCCTTCTTGCTGAGTAAGCTATAGTATTTCCTTTTTTTCTTTCTTTTTTTTTTGAGAGAAGGGGGGGTTGAGAGTAGAGTGGGAATGGCAAGAAGTAGTATGACAGAGCTTCTTCTCTTTTTTTCCCCTCTTTACCAGGAAGTTAACTAGAAGTCCTCATGCATGTTTTTAAAACAAAGTTGGTAATTAGCATAACCTAGTTAGTTACCTTTACACAGAGAGAATTAAAAAGTTGACAAGCCCATCAGACCTCAGCCAGGAGGTACTGAAAGGAGGGAGACCAGTGAGTTTAGACCAATAGGTGGGTTAGGCCTCCTGAATGCCAGCCTAGAAGTTTAGACTTGATTCTATAGGCTCTGGGGTACCTACAAGTTTGTAGTCGGAGCCTTGGGAATTGAATGTTACATAGGAACTTTCACTGGTTCCAGCTAGCCTTGGCTGTTAGCAATTACTTTTATCTACTTTAACAGGGGGGACAGAGTAGGGGGGCAGGAAACTAAGCTGGCATTATGGTCACAGGAAAGAACAGACTGATTTGGAGCCTTTCAAACTGCAGACCTTTGTTACTGACCGATGCTTAATTTGGTTTCTGGGTTTTGTTAGTTTTTTCCCCTGCCCTTACCTCATTTACCTTAATGACAGCTCCCCCCTCTAGAGCTCAGCTAGGGCAGGCTGCCACTGCGGATTGGGGGGCCAAGAGGCCCAGCGCAAGAAGAAAGTGGGTTGAAAGCAGAGTTCTGTTCAAAGAATTTTCTGCTGGAAACTAGCCCAGAGGGAGTAAAGAGGAGCTTTAATGAGGAGCAGCTTCAGTGCCGACGCAACCCACATGAGACTTTTTTTTCCCCTTCGTTCCACATTCTGTATAGTTTTTTTAAAAATCATGATTTTGAAATAGCTGTTTTGTAAAGCATGCCTCTCTTTTTCTTCTTGTATGTGGTGGGATTTTGCTTTGTTGTTGTTGTTGTTTTTTTTTGAATGGCCAAATCCTCGTTTTAAAAAAAAAAAAAAAAAAAAAAGCTAAAGACAGAGCTGCAGCAAAGCCCTGGATGCAATTTGGCCTCACCCTGCTGATACAGAACATTCGGTGGAGAAAACAAGGGGAGAGAACACTGGCTTTTATTTGGAAAAGGGGCTTATTTCCTGCTCAGACTTCAGTCATCTTGGAGCTGACACAAGCTGCTACACTGTTTTAAGCTTTTCTGTAGACGAGTGGCTATTCACTTAGGAAACGTGAAAGAACAAATTTTTCTGTCCTGTATTACTAGGGAGACTGATCCTGAACTGTAGCCATTGCCAGATAGATTGGAATTGCTATTCAGATCCCAGCTTCGTTGAAATCTGTAAAGTGGCTACATGTAAACTAATCCAGGCTGCTAGTGAGATGTGAGGGTTGGGGTCTGGTTTTCATCTGCTTAAGTGAGAGGAAACTGTAGGGGTATCCTTCAAATGGAATGTTTTCTAGTTCCATTAGGAGGAATCCCTTGTTTTTCTCTGTTTTCTTCCTTCCTTTGCTTTTCTACATCCAACCCCATGCGTATGTTTGAACAGTAACAATGGAAATGTGGACCTCTCAATGTCAGAAATGACACTTTTTTTTTTTTGAGATGGGGTTAGGCAGGTCTCGAACTTCTGCTCTAGCAATCTGCTTGCCTTGGCCTCCCACAGTGCTGGGATTACAGGTGTGAGCCACTGTGCCCAGCTGAGACTTTTAAAGAAAAAGTCATAAATACATCTTTATGGACCTGGTAAGTATTCAGATTAGTTTATGGAGTTTAAAATGGAAAAATGCTCCCCAAACCTTTCTCTGTATTCACAACCTCATCTGCGAAGTATGTTCTTTCAGAGTTCAATGCTAGAGAAGAGAGAGTAAGTAAAAGTCACTGAGAGACATTGAAGAGACAGTTATGAAAATAATTAATAAACTCCCTACAGGAGGGAAACATTCATATAGTTTTGCGGATGAAAGGCATCTGTTAGATTTTTGTGGTTATTTTTTAGAATATACACCTTTAGTTCAAGTGGTAGACTATTTTCCAAAATGTGTGCTGGGTAGCTTAATGGAATTATAGATATGTAAGGGGTGTTGGGTGTTTAGCCATGTTTTCACTCTCTAACCAAATTCAACTTTAGCCATCTCAAGAAGACAGCTATTTAAGCCCTTGTTTTCAAGCAGAGAACCTTACTTTCCACCAAGACTAACAGAGTATATTTTCTCCTTATACCACAGTTGAACAGGGATTTGCAAGTTGAAAGATCTCCTGCCTTAGGAAACAAGGGTCTGTTATTTCTGACTGTCTTACCTATTACTCCCCTTTCTTCCCATGTCCATAATGCTGCTTAGCTTCCTGGGGTGTGAAGGATAATTCTGTACCTCAGGATGACTATTAGGTTGATTTGGCCTGTTATTCTACCAGGCAGATCACAGAGTAGAGATGGATTTTGTGGAACATTTGGATTGAGAGACTGACTTTATCCATCACATGAAATTTAGCCTGCTATGGAACCAGCTGCTTAGTGGGGTTTAGGTACTCAGGTATTCAGGGAACCTACACCAAGGGTTCAAGACAGGCTCTTCCCCACAAAAACTATCTAGATGGGAGTTTGAGAAAGGTACAGCAAAGACATAACAGTGGCTTAAATAAAGAAGAACCATACCAGTGGAGACAATGTAGTGCATGACATGGCACTACATCTGCTGTTGGAAGGATCAGAGACAGGTGGGATGATTTGTAGAAGGCTTACTATAGGACAGGTTTACAGCAGATTTTTGAAAAAAGGGTGGAAGAAAGGAACCTAAGTTGGAGATATACCAGAAGGGAAGCATGATGTTTCTCACTGGAAATTAAAAAGATTTTAATATAGGGGACAGTAAACAAGATTGTGGAAATAATATGGAGTGTTCGAGTTATGGATTACTAAAGAGTAAGATGGTTAGATGATTGGAATGGGACAGACAGGCAGATCAGAGATTGTAAAGAACTTGGATTTGAAAGGCTTGGTATTAATACTGTTGCTAGTTTCTGAGCAGAAGAATGACATGAAAATTATGCTTAGGAAAGATTATTCTTTTAGTCATATGCTTAGGTTCAGCAAGGAATTTCCAGACTGTCCTTAGGGAGAGGAGAGGTATGGATAGGATGCTGGTCCATTTAGGATGTTAGAGCTGATTGAATAGGTGCTAGTCTTGGGGCAAGACTTAGTCATACACTTTCAGTTAAGTACTGTTTCATTGCAAGGTCTAGGTGAAGATAGGGATATATTTGTAAAACTGGGGAAATTGCTAGATTCACAGATAACCAACTTTGGGTAGATCAGTTAGCTTTGGTGTCCTTTTCAGTGCTATAGGGGTTCAGACCATTTGGTTTCTGAGATCACTGCTGAAATTCTGTGATTGTATGAGTATAATGTAAAAGTTGTCTCAATCAAGGAAACTTGGAGTAAAGACTCAATATGATGGATTTAAAAGGAATGAATGATAGTTCCAATTATTGGGTTCAAAAAACATGTGCTACAAGTATAAGATGAGAAAAATAGGGTACACTAGTAGTTCATGTGAAATAAGGCTCTGAATATTTTAGCTGAGTGTGTATTCCATAGCACATAGTAGTATTTTGTGGCTTCTAAAAAAGTACACATATCCATTGGGTATGAGTCGGAGCATTATTCTTTCTTGAACTGCGCTCTCACGATGCCTCCTCAGTTTAAGAACTTACTCTGAAATAGTAAAAGCATAGTGTCCAGATCAGGAGGTCATGGTTCAGCTCTGTGCTGCACTGGTAAGAACATGTGTTAAGCCTTTTTCCATTTTGAGCCTCACTTTTTAAAGAGGTTTTTGATGAACTGGAGTCATCCAGTGATGGGGAGGCAGGATAGCCTAGTGTTGAAGCACACGCACTCTAGAGTCTACTTGGGTTTGAATCCTGCCTCTTCCATCTACTAGCTGTGAATTTTTTTTTTTTTTTTTTGAGAGGGAGTCTCGCTCTGTCGCCCAGGCTGGAGTGCAGTGGCGCGATCTTGGCTCACTGCAACCTCCAACTTCTGGGTTCATGCCATTCTCCTGCCTCAGCCTCCCGAGTAGCTGGGACTACAGGCGCCTGCCACCACGCCTGGCTAATTTTTTATATTTTTAGTAGAGACAGGACTGTGTTAGCCAGGATGGTCTCGATCTCCTGACCTGGTGATCTGCCTGCCTCGGCCTCCCAAAGTGCTGAGATTACTGGTGTGAGCCACCGCACCTGGCTTAGCTGTAAAATCTTAATCTTTCTAAGCTTCGAGTTCCTCATATATAAAATGGAGATTATAATATAGCACTGGAGCGAGTAATACAAGAGACAATAGCTATCAAATGCTTAGCAAATATACAATACATAGTTAAGTACTTAGAAAATATGTTTTCAGTTACTTCGGGTATATACCTGGGAAGGGAGGCAGAAAATTTTGGTCATTCTGATTATTATTACTACTATTAAGCATAGAAGCACCACTAAAAAGGTGAAGAAGCCTGGAAATAACCCTATACTGAGGAATACGCCAAACCATTGAATCCTGGAAAAAAGAAAACAAAAGGCCCACATAACTATCTTCAGATTCTTGAAGGGCTACGTGTAAGAGAAGCAGAAGGCTTGTTCTTTTTTGTTCTAGAGGGTAGAGATAACCTGGAAATTGTAGAGAGACAAAGTTTGTTCTTTTCAAAGTTAAGACATAATTTATGTATCATAAAATTTACCCTTTTAAAGTGTTTAATTTAGTAGACTTTAGTATTTCCAGAGTTATGAGACCACCACCATTATCTAATTTCGAAACATTTTTATCACCCTGAAAGAAATTCTCTACTGCTTAGTAGTCACTGTCTATTTCCCTTTCTTTACAGCTCCTGGCAACACTAATCTACTTTCTATCTCTACGGATTTGCATATTCTGGACATTTCATATAAATGGAATTATATAATATGTGGCCTTTTGTGTGTGGCTTCTTTCACTTAGCATGTTTTCAAGGTTCATCCATGTTGTAGCATGTATCAGAATGTCATTCCTTTTCATGGCCACATATTTCATTTATGGATATACCACATTTTATTTATCTGTTCATCAGCTTATAGGCATTTGGGTTGTTTCTACTTTTTAGCTATTATGAATAATGCTGCTATGAACATTTTTATTATGTGGGCATATGTTTTCAGTTATCTCGGGTATATACCTAGGAAGGGAGGCAGAATTTGAAGAATTAAGAAAGAGCTTTCTCACAGTGGAATCCACCCACATTGAAGACTGTTCTTTTGTTGAAGTAGTCAGCCAGTAATTTCACTTAACAAATGCATAGTGTTTACTATGTGCTGGATAGTGTTCTAAGTGCTTTACCCTTATTTAAAAATCCTATGAAGTAGGCACTGTTATTACATCTCTTTTACAACAGGGAAGTTTAGTACCTTGCCCAAGATTACACATTGAGTAAATGGTGGAGTTGGGATTGAAATCCAGGTGGTCTGGTTCCAGAGTCTGTACTCTTAAGAGCAGAACAATAATAACTCCAAGCATTTATTAAATTCTCAAGATTTATCCGGCACCATGCTACATGCTTGTATTCAAGCAGAGGCTGGTGATCATCTTTTAGAAATATTTTAGAAATGATTACTTAATTGGATAGAAATTAAATTTCTTGAATCTGAAGGTTCTGTTATTCCAAGGATGGCTGGAAATGGGGGAAAAGCCAGCAACAAGATGATGTCTGGCCTGAGGCTTTTAAGATGATCAGAATTTGTATCAAAAAGGAAACTGTGAACACGAATGATAAGTATTATAGGAATTCAGTTAACAAGTCTTGTCAGAATGTGGTAATAAATTATATACAACTTAAAGAGATGAAGTTACTTTAAATTGTGTGTGGAAGCCTTAGAAAAATTGAATAATTAAAGTTTCTTGGGAAGATGATCTCCTTTTACAAATGTTTAGTTTCAAATAGTGGCAGCACATATTAGGATAGAGAGATGACTTCTAGAAAACTGAACATATGGGACTGGAACAGTGTATTTTGGAGTCAGTTACAGGAAGGAAGTTGTTTAAAACCAAGTGAACAACAGTAACAAATGCATTTGAGAGAAAGAGCAGTGCAGTCCAGACTTAAACGTTAGGGTGGCCATAATATATGGGGAAGAAGGAGAAATCAGCAATCCAGACTAAGACTTCACTGGGTTTTGAGTTAGACAGAGGGAGTCATAGAAGCCAAGGTAAAATGATTAAAACGGTACATGGAGTGGTTAGCAATTCTCCCTATAGGAGAGAGAATTTCCTTATGAAGTTTCAGATGAGACCACTGAACTTGACTAGAGGAAAGTCATTGTTTTTAGAAAACAGTTTCTAAGCAATAATTAGAATTAAAGTTTTGTTGCAGAGGGATAAGTAAGAAGTAGATGGAAAAGAAAGAGAAATATCTGAAATTAGGCTACAGTCATAGAAGGTTAGCTGTGAAACAATAATTTGGAAAGGTAAATGGGACCTCATGAAAGTGTGGGTTAAAAGAGACTTGTATATCTTCTAAGGTAAAAGTAAAGAACTAAGCTGATGTCCAGCCCTCTAAAACATTTTAAATAGAAATCAAACTTTATTAATACAGTAGGTCTAGTTTCACATAAAGCAAATATATGGTTCTGTACACCGGCTTTAGGAGAGTAAGTCTGTTGTACCTCATATGTAAGTATTATCCCATTTAGAGGAAAACCCTAAGTCTTTCTTTACAGTGGCTTAAAGGCCCCAATTGATCCACATCCCAGTTACAGCTCTCATCTATTTTCTGCTGCTCCAGATATTCTTGCTGTTTCTCAAACACGCTAGGGCTGCTCTCTGTGTTATGGCCTTTGCATTTGCTGTTCCCTTTCTCATGAATGTGTTTCCCTAAGATACCTGCATGATTACTCTCACCTTATTTAGGTCTCAACTCAAGTATTGTCAGTGAAGGTCTTCTCTGATTTTCCTATTCTAAACTGAGATACTTCTCTTTGCTCACCCCACACCCTCATCCCCAGTTCCATTCCATTCCTTCCTGTTTAATTTTTTTTCACAGCACTTAACTCCATCTATTGTGCATCTTTTACTTAGTAATTTTGTTTTCGTCTTCAGCTATTAGAATGTAAACTCCAAGAGTGTAAGAATTTTTCTGCCAGGACTCAAAAGGACATGGGAGTACGTGGTTAAGTTCTCTAAGGACTCTTTCTTCTAAAGGGAAGCAGTTTTATAGGTGGTACTTGTAGGTCTGTTGATTCACAATCTCGTGCTTTCTTGATTGGACTGTATTGTTTTACTGTAATTTTTTGGACTTACAAGAAGTCAGGTGTTTTCATGGACTCTTCTCTTTTCCATACAGATGTCCAGAAGGCTTCTTGGGGGAATATTGTCAACATCGAGACCCCTGTGAGAAGAACCGCTGCCAGAATGGTGGGACTTGTGTGGCCCAGGCCATGCT
This sequence comes from Homo sapiens, assembly GCF_000001405.40. Lineage (NCBI taxonomy): Eukaryota > Metazoa > Chordata > Mammalia > Primates > Hominidae > Homo > Homo sapiens. The sequence goes on from NC_000001.11 coordinate 120,785,073, forward strand.
GGGGAAAGCCACGTGCCGGTGTGCCTCAGGGTTTACAGGAGAGGACTGCCAGTACTCGACACCTCATCCATGCTTTGTGTCTCGACCTTGCCTGAATGGCGGCACATGCCATATGCTCAGCCGGGATACCTATGAGTGCACCTGTCAAGTCGGGTTTACAGGTAACTAATGAGACCAAAGCCAGTGCTTCCCTACCTTCAGCAGATACCTTTATTTAGCATCTTTTAGATCATGGTGTCTGGCTCTTAAATGTCCCCCAGCTCTGGTGCACATTTAACATTATGATAAGGAACTGGGATGTTCCAGACAACTATCCCTAACTTCCTTTTAAGAGTTTCAGGGGGCAGAGAAAGAGAAAGAAAAAGGACCAAATACTTTGACTGCTTAAAGTATATATGTCAGGGCCAGGTGCGGTGGCGCACGCTTGCAATCCCAGCATTTTGGCAGGCCAAGGCAGGAGGATCACTTGAGGCTAGAGGTTTGAGACCAGCCTGGGAAACATAGCAAGACCCCATCTCTACAAAAAAACAAGAATAAAAATAAAACAAAATTAGTCATGTGTGGTGGTGTGCACCTGTAGTCCTAACTACTTGGGAGGCTGAAGTGGAAGAATTGCTTGAGCCCAGGAGTTTGAGGCTGCAGTGAGCTATGATCGCACCACTGCACTCTAGCCTGGGTGACAGAGTGAGACCCTGTCTCAAAAAAAAAAATATGTACACCAGGATGGGGAATCAGAGTTTACTTCACTAAAAGAAATAAGTACACTGTCACCAGAGGAAAAGTTGCTGATGTTATTGACTATTTGCTTTTAGAAATCTCCCTCCCTAGACATTCAGGGCACTGGCTTTTCTGGTTTTCTGAACCCTGTTCCTTTTGCTTCTTCATTACCTTGTTCTTATCCATTAAATGTTTGTGCTCCCTGGAGCACTGTTTTGCGCCCTCTTTTGAGCCACATCACAGCTCTCCCTAGGGAATTTCACTGTCTGTATTCGCCTCCACTGCCACTGTCTTCATTAGCTTGCTGATGAATCTCACCATCATTCCCTTAGCTCCACCCAACCCTGACATTCAGGCTCATGTTTCTAGCTATCCTTTGTATGTTCTCCTTGGAGATATTCTACAGGTACTTTCAGCTCACCTTGTTGACAGAAATACGTAGCAACCATGTACATCCCAAATACCCACGCTAGAAACTCCCTGTCCCTTGTTCTGACCTCATTTCAACTCAGTCACCCAAGCCAACCTCTGAGTTGCCTTTCACCTGTCTATTCCTCCCATTTCCTCTGCTACCCTGTAGTTGAGGGCCATGTTATCTCTCACCTGGACTTCTGAAGTAGTTTCTGAATACGTTTTCTTGCCTTTATTCTCTCCCCATCTCATTCACCCATGATATTACTACATCTTTGATTATAAATGCAAATATTCTAACAATCTCACCTGCTTACAATGTCTAATATTTTTTCATCATCCGCAGAATAAACTGCAAACTCTTTTACATGACTTCCATAGCTCTCTACAGCCTAGACTTTACATCTTTTTATAGCCTGGCCTCCCCACAAGCATCTAGGCCTAGTCACACCAAATTCTCCTTATTTCCTGAAAATGTTGTACTTATTATTGCTTCCATACAGTTACACACCCTTTTGCCTGGAATGCCCTTTTCTACAACTGGTGATTGTCCAATGTTATTTAAAACTGTGTCTTAGTGACCCTTTCATGATTCCTTTAGGCAAATGGTCTCTAAGTTTTATTAGTTTTATGTATCACATTTTATTGTAATTTTTTTTACACATATCTCACCTGAATAGATTGTGGGTTTTTCTAGGTGGGTCTGAGCTTTATTCAAAAGTGTTTATTAAATTAGATGAGAAAAGGAGGAACATTCTTCATTTTTTCTCCTGCTTTAAGCACTAAACCAAGAGTTCTATAAATGCAATAAGCAAAAAAGTGAAAAATGTACTCAGAAGACTATACTGGATCAGTTAGTGTAGAATACTGTTATATTAATTTTTCATTGTATTAGGGTTCTCTAGAGGGATGGAACTGATGGAATATATATGTATGTATATATATTCCAACCCAAAGTGTCTTGGTGGCAATCTTAATATATATATATTGGCAATCTTTATATATATATAAAGGAGAGTTTGTTAAGTATTAATTCACATGATCACAAGGTCCCACAATAGGCTGTCTGCAGGCTGAGGAGCAAGGAGAGCCAGTCTGAGTTCCAAAACCGAAGAACTTGGGGTTCGATATTTGAGGGCAGGAAACATCCAGCACGGGAAAAAGATGTAGGCTGGGAGGCTAGGCCAGTCTCGCTTTTTCATGTTTTTCTGCCTGCTTTATATTTGCTGACAGATGATCAAATGGTGTCCATCCAGATTAAGGGTGGGTCTGCCTTCCCCAGCCCACTGACTCAAATGTTAATCTCCTTTGGCAACACCTTCACAGACACACCCAAGATCAATACTTTGTATCCTTCAATTCAATCAAGTTGACACACTCAGTTTTAACCACCACAAATCTACCCCTTGTCAACTTGAACCCATACACATCTCCTGAGATCACACATAATCTTCAAATAAAGACAATAATTAGGTCATAATTACACCTGATGTAGTACAACTATTCTTCGTACATCCGGAAACACACCAGTCCCCAACTGAAACACTCTTACATAAAGTTAACGATACTTAAATGCTGATGTGAAGTCAATAAATCTTATGTCACATGATAAAGGAGAAAGGAAATAAAATGAAGATATTTTCTTAGTACAAGTGTGTGCAAGCACAGACATGTTTTTAATAAAAGAAGGAGGAAATACTGAGGACAATTACAGTCCTCATTTCTGCAGCTGGTCACATGGTAGTAGGTGGTATTGATGACTACCTTCTTCTACCCATTTTGTATTCCTTTTGCCTTCAGCAAACACCTCAGCAGGTTGTGTTTTTTTTTTTTTCCTGATGGAGAGGCCCAAACCTTCATTCATCCAGGCGGGACCATTTGTAGTCCCGCCTGGATTGGGCTGTTGTAGTTGCCCATTGACCTTAATCACAGGGCATGGTAATACTAAGAGACGCCCTAATGGATCTCCTGTATTCCATGAATACTCTTTCTTACCTCCGTTCTGGAGTAGTAGACTGATTTCATCTTGATAGCCTGGGTCTTGATAGCCTTGATGTCCCAGCCAACACTGTAACGCCTTTCTTAGCCTGTTTACTTAAAGGTAGGAACCCAAAGTGTCCTGGTGGCAATCTTAACTACCAGTTTAATGGAATTGTTGTTGTGTCTTCTGGTGGCAGCATTCCTCCCTCTGGAACTAAGACCTCTAGGCCAGCAGAACTTAATGTTGCGGGAACAGGAAGCAAACATTTTGCTAGTGGATCACTAGGGGTGATGGTGAGTGGTACCACTTCCATTTCCACCCCGTGATTCCTGGACCTGTGAATCCTGGCTATGGGAGAAGCAGTACCACATATTGGACGCTGATTCAGAGCATACACAGCCTTCTTGAGAACTTTGCCCCAACCCTGCAAAGTATTCTCACCTAGTTGGCATTGTAATTGTGACTGCAAAAGGCCATTCCACCGTTCTGCTTCAGGATGTTGGGGAACATGGTAAGACCAGTGAATTCCATGAGCCTGAGCCCACTGCTGCACTTCTTTAGCCATAAAGTGAATGCCTTGGTCAGAGGCAATGCTGTGTGGAATACCATGACAGTGGATAAGGCATTCCATGAGTCCGCGGATGGTAGTCTTGGCAGAACCATTGCATGCAGGATAGGCAAACCCATATCCAGAGTAAGTGTTTATTCCAGTAAGGACAAACGTCTGCCCTTTTCACAATGGAAGAAGTCCAACATAATCAACCTGCCACCAAGTAGCTGGCTGATCACCCTGAGGAATAGTGCCATATCAAAGGCGCAGTGTTGGTTTCTGCTGCTGGCAAATTGGGCACTCTGCGGTGGCAGTAGCCAGGTCAGCTTTCCACCGGCCCATCTTGTTTTCTGCACTGGGAAGGTGGGGCATGAGCACAAATGTTAGGACCTGAAAGGTGGTGAACTCTGCCTGGGCAGGGCAAAGCCAGAGGAAACTCTGGTGGAGGTCCGTAGCAGTCCTGATGTGCAAATCGGTCATCCAACCTGGGTGTAGGGGCGAAAGACTAATTGAACCATCTAGTAGCTGGTTCCCTCCAAAGTTTCCCTCGGGATAGCTGGCACTCTCGCAAAAACCCCACTCTTGGTACCAATTTACTGTATTAGTCCATTTTCACGCTGCTGATAAAGATATCCCCGAGACCGGGAAGAAAAGAGGTTTAATTGGACTTACAGTTCCATATGGCTGGGGAGGCCTCAGAATTATGGTGGGAGGCAAAAGGCACTTCTTTCGTGGTGGTGGCAAGAGAAAATTAGGAAGAAGCAAAAGCAGAACCCCTGAGGAACCCATCAGATCTCATGAGACTTATTCACTATCATGAGAATAGCACAGGAAAGACTGGCCCCCATGATACAGTTACCCCACTGGGTCCCTCCCACAACACATGGGAATTCTGGGAGATACAATTCAAGTTGAGATTTGGGTGGGGACACTACCAAACCATATCATTCATCAAAAGGTGTTGGTGGGGTAGAGGGTAGTTAGGATGATCCATGATCTCCATCATGATGATGATGGTATTGATGATGTAAGTCACTGAAAATATTTGGTGTTATAAGAATAATTTCTTCCTGATTGTCAGTTTTGAGTTGTTTTGCTATTAGGAGGCAAAGTAGGGGGGCATATACCCACTTAAAATATTTCAATTCTGGCTAGTGGAAATGACAGTAATGCCTTCTTCATAATTAAAATGTCACTCTGAAATGGTCCCAAATTAAAACTTCTTCCTTGTTGTTAAGAAGGATCTCTTCTTGGTGTGTTCTGCAAGATTCTGATCACCTTTTTTTTTTTTTTTTTTTTTTTTGAGATGGAGTATTGCTTTGTCATCCAGGCTGGAGTGCAGGGCGCAATCTCGGTTCACTGCAAGTTCCACCTCCCGGGTTCACGCCATTCTTCTGCCTCAGCCTCCTGAGTAGCTGGGACTACAGGCACCTACCGCCATGCCCGGCTAATTTTTGTATTTTTAGTAGAGATGGGCTTTCACCTTGTTAGCCAGAATGGTCTGGATCGCCTGACCTCATGATCCACCCGCCTCGGCCTCCCAAAGTGCTGGGATTACAGGTGTGAGCCACCACACCGGGCCGATTCTGATCATCTTTTATACATATGCTATTTTTGTCTATCACTTTAGGAATCATCACAGATCAAGGTCATCCTTTTGGTTTTTGTGATAGCACTATACCTCAGTCAGCTTACTAGCTCATCTCCACTCAGAGATGAAGAAGCAGAGGCAGCAAGTTAGTGCCTATACATAATATATATGGAAACCAAATTCAGGGTTGATTCTTTCTTTCTTTCTCCCTCCCTTTCTTTCTTTCTTTCTTTCTTTCTTTCTTTCTTTCTTTCTTTCTTTCTTTCTTTCTCTTTCTCTCTCTTTCCCTCTCTCTTTCTGTCTTTCTTTCTTCTCACTCTGTTGCTTAGTACAGTGGCGCAGTCTCGGCTCACTGCAACCTCCACCTCTTGGGTTCGAGTGATTCTTGTGCCTCAGCCTCCCAGGTAGCTGGGATTACAGGTATGCGCTATGAAGCCCGGCTAATTTTTGTATTTTTAGAAAAGATGGCGTTTCACCATGTTGGCCAGGCTGGTCTCAAACTCCTAACCACAAGTGATCTGCCCACCTCAGCCTCCCAAAGTGCTGGGATTACAGGCATCAGCCACCACTTCCGGCCCAGGGATCTTTCTGTTTCAGTTGTGGGCATCACTCTGAAAATCACACTTGCTAGAAGTGAGCATTTATATCTCTTCTCCACTGTAAATAAGTGCCTCTTAGTGACATGAGTGGAAAGACAAGAAGAATTGCAGTTCCTTCATTTTCTGTCTTAGCTCCCTGAGATGTATATGCTGTGCCTAAATTTGTGTTATAGTTTTCTCCTTTGATTTGACATTCCTTGATAGGCAGAGAGCACTTTTCTGTGCTCATATGTCACATCTCGCATCCTTTTCCCTTATAGAAAAACTCTTGTGTCTCCCATTTACCTTTCTATGAGGTCAGAGATTTAGATACTTTCCTAGACAATCAACTGGAGTATTAACAAATTCAAGGAGTTCTCGCCATCCCATTACTGGATATATACCCAAAGAATTATAAATCGTGCTGCTATAAAGACACATGCACACGTATGTTTATTGCGGCACTATTCACAATAGCAAAGAGTTGGAACCAGCCCAAATGTCCATCAATGATAGACTGGATTAAGAAAATGTGGCACATATACACCATGGAATACTATTCAGCCATAAAAAAGGATGAGTTCATGTCCTTTGTAGGGACATGGATGAAGCTGGAAACCATCATTCTCAGCAAACTATTGCAAGGACAAAAAACCAAACACCGCATGTTCTCACTCATAGGTGGGAATTGAACAATGAGAACACTTGGACACAGGAAGGGGAACATCACAAACCGGGGCCTGTCGTGGGGTGGTGGGATGGGGGAGGGATAGCATTAGGAGATGTACCTAATGTAAATGACGAGTTAATGGGTGCAGCACACCAACATGGCACATATATACATATGTAACAAACCTGCATGTTGTGCACGTGTACCCTAGAACTTAAAGTATAATAATAATAATAGTAATAAAAATTCAAGGAGTTCTCATCTCTGTAGTTTAAATAATAAGTGACTTAGACTAATGACAACAAAAAGCCAGCCATGTGAATACCAAATTTACTAGTTCTGTGAGGATATTTTTTTCTCTTTCTCTTTCTGCCTCAAAGAATCTGCTTTGCTTCCCCTGCCATCATGATTTAGTTTTCAACCCGTCAGAGTCTTCCTGCTAGTGCTGGTACTTTCCTACTTGAGAAAGTCCATGGAATACCTTCGAGACCTCTGTCCTCCTGATGGCTTCTATTTCATTTGTTATATAGGGACCCAGAGTTCCTTCATCATTTTCAAACACATCAACAGATATTTATAGCAAGGCCACAATTAATAAAATGTTTCCCAGAATATATGTGTGTGTTACATTTAGAGGAAACAGAAGTAGTATTGACTTGTTTCTATCACCAGAGGTCTATTTAGTAACTATATTTTGTGGAAAATATCGATATATTTTATCCATTCAACAGACATGATTTGAGAGCATACCATGGAGACCCAACCCTGCCAGTGTGGCAGGTGGTATAATAGAAGAAAATAGCAAACTTGGTGTATCTGTGTTTGCGCACATGTATGTATGTGAGGGGCACTAAGGATGACTTTACAGAGGTTGGAACTTTTGAGTACAGTTGCCAAGATAGGGAGAGTTCACTAGGAAAACAGAAGGGAAGTTGATTTTTTTTTTTTTGAAATAGAGTCTTGCTGTGTCGCCCAGGCTGGAGTGCAGTGGTACAATCTCGGCTCACTGCAACCTCCGCCTCCTGGGTTCAAGTGATTCTTCTGCCTCAGCCTTCCAAGTAGCTGGGATTACAGGTGCGCGCCACCATGCCCAGCTAATTTTTGTATTTTTAGTAGAGACAGGGTTTCACCATATTGGCCGGGCTGGTCTTGAACTCCTTACCTCATGATCTGCCTGCCTCGGCCTCCCAAAGTGCTGGAATTACAGGTGTGAGCCACTGCTCCTGGCCCAGAAGTTGATATTCAAACAGGAGCAGCATATGCAAAGACAGTGAGCTCTGAGAGAGTAGATGGATCCAGACTCCTATTGCTAATAGCGTCCTGCAGGATTGGGCTTCAATGTGACTAACCTACAATTGCCTCCAGGTGCTCCACCCACTGAGTCCTTGTGTCTCTGCTGAGGTCCTTGGAGAGTTACTGGAGAGGGCTCTGTGTCAGATTACCTTGAGGAGGCTCTGATTTAGCCTTTTGTAAAATGCAAAGAGTTGAGGTCTTCTCCACGCAAGAGCTCGCTGATGTCAATGAGGTATTGAGGATGGGGCCATCTCCTATTTCTGTGGCCAGTACTGAGTTTTGTTATCCTTCCTTTAGGTAAGGAGTGCCAATGGACCGATGCCTGCCTGTCTCATCTCTGTGCAAATGGAAGTACCTGTACCACTGTGGCCAACCAGTTCTCCTGCAAATGCCTCACAGGCTTCACAGGGCAGAAGTGTGAGACTGATGTCAATGAGTGTGACATTCCAGGACACTGCCAGCATGGTGGCACCTGCCTCAACCTGCCTGGTTCCTACCAGTGCCAGTGCCTTCAGGGCTTCACAGGCCAGTACTGTGACAGACTGTATGTGCCCTGTGCACACTCGCCTTGTGTCAATGGAGGCACCTGTCGGCAGACTGGTGACTTCACTTTTGAGTGCAACTGCCTTCCAGGTAAGGAGCTCCCTAGTGTCCCAGGATTAGGGGACAAACCCCTAGCACAGGAGGTAGTGGGTGTGGCTCAATTGCATTTTTTAGGAAGCGCAAGGAAAAAGGGAAGTGAGAATTTTGTGTGGGGTGGGTTGCTAGTGAGGGAGGAGTTTTATGGGCCCACTGTGGTCCATAAACTGAGCAGGGGATAATTTAGCATGTCAGGGTTTATGATGATGAGTGGCTAGAAAATTGTTTATTGTCCCTTTTGTAGAAACAGTGAGAAATAAGAGGAACAGAGCTCTGGGAAAGAGACAGGCAAGTCTGGAATGGAAAAGAACACGATGAGAATTAGACACTGGAAAATATGTATGTGTGGTTAATAAAGTGCTTTAAACTGAATTGACATTAACAGTAGGTGATCAACTTTACTATGTGCTTGTGCTTTTGCTTTTGATGGAGTAATTCATTGTTTTCTTATCCACCTAAATGCACCCAGCTGCCCTTGATTTTCTCTGGGCTACTGGCCTTCACAACCCTCTCCCATGTACCCTCTCTGACTTTGGGGTAACCCTCCCCTAACTTAAAGCTAGAGAATTCTGAAACTGAGGAGGGGATCCTCTGTTAATCAGTGAGCACTTTTTGATGAGCTGATAGATGATATATGAGAGACTATGTGTGGCACAATACTTTGTTACACTCTTCACTGATACAAGTGTTGTAGAGTGCACACACAACCCAAAGATAGAAATAAAAAGAGGAGCAGTGTCGGGGAGCTTGGGGCCTGGTGTTCCATGGAGAGGGAGAAAGGAACAAGCTTGGCCAATTCATTCAACTCCTTATAAAAATGATGAGGAGGCTGAAAACCAAGAATTTTGATTGGGAACAGAATACAAGCAGCTGAAGCAGATGAATTACTAAGCAACAAAGATCCTGTTTTTATACAAATATCCTTAGTACAAAAACAAAAGAAGGAAAACTGTAGGAGGGAGTAATGTGCTAAGTAAGCAGAATTGCCTCAAAAAGAAGTTGTTCTAGTTACTCTTTCAGAGTGGGAATCTTAGATTCTGGTATTGTGGATATGGTTCACATATAATGGGATTGTGTGTTTTATTTTGGAGGGATTAAAGGTCATAGTTTGGTCCTCAGTATAAAATCAACTGGTAATTTATTCATTTCATTTGGTAAAAATGTATTGACTGCCTGCTATGTTCTAGGCACCATGCTATGTATTTGGAATACAGCTATACAAAGCATTGTCACATAATTGAAATGAAAATTTTATATTATTTAAGTCACAAGAACAAGCTATTTAATTATATTACTTTTAGTTTCTCTTTTAATAAAGAATAGATAATGCTATCATTCTAGATACTAAATAAGTATTTTCTTAACATAATATTACTATCCACTTTATCTTGTAGAAGAAGTAACTAAAATACATCTGTCTTCACTCCTGTATTTGTTTGCATTTTAAGGGTTAAAGACAGAAATAGAAATGTAAACAACTTTATTTTGAAAATATTTCAACACTGCAAATATCTCTGGGTCTGATATTCTAGTAATCTAATTGGCTAGTAATTGATGTTAGTGTGATTTATTGTTGAAGGCTAAATGTGTTTTTCAGTTTCAAGAAAATTGCTTTTAATAATTGCCTAGAACAAGAGGTTGATTTGGCAGCAAGATGTTGACGGGAAGTTAGAGAAGTCAATAAAGGAAGTTTTTAGCTGAGAGAGAGTGATTATTCACTCCCATAGCCTCTGCATTGTTATCCATTAGCCACGATAAGAACCTTAGGGAATTCTGAGAGTGTGTCCAGGAAAGGATCTGTCAAACTAGAATAGTATCTCCTCCTTGAGAAAGGAAATAACCAAGGATTCCGCAGCTGAGAGGCTGCCAGGGCTAGTGAAATAGAGTAAGGAAATCTTGGCTGTCTCTTATTCTCTGGTTGTAGTTTAACGCAAGACACTTATTTACTCACTGATGGTGTGTGTGTGTGTGGGAGGGGAGATTAGCATGAGGGGTGGGAATGGGGAGATTTGATGAAGAGAAAACTAACATTTTTTTGGTGACTCAGGAACTGTGCCAGGTACTTCCATGCTTATTAGCTCAATTACACAAAAATCTTGGGACCAGGTATTATTTTTCAAGTCTTCCCACATGAAGTAACTGAAGTTTGGAGATGTTAAGTGATTCACCCAAAGTTGTACAGCTAATATGTGGTTAGGCTGGGTCCTGAAACCGAGGCAGTTTATTTTCAAAGCCTTTGCTTTGTGCATCTTACTGCGCCACATTGCACTGCACATCTGCTTCCTGAAAGCACTTTGTAGGTGTGTAAAACTTTTCGTTAAATGCTTTAAGCTGTTTGGGTTAAAAATATATGTTCATGTTATAAGAAAACCAAGACACTCCTAATTATAATCAAATAGTACTTGTTACATATCAATATGTGTGTGTGTGTGTGTGTGTGTGTGTGTATATGCCGTTGTGCAGATGTTTAAAAGTAGTTACATAGACTAGTTCTTGCTTTTCAGGGTCCCATAATCTAAACCAGATGACTTCAGCTTTGGATAAATATATAGAAGGAAATTTAAAGAGAATTCAAAACAATAGATGATGCAGTGACACTGTGAATAAATGTTATTTATACAGTTTGTAAGATTTCATGCTCATTGTTCGTATGTCCCAGGTGGAGTTCAGAAAATATTCACTTCATTTCCACAAAGGGAAATAGTGCCTAGAGATGGTTTTCTTTTAAAAAGTCCTTTTCATAATGCAGTGCCCTTCCTTCCATTGCCCTTCATTCCATTGCTTCCCATGCTTGTCAAGAGACTAAAATGTTACTTATAGTAATAGTCACTATCTCAATGTAAATAGCACCCTTATTTGATGAGAATTATTATTTCAGTTCTAAAAATGGGGAAGCAAAGTCAGCAGGAGGCAAAGTAGCTTGTTAAAGTATTCTGCAACTTTCAAATGGTTGCTTCCACTGCATTTCACGTCTTGGCACTTCTAATTGAGGGTTACTCTAACCACCCTATTTAAAATTGTAACTGTCCCCCACCCCCTTAATTACTAACCCTGGTCTACTTTTTGTTTTCTTTTTCTGTAACTCTTATCTTCTTACTATATAATTTATACTATATAATTTACTTCATTATGTCTATTGTTTATTGTCTGTCTTTTCCAAATTCTACTGCCTCTTACCCTCTCCAGAATGAAAACTAGTATCTTTGTTTTTGTTTACTGATGTAACCCAAACACCTACAAACAGTGCCCAGTATATACTAGGCCCGCAAATATATATTGGCTGACTGACTGTATGGTTTAGTATCATGTCATAGTATTGAGACTGTAACTTTGGTCTTCTCATTTTCTTCTTTGTATTGTGCGTCCTAGACTTAGTTTGGCCTCTCCTTCTGTCCTTGTATACTCTAATACTGGATAAGAATTTTGGAGTCTTTTTCAACTCTGAGTCAGTGAATGCCACATAACTTAGTGACTATATTTAAATGGTTAATTTACAATTTTTTCCCTGCAAAGGATACTGTAGTCACTGTGAGTATTTTAGTATTATTGTAGGACTCAAGAGGGAATTAAAACTACAAAAATGACTCGTCTTGTATGACACAGAAAGAAATGTTTCTTCACAGAGGGAGGAGAAAAATATCTTCAAGAGAGAACTAATTGAATCAAATCAATGAACCATGTCTCATCTTTTTGGATAAGTAACTGTTAGTAATCCAGACACTTCATGAGCTTTCATTATGTAAAGTCTTTAGCAGAAGCTAAAGGAGGGGCACCAACCACAGTAATTTTAACTTAAGAACAAAATGGAGCATGAAAATAAATTATTAAATCATTTACTCCCACTATTTTTGGGTTAGGGCCAATAATGGGGAGAGAAAGAGGTAGACTAGTTTTGTGTTTGTGGCTATTTTAATAGAGTAGCACAAGTAATCAAAAAACAGTAGGCTGTTTTGAATTTACTGGCTGTCCCTTATGAGTTCACAGTTAGATTGGACTGTCCTCAATGTACTTTCTTTTTTTTCTTTCTTTCCCACATCTCTTTATTTCTCTGATTTTGTTTAAACTTCATAAAGAGCTCTCTGATCTTTCCTTTCCAAACAATGAAGGTTTATCCTTTGTAAACTACCTCTGTACTCCACAGGCTGATGATATATGATATCCCTATATCATTAAAGTAAAGCCTAAGCACATTCTGTGGCTTTTGTGTCTACTCTGTTGTTGCTGAGCTTATGAACTATTAGAAATAATTCCCTCTTGCATTTTCACACATGGGGAATGTGATGTTCTCTTGGGTATTATGCTAATCATATTTTGGCAGGTTTCTCTGAAGCAGATGCAGAAATGATCATACCACTTTCCAGGGTGTATTATTTTAGCTCCTTTGACTTGGGCCCTAAGTCTGTTTTACCTGATGTTCCTGAAAGATGTTCCTGATGTCCCTCACTGTTCTTTCATGCTGGATGTTCTTGCCTATGCTGCCTCCTCAGCTATCACCCTCTCTTCCCCTTTTTAATGTAGAACTCATTCTTAATGATTTGTCAAAGGCACCCTATTTCACTGAAATGCCTTCTATATTCCCTACCCTCCAAGTGGATTGTAGACCTTCTAAGGTCTTTTGACATCTGCATATCTCTAGCACAGCACTTATCACGGTGATTATTTATCTGTTCATCTTTCCAAGTAGACACTCTCATTTTAACTCCCTACCCTAGTCGCCAGCATCCCCAGCATAGTGCCTGTCATAAAATGGTGCCACAATGAAAATTTGAAAAATGAATGAATTGAACGTGATAAACATAGATGAGAATCCTATATTCTACAATTTTTTAAATGTACTGAAATTATTCTTTTTGAATCCTCCTATTTATTTCTGTGACTTCTTTGGTGACAAAGTTAGAAAAAAGTGGAGGTCAGTAGGGAGATATGAAGGGACGCAGGTGGAAGCAGTGAGCCTGGGCGGGTGATGGAGTGGGCGATACGTGGCACAGGGGTCAGTGAGTTAATCTGGGCTCATTCAGAGAATGGAAGGTGTGTGCCAAGAAAACTGGTTGGATAGGGATAGGTCAGGGATTCCCTCTTGCATTCTCACACTTGGGGGCATGCGTCATTTTCTTTTCTTTTCTTTTCTTTTTTTTTTTTTTTTTTGAGACGGAGCATCGCTCTTTCTCCCAGGCTGGAGTGCAATGGCGCTATCTCGGCTCACTGCAACCTCCACCTCCCGGGTTCAAGCTATTCTCATGTCTCAGCCTTCCAAGTAGCTGGGACTACAGGTGCCTGCCACCATGCTCAGCTAATTTTTGTATTTTTAGTAGAGATGGGGTTTCACCATGTTGGTCAGGTTGGCCTCGAACTCCTGATCTCAGGTGATCCACCTGCCTCGGCTTCTCAAAGTGCTGGGATTCCAGGCATGAGCCACCATGCCTGGCCGCATGTGTCATTTTCTTGGGTGTTATACTGATCGTATATTTGCAGGTTTGCTTTTGTGACAGACTTCTTCTGGGGGAAAAAAAGTATCCTTCTATCTTTTTACTTTTGTCCAGTTCCAGGTATCCCTGTTTTTTTCTTCACTCTTCCTTCCTTGTTCATGGGAGTTTTTCTTGAGGACTTCAAGCCCAGCTTCGGAGAATCCTGGTTGTGTCATCTCATCTCCTTTCTGCTCTCTTCTCTACCTAGCCTTTCCACCCTCACACCTCCCGGGGTCTGAAAATGGAAAGATAAGGGTGTTTCCCTGAAAGTTGCTCTTCTGTGTGGGGATGACAGGTTCTAAAGACTCTTTTCTGGTCCCTGCCCTCATTGCCATGATTAATCAGTTAAGTGGCCCGAGGTTTTGTAACAGCACAGTCTTAAAATGCTTCTCCCAAGTTTAATTTCTCTCCATTTGACCTTTTAAGGATGTGAATTGGCTTTAAGCAGTAGACTCCCTTTAGTACGGCACTGTGAGCCTCTCAGTGAATCTGCTACATCCATTCCACCCACGGGTCTGGAAACTTGTCTGTTTACCTTTCCCTAAAAACCTAAGATATATTTTTAAGAAGTGCCTTGTAACTTTTCATATAGCCTTTCCCCTACTTTGGGTAGACTGTTTCTTACAGGAATTTGGTAGATCTTTCCAAAGAGAATTCTGTATCTCTATTTTTAAAGCATAAATCCTGTCAACTTTGGAGGAGAACTGATTTGGCTTGAGTCTTCTCAGACATGGGAACTTTTGACCTAAGTTTGTATTTTACATTGTTGAAAGGGAACTCCGGGATCCCAGAAAACATATGGACTGCAATTGGGTAAAGTTTCTGTTTCAGTACTTATTCCTACTTACTAGCCGTTTAATCTTGGTCAAGTCAGCCATGTGGCTCTCAACTTCCTCATCTGTAACATAAAAGGATTAGAGTAGACAATCTCTAACAAATGCTATAATACCACTGACAAATAATAATATTAGCTAATATGTGTAAGGCACTGTGTTTAGTGCTTTTTCCCTTAATACAATAGCTTTGAGATATAATTTATATACCATACAATTTACTTCTTAAAAAAGTACACAATTCAGTAATTTTAGTAGATAGGAGTAACCATCACCACAGTCAATTCTAGAATATTTTTATACATCAGAAGAAACCCTTTACCCATTATCAATTACTCTCCATTCCTCCTAACTCCCTCCCAGCCCTAGGCAACTACTAGTCTACTTTCTGTCTTTATTTGCCTCTTCTGGACATTTCATACAAATGGAAACATGCAGCATGTAGTAATTTATGACAGCTTCTTTCACTTAGCATGAGGTTTTCAAAGTTCATTGATGTGGTAGCATTTATCAGTACTCTGTGCCTTTTTATGGCTGAATAATATTTTATCATATGGATTTACCACATTTTATCATTTTATTTATCCATCATCAGTTGATTGACATTTGAGTTGCTTCTACTTTTTGAGTATTATCAATAATTCTGTTATGAACATTCTTGTATAATTTTTTGGTAAACATTTATCTTCATATTTCTTGGATATATACCTAGGAGCAGAATTGCTGCCTCAGATGGTAATGCTGTTTAACCTTTTCAGGAACTGTCAGACTGTTCTGAAGTGGGTACATTATTTTACATTCCAACCAGCAGTGTATGAGAATTCCAGTTTCTCCACATCCTCATCAACAGTTGTTATTGTCTGTCTTTTTTATTATATTCATCTGTAATGTGAAGTGTTTATCTCATTGTGGTTTTGATTTACATTTCCCTGATGGTTGATGATTTTCAACATCTTTTCATATACTTATTAGTCATTATGTATCTTCTTTGGAGAATGTCTGTTCAGATCCTTTACCTACTTTATAATTGGTTTATCTTTTTAATATTGAACTGTAATAGTTTTTAAAAAATATATCCTAAATACAAGTCTCTTATCAGATAATATGATTTGCAGATATTTTCTGTCATTCTATGTACTGTCTTTTCACATTCTTGATGATATACTTTTCAGCCCAAATGTTTTTAACTTGATGGAATACAATTTATTTTTTCTTTTGTTGCTTGTGCTTTCAGTCATATTTGTGAAAACTTTGCTTATCCCACATTACAAAGATTTACTATTTCTAAGTGATTTATAATTTTACCACCTACCTTTAGGTCTCTGATCCATTTTGAGTTAATTTTTATGTGCGAGGAGGGAGTCTAACTTGATTCTTTTACATGTGGATATTTAGTTGTCCCAGGACCATTTGTTGAATTAAGTGCCCAGAACAAGTACATCTATATATAGAGAAAGTAGATTAGTGGTTGTCAGAGACTGCAAGAAGTGGGGAATTGGAGAGTGACTGCCCATAGGTACAGGCATGCTTTTTGGCATTATGAAAATATACTGGAATTAGGTAGTGGTGATGGTTGCAGAACTTTTGGAATATGGTAAAAGACACTGAAATATATGCTTAAAAATGGTGATTTTTGTGATATATGAATTATACTATAGAACTAATAATAACAGTAATAAAGCAAGGTGTCTTTCCACATCTCCATGCCTTGTATTTTCATTAAAAAAAAAAAAAAAAAGCATTTCAGGGCCAGGCTCAGTGGTTTACTCCTGTAATCCCAGCACTTTTGGAGGCCTAGGTGGGAGGATCGCTTGAGGCCAGAAGTTCAAAACCAGCCTGAGCAACATAGCAAGACCTTGTCTCCATGAAAAATAAAAAACTAGCCAGAAATGGTGATGTGTGCCTAGAGTTCCAACTACTTGGAAAGCTGAGGCAGGAGGATCGCTTGAGCCTAGGAGTTCAAGGTTGCAGTGATCTATAATCACCACTGCACTCCAGCCTGGGTGACAGAACAAGACCCTGTCTCAAAAAAAAAAAAAAAAAAAAAAAAAGGCATCTCACTTTAATAGTAAGAGGCCAGAATATGATGCTGGTAGCATGTTGTGAGGAAATGTATTAGATGAAAGAAGTTAAATTCCAGTTCTCCTTTTTTCAGAAATGAGGTATAGGGGAGAGAAACACGTACTTGGAAAGAATTGACCCAGCTGAATTGGAAAATGTGGGAAGGGGATGGGGAAGAGGCTGCTCCACCTGAGATCTGGCTCCAGGACTTACAGCAAGGGGAACTTGGGCAAGTTACAGACTGTCTATGCCTCAGTTTCTTTATCAGCAAAACAGAATCATCCCATAAACTATAAGGTCGATGGTATCAGCGGGTCCCCAAACTGACTGCACATCTGAGTCATGTTAACAAACACATTCCAGGCCCCACCTGAGCCCTCTGAATGAGAATCCCTGTAAGGAGGACGATGAACTTGAATTTGCACTGACTTTCCCAGCTGTTTCTTACTCTGATCAACTTGGGGGTAGGACCCATTGAGCTGCATCACATCATTCCAAAGCCAAAACACAACAGCAGGACAAGAAGATTTTCAAGGCAGTCTCTAAAGCAGAGGAGAAACTGTTGAGTGAACCTAGAAGTAAAGGAGATCTGGCTTGCTGGACTCCATTTGAACTTTGAGTACAACAGAGACATGAGCCCTTCGGGACACATGCCTGAGGTAGTGACAGTCCAACTTTGGAAGAGTGGAAGCCCTAGTTTCAAATTCAAGCATGCTTTGAATATAAATTAAGTTTACCTCTTTTTGCACAGCAACATGGCCAATCTTTCCTAAGCTGCTCAGCTTACAAGAAAAGGAATCATACTGCTAAGAATTCAAACTTCAGCAGTCATAGGTAAGTAAGGAAGTCTTATAAACCTATTCTAGCCACCTAACTAGAAACTCGAAATTTAACAGGTTCTTTCAGTTTCAGGACAGTTGTGTTCACTAGATCAGAGGCATTGAGACATGAAGAACAGACCCTTAAAAAGGGAAAGTGTTCCCTTCAGTTTGAGGACATCACTGGAACATTAGGGAAGTGGGAACACAGCTGCTCACTCTACAGTGTGGGTTGCCTTTGTGTCTGGAATGTGTCTGACGTCCTGATCCCTGTGCACATTTCAGGGAGCCTTGGGAGGACCCCGAATCACTGATGGAATTGGGCAGTGCATGGAGATGGCTCAGCAGGATGAGGGTAAATGCAGGGGCAAGTCCAGGTCATACTGAGAGACAATGAGTGGCGCTGATGAGGACAAAGATAAAATCAAAAGTTTGTGCTTCATCTTCAAAAACTCAAGCTGATAACAAACTTGGCCTGATGAGAAATAATAAGTATTTTTCTATTTACATGAGAATTTAATCTCAAAACAGAAATCAGAAAAATATGAAGTCCAGGGCATAAAACCTAAAACTATTGCTCATATTTATTCTTTCTAAATAGAGCAAAGTGTAAAATCTTCTCCATAAGACATACATTGTGGTTATAAAAAGGCAAAAGTCTTAGTGAGAATCATTGGTATTCCATAGAAGAGTGAATTAAACACAGCCAAGGGAAGACCCATGTCTCATACTTCTCTTGTATATTCCAAAGTTCCAGGGAAATTCCAGGTGATAGAGGTTATTTCCCATACTGTTAAAGCAAGGTTTCAGACACTTCTGAATTTTGGTCCCAGTACTCTAGAAGGGCACACCTCTGTCCTGGAAAATAATACAGGAATGAATACTCTTCCCGTGACCCATTCTGGTCATTCTTCCAGCATCACAAAAACCAAAAAATGGAAATATGGCCAAATACGTGATTAGCTGTCCCTCATCTTCAGGTTTCTTATCTGTTACTTGTAGATAATAGCATTACCTTAAGGATTATGATGAAGATACAATGTCCAAATATAAACACAGTTTTGAGCAAAATGCCTTGTACGAATTGGTCAATGAATAATTACTAAATATGTGAATATTTACTGGATTGTATGGATCCTATGAATAATTACTGAATAATTATTGTGATTGCTTTTATTGGCAGTGCTGAAAACTCATCCCTTTGTGACCTCAAGTAACCCATGACACTTTGTGAACCTGCAGTTTTTTCATTTAGAAACTTGACAGATTTTCATTCTGACACAGAATGTCAGGTCTCCCAGACCCTAGAAAATACATTGACTTAAAGCCTTTGATACATCTCAAAGCAGTATCCTTACAGTGTCACTGGAAGATGGTGCGGGCTGCAGAGAGGGATGCTTTCAAATGGGATTAACCAGTCCTCCTTCCTTCACTTCCACATGAATGCTGGGCAGCCCAGGGTCAACCCACTGCACCCTCAACTCAGGCAAGTCCAGCAGCCAATCTTAGGAGACCTGGGCTACAGAACAGTCTCTCAAGTTCCAGGCTCACAAAACGTAGGTGGGGATGAAAGCTGAGAAAGCGAAGAGGTGGTTCAGAGGATCACTGTTTCCTACTTGTTCCTCTCACCTCAAACTCACCTTCTACTGCACAGCAACACTGAGGATCGCCAACCAACCCTGACCATAACCTTGATCTTGCCATGTTCTGTTAGTGGAATGCAACCCAAAATCAATGGTGTTAGGTCATCTCAACAAAATATATATCAAACCATATTCCATAAGAACTGCTCGTGGCCCTGTTCTTTTCAGTATATGGGAAAACAAAATGGAAACAACAAAATAGTATCAGGTTTACAAAACTTCCCAAGATAGATGGTCACACATGTTTTCAGGAGACCTCTATATAAATGATTTGATCACTTGATACCTTGAAAAGAGGTCTTGTGGCACTAGAATGACATCTATAAGTGACAAGTTTAAAATGTAGTGCTCAGTGACATTAAAAAACACATCAACCCACATAGAGGAAGAGCTTTGGACGTAGGGATGTCAAACTGGTCTAGAATGTAATGAAAACCCAAGAAGGTGCCCCAGTAAGAAAGAAGAAATCAATCTAACAATGGGATGCAGCAGCAAGAATACTGAGACAGGAAAGAAAATATTTTTAAAAAATGAATTATTCATTCACTTTCTAGTGGATACAGAAAAAACTGCAGAAGACCCGGAGGATATCAGGGCAGGCTAAAAGTTTGATATCTTACACCTGTGGAAAAGCCTTAAGCTCTGTTTTAACTGAGAGCAGGTGGGGTGACTTCATGACTACCATTAAGAAAATATAACCTGTTGGGAAACTGTTTCTGCCTTGATGATGTTGTACAGACAAGAGATAAACAGTGAGGAATATGCTTAGATGTATTGGGAAAGACACGGGTCTGTGGCATTGTCAACAAGGGTACACGAATACTGAGAGTGAATGCTGAAGGAATGATCCCCATTGGTGGTGACCCTCAGGTGAGACTAGGGTGCCTGTGTTTCAGCAAAGCCTGGGCAATTGGAATGCAGGGCTCCTAAGTTTCCATGACACCCCCACCTTCTAATTCTGTTATTGCAACTGCAGACGGTTACCTGGCACGCTGGCCACATTCTGCCTCACTCTTATCAGAGTCTGAGCTACTGGCAGTGCTTTCAGCTCTGAGTTGAGGCACCTCGAACCTTGTTTTTGTGGTGAAGGATCCTAAAGTGCTGTGGGGAGTGATCACATTTTTCACAACAGTAAGGTAAGAATTTCAGTTACTGACATCCCTCAGTCCTGATTAAACCGATTTGATTTCACCAGTTTTTAACCCATCATATGTTTGGGTTTCTTCTCCCCAGTCCCTGACTCCACCTCTTCTGCCACAAACGTCAGCATGGTGGTATCAGCCGGCCATTGGTCCAGTGAGAAGGCAGAGATGAACATTCTAGAAATCAACGAGACATTGCGCCCCCAGCTGCCAGAGAACAAACAGCAGTTGAGAAACCTCAAAGAGAAATGTTTTCTAACTCAACTGGCCGGCTTCCTGGCCAACCGACAGAAGAAATACAGTAAGATCTATAGGCTCACCATCATGAAAGTGATGAATGATATCCTGTCTTCTCTCTGAGACACTAAATGCTCTCTCCATCAAAAAGAATTTCATCCTTCCTGTACTTCTAGGAAAACAGAAATGGGTATTTTAACATTTTGTTAAAGTTGGAAGACAGAGGTACCAAAATATTTAGCAACTTTCCATGTTTGCAATCAGATGGGGGTGGAACTAGAGTTAAACTCACAGTTATTGATTTCTAACACAGGCACAGAATGACCTGTTTTCTCCAAGGGGCTCAATCATGTTTTTAAGAATCCTCTCTGTACCATATAAGATCCTGCAGACAAATAACATCTAGTCTGTTGTTCTAAATGTCTAGGACTAGTGAACTTTTATTCAGTTCAAGTTTCTGTTGAGGCCCAACAGGCAAAGCTCTGTTCTAGTGACTCTGAGGGGAACTTGGTGATAGTACCCAGTACCTGTTCTGAGGGGCTTCAAGGGGAGTCTGCTCCTAATAGAACCTGTGCTATCTATAAGTGACAGCATCAAGAGCAGGGAGTAGGGGCCGTGCAACGTGGCTCACTCCTATAATCTCAGCACTTTGGGAGGCTGAGGCGGGCAGAGCACGAGGTCAGCAGTTTGAGACTAGCCTGGGCAACATGGAGAAACCCCATCTCCACTAAAAATACAAAAAGTAGATGGGCATCGTGGCGGGCAACTGTAATCACCACTAATCGGGAGGCTGAGGCAGAAGAATCCTTTGAACCCAGCAGGCAGATGTTGCAGTGAGCCAAGATTGCACTATTGAACTCCAGCATGGGTGACAGGGCAAGACTCGTCAAAAAACAAACAAACAAAACGATAAATAAATCAAAAATAAAAATAAAAAGCAGAGAGTACCTTGGTGAGAGTGAAGTCCTGCTTCCTGGTGCACAGGCTCTTGTTCCTAAAGAGGAAGAAAGATCACACCCGAGAATGTGTGGAAGCAGCAGTGCAGTGTGCAAAGCAGGGACCCTCAGCCTGTCTCCTGGGCTCCATCCAAGTTGCTTGTCTTGTCTGTCCCTCAGTTTCCTCATCTGTTCAGAGGGTACTACAATAATACCTACCTCTGTAAATTGCTGCAATGAATTACATGAGGTATTTCCTGTCAATCTCCTTGAACATTAATTGGCACAGTGTAAACACTATCTATTCTTCATTCTGATGTTTCTAAATTAACACTAACTAAGCTTATGCTGTTTCTAAATTAACACAACTAATCTAAATCTTAATGCTGCCTCTCATACTAATAAAGTATTTGGGCATATTTCCTTCATGGCCTTATTGTCTTATGTCTCACACTTTATGCTTCAGATATGATTCTTAAAACCATATCTGAATATTGATTTAAAAATGAAATATTTTTAAAGTCCTTGACATATTTGTCCTTGAAATACCCAGTAAAAGGGAAACCATCAGTCCCATAGTCCTAGGGGCCTTCCCGACTGTACAAGAAATCACTACTTCATGCCCCAGTGCAGTGTTTTAGAGGAGAGGCTGCAAGGCTTGGGAAAGTGGCCCCGCATTCAGAGTCAGACCTCAGGGACTGTGAGTTCTGACTCCACTTCGTTGTGGTTGAATCATCTTGTCAACTTCCTTGATGCGCCCTTGAGTTTCTCTTTCTTCGTCTTTAAATTTTGGAGGATCAGATGCCAGAAAGTCAGGAGACTGAAGAGTAAAGATGTGGAAATCCCTGTCTAGACCCTGGTACTGGGGAGAGTTTTGTCCTTGGGATGGACCTGGCTCCTGCCCTGTAGGCAATGACCACAGCAGCATGTCCAGCCTTCCACTGAGGCAGGTGTGTCTGTCTTTTCTCAGAGTATGAAGAGTGTAAAGACCTCATAAAATTTATGCTGAGGAATGAGCGACAGTTCAAGGAGGAGAAGCTTGCAGAGCAGCTCAAGCAAGCTGAGGAGCTCAGGTGAGGGGACCCCATGGGGGCAGGCAGGGGGGCAGGTGTGTAAATCTCTGAAGTACAGCAGCTCGGTGGGGAGACGTAAGAGCTAAGCTGGGCCAGGGGAAGGGCAGGAATTGCCATGGCAGGCTCGCTACACACAAATATTTATCAAACAGAGAAGGAGGATAGTAAAAATGTATGGGTTGCAGTTGTTTCTCAGAGCCTTGTTTTCTCTTTTTCAAACAAGTAATTGTTGATGTGAAATTTACATAACACAAAATTTACCAAAGGAGTGGGAACCACCCAGCAGCATTCAGTATAATCAAAATGGTGTGCCATCACCACCCCACTTACCCTTAGTGAGAATCACCTCCTGACTGACTGCGGCTTCTCATTCTTTCACTCAATCAATGTTGCCTTCTCGACCCTGTCATTCTTTTCTTCTTTCATCTTTTCAATTCGCCCCATCTGCACCTGGCCTCATTTCTGTACATGGCTTTGTATCTAGTGGCCGCAAGATGCACTATGTGTATTTTCACATGGAAATGTCCATGGCCAGAGTGAGGAACTGAAAGGATGTCTTTTTGAAACGGAATTAGGAAGACACCTACTTTTGTTTACAGAAGAGAAAGATGAATGGAACATCATCGAGGATCTTGCAGGAGCCCTCTCTGATACAGAGGAAGCCTGTAAACCATTTTCTATTCTTTCTCTTGGCCACAGACATTCCTTTCAACGTGTGCTGACCTTCTGTTTCAAGGTCTCCTTGAGGACATTGTCTCAGAAGTCTCTGTTGCAATATTTGAACGGATCACTCAACCCTTTCTACTCTTAAATTTTCTCTACCGTCTCACCTTAGGCAATATAAAGTCCTGGTTCACTCTCAGGAACGAGAGCTGACGCAGTTAAAGGAGAAGTTACGGGAAGGGAGAGATGCCTCCCGCTCATTGAATGAGCATCTCCAGGCCCTCCTCACTCCGGATGAGCCGGACAAGTCCCAGGGGCAGGACCTCCAAGAACAGCTGGCTGAGGGGTGTAGACTGGCACAGCACCTTGTCCAAAAGCTCAGCCCAGGTAAGGTGGCCATAGGCCCTGATGACCCAAAACCCCAGGCTTATGAGAGGCTCCAGACCTCCATACTTTCACAATGACAGTTGTATCAGTGGGGTTTTTTTCTACTACACCTATGTGGCCATGACATGATCAGGACTTCCTGGGTAAGCACAGAGATGGGAAACCCATGGGTTTGGAGGTCACAGTATTGCAAGTGTCCCTCCTTCCTTGATGGAAGGTGGTCTTTGGAGCAAGAGGCAGCATCTATCTAGTTTTAAAGGACAGGAAGGAGGCTGTGATGGGAGGGCGCTTGTTGGAGTGAAAAGAGCTCTGGGCTAAGAATGAAGGTTCCCAGGCTGTCTTTTTGGCAATGTTCTTAGTAAGTGTCAGTGAGTGAGTGATTTATCTTTCCAGAGTTTCTCTCTCTCCATCTGCAAAGGCAGACAAATTGTCTCTTGCAAGGGTCTGAAGCATCCAAATATGGGAACACTTACGAATGCTTTTCAAAATGAGATGAAGCCCCTCTCCATGTGGTGTTGGAGAAGGCACTTGATGTGGGGTCATTTGGTGGTAGGAAGTGCTTCAGACTGGAGCACTCCCCATGGATAGAATGTCCCTGAATAACACAGCAGAAGCCACATGGAGGGCCTGTGCAGTCTCATGACGCATAGAGGACTGTGGGACAAGTTTGTCCTCTCCTAAGAGAAAGAATGAGGTTTGAAATGCGAACTGTGACAGGACACCAAGCCTGTTCCTGGGAATCAGATCTGTGGCAGGATGGGGGAGACAGCTGCCAAAGTCCAGAGAGAGGCTGCACAAGCCTCCAGTGATATGGGAAGCAAAAGGTCTTTTCAGTATTTGGCCACATCTTGATGGTGGCCCTCCACATCAGAAATGCATTGCCCGATGGAGCAGGAAACCATGCCAGGGCATTTTGTGAAAGATAAAACATGAGAGTTTTCAGTACAATGCTGAACCATACATAGATGTTCATGTCTCTGTGCACGTTGGGCTGACTGTGCTTGCAGAATGTGAAGTGGGAAATATCTGAACGAACATTTTGTATTTATAGAAAATGACGAAGATGAGGATGAAGATGTTCAAGTTGAGGAGGATGAGAAAGTACTGGAATCATCTGCCCCCAGGTAACACTGAATACTCAGGAGCAAGTAATGGGTGGTAACATATGAAAATGTCTAGGAGGCACACCCTCTCTGGCATCTATGGTGGGCCAAAAGCCCACATCCCCTTGGCCACAGTATGTGAAATTCAACCCAGCTTAGACACAGGGTGCGGCAGCTGTCGTGTTTCTCTATGTGTGCCAAGTGTCATGTCTGTACCATACAGGGATAGCTGAGTCTTCATCCTCCTCAGCTCCTATCTGTCCAGTGCACTGAACACCAGCTGCTCTCTTCCTCTCTGGCTCCCATGGCAGCCATGCTCTGTTGCAGAGAGAAGCGGATTGCCTGTTTCCTCTTTAAGGGAACCTCCGTTTTGCTTTCTGGAACCACTCTCTTAATGCCGCCTGTCAAAACCAGCTAGGACTCCATGGGGTCCAATCCCTCTGTGTTTAATCTTCTGTCATCTCTGTCCCACCTGGCTCATCAGGGAGGTGCAGAAGACTGAAGAGAGCAAAGTCCCTGAGGACTCACTGGAGGAATGTGCCATCACTTGTTCAAATAGCCACGGCCCTTGTGACTCCAACCAGCCTCACAAGAACATCAAAATCACATTTGAGGAAGACGAAGTCAACTCAACTCTGGTTGTAGACAGAGAATCCTCTCATGATGAATGTCAGGATGCTCTAAACATTCTCCCAGGTAGCCTCTATTTTCCTTGTGTCTCATACCTCTGTCTAGGCTATGGAAGGTCAATTCTGAGGACAGGCTGTATATACACATATTGTTATTGTTTTAGTCAGAAACTGGGATGGAGCTAGGTGCTGTGACTCACACATATAATCACAGCACTTTGGAAGGCCCAAGTGGGACGATGACTTGAGTTCAGGAGTTGAAGACCAGCCTACACAATATGGTGAAACCCATCTTTACAAAGAATACAAAAAATTAGGCAGGCATGGTGCTGCATGCCTATAGTCCCAACTGCTCAGGAGACTTAGGTGGGAGGATGGGCTGAGATGATCCTCCCACTCTAATTCACTTCTGTCAGGCTAGACTCTCTCTCCTTTTCATTGGCTTGTCTTAGCTATTAATAAGTCTCGGCTGGGCGCAGTGGGTCACACCTGTAATCCGAGCACTTTGGGAGGCCGAGGCGGGTGGATCATGAGGTCAGGAGATTGAGACCATCCTGGCTAACACGGTGAAACCCCGTCTTTACTAAAAATACAAAAAAAAAAAAAATTAGCTGGGTGTGGTGGTGGGTGCCTGTAGTCCCAGCTACTCAGGAGGCTGAGGCAGGAGAATGGCATGAACCCAGGAACCGGAGCTTGCAGTGAGCCAAGATTGTGCCACTGCACTCCAGCCTGGGAGACAGAGCGAGACTCCATCTCAAAAAAAAAAAGTCTCTGACCAGGGGCGCTGGCTCACATCTTAATCCCAACACTTTGGGAGGCCGAGGTGGGCGGAACACCTGAGCTCAGGAGTTCAAAACCAGCCTGTCCAAGATGGCGAAACCCCATCTCTACTAAAAATACAAAAATTAGCTGGCATGTTACTTGGCGCTTGTAATCCCAGATGCTTGGCAGGCTGAGGGATGAGAATCACTTGAACCCGGGCGGCAGAGGTGGCAGTGAGCTGAGATTGTGCCTCTGCACTGCAGCCTGCGCGACAGAGTGAGACTCCGTCTCAAACAAAAAAACCAAAAAAGAAAATTAAGCAAAACGAAATCTTTTGTGCTACACAGAAACATTGGCCACTCATGGGGTAAAAATCTCAGGGCCAAGCCTTGCTTTATAGAAACGTATAAGCAAGAAAAGTGTAGAAGTGTTTATGTCTTGGTTTCAAGGTGACTGCATAGCTAAGACAAGTTGACTTAAAGGAGATCAAGACTGGAGATGACAAGAGTGAAACCAGGGAAACATCTTCAAATAAGTAAACAAGGCTACCAGTGACATCCCTCAGTCCTGATTAAGCCTATTTGATTTCACCAGTTTTTAACCCATCATGTGTTTGCCTTTCTTCTCCCCAGTCCCTGGCCCCACCTCTTCTGCCACAAACGTCAGCATGGTGGTATCAGCCGGCCCTTTGTCCGGCGAGAAGGCAGCGATAAACATTCTAGAAATCAATGAGAAATTGCGCCCCCAGCTGGCAGAGAAGAAACAGCAGTTCAGAAACCTCAAAGAGAAATGTTTTCTAACTCAACTGGCCGGCTTCCTGGCCAACCAGCAGAACAAATACAGTAAGATCTATTGGCTCACCATCACGAAAGTGATGAACGAGGTCCTGTCTTCTCTCTGAGACACTAAATGCTCTCTCCATCAAAAATAATGTCATCCTCCCCGTACTTCTAGGAAAACAGAAATGGGTATTTTAACATTTTGTCAAAGTTGGAAGACAGAGGTACCAAAGTATTTAGCAACTTTCCATGTTTGCAATCAGGTGGGGGTGGGACTAGAGTTAAACTGCCATTTATTGATTTCTGACACAGGCACAGAATGACCTGTTTTCTCCAAGAGGCTCAATCGTGTTTTCAAGAATCCTCTCTGTACCATATAAGATCCTGCAGACAAATAACATCTAGTCTGTTGTTCTAAATGTCTGAGACTAGTGAACTTTTATTCAGTTCAAGTTTCTGTTGAGGCCCAACAGGCAAAGCTCTGTTCTAGTGACTCTGAGGGAAACTTGGTGATAGTAGCCAGTACCTGCTCTGAGGGGCTTCAAGAGGAGTCTACCCCTAATAGAACCTGTGCTGTCTATAAATGACAGCATCAAGAGCAGGGAGTAGGGGCCGTGCATGGTGGCTCACTCCTGTAATCCCAGCACTTTGGGAGGCTGAGGCGGGCAGATCATGAGGTCAGGAGTTTGAGACCAGCCTGGGCAACATGGAGAAACCCCATCTCCACTAAAAATACAAAAAGTAGATGGGCGTGGTGGCAGGTGACTGTAATCACCCCTGCTCAGGAGGCTGAGGCAGGAGAATCCTTTGAACCCAGGAGGCTGAGGTTGCAGTGAGCCAAGATTTTGCCATTGCACTCCAGCCTGGGCGACAGGGCAAGACTGCTAAAAATAATAATAATAATAATAATAATAATAATAATAATAAATAAAAATAAGAATAAAAAGCAGAGAGTAGCTTGGTGAGAGTGAAGTCCTGCTTCCTGGGGCACAGAGTCTTGTTGCTAAAGAGGAAGAAAGATCGCACCCGAGAATGTGTGGAGATAGCAGTGCAGTGTACAGAGCAGGGACCGTGGGCCTGTCTCCTGGGCTCCATCCAAGTTGCTTGTCTTGTCTGTCCCTCAGTTTCCTCACCTGTTCAGAGGGTACTACAATAATACCTACCTCTGTAAATTGCTGCAGTGAATTACATGAGCTATTTCTTGTCAATCTCCTAGAACATTTATTGGCACAGAGTAAACACTATCTATTAGTTCTTCATTCTGCTGTTTCTAAATTAACACAAACTTTATTAACATTTGGGCATATTTCCTTCATGGCCTAATGGTGTTATGTGTCACACTTTATGCTTCAGATATGATTCTTAAAATCATAACTGGAGATATGATTTAAAAATCAAAGATTTTAAAAATCTTTCGCATACTTGTCCTTGAAATTCCCAGTAAAAGGGAAACCATCAGTCCCATAGTCCTAGGGGCTTTCCCAACTGTACAAGAAATCACTACTTCATGCCCCAGTGCAGTGTTTTAGAGGAGAGGCTGCAAGGCTTGGGAAAGTGGCCCCGCATTCAGAGTCAGACCTCAGGGACTGTGAATTCTGACTCCACTTCGTTGTGGTTGAATCATCTTGTCAACTTCCTTGATGTGCCCTTGAGGTTCTCTTTCTTCATCTCTAAATTTTGGAGGATCAGATGCCAGAAAGTCAGGAGACTGAAGAGTAAAGATGTGGAAATCCCTGTCTAGACCCTGGTACTGGGGAGAGTTTTGTCCTTGGGATGGACCTGGCTCCTGTCCTGTAGGCAATGACCACAGCAGCATGTCCAGCCTTCCACTGAGGCAGGTGTGTCTGTCTTTTCTCAGAATATGAAGAGTGCAAAGATCTCATAAAATCTATGCTGAGGAATGAGCGACAGTTCAAGGAGGAGAAGCTTGCAGAGCAGCTCAAGCAAGCTGAGGAGCTCAGGTGAGGGGACCCCATGGGGGCAGGCAGGGGGGCAGGTGTGTAAATCTCTGAAGTACAGCAGCTCGGTGGGGAGACGTAAGAGCTAAGCTGGGCCAGGGGAAGGGCAGGAATTGCCATGGCAGGCTCGCTACACACAAATATTTATCAAACAGAGAAGGAGGATAGTAAAAATGTATGGGTTGCAGTTGTTTCTCAGAGCCTTGTTTTCTCTTTTTCAAACAAGTAATTGTTGATGTGAAATTTACATAACACAAAATTAACCAAAGGAGTGTGAACCACACAGCAGCATTCAGTATACTCAAAATGGTGTGCCATCACCACCCCACTTACCCTTAGTGAGAATCACCTCCTGACTGACTGCGGCTTCTCATTCTTTCACTCAATCAATGTTGCCTTCTCGACCCTGTCATTCTTTTCTTCTTTCTTCTTTTCAATTCGCCCCATCTGCACCTGGCCTCATTTCTGTACATGGCTTTGTATCTAGTGGCCGCAAGATGCACTATGTGTATTTTCACATGGAAATGTCCATGGCCAGAGTGAGGAACTGAAAGGATGTCTTTTTGAAAGGGAATTAGGAAGACACCTACTTTTGTTTACAGAAGAGAAAGATGAATGGAACATCATCGAGGATCTTGCAAGAGCCCTCTCTGATTCAGAGGAAGCCTGTAAACCATTTTCTATTCTTTCTCTTGGCCACAGACATTCCTTTAAACATGTGCTGACCTTCTGCTTCGAGGTCTCCTTGAGGACATTGTCTCAGAAATCTCTGTTGCAATATTTGAGCGGATCACTCAACCCTTTCTACTCTTAAATTTTCTCTACCGTCTCACCTTAGGCAATATAAAGTCCTGGTTCACGCTCAGGAACGAGAGCTGACCCAGTTAAGGGAGAAGTTGCGGGAAGGGAGAGATGCCTCCCGCTCATTGAATGAGCATCTCCAGGCCCTCCTCACTCCGGATGAGCCGGACAAGTCCCAGGGGCAGGACCTCCAAGAACAGCTGGCTGAGGGGTGTAGACTGGCACAGCACCTTGTCCAAAAGCTCAGCCCAGGTAAGGTGGCCATAGGCCCTGATGACCCAAAATCCCAGGCTTATGAGAGACTCCAGACCTCCATACTTTCACAATGACAGTTGTATCAGTGGTGTTTTTTTCCACTAAGCTTATGTGGCCATGACATGACCAGGACTTCTTGGGTAAGAACAGAGATGGGAAACCCATGGGGTTGGAGGTCACAGTATTGCAAGTGTCCCTCCTTCCTTGATGGAAGGTGGTCTTTGGAGCAAGAGGCAGCATCTATCTAGTTTTAAAGGACAGGAAGGAGGCTGGGATGGGAGCAGGCTTGTTAGAGTGAAAAGAGCTCTGGACTAAGAATGAAGGTTCCCAGGCTGTCTTTTCGACAATGTTCTTAGTAACTGTCAGAGAGTGAATGACTTGTCCTTCCTGAGTTTCTCTCTCTCCGTGGCAGACAAATTGTCTCTTGCAAGTGTCTGAAGCATTCAAATGTGGGAACACTTACAACTGCTTTCCAAAATGAGATGAAGTCCCTCGCCGTGTGATGTTGGAGAAGGCACTTTATGTGGGGGCGTTTTGTGGTAGGAAGTGCTTCAGACTGGAGCACTCCCCATGGATAGAATGTCCCTGAAGAACACAGCAGAAGCCACTTGGAGGCTTGAAATCTTCTGATGCATAGAGGACTGTGGGACAAGTTTGTCTGCTTCTAAGAGAAAGAATTAGGTTTGAAATGCAAACCGTGACAGGACACCAAGCCTGTGCCTGGGAATCAGATCTGGCAGGATGGGGGAGACAGCTGCCAACGTCCAGAGAGAGGCTGCACAAGCCTCCAGTGATATGGGAAGCAAAAGGTCTTTTCAATATTTGGCCACATCTTGATGGTGGCCCTCCAGATCAGAAATGCATTGCCTGATGGATCAGGAAACCATGCCAGGGCATTCTGTTAAAGATAAATCATGAGAGTTTTCAGTTGAACGGTGACCCATGCCTAGATGTTCATGTCTCTGTTGCACATTGGGCTGACTGTGCTTGCAGACTGTGAAGTGGGAAATATCTGAACGAACACTTCTGTATTTACAGAAAATGACAACGATGACGATGAAGATGTTCAAGTTGAGGTGGCTGAGAAAGTGCAGAAATCGTCTGCCCCCAGGTAACACTGAATACTCAGGAACAATTAATGGATGGTAACATATGAGGAATATCTAGGAGGCACACCCTCTCTGGCATCTATGATGGACCAAAAACCCGCATTCGCTTGGCCACAGTATGTGAAATATAACCCAGCTTAGACACAGGGTGCGGTAGCTGTCATGTTTCTCTATGTGTGCCGAGTGTCATGTCTGCACCGTACAGGGATAGCTGAGTCTTCATCCTCCTCAGCTCCTATCTGTCCAGTGCAATGAACAGCAGCTGCTCTCTTCCTCTCTGGTTCCCATGGCAGCCATGCTCTGTTGCAGAGAGAACAGGATTGCATGTTCCCTCTTAATGGGAACCTCCATTTTGCTTTCTGGGACCACTCTCTTAATGCCGCCTGTCAAAACCAGCTAGGACTCCCTGGGGTCCAATCCCTCTGTGTTTAATCTTCTGTCATCTCTGTCCCACCTGGCTCATCAGGGAGATGCAGAAGGCTGAAGAAAAGGAAGTCCCTGAGGACTCACTGGAGGAATGTGCCATCACTTGTTCAAATAGCCATGGCCCTTATGACTGCAACCAGCCACATAGGAAAACCAAAATCACATTTGAGGAAGACAAAGTCGACTCAACTCTCATTGGCTCATCCTCTCATGTTGAATGGGAGGATGCTGTACACATTATTCCAGGTAGCCTCTGTTTTCCTTGTGTCTCATACCTCTTTCTTGGCTGAGGAAGATAAACTCTGAAGACAGGCTCTATAAACACAAATTCATTTGAATAAAAAACTGTGATGGGTTTCTAAACAGATATCAGGGAGTTTTTTGTCCTTCTCAGCTAATGTCATGACTTTGTCTGCCAGTCCCCAGTATCAAGTTACTCAACCCCAGGCAAGTGTGACAATCTCATAGTCACCTGAGTGCAGGAGGTGCACAGGCAGTATCTGTCAGGCCTCCTAGCTTCGATTCAATATCTCTTGTCATCTGTGATTAAGTCATCTGTCCCTGAACAATGTCCATGGAGTTTCTATGCCTGTTTAAGGAAGCTGGCAGCCTTGCCTTTGTATTTGGAAATATTGTTCACCAGGCTTCACTGCTCTCAGCTTTCATCTGGATCTCCTTTAAGTCAGCTTGCTTAGCTGCACAGTCACCCTGAAATCAGGACAGAAACTTTTCTTCTTTACTTTGCTGATATATTTCCATAAAGCAAGGCTGGACCCTGGTTCTCCACCCTGTCAATGCAATGGCTGATCCAATGTTTCTTTGTAGCATCGTGGATTTTTTTTTTTTTTTTTTTTTTTTTTTTTTTGCGATGGAGTCTTGCTCTGTCACCCAGGCTGGAGTGCAGTGGCACCATCTTGGCTTGGTGCAACCTCTGCCTCCCAGATTCAAGTGATTCTCCTGCCTCAGCCTCCTGAGTTGCTGGGACCACAGGTGCACAACATCACATCTGGCTAATTTTTGTATTTTTAGTAGAGACAGGGTTTCCCCATATTGGCCAGGGTAGTCCTGAACTCATGACCTCAAATGATTCACCTGTCTTGGCCTCCCAAATCACAGATTCTTTTTAAAGCAAGAGTTGTTCAAATTTATCTATCAGTCGTGTTTCATGTATAGATGCCTCTAAACATTTAATGTCCATGTTACCTGGTGATATAAGTCCATATCGCAGCAACACTCTTAGAAAATTGTTTGACCAATTTTTGGAGATTTTTTTGGGGAAAAAATTTTGTTTAACTTTGACTCAAGCAGGGAATATGGCATTATGGTCTACACATAGAGGGAGATTTTGGCCTGTGGGTCTGGAAAGCAGGGTCATCTAATTCTCACCAAAGTTAATCTAGGACAACCTAGAATATTCCTGTCAGAATCCTTATTCTTGCACTGAGAATAGTTATGTCCTTGTGCTATGACTGGACAGTGATTTGTTCATATGTGAAGTATGAATTGCTTAATGTGACCTGCTTCTCTGAATTTATTTACAGAAAATGAAAGTGATGATGAGGAAGAGGAAGAAAAAGGACCAGTGTCTCCCAGGTAATGTTGTGGAATTGTTGGCTGTTAATTCAGTAGTGACATCTGGAGATTGTAGATTTAGGGAAAATGAGGAAGTGATGAATAGAACTATTTCTTCCATTCACCCAGCTACAAATTGTGCTGATTTACAATGTTGTATGTTATTTGTGGCACTTGTATTGGTTTTAATTTCATAGTCCTCTCAAGATAGGAACTTGCCATCAGATGAGCCAGGTGAACTAGCCAAACAGGGTTTTCTTGTTGATCTTTTCAAAAAACCAGCCCTGGATTCATTGATTTTTTGAAGGGTTTTTTGTGTCTCTCTCTCCTTTAGTTCTGCTCTGATCTTAGTTACTTCTTGTCTTCTGCTAGCTTTTGAATTTGTTTGCTTTGCTTCTCTCGTTATTTTAATTGTGATGTTAGGGTGTCAATTTTAGGTCTTTTCTGCTTTCTCTTGTGGGCATTTAGTGCTATAATTTTCCCTCTACACATTGCTTTAAATGTGTCCCAGAGATTCTGGTATGTTGTATCTTTGTTCTCATTGGTTTCAAAGAACATCTTTATTTCTGCCTTCATTTTGTTATTTTCCCAGTAGTCATTCAGGAGCAGGTTGTTCAGTTTCCATGTAGTTGTGCGGTTTTGAGTGAGTTTCTTAATCCTGAGTTCTAATTTGATGGCACTGTGGTCTGACAGTTTGTTGTGATTTCCATTCTTTTACATTTGCTGACGAGTGCTTTACCTCCAACTATGTGGTCAATTTTGGAATAAGTGTGATGTGGTGCTGAGAAGAATGTATATTCTGTTGATTTGGTGTGGAGAGTTCTGTAGATGTCTTTTAGGTCTGCTTGGTGGAGAGCTGAGTTCAAGTCCTGGATATCCTTGTTAAGCTTCTGTCTCATTGATCTGTTTAATATTGACAGTGGGGTGTTAAAGTCTCCCATGATGATTTTGTGGAGTCTAAATCTCTTTGTAGGTCTCTCAGGACTTGCTTTATGAATCTGGGTGCTCCTGTTTAGGGTGCATATATATTTAGGATAGTTAACTCTTCTTGTTGAATTGATCCCTTTACCATTATGTAGTGGCCTTCTTTGTCTCTTTTGATCTTTGTTGGTTTAAAGTCTGTTTTATCAGAGACTAGGATTGCAACCCCTGCCTTTTTTTTGTTTTCCATTTGCTTGGTAGATCTTCCTCCATCCCTTTATTTTGAGCCTATGTGTGTCTCTGCATGTGAGATGGGTTTCCTGAGTACAGCACACTGATGGGTCTTGACTCTTTATCCAATTTGCCATTCTGTGTTTTTTAACTGGGGCATTTAGCCCATTTACATTTAAGGTTAATATTGTTATGTGTGAATTTGATCCTGTCGTTATGATGTTAGCTGGTTATTTCGCCCGTTAGTTGATGCAGTTTCTTCCTAGCGTCAATGGTCTTTACAGTTTGGCATGTTTTTGCAGTGGCTGGTACCGATTGTTCCTTTCCATGTTTAGTGCTTCCTTTAGGAGCTCTTGTAAGGCAGGCCTGGTGGTGACAAAATCTCTCAGCATTTGCTTCTCTGTAAAGGATTTATTTCTCCTTCACTTATGAAGCTTTGTTTGGCTGGATATGAAATTCTTGGATGAAAATTCTTTTCTTTAAGAATGTTGAAGATGCTGGAGAGGATGTGGAGAAATAGGAACACTTTTACACTGTTGGTGGGACTGTAAACTAGTTCAACGATTGTGGAAGGCAGTGTGGCAATTCCTCAGAGATCTAGAACTAGAAATACCATTTGACCCAGCCATCCCATTACTGGGTGTATACCCAAAGGATTATAAATCATGCTGCTGTAAAGACACATGCACACATATGTTTATTGCGGCACTATTCACAATAGCAAAGACTTGGAACCAAGCCAAATATCCAGCAATGATAGACTGGATTAAGAAAATGTGGCACATATACACCATGGAATACTATGCAGCTATAAAAAATGATGAGTTCATGTCCTTTGTAGGGGCATGGATGAAGCTGGAAACCATCATTCTCAGCAAACTATTGCAAGGACAAAAAACCAAATACCGCATGTTCTTACTCACAGGTGGGAATTGAACAATGAGAACACATGGACACAGAAAGGGGAACATCACACACTGGGGCCTGTTGTAGGGTGGGGGGAGGGGGGAGGGGTAGCATTAGGAGATATACCTAATGTTAAATGATGAGTTAATGGGTGAAGCACACCAATGTGGACATGTATACATATGTAACTAACCTGCACGTTGTGCACATGTACCCTAAGACTTAAAGTATTAAAAATATATATATATATATATATATATATATATATATATATATATACATACACACAAAAAATAATAAAGGAAAACTATACATATGGAAAAAAAAAAGAATGTTGAATATTGCTCCCACTCTCTTCTGGCTTGTAGGGTTTGTGCCAAGAGATCTGCTGCTAGTCTGATGGGTTTCCCTTTGTGGGTAATCCGACCTTTCTCTCTGGCTGCCCTTAGCATTTTTTCCTTCATTTCAACCTTGGTGAATCTGACAATTACGTGTTTTGGGGTTGCTCTTCTCGAGGAGTATCTTTATGGTGTTCTCTGTGTTTCCTGAATTTGAATGTTGGCCTTCCTTGCTAGGTTGGGGAAGTCCTCCTGGATAATATCCTGAAGAATGTTTCCCAGCTTGGTTCCATTCTCCCCGTCACTTTCAGTACACCAATCAAACGTAGATTTGGTCTTTCCACATAGTCCCATATTTATTGGAGGCTTGTTCATTTCTTTTTACTCTTTTTTCTCTAAACTTCTCTTCTCGCTTCATTTCACTAATTTGATCTTGAATCACTGATACCGTTTCTTGCACTTGATCGAATTGGCTACTGAAGCTTGTGCATGCATCACATAGTTCTCGTGCCATGGTTTTCAGCTCCATCAGGTCATTTAAGGTCTTCTCTACACTGTTCATTCTGGTTAGCCATTCGTCTAATCTTTTTTCAAGGTTTTTAGCTTCCTTGCGATGAGTTCGCACATCCTCCTTTAGCTCAGAGAAGTTTGTTATTACCGACTTTCTGAAGCCTACTTCTGTCAGCTCATCAAAGTCATTCTCCATCCTGCTTTGTTCCATTGCTGGCGAGGAGCTGCGATCCTTTGGAGGAGAAGGGATGTCAGGTTTTTGGAATTTTCAGCTTTTGTGCTCTGGTTTCTCCCCACCTTTGTGGTTTTATCTACCCTTGGTCTTTGATGATGGCGACCTACAGATGGGGTTTTGGGGTGGATGTCTTTTTTGTTGATGTTGATGCTATTCCTTTCTGTGTGTTAGTTTTCCTTCTAACAGTCAGGTCCCTCAGCTTCAGGTCTGTTGGAGTTTGCTGGAAGTCCACTCCAGACCCTCAAACAGGGATTTCTTGGTGTTGCCTATTCTCTCCCATGTGTTTAAATCCAGGGAGAGGTGTATATATGCTTTCTTCCTATTTGTTGGTAGTATGTTGGCTAGTATTTTTGCAAGAAAAGAAATTGAAAAAGTAAATATATTATATCAAAATATTGGGAAAATGGGGCCCTTAATACACAAGATCTGTGTCTGCACTGCGTCAAGAACTCTCTTCACTTGAATGCTGCATGTAAAATTCAACCCAATTTATGCAAAGTAGTTGAAGCCCTGTGTCAGTTCTCTGTGCTGCAAGTCATGATGGTAGTTTACAGGGAGAGTCTGGGTGCCCTGAGTTGGCTCATCTGTGGCAAATGTACTGAGCACACGCTGCCCATTTTTGCTCTGTCCCCAGAGCAGTCACCCTCCACCCTGTATTTAGAAGGATAGTTTTATTCCTCTTGAAGGAAAAATGCCTTTGGTTTCTGTGACCACTCCATTCTGTCTCCCATCAGATCATCTGGGAGGTTTTGTTGTCTAAAGTCTGTTGGTTAAATCTTCTGTCATCCCTGTCCTGCCTGGCTCATCAGGAATCTGCAGGAGTCTGAAGAGGAGGAAGTCCCCCAGGAGTCCTGGGATGAAGGTTATTCGACTCTCTCAATTCCTCCTGAAATGTTAGCCTCGTACAAGTCTTACAGCAGCACATTTCACTCATTAGAGGAACAGCAAGTCTGCATGGCTGTTGACATAGGCAGTGAGTACTCCATTGTGAAGGTGATAAAGCTCCAGTTCATGGCCCAGGTAGACCCCATAATCTTTGGGCCTTGTGCCCCTTCTTGGGCTGAGATTTGCCATCACTGTGGGCTGAACCTATATATCAATGTAGATTTCAATCACTCTGGAGTCGAGTCTGAAGCACAGGCATGGGGTGGGTCAGTGAGCTTTGCTCTCTTCCTAGTCTCAGGCCATGCCCGTGCCAACCTGGACTGACTGTCACGACATTGAACTCAAGGCAGGTGTGGCAAACTCACACCAAACTATGCAGCACATGCCCAGGAGTTGTCTGTCAGCTCAGCTCATCTGAATTAAATGTCTCTTGCCAGCTACAAAATTCCTTATGAGTTTTGTTCCCAAAGCATGTCTGTGTGGTTCTTTACCTGCCCAAGGCCAGTGTCACCCTTGTCTACCTCTCAGTGAAAGATGTGACCCAGGTTTCACTGAATTTATTCCCATTTTCTGTGTCTTCTAAGTTCGCTTGTTTTAGCTCATCTGTCCGTCATGTTCCTGGTATGTTTTCTAGATAAATGGCTGACTTTTCACCCACAAAAGCCATAATAGCTGATGCTTCTGTGTAGAACCAAGTTTCATTTTGACTCAAGAGCTGGTACATTGCACCCTTTCATCAAATCTCTGTGTCCACAATCTCATAAACTATCAAATTCTGGGTATTTAATGAGAAAAGCCTAATATTGAAGTATCTCTCCTATGAGGTGTTAGAACTATTTGCCTACAATTTATTGGGGAAAAAATTGCTCATTTGTGTACATAAACCTAGGACAGAGCACATAGGGAAGATAACATTCCAACACAGGGGAATTTTGCCCAAGGCTCATGAAAGAACCCAAGCCAGTTTTCTCAAGACTTGACCTCAGGCCTACTGGAATATTTCTCTCAAAGTCTCCTGTTCTCACACTGACAAGACTGATGTCCCTGTGTTAGGATTGGACAGAGGAATGTTTCTGTGTGCAAGGAAGAACTGCTTAATGTAAGAGGGCCCATCTGAATTTATTTGCAGGACATCGGTGGGATCAAGTGAAAAAGGAGGACCACGAGGCAACAGGTCCCAGGTGAGTCTGAGAAATTGTGGACAGTTAATTTGATGTTGACACCTGGAGATGCCAAGTCCAGGGAAAACAGTACATGCTGAAAATAATGATTTTGTCTTGTCAGACAAGTCTGAATTATGCCTACTACATTGCTTTTTGGTTCTCATTAGAGTAAATCTTTAGGTTTCCATTTCTTCCTACCCTTATCATTTACTAACCTAGTGAAAGTTGACCATACCTCAAAAGCTGTATTCTCATGGTAACTGCAGGGAAACTTGACCACATTTTACGCAAAATTATTGAGGACATGCTTTTCATGATCACTGTTCACTGTGTGTCCTGAGAGCACAAATACAGAGTGTCCTTTGACTCCCTCATCAGTGTGTCACCTGACCAATTCACTGAGCTCGCTCTGTGTGTGTGTGTGTGTGTGTGTGTGTGTGTGTGTGTGTCTTTCATCTTTTTCTACCTGGCCCTGTTCTATCCCAACATAAAGGCAATAATCTGTTACCTCATTAATGGATCTGTCCTTTTTCTTTTCAAACTCTTCCTTACATTAGCCATGAAATCTAGCTGGGGCTGTGTGGTTTCTGATTCCCCCTGGCTTATTCTTTACTTTTTCCCACTTTTCCAGGCTCAGCAGAGAGCTGCTGGATGAGAAAGGGCCTGAAGTCTTGCAGGACTCACTGGATAGATGTTATTCAACTCCTTCAGGTTGTCTTGAACTGACTGACTCATGCCAGCCCTACAGAAGTGCCTTTTACGTATTGGAGCAACAGCGTGTTGGCTTGGCTGTTGACATGGATGGTGAGTACCTTTCTATGAAGGTGATAAGGATCCACTGAGTCTTCTGGTTAGGGTCATATTCCTACTGCAAGTGGCCCTTACTGAGCTGAGAGATGTCATTGCCACAGGGAGGACCTATAGGCACATGTAGGTTGAATGAAACTCTAGTTCCACTTGGAAGCCCAGACAAGGGATGGGTCAGTGAGCAAGGCTCTCTTCCTAGTCTCAGGCCATGCCTGTGGCACCCTAATCCTACTCTCATGACATTGGACCTGGGCAGATGTGACAAATTCACACAACTCTGATTTTGTCTCAATTTTGTAGATCTTGTAGATTTCATCCTTCACTCTAATTTCAGCGTCTAAAATCCTCACTACCATGAACAATCTGAGTATTTGATGAGACAGGGCTGAATAGTGCAGTTTTTCTCCTAGCAACCATTTGGGGGCATTTGCTTTAAATCGATTGGAAAAATATGGCATAACCATTTGCACAAACTTGGGACAAATGATATTGGGATAACGATCTACCAGAATAGGGAATTTTACCCACAGTTTCTGGGACAAAAACCAAGGAATCTCTATGGTGATCAGCCTTCAGGCCTCCTGAAGAATATCTCTCACAGTGTCCTATTCTCATGCTGAGGAGCCTGAAGTCCCTGTGTGAGGATTAGACAGTGGATTGTTATGTGTGTAGGAGAACCAGCTTAATATGTCTGTCCATGTCTGAACTTATTGCAGAAATTGAAAAGTA
Source organism: Homo sapiens (assembly GCF_000001405.40). NCBI lineage: Eukaryota > Metazoa > Chordata > Mammalia > Primates > Hominidae > Homo > Homo sapiens. The sequence goes on from NC_000001.11 coordinate 120,824,879, forward strand.
CCAAGAAGTGGAAGAAGACCAAGACCCATCATGCCCCAGGTAACTTTGAGCAATTATGGATGCTTAATTCTGTGTTGACACCTGGAGATGCCAGGTCCAGGGAAAACAAGAGTGTATTCAATTTCATGTTTTCAACGAAGGTTGAATTACGCCTACTGACATTGCTGTTGGTTTTCATTGCAGTAGATGTTTAGGTTTCCATTTCTTCCTCCCCTTATCATTTAGTAACTTACTATAGGTTGACCATACCTCAAAGGCTGTATGGCAACTGCATGGAATCTTGAGCAAGTTTATGGAAAATTATTGAGCCCACTCTTTTCATGATCACTGTTCGCTGTGTGTCCCGAGGGCACTAACTCAGAGTGTCCTTTGACCCCTTCATCTGTGTGTCACCCGGCCAATTCACTGAGCTCACTTTCTCCTCTCTCTCTCTCTCCCTCTCCCTGTCTTTCTCTTTCGTTCTTTTCTACCTGGCCCTGGTTTATCCCAACCTAAAGGCAATAATTCATTCCCTCAGTAATGGATCTGTCCTTTTTCTTTTTAAACAGTTCCTTATCTTAGCCATGAAATCTAGCTGGAGCTGTGTGGTTTCTGATTCCCCCTGGCTTATTCTTTACTTTTTCCCACTTTTCCAGGCTCAGCGGGGAGCTGTTGGATGAGAAAGAGCCTGAAGTCTTGCAGGAGTCACTGGATAGATGCTATTCAACTCCTTCAGGTTGTCTTGAACTGACTGACTCATGCCAGCCCTACAGAAGTGCCTTTTACATATTGGAGCAACAGCGTGTTGGCTTGGCTGTTGACATGGATGGTGAGTACCTTTCTATGAAGGTGATAAGGATCCACTGAGTCTTCTGGTTAGGGTCATATTCCTACTGCAAGTGGCCCTTACTGAGCTGAGGGATGTCATTGCCACAGGGAGGACCTATAGGCACATGTAGGTTGAATGAAGCTCTAGTTCCACTTGGAAGCCCAGACAAGGGATGGGTCAGTGAGCAAGGCGCTCTTCCTAGTCTCAGGCCATGCCTGTGGCGCCCTAATCCTACTCTCATGACATTGGACCTGGGCAGATGTGACAAATTCACACAACTCTGATTTTGTCTCAATTTTGTAGATCTTGTAGATTTCATCCTTCACTCTAATTTCAGCGTCTAAAATCCTCGCTACCATGAACAATCTGAGTATTTGATGAGACAGGGCTGAATAGTGCAGTTTTTCTCCTAGCAACCATTTGGGGGCATTTGCTTTAAATCGATTGGAAAAATATGGCATAACCATTTGCACAAACTTGGGACAAATGATATTGGGATAACGATCTACCAGAATAGGGAATTTTACCCACAGTTTCTGGGACAAAAACCAAGGAATCTCTATGGTGATCAGCCTTCAGGCCTCCTGAAGAATATCTCTCACAGTGTCCTATTCTCATGCTGAGGAGCCTGAAGTCCCTGTGTGAGGATTAGACAGTGGATTGTTATGTGTGTAGGAGAACCAGCTTAATATGTCTGTCCATGTCTGAACTTATTGCAGAAATTGAAAAGTACCAAGAAGTGGAAGAAGACCAAGACCCATCATGCCCCAGGTAACTTTGAGCAATTATGGATGCTTAATTCTGTGTTGACACCTGGAGATGCCAGGTCCAGGGAAAACAAGAGTGTGTTCAATTTCATGTTTTCAACGAAGGTTGAATTACTCCTACTGACATTGCTGTTGGTTTTCATTGCGGTAGATGTTTAGGTTTCCATTTCTTCCTCCCCTTATCATTTACTAACTTACTATAGGTTGACCATACCTCAAAGGCTGTATGGCAACTGCATGGAATCTTGAGCAAGTTTATGGAAAATTATTGAGCCCACTCTTTTCATGATCACTGTTCGCTGTGTGTCCCGAGGGAACTAACTCAAAGTGTCCTTTGACCCCTTCATCTGTGTGTCACCCGGCCAATTCACTGAGCTCACTTTCTCCTCTCTCTCTCTCTCCCTCTCCCTGTCTTTCTCTTTCGTTCTTTTCTACCTGGCCCTGGTTTATCCCAACCTAAAGGCAATAATTCATTCCCTCAGTAATGGATCTGTCCTTTTTCTTTTTAAACAGTTCCTTATCTTAGCCATGAAATCTAGCTGGAGCTGTGTGGTTTCTGATTCCCCCTGGCTTATTCTTTACTTTTTCCCACTTTTCCAGGCTCAGCGGGGAGCTGTTGGATGAGAAAGAGCCTGAAGTCTTGCAGGAGTCACTGGATAGATGCTATTCAACTCCTTCAGGTTGTCTTGAACTGACTGACTCATGCCAGCCCTACAGAAGTGCCTTTTACATATTGGAGCAACAGCGTGTTGGCTTGGCTGTTGACATGGATGGTGAGTACCTTTCTATGAAGGTGATAAGGATCCACTGAGTCTTCTGGTTAGGGTCATATTCCTACTGCAAGTGGCCCTTACTGAGCTGAGGGATGTCATTGCCACAGGGAGGACCTATAGGCACATGTAGGTTGAATGAAGCTCTAGTTCCACTTGGAAGCCCAGACAAGGGATGGGTCAGTGAGCAAGGCGCTCTTCCTAGTCTCAGGCCATGCCTGTGGCGCCCTAATCCTACTCTCATGACATTGGACCTGGGCAGATGTGACAAATTCACACAACTCTGATTTTGTCTCAATTTTGTAGATCTTGTAGATTTCATCCTTCACTCTAATTTCAGCGTCTAAAATCCTCGCTACCATGAACAATCTGAGTATTTGATGAGACAGGGCTGAATAGTGCAGTTTTTCTCCTAGCAACCATTTGGGGGCATTTGCTTTAAATCGATTGGAAAAATATGGCATAACCATTTGCACAAACTTGGGACAAATGATATTGGGATAACGATCTACCAGAATAGGGAATTTTACCCACAGTTTCTGGGACAAAAACCAAGGAATCTCTATGGTGATCAGCCTTCAGGCCTCCTGAAGAATATCTCTCACAGTGTCCTATTCTCATGCTGAGGAGCCTGAAGTCCCTGTGTGAGGATTAGACAGTGGATTGTTATGTGTGTAGGAGAACCAGCTTAATATGTCTGTCCATGTCTGAACTTATTGCAGAAATTGAAAAGTACCAAGAAGTGGAAGAAGACCAAGACCCATCATGCCCCAGGTAACTTTGAGCAATTATGGATGCTTAATTCTGTGTTGACACCTGGAGATGCCAGGTCCAGGGAAAACAAGAGTGTATTCAATTTCATGTTTTCAACGAAGGTTGAATTACGCCTACTGACATTGCTGTTGGTTTTCATTGCAGTAGATGTTTAGGTTTCCATTTCTTCCTCCCCTTATCATTTAGTAACTTACTATAGGTTGACCATACCTCAAAGGCTGTATGGCAACTGCATGGAATCTTGAGCAAGTTTATGGAAAATTATTGAGCCCACTCTTTTCATGATCACTGTTCGCTGTGTGAGGATCCACTGAGTCTTCTGGTTAGGGTCATATTCCTACTGCAAGTGGCCCTTACTGAGCTGAGGGATGTCATTGCCACAGGGAGGACCTATAGGCACATGTAGGTTGAATGAAGCTCTAGTTCCACTTGGAAGCCCAGACAAGGGATGGGTCAGTGAGCAAGGCGCTCTTCCTAGTCTCAGGCCATGCCTGTGGCGCCCTAATCCTACTCTCATGACATTGGACCTGGGCAGATGTGACAAATTCACACAACTCTGATTTTGTCTCAATTTTGTAGATCTTGTAGATTTCATCCTTCACTCTAATTTCAGCGTCTAAAATCCTCGCTACCATGAACAATCTGAGTATTTGATGAGACAGGGCTGAATAGTGCAGTTTTTCTCCTAGCAACCATTTGGGGGCAATTGCTTTAAATCGATTGGAAAAATATGGCATAACCATTTGCACAAACTTGGGACAAATGATATTGGGATAACGATCTACCAGAATAGGGAATTTTACCCACAGTTTCTGGGACAAAAACCAAGGAATCTCTATGGTGATCAGCCTTCAGGCCTCCTGAAGAATATCTCTCACAGTGTCCTATTCTCATGCTGAGGAGCCTGAAGTCCCTGTGTGAAGATTAGACAGTGGATTGTTATGTGTGTAGGGGAATCAGCTTAATATATCTGTCCATGTCTGAACTTATTGCAGAAATTGAAAAGTACCAAGAAGTGGAAGAAGACCAAGACCCATCATGCCCCAGGTAACTTTGAGCAATTATGGATGCTTAATTCTGTGTTGACACCTGGAGATGCCAGGTCCAGGGAAAACAAGAGTGTGTTCAATTTCATGTTTTCAACGAAGGTTGAATTACTCCTCCTGTCATTGCTGTTGGTTTTCATTGCAGTAGATGTTTAGGTTTCCATTTCTTCCTCCCCTTATCATTTACTAACGTACTATAGGTTGACCATACTTCAAAAGCTGTACTCTCATGGCCACTGCATCGAATTTTGACTGGGCCAGATGTGACAAATTCACACCAACTCTGATTTGTCTCAATTTGTAGATCTTGTAGATTTCATCCTTCACTCTAATTTCAGCGTCTAAAATCCTCGCTACCATGAACAATCTGAGTATTTGATGAGACAGGGCTGAATAGTGCAGTTTTTCTCCTAGCAACCATTTGGGGGCAATTGCTTTAAATCGATTGGAAAAATATGGCATAACCATTTGCACAAACTTGGGACAAATGATATTGGGATAACGATCTACCAGAATAGGGAATTTTACCCACAGTTTCTGGGACAAAAACCAAGGAATCTCTATGGTGATCAGCCTTCAGGCCTCCTGAAGAATATCTCTCACAGTGTCCTATTCTCATGCTGAGGAGCCTGAAGTCCCTGTGTGAAGATTAGACAGTGGATTGTTATGTGTGTAGGAGAACCAGCTTAATATATCTGTCCATGTCTGAACTTATTGCAGAAATTGAAAAGTACCAAGAAGTGGAAGAAGACCAAGACCCATCATGCCCCAGGTAACTTTGAGCAATTATGGATGCTTAATTCTGTGTTGACACCTGGAGATGCCAGGTCCAGGGAAAACAAGAGTGTGTTCAATTTCATGTTTTCAACGAAGGTTGAATTACTCCTACTGACATTGCTGTTGGTTTTCATTGCGGTAGATGTTTAGGTTTCCATTTCTTCCTCCCCTTATCATTTACTAACTTACTATAGGTTGACCATACCTCAAAGGCTGTATGGCAACTGCATGGAATCTTGAGCAAGTTTATGGAAAATTATTGAGTCCACTCTTTTCATGATCACTGTTCGCTGTGTGTCCCGAGGGCACTAACTCAGAGTGTCCTTTGACCCCTTCATCAGTGTGTCACCCGGCCAACTCGCTGAGCTCACTTTCTCCTCTCTCTCTCTCTCTCTGCCTCTCCCTGTCTTTCTCTTTCATTCTTTTCTACCTGGCCCTGGTCTATCCCAACCTAAAGGCAATAATTCATTACCTCATTAATGGATCTGTCCTTTTTCTTTTTAAACAGTTCCTTATGTTAGCCATGAAATCTAGCTGGGGCTGTGTGGTTTCTGATTCCCCCTGGCTTATTCTTTACTTTTTCCTACTTTTCCAGGCTCAGCAGGGAGCTGCTGGATGAGAAAGAGCCTGAAGTCTTGCAGGACTCACTGGGTAGATGTTATTCGACTCCTTCAGGTTATCTTGAACTGCCTGACTTAGGCCAGCCCTACAGCAGTGCTGTTTACTCATTGGAGGAACAGTACCTTGGCTTGGCTCTTGACGTGGACAGTGAGTACCTTACTATGAAGGTGATAAGCCTCCACCTGGTCTTCCAGATAGGGGTGATATTCCTGTTCCAAGTGGCCCTTACTGACCCGAGAGATGTCATTGCCGCAGGCAGGACCTATGGGCGCATATAGGTTGTAATGAAACTGTAGTCTCAGTTGGAAGCCTAGACATGAAATGGGTCAGTGAGCAAGGCTCCATTCCTAGTCTCCAGCCATGCCTGTGGCAACCTGAGCCCGCTCTCAGCACATTGGACCCAGGCAGATGTAAAAAATTCACAGAAGTATGATTTGGACTCAAGGGTTTGTAGATTTCCTCCTTCATTCTAATTTCAGTGTCTAAAATTCTTGCATCCATGAACGAGCTGGGCATTTGATGAGACAGGGCTGAATACTGCAGTTTTCCTCCTAGAAATCATCTGGGGCATTTTCTTTGAACTGATGGGAACAATAAGGCATAACTGTTTGCACAAACTTGGGATAAATGATTTTGGGATAACGATCTACCAGAATGGGGATATTTCACCCTTGGTTCTGAGATGCAAACCAAAGAATATCATGACCAGCTTTCAGGCCTCCTGAAGTATATCTCTCACATTGTCCTGTTCTCATGCTGAGGAGCCTGAGATCCCTGTGTGGGGATTAGACAGTGGACTGTTATGGGTGTAGGTGAATTGGCTTATTTTGTCTGTCCCTGTCTGAATGTATTGCAGGAATTAAAAAGGACCAAGAAGAGGAAGAAGACCAAGGCCCACCATGCCCCAGGTAACTGAGCAATTGTGAACAGCTACTTCTGTGTTGACATCTGGAGACTCCTGGTTCAGGGAAAACAGAGCGGGCTGACATTATCGATTACATCTTTTCAACCAAGCCTGAATTATTCCTACTAACATTGCTGTTGGTTTTCATTGCAGTAGATATTTAGGTTTCCATTTCTTCCTCCCCTTCTCATTTACTAACCTACTGTAGGTGGACCAGACTTCAAAAACTGTATTCTCATGGCGACTGCATGGAAACTTGAGCACATTTTATGGAAAATTATTGAGCACAGTCTTTTCATGATCCCTGTATGCTGTGTGTCCTGAGGGCACTAACTCAGAGTGTCCTGTTACTCCCTCATCAGTGTGTCACCTGGACAATTCACTGAGCTCGTTCTCTCTCTCTCTCTGTGTGTGTGTGTGTGTGTGTGTGTGTGTGTGTGTGTGTCTATCTGTCTTTCTCTTTCATTCTTTTCCATTTGGCCCTGTTCTGTCCCAACATGAAGGCAATAATTTGTTACCTCATTAATGGATCTATCCTTTTAGTTTTTTAACCACTTCCCTATGCTACCCATGAAACCTAGTTGGGGCTCTGTTGTGTCTGATTTCCCCTGGCTTATTCTTTACTTTTTCCTCCTTTTCCAGGCTCAGCAGGGAGCTGCTGGAGGTAGTAGAGCCTGAAGTCTTGCAGGACTCACTGGATAGATGTTATTCAACTCCTTCCAGTTGTCTTGAACAGCCTGACTCCTGCCAGCCCTATGGAAGTTCCTTTTATGCATTGGAGGAAAAACATGTTGGCTTTTCTCTTGACGTGGGAGGTGAGTACCTTTCTATGAAGGTGATAAGGATCCACTGAGTCTTCCATATAAAGATCATATTCCTGCTCCAAGTGGCCATTACTGAGCTGAGAGATGTCATTGCCACAGGGAGGACCTATACGCACATGTAGGTTGAATGAAACTCTAGTTCTACCTGGAAGCCCAGACAAGGGATGGGTCAGTGAGCAAGACTCTCTTCCTAGTCTCAGGCCATACCTGTGGCGCCCTGATCCTGTTCTCATGACATTGGACCTGGGCAGATGTGACAAATTCAGAGAACTATGATTTTGACTCAAGGGTTTGTAGATTTCCTTTTTCACTCTAATTTCAGTGTCTAAAGTCCTCACAACCATGAACAATCTGACTATTTGATGAGACAGGGCTAAATATTGCAGTTTTTCTCCTAGAAATCATTTGAGGGTATTTGCTTTAAGTTGATTGTAAAAATATGGCATAACTGTTTGCACAAACTTGGGACAAATGATATTGGGATAACGATCTACTAGAATAGGGACACTTTACCCACAGTTTCTGGGAGAAAAACCGAGGAATTTCTATCATGACCAGCCTTCAGGCCTCCTGAAATATATCTCTCACAGTGTCCTATTCTTATGCTGAGGAGCCTGAGGTCCCTGTGTGAGGATTAGACAGTGGATTGTTATGTGTGTAGGGGAATCAGCTTAATGTGTCTGTCCATGTCTGAATTTATTGCAGAAATTGAAAAGAAGGGGAAGGGGAAGAAAAGAAGGGGAAGAAGATCAAAGAAGGAAAGAAGAAGGGGAAGAAAAGAAGGGGAAGAAGATCAAAACCCACCATGCCCCAGGTGACTTTCGCAATTGTGGATGCTTAATTCTGTGTTAACACCTGGAGGCAACAGATTCAGGGAAACCAGAGTGTGTTTGATGTCATGTTTTCAACGAAGGCTGAATTACTCCTCCTGTCATTGCTGTTGGTTTTCATTGCAGTAGATGTTTAGGTTTCCATTTCTTCCTCCCCTTATCATTTACTAACGTACCACAGGTTGACCATACTTCAAAAGCTGTACTCTCATGGCCACTGCATCGAATTTTGAGCATATTTTATGGAAAACTATTGAGCTCACTCTTTTCATGATCACAGTTTGCTGTGTGTCATGAGGGCACTAACTCAGAGTGTCCTTTTACTCCATTACCAGTATGTCACCTGGCCAATTCACTAGGTCACTTTCTCTCTGTCTCTGTCTCTCTCTCTGTCTCTGTCTCTCTCTCTCTCTGTCTTTCTCTTTCATTGTTTTCTACCTGGCCCTGTTCTATCCCAACATAAAGGCAATAATTTGTTACCTCATTAATGGATCTGTCCTTTTTCTTTTCAAACTCTTCCTTACGTTAGCCATGAAATCTAGCTGGGGCTGTGTGGTTTCTGATTCCCCCTGGCTTATTCTTTACTTTTTCCCACTTTTCCAGGCTCAGCAGGGAGCTGCTGGATGAGAAAGGGCCTGAAGTCTTGCAGGACTCACTGGATAGATGTTATTCAACTCCTTCAGGTTGTCTTGAACTGACTGACTCATGCCAGCCCTACAGAAGTGCCTTTTACATATTGGAGCAACAGCGTGTTGGCTTGGCTGTTGACATGGATGGTGAGTACCTTTCTATGAAGGTGATAAGGATCCACTGAGTCTTCTGGTTAGGGTCATATTCCTACTGCAAGTGGCCCTTACTGAGCTGAGAGATGTCATTGCCACAGGGAGGACCTATAGGCACATGTAGGTTGAATGAAACTCTAGTTCCACTTGGAAGCCCAGACAAGGGATGGGTCAGTGAGCAAGGCTCTCTTCCTAGTCTCAGGCCATGCCTGTGGCACCCTAATCCCACTCTCATGACATTGGACCTGGGCAGATGTGACAAATTCACACAACTCTGATTTTGTCTCAATTTTGTAGATCTTGTAGATTTCATCCTTCACTCTAATTTCAGCGTCTAAAATCCTCACTACCATGAACAATCTGAGTATTTGATGAGACAGGGCTGAATAGTGCAGTTTTTCTCCTAGCAACCATTTGGGGGCATTTGCTTTAAATCGATTGGAAAAATATGGCATAACCATTTGCACAAACTTGGGACAAATGATATTGGGATAACGATCTACCAGAATAGGGAATTTTACCCACAGTTTCTGGGACAAAAACCAAGGAATCTCTATGGTGATCAGCCTTCAGGCCTCCTGAAGAATATCTCTCACAGTGTCCTATTCTCATGCTGAGGAGCCTGAAGTCCCTGTGTGAGGATTAGACAGTGGATTGTTATGTGTGTAGGAGAACCAGCTTAATATATCTGTCCATGTCTGAACTTATTGCAGAAATTGAAAAGTACCAAGAAGTGGAAGAAGACCAAGACCCATCATGCCCCAGGTAACTTTACCCATGAACCTAGTTGGGGCTCTGTTGTGTCTGATTTCCCCTGGCTTATTCTTTACTTTTTCCTCCTTTTCCAGGCTCAGCAGGGAGCTGCTGGAGGTAGTAGAGCCTGAAGTCTTGCAGGACTCACTGGATAGATGTTATTCAACTCCTTCCAGTTGTCTTGAACAGCCTGACTCCTGCCAGCCCTATGGAAGTTCCTTTTATGCATTGGAGGAAAAACATGTTGGCTTTTCTCTTGACGTGGGAGGTGAGTACCTTTCTATGAAGGTGATAAGGATCCACTGAGTCTTCCATATAAAGATCATATTCCTGCTCCAAGTGGCCATTACTGAGCTGAGAGATGTCATTGCCACAGGGAGGACCTATACGCACATGTAGGTTGAATGAAACTCTAGTTCTACCTGGAAGCCCAGACAAGGGATGGGTCAGTGAGCAAGACTCTCTTCCTAGTCTCAGGCCATACCTGTGGCGCCCTGATCCTATTCTCATGACATTGGACCTGGGCAGATGTGACAAATTCAGAGAACTATGATTTTGACTCAAGGGTTTGTAGATTTCCTTTTTCACTCTAATTTCAGTGTCTAAAGTCCTCACAACCATGAACAATCTGACTATTTGATGAGACAGGGCTAAATATTGCAGTTTTTCTCCTAGAAATCATTTGAGGGTATTTGCTTTAAGTTGATTGTAAAAATATGGCATAACTGTTTGCACAAATTTGGGACAAATGATATTGGGATAACGATCTACTAGAATAGGGACATTTTACCCACAGTTTCTGGGAGAAAAACCGAGGAATTTCTATCATGACCAGCCTTCAGGCCTCCTGAAATATATCTCTCACAGTGTCCTATTCTTATGCTGAGGAGCCTGAGGTCCCTGTGTGAGGATTAGACAGTGGATTGTTATGTGTGTAGGGGAATCAGCTTAATGTGTCTGTCCATGTCTGAATTTATTGCAGAAATTGAAAAGAAGGGGAAGGGGAAGAAAAGAAGGGGAAGAAGATCAAAGAAGGAAAGAAGAAGGGGAAGAAAAGAAGGGGAAGAAGATCAAAACCCACCATGCCCCAGGTGACTTTCAGCAATTGTGGATGCTTAATTCTGTGTTAACACCTGGAGGCAACAGATTCAGGGAAACCAGAGTGTGTTTGATGTCATGTTTTCAACGAAGGCTGAATTACTCCTCCTGTCATTGCTGTTGGTTTTCATTGCAGTAGATGTTTAGGTTTCCATTTCTTCCTCCCCTTATCATTTACTAACGTACCACAGGTTGACCATACTTCAAAAGCTGTACTCTCATGGCCACTGCATCGAATTTTGAGCATATTTTATGGAAAACTATTGAGCTCACTCTTTTCATGATCACAGTTTGCTGTGTGTCATGAGGGCACTAACTCAGAGTGTCCTTTTACTCCATTACCAGTATGTCACCTGGCCAATTCACTAGGTCACCCATGCCTGTGGCACCCTAATCCTACTCTCATGACATTGGACCTGGGCAGATGTGACAAATTCACACAACTCTGATTTTGTCTCAATTTTGTAGATCTTGTAGATTTCATCCTTCACTCTAATTTCAGCGTCTAAAATCCTCACTACCATGAACAATCTGAGTATTTGATGAGACAGGGCTGAATAGTGCAGTTTTTCTCCTAGCAACCATTTGGGGGCATTTGCTTTAAATCGATTGGAAAAATATGGCATAACCATTTGCACAAACTTGGGACAAATGATATTGGGATAACGATCTACCAGAATAGGGAATTTTACCCACAGTTTCTGGGACAAAAACCAAGGAATCTCTATGGTGATCAGCCTTCAGGCCTCCTGAAGAATATCTCTCACAGTGTCCTATTCTCATGCTGAGGAGCCTGAAGTCCCTGTGTGAGGATTAGACAGTGGATTGTTATGTGTGTAGGAGAACCAGCTTAATATGTCTGTCCATGTCTGAACTTATTGCAGAAATTGAAAAGTACCAAGAAGTGGAAGAAGACCAAGACCCATCATGCCCCAGGTAACTTTGAGCAATTATGGATGCTTAATTCTGTGTTGACACCTGGAGATGCCAGGTCCAGGGAAAACAAGAGTGTGTTCAATTTCATGTTTTCAACGAAGGTTGAATTACTCCTACTGACATTGCTGTTGGTTTTCATTGCGGTAGATGTTTAGGTTTCCATTTCTTCCTCCCCTTATCATTTACTAACTTACTATAGGTTGACCATACCTCAAAGGCTGTATGGCAACTGCATGGAATCTTGAGCAAGTTTATGGAAAATTATTGAGCCCACTCTTTTCATGATCACTGTTCGCTGTGTGTCCCGAGGGCACTAACTCAGAGTGTCCTTTGACCCCTTCATCAGTGTGTCACCCGGCCAACTCGCTGAGCTCACTTTCTCCTCTCTCTCTCTCTCTCTGCCTCTCCCTGTCTTTCTCTTTCATTCTTTTCTACCTGGCCCTGGTCTATCCCAACCTAAAGGCAATAATTCATTACCTCATTAATGGATCTGTCCTTTTTCTTTTTAAACAGTTCCTTATGTTAGCCATGAAATCTAGCTGGAGCTGTGTGGTTTCTGATTCCCCCTGGCTTATTCTTTACTTTTTCCTACTTTTCCAGGCTCAGCAGGGAGCTGCTGGATGAGAAAGAGCCTGAAGTCTTGCAGGACTCACTGGGTAGATGTTATTCGACTCCTTCAGGTTATCTTGAACTGCCTGACTTAGGCCAGCCCTACAGCAGTGCTGTTTACTCATTGGAGGAACAGTACCTTGGCTTGGCTCTTGACGTGGACAGTGAGTACCTTACTATGAAGGTGATAAGCCTCCACCTGGTCTTCCAGATAGGGGTGATATTCCTGTTCCAAGTGGCCCTTACTGACCCGAGAGATGTCATTGCCGCAGGCAGGACCTATGGGCGCATATAGGTTGTAATGAAACTGTAGTCTCAGTTGGAAGCCTAGACATGAAATGGGTCAGTGAGCAAGGCTCCATTCCTAGTCTCCAGCCATGCCTGTGGCAACCTGAGCCCGCTCTCAGCACATTGGACCCAGGCAGATGTAAAAAATTCACAGAAGTATGATTTGGACTCAAGGGTTTGTAGATTTCCTCCTTCATTCTAATTTCAGTGTCTAAAATTCTTGCATCCATGAACGAGCTGGGCATTTGATGAGACAGGGCTGAATACTGCAGTTTTCCTCCTAGAAATCATCTGGGGCATTTTCTTTGAACTGATGGGAACAATAAGGCATAACTGTTTGCACAAACTTGGGATAAATGATTTTGGGATAACGATCTACCAGAATGGGGATATTTCACCCTTGGTTCTGAGATGCAAACCAAAGAATATCATGACCAGCTTTCAGGCCTCCTGAAGTACATCTCTCACATTGTCCTGTTCTCATGCTGAGGAGCCTGAGATCCCTGTGTGGGGATTAGACAGTGGACTGTTATGGGTGTAGGTGAATTGGCTTATTTTGTCTGTCCCTGTCTGAATGTATTGCAGGAATTAAAAAGGACCAAGAAGAGGAAGAAGACCAAGGCCCACCATGCCCCAGGTAACTGAGCAATTGTGAACAGCTACTTCTGTGTTGACATCTGGAGACTCCTGGTTCAGGGAAAACAGAGCGGGCTGACATTATCGATTACATCTTTTCAACCAAGCCTGAATTATTCCTACTAACATTGCTGTTGGTTTTCATTGCAGTAGATATTTAGGTTTCCATTTCTTCCTCCCCTTCTCATTTACTAACCTACTGTAGGTGGACCAGACTTCAAAAACTGTATTCTCATGGCGACTGCATGGAAACTTGAGCACATTTTATGGAAAATTATTGAGCACAGTCTTTTCATGATCCCTGTATGCTGTGTGTCCTGAGGGCACTAACTCAGAGTGTCCTGTTACTCCCTCATCAGTGTGTCACCTGGACAATTCACTGAGCTCGTTCTCTCTCTCTCTCTCTCTGTGTGTGTGTGTGTGTGTGTGTGTGTGTGTGTGTGTGTCTATCTGTCTTTCTCTTTCATTCTTTTCCATTTGGCCCTGTTCTGTCCCAACATGAAGGCAATAATTTGTTACCTCATTAATGGATCTATCCTTTTAGTTTTTTAACCACTTCCCTATGCTACCCATGAAACCTAGTTGGGGCTCTGTTGTGTCTGATTTCCCCTGGCTTATTCTTTACTTTTTCCTCCTTTTCCAGGCTCAGCAGGGAGCTGCTGGAGGTAGTAGAGCCTGAAGTCTTGCAGGACTCACTGGATAGATGTTATTCAACTCCTTCCAGTTGTCTTGAACAGCCTGACTCCTGCCAGCCCTATGGAAGTTCCTTTTATGCATTGGAGGAAAAACATGTTGGCTTTTCTCTTGACGTGGGAGGTGAGTACCTTTCTATGAAGGTGATAAGGATCCACTGAGTCTTCCATATAAAGATCATATTCCTGCTCCAAGTGGCCATTACTGAGCTGAGAGATGTCATTGCCACAGGGAGGACCTATACGCACATGTAGGTTGAATGAAACTCTAGTTCTACCTGGAAGCCCAGACAAGGGATGGGTCAGTGAGCAAGACTCTCTTCCTAGTCTCAGGCCATACCTGTGGCGCCCTGATCCTATTCTCATGACATTGGACCTGGGCAGATGTGACAAATTCAGAGAACTATGATTTTGACTCAAGGGTTTGTAGATTTCCTTTTTCACTCTAATTTCAGTGTCTAAAGTCCTCACAACCATGAACAATCTGACTATTTGATGAGACAGGGCTAAATATTGCAGTTTTTCTCCTAGAAATCATTTGAGGGTATTTGCTTTAAGTTGATTGTAAAAATATGGCATAACTGTTTGCACAAATTTGGGACAAATGATATTGGGATAACGATCTACTAGAATAGGGACATTTTACCCACAGTTTCTGGGAGAAAAACCGAGGAATTTCTATCATGACCAGCCTTCAGGCCTCCTGAAATATATCTCTCACAGTGTCCTATTCTTATGCTGAGGAGCCTGAGGTCCCTGTGTGAGGATTAGACAGTGGATTGTTATGTGTGTAGGGGAATCAGCTTAATGTGTCTGTCCATGTCTGAATTTATTGCAGAAATTGAAAAGAAGGGGAAGGGGAAGAAAAGAAGGGGAAGAAGATCAAAGAAGGAAAGAAGAAGGGGAAGAAAAGAAGGGGAAGAAGATCAAAACCCACCATGCCCCAGGTGACTTTCAGCAATTGTGGATGCTTAATTCTGTGTTAACACCTGGAGGCAACAGATTCAGGGAAACCAGAGTGTGTTTGATGTCATGTTTTCAACGAAGGCTGAATTACTCCTACTGTCATTGCTGTTGGTTTTCATTGCAGTAGATGTTTAGGTTTCCATTTCTTCCTCCCCTTATCATTTACTAACGTACCACAGGTTGACCATACTTCAAAAGTTGTACTCTCATGGCCACTGCATCGAATTTTGAGCATATTTTATGGAAAACTATTGAGCTCACTCTTTTCATGATCACAGTTTGCTGTGTGTCATGAGGGCACTAACTCAGAGTGTCCTTTGACTCCCTTACCAGTATGTCACCTGGCCAATTCACTAGGTCACTTTCTCTCTGTCTCTGTCTCTGTCTCTCTCTCTGTCTTTCTCTTTCATTGTTTTCTACCTGGCCCTGTTCTATCCCAACATAAAGGCAATAAATTTTTTTTTTACCTCATTAATGGATCTATCCTTTTTCTTTTCTAACCACTTCCTTATGTTACTTCTGAAATCTAGTGGGGCTCTGTGGTGTCCGATTTTCCCTGGCTGCTTCTTTAGTTTTGTCTCCTTTTGCAGGCTCAACAGCATGCTGATGGAAGTGGAAGAGCCTGAAGTCTTGCAGGACTCACTGGATATATGTTATTCGACTCCGTCAATGTACTTTGAACTACCTGACTCATTCCAGCACTACAGAAGTGTGTTTTACTCATTTGAGGAAGAGCATATCAGCTTCGCCCTTTACGTGGACAATAGGTTTTTTACTTTGACGGTGACAAGTCTCCACCTGGTGTTCCAGATGGGAGTCATATTCCCACAATAAGCAGCCCTTACTAAGCCGAGAGGTGTCATTCCTGCAGGCAGGACCTATAGGCACGTGAAGATTTGAATGAAAGTACAGTTCCATTTGGAAGCCCAGACATAGGATGGTTCAGTGGGCATGGCTCTATTCCTATTCTCAAACCATGCCAGTGGCAACCTGTGCTCAGTCTGAAGACAATGGACCCACGTTAGGTGTGACACGTTCACATAACTGTGCAGCACATGCCGGGAGTGATCAGTCAGACATTTTAATTTGAACCACGTATCTCTGGGTAGCTACAAAATTCCTCAGGGATGTCATTTTGCAGGCATGTCTCTGAGCTTCTATACCTGCTCAAGGTCATTGTCATCTTTGTGTTTAGCTCATCCAAAGGTGTTACCCTGGTTTCAATGAACCTAACCTCATTCTTTGTGTCTTCAGTGTTGGCTTGTTTTAGCTGATCCATCTGTAACACAGGAGGGATCCTTGGCTGAGGATTGTATTTCAGAACCACCAACTGCTCTTGACAATTGTTAACCCGCTAGGCTCCTTTGGTTAGAGAAGCCACAGTCCTTCAGCCTCCAATTGGTGTCAGTACTTAGGAAGACCACAGCTAGATGGACAAACAGCATTGGGAGGCCTTAGCCCTGCTCCTCTCAATTCCATCCTGTAGAGAACAGGAGTCAGGAGCCGCTGGCAGGAGACAGCATGTCACCCAGGACTCTGCCGGTGCAGAATATGAGCAATGCCATGTTCTTGCAGAAAACGCTTAACCTGAGTTTCATAGGAGGTAATCACCAGACAACTGCAGAATGTAGAACACTGAGCAGGACAACTGACCTGTCTCCTTCACATAGTCCATATCACCACAAATCACACAACAAAAAGGAGAAGAGATATTTTCGGTTGAAAAAAAGTAAAAAGATAATGTAGCTGCATTTCTTTAGTTATTTTGAACCCCAAATATTTCCTCATCTTTTTGTTGTTGTCATGGATGGTGGTGACATGGACTTGTTTATAGAGGACAGGTCAGCTGTCTGGCTCAATGATCTACATTCTGAAGTTGTCTGAAAATGTCTTCATGATTAAATTCAGCCTAAACGTTTTGCCGGGAACACTGCAGAGACAATGCTGTGAGTTTCCAACCTCAGCCCATCTGCGGGCAGAGAAGGTCTAGTTTGTCCATCACCATTATGATATCAGGACTGGTTACTTGGTTAAGGAGGGGTCTAGGAGATCTGTCCCTTTTAGAGACACCTTACTTATAATGAAGTACTTGGGAAAGCAGTTTTCAAGAGTATAAATATCCTGTATTCTAATGATCATCCTCTAAACATTTTATCATTTATTAATCCTCCCTGCCTGTGTCTATTATTATATTCATATCTCTACACTGCAAATTTTGGGTCTCAATTTTTACTGTGCCTTTGTTTTTACTAGTGTCTGCTGTTGCAAAAAGAAGAAAACATTCTCTGCCTGAGTTTTAATTTTTGTCCAAAGTTAATTTTAATCTATACAATTAAAACCTTTTGCTATCACTCTGGACTTTTGGATTGTTTTTTACATTCAGTGTTATAATATTTGATTATGCTGATTGGTTTTGGTGGGTACTGATGCGAATTAATAAAAACATTTCATTTCCATGTTTATTTTCTAATCTCTTCCACATTGTAGGCTATGTTTACCATACGTAGCAGAATGTATTTACATTGCTTGGTTCTAGTCATTTGTATTCTTCGTGAGTGTGAGTGTGTGTGTGTGTGTCTGTGTGTGTGTCTGTGTGTGCCTTTGGCATTTAGGAAGGGTTGTATAGCTCATGTTAAATATTGCACTAAAAATGTTTTTGATGGTTTTCCTCCCTTTGAAATAGACACACTTCTAATATTTGGTTTATAGTTTTAAATTATAACTTTCAGCATCAAATATTTCCATACAACAGTCAATTACATGATGTGTTTTCTTTTTCCTACCTCCTTTACCTGCCACTTCTCATAATAGTATTTGAACCTAAACATATACCGGTGACATTCTGTGATTATCATCTTGCCCCTACCTTGGTTTTGGTTTTTGGTGCAGTTCCAGGCTCTTGGTGTCTTTGTTTGGGACACCAAGAGCCTGGAACTGCACGGCACCAGCTGGTAAGAATTAGGCTTTTTTGGCCGGGCGCGGTGGCTTATGCCTGTAATCCCAGCACTTTGCGAGGCCAAGGCGGGCGGATCACGAGGTCAGGAAATCGAGACCATCCTGGCTAACACGGTAAAACCCCATCTCTACTAAAAGTAAAAAAAATTAGCCGAGCGTGTTGGCGGGCGCCTGTAGTCCCAGCTACTCGGGAGGCTGAGGCAGGAGAATGGCCTGAACCCGGGAGGCGGAGCTTGCAGTGAGCCGAGATCGCGCCACTGCACTCCAGCCTGGGCGACAGAGAGAGACTCCGTCTCAAAAAAAAAAAAACGGCTTTTTTTTTTCCCTAAGGGTTAACAACAAACCAGCCCTATGGAAAGACTTGCTTCACCACTGTTATCAACCAACGGCCTGATGCTTTTCCTCAGTTTTGTGATTTTGACAAAACAAGCAAGCAGCATTCCCTCCTGATAAGAGACCACCGACCTAGGAATGATTCTGGCCAGACTAGAGAGGATGCACAGTGAGGGTTTTCATGTCCTCTGCTTCAGCTTTTGATGTCAGAGGGCCACAAACTCCACTCTCAGATGATTGCTAATGCCACCATTTTATGAACATGGGCCCCATGGAGAGGCACGAAGCTCAGTTGCACTTCTGCACATTTTTCCTCCTATAAATATTGCTATTGGAATATTATTTGGTACGGCTCCCGTGAAAGATACATTTGCGGAATGTACTCAAATTAGAAGCATCATGTAAACCCTATAATGTAGCAATAGTGCATCAACTTCCCTACACTATAGAAATATCTGCGGTGTAGACATTTCCACAATGACCAAAGATATGTGTACAAGAAAGGTGGCTGCAGCATTCTTTGTAATCCTAAAACAATGAAACCTACCTCATCTCAAAAACTTTATTTTTTTATTTTTATTTTTTTTGAGATGGAGTCTCGCTCTGTTGCCCAGGCGGGAGTGTAGCGGTGCAGCCTCCACTGGTGCAGCCTCCACTGCAGCCTCCACCTCCCAGGTTCAAATGATTCTCCTGCCTCAGAATCCCAAGTACCTGAGATTACAGGCACATGCCACCATGCCTGGCTAACAAAAACATTTTGAAAAGGGTTAAATAAATCATGCACAAACTGAGGAAAAATACTCTTTTCAAAAATGATGGAGAGGATCACTATGATGATGAATGATTCCACTGGTCACATTATTGATAGAGCAATCAGTAAATCCAGGCACATCCTCGGGATATTACTGACCTCCTATTATTAAAATATGAAAAAATGGAGGCATGTAAATTACTCGTTTAAGCGTATAACGGACTGAATTAGAATTTTATCACACCAGAAGTGGGTTCCTAGGTCTCTGTTTCAGGATTCCTGAGTTACACACGTATAAACCCAGGATTTCAGGAGATACCCGGTTAAGAATCCGGTCGGGGAGGTAGGCTGGCCCTTGACATGGATAAGTCACAAATTAGTGGCTTAGGACTCCAGGAAGATAAAATTTTCCCCATTTATCTAGTGATTGACAATGCATGAATACTTTAAAAGCTCGAACAACCGTTCCTGGGTGGGCTCGAACCACCAACCTTTCGGTTAACAGCCGAACGCGCTAACCGACTACGCCACAGAGACAGGTACTGTCAGTCAGTTCTACTGGGCGCTATAGGAAGGGCGCACGCACGAAACTTCCTCCGTCCCTTGCATCCTCAGGGCCCGCCCGGCAGGACGACTGAGCAAGGCCTTGGAAGACCGGAGAGATTGGAGTGGTAAGTCGCGCTGGTCACGTTGGACACCTGCGCATTGGGAGATTCTGGAGCCAGAAGGATAGCCGAATGGCCTTGGCCCGCCCTGCCCCTCGCCTGCTTCAGAAACCCCCGGAAACGCCCCGGTTGAGACCCCGGCCCGAGCCGCCTGGGGGCCCTAGGGAGGCTGAACGCCCGGTGGCTCCCGGGATGGCTCTTCCCGTTCTTTGCGCCGACTTCACCCAGTGAGGGAGCCTGTGCCCTCCCTGCCCAGTCGCTTTTGGGGCCGCTGCGGAGCTTCCGCTGCCATCTTCGGATCCTGTGTTCCGCACGGGGGCTCCACCAGAGCAGGGATCGTGGTGAGGGTGGCTCGTGGGTCCCCCTCGTGGGGAGCAGGGTCTGGCACTCACCAGGGCGCAGGACTAGGACTTGTCGAATGAATCCATCCTTTTAGCTTTTAGTCCTTTGAAGAGCCTTGAGAATGGAAATCATGAGAGATTTTTCCATGGGGAAGTTCCTTTTACAAAGCATTTATTTACGTTGACTTCTTGGCACCCCGCGGGGCGGCAACGGGCAGGGCCTCCAGTGCACCTTCTGCGCCGTGGAGCCGCGGGGGCTCAGCTGGGCGGTGGTCGGGTCCTGAGGCCGGAGGGCGGGAGCAGGGGAAGGGAAAAGCAAAAGCGGTGAAAGAAGCCGGGGAGCGGTGGACCAGACGTCCAGACCTCCTGAAAGGCTGGCGGGGAGGCACAGGCGGGATCTTCCGGAGGTGAGAATTTTTTTTTATTATAGCAGAATGGGGAGGAATTGAGGGGAAAATGGAGATAGAACCTGAAAGAGCCCCAAACGCCAGAACCTGTAGCTCCCCAAGAATAAGATCTTCCAGAAGAACTAGACCCAAAACTAGCCGTTGGGGAACACCGAAATCCTTGGAGGAGCAACATCCGCATGACCCTCTGTGTTCCTTTAGGCAAAAGGACTTGCTTCCATTGTTTGTTCAATTGTTTGTGTTTGTTAAATAAATAAAACGATTTTCATGTATCTTTGAAATTACTTTGGCGCTACTATTTTATGATTGCAAATAATGCGGCAGTGATCATTCTTGTACACTTCTCATTGGCCATTTGTGTATTT
This sequence comes from Homo sapiens, assembly GCF_000001405.40. NCBI lineage: Eukaryota > Metazoa > Chordata > Mammalia > Primates > Hominidae > Homo > Homo sapiens. Next base: position 120,845,577 of record NC_000001.11, read on the forward strand.
CTATAGGGTAGAGGCCTGGAGAGCAGTTGCTCCAGCATAGGGATTACACAGTTTTTGTTTGTTTATTTATTTATTTATTTTTGAGACAGAGTCTCGCTCTGTCACCCAGGCTGGAGTGCAGTGGCGCCATCTCAGCTCTCACTGCAACCTCCGCCTCCCGGGTTCAAGCGAATCTCCTGCTTCAGCCTCCCAAGTAGCTGAGATTACAGGTCCGCGCGAGCCACCACATCGGGCTAATTTTTGTATTTTTAGTAGAGACGGGGTTTCACCGTTTTGGCCAGGCAGGTCTCAAACTCCTGACCTCAAGTGATCTGCCTGCCTTGGCCTCTCAAAGTGCTGGGATTACAGGCATGAGCCACCGCACCCAGCGATTACATTTTTTTTTAATATATATCATTCTATTTTCTTTCCTTATTTGGCTTATTAGCTGTAACTCTTTCTTTTGTTATGTCAGTGATGGCTTTAGGGTCCCTAGAATACATCTTTATCTGTCTGCCATCAAGTGACATTATACCTCCCCTTCTGGCCTTTATGCTAGTGTTGTCAGGGAATTTGATTTTGGACATGTTATAAACCCCAACATCCAAGTACGTACATAGCGATTTTCAGTCGTCTCCATTTCTTTGTGTAGGTTCAGATTTCTGTTTGGTATCCTTATCCTTAGGCCTGGAGGACTCCTTTAATATTTCTTGTAGTGTGGTTCGGTGAATTCTGTCATTTTTTTGTATGTCTTTAAATGTCCTGATTTCAGTCACATTTTTGAAAGATATTTCAATTTGGCATAGAATTCTAGAATAACTTTTTTTCTCTCAGTACTTTAGGATGTTGCCACTTTGACGCTTTGTCATTGACATATCTTTCCTGTTTTTGTAAACTTGGCATAAAGTGGGTTTCCTGTACTTGTTATATGATTTTTGGATTGTGTATTCAAATTAAAAGTATTAAATTAAAATTAAAATGGCCTGGGTGAGGTGGCTCACACCTGTAATCCCAGCACTTTGGGAAGGGGAGGCAGAGGATCGCTTGAGACCCAGAGTTGGAGACCACCCTGGGCAAGATAGCAAGACCCTGTGTGTGTGTGTGTGTGTGTGTGTGTGTATACACATAAATATGTATATATATTATATGTATGTATGTATATATAAGTCCTACAGTCACCTTAAGTTCCACCAACAGTGCGCTTAAGGTAAAATGTGCCCAACCTGAGGCTCAAACCTACCTGCTGGCACGCAATTTGTGTTTGTGAGACAATCTCAACAGCATTTGCTTTTTCTAGCATAGTGGTTTTCCTGTTTTCCTCACATGTGAATGTCTTCAGTGCAAAACCTGTCAGAATTCATTTCCTTTGCTAAAATGTTTTAAAATAACTCTTACTTCAAGTAAGTGCATTAAAAATAAACTTCTCAGTTGCATCCCTGGAATCCATGGAAAGTCCAGGAGAGACAATCAAGTGATACAGGATCAAGCCCAAACAGAACAGGACTAGGCATGGCTTCCTCACTAGGAGCCAGGCCAAAGTCATCTCCTTTGGTCTCCAATGGAGGCCAGAACTCGGTTCACCTGCAACGGGAGGACCTGGCCCAGAAGAGGTGGCCTTCATCTTCATGGTGCCTTCAGATAGGAAATCTAGGATTTCTTTTCTTCTCTTTCATCTACTTCCAACTCTCCCTTTCTATTTATTTATTTATTTATTTATTTATTTATTTATTTGAGACAGAGTCTTGCTGTGTTGCCCAGGCTAGAGTGCAGCGGGGCAGTCTCAGCTCACTGCACCTCCGCCTCCTGGGTTCTAGAGATTCTCCTGCTTCAGCCTCCTGAGTAGCTGGGATTACAGGCGCCCGTCACCGCGCCCGGCTACTTGTTGTATTTTTAGTAGAGACAGGGCTTCACCATCTTGGCCAGGCTGGTCTCGAACTCGTGACCTCGTGATCCACCCACCTCGGCCTCCCAAAGTGCTGGGATTACAGGCGTGAGCCACCGCATCTGGCCCTCCCTTTCTATTTCTTCAAGACCTTTTTCGGATCCCTCCTGCGCAGGACCTAAACGGGCGGTGCCCTTACCCACTGGTCCCTCCCTGCCTGCTGTCTTCGGAGCCCTAGCTCACCCGGAACGTTACTGCCCGCCGGTGACAGCGAGAGGACCAAAGAGGGCAGCGGGTGCGGTGGGATCCACAGAGTCACCGCGCACCTGCTCCTCGCGGGCTCCTCGCAAATTGAATAAACGCCCCCTGAAGCTTCTCTTCAAGTCACAGGGAAGGGGAAGGTGGCTGCCGACCCGGCGGGAGAAGCCGGCCCTGCCCCTGGTCCTTGAAGACAGGTTTGGCCAGGCTGATTTTGACTGGTAGGCCCAAAGAAAAGCCTCAAGGGCAGACCAAACTCCGACAGGCTCCGAGATTAAGGCTTTCAAACGTCTGATCGTTTTCAGCTTGGTCAGTAAAATCGATCTCGCCTTTATCAGGAGATTCCTTTGCCAAAGTTCAGAGACCTGGGGTTCCAGCTGCTTGCCACACAGAAAACCAATCACTGAGATGGTTATTGCCAAGGAAGAGGCTTTAATAGGGTGCTGCAGCGGAGGAGATGAGAACTCAGTCTCAAATCCATCTCCCTGACCAACCAAAACTAGAGGCTTAGATGGCAGGGAAAGAATGTGACAATGTGTAAGAAAACAGGAACTAGACCAGGCGCGGTGGCTCACGCCTGTAATCCCAGCACTTTGGGAGGCCGAGGGGGGCGGATCACGAGGTCAGGAGATCGAGACCATCCTGGCTAACACGGTGAAACCCCGTCTCTACTAGAAATACGAAAAGAAATTAGCCGGGCTTGGTGGCGGGCGCCTGTAGTCCCAGCTACTCGGGAGGCTGAGGCAGGAGAATGGCGTGAACCCGGGAGGCGGAGCTTGCAGTGAGCCAAGATAGCGCCACTGCACTCCAGCCTGGGAGGCAGAGGGAGACTCTGTCTCAAAAAGAAAAAAAAAGAAAAAAGAAAAGAAAGAAAACAGGAACTAGGGAGGGGCAAGGAAGCAATCAGGATGAATGAGGGGTCCGGCATCTCATTGTCTGGGTGACTTTCAGTTCTTTGATATCTTTTTTGAGAGGCCTGAAGGAAGGAACTCAAATAAAACAAATATCGAGTTTCAAACTTTCAGATCAGAAGGGTCCATTTCTATGTTTATCCAAAAATCTACGTATGGGACTATTGGGTGGGTTTCAGACCAAGAAAGAGTGTGCATATCAAAGTCTGCGGTTAACCAAAGAGAAAACATAATTTTCCGACCAATAGGATGTATGGGGGTCAAAGAACGACCAGCCTACAGTACTGTTTATTGGCCTGAGCATACGGAAGGATGAAGTTGCACCAGCGAAATGGGATTAAGCTGCAGGTGCGGGCTGGGCGCGGTAGCTCACACCTGTAATCCCAGCACTCTGGGAGGCTGAGGTGGGTGGATCACTTGAGATCAGGAGTTTGAGACCAGCCTGACCAACATGGTGAAACCTCGTCTCTAATAAAAATACAAAAATTAGCCGGGCGTCATGGCGGGCACCTGTAGTCCCAGCTACTAGGGAGGCCGAGGCAGGAGAATTGCTTGAACCCGGGAGATGGAGGTTTTAACGAGCCGAAATTGCGCCACTGCCCTCCAGCCCGGGCAACAGACCGAGACCCCTTCTCAAGCAAAAATAAAAACAAAAAGCTGCAGGTGGAAAAAAAAGTCTGGATTTTGGTTCAGAGCCCCTGGGGCCTTCCTCAGTAGTTTTCTCTTTCCTTGAAAAAGGAAGCCTGTCTCAGTCTCTGCATCTCTCTGAGTCCTTTTGGAGATTGAGGATGGTGAGGTCTCAGTGCTTGGCCCCCTTCTAACTCTGGGTACCTCCCCTCCCGTGGTCAACCTGGTCCAGTGCACAGGCCCCAGCTCCGACGACCATCTCCCCCCTACCCTTTGCTCCCAGCAAAGGCCATTTCTAGGTCAGTCGTGAGGTACAGCCAGGACAGGGCAGCTCGCTCCGAGATTTTTGGCTCTCGAAGGCCTTGAGCGCTGTGGTTCTGCAGAACGCTGTCTGCCTCTTGTGGAGGAACTGACACCCGCTGGAGAAAGTGTGGAGGGAAGCGAGGGCTGCACCTGCATGCAGGAGCTGAGGCAAGCGGCGGTTCCCAGCTCTCAGTGCAAAAGACATTTGTCATCTGAGAGGCTGGACTCAGTTATTATAATTTTCAATTTTGTCAATAAAAACCGAATGGAAATTTGTTTTCTTACTTGTAGAAACCTCCTCACAAGACCTCCCATCTTACATTCCAGGGAGAATTAGCAGGGTATTCCGCCAAGACATAGGTTAGACTGCGGTTCTGACCTGCAGGCCTCGATGCCCTGCGCCAGGGCACCAGGGCATGGGCAAAGCCCTCCCCCTACACAAAGCAAGGGTGTTATGTCTACAACCGAACGGGGACACTAAGAGCCCCCAACATGCACGGTTTTCATTCCAAAGAAAACCACCAGTTCTGAGTACAACTTCCACCTGGCTCTATTAACTGAGTACACGTTTCCCCAACACAGAAATCCTACAAACTCCCGTGAATGCTGTGGTGAAAAGCAGGAGCTGCCAGGGCAAGATGGATCGCACCTGTAATCCCAGCACTTCAGAAGGCTGGGCGGACCACTTGAGCCCAGGAGTTGGAGCCCAGCCTGAGCAGAATGGTGAAACCGCTACGAAAAAAGAAAAAGAAAGGAAAGAGAAAGAAAAGAAAAGAAAAAAAAAGAGAAAAAACTAGCCGGGTGTGGTGGCGTGTGGTTGTCCTACTCGGGAGCCTGAGATGGGAAGATCGCGCCACTTCTCCAGACTGGACGGTACAGCGAGACTTGTCTTAGGGAGGGGGGGAAAAAAACAACAAAAAAAACAGAGGCTAAGAGGTAACTCCGAGGATGACAGAAAACACCAGAGTTTTTAAGAGATGTTAGAAGCCCTGGGAGCACTGAACAAACCAGAAAGCTCCCGACCCTTGATCCCTGAGCTCCACCTAGCAAGTACAGCGGCAGCTAACCTGGGAGAACACCCCAACCAACAGAGACTGAAATTCGCCTCCCAAGAGAGTAAGTGGATAGTTCTAAGCTGTCCCCAAACATGGCCTCACAAACGAAAACTAACCGTTGCGAACGGAAACAACTGACCGGACAGAACACAGCCACAAAACACGAGCCCGCACCCTGAATTACAAAAACACTTACGGCTCACCTACTATTCGCACCACAAAAGCACCAGAGGAAAGCGCGAACGCAGTCCCCCACTACCACAAATTATGCAGTCGAGTTTCCCACGTTTGGGGAAATCGCAGAGGTCAGCACATCCGGAACACAATGGATAACCCTCGCCCTGAGAAAAACCACCTTCGTTTGATAATAGTATCTCCCCTGCCAGGTAAGTATAAGCTTTTGCACCTCCGCCCCGCCACAGCCTCACACGCTTCACCCTTTACACGCACGGTCACTTGCCCCGCGCACCTCCCCGCCCCCCCCAGCCCTCCTAGCCCTGACACACAGCTGGGACTCTCAGGTCCGACCAGCGGTCCTGAACCCACTCCCACGGCACGGGAACTCCTTAGTGGCGAAGCAGCAGCCCCTGCGCTGCCTCATCTACATAGAAATCGCCCTATCCGTGATGTCACTGACAGCGCCTTTCCCAGTCCCCGTCTGCTCTTCCGCCCCACCCTCCGCCGACTCAGCCGATCAACCCGCTGCCGGAGCTGGCGAAGGAAGTGACGTCTGTCTCTTTCTCCTTTTCCTCCTGCCATTGTCCTTTGGGGAGGTGCGCAGAGACCCCGCGTCTGGTCTCCCCCTAAGACTGTGGTACTTGATCTGTGTCCTGCAGAGAACCCTTCTGGCGGCCAACAGGAAGCTTTTGCACCCTTCTTCAGATAATGTCTTTTAATGCGCAGACTTGAACGTTTAGGATTACAAGGAAAACCGGTTCCTTTCAAACCTGTTTATCTTTGTGATGTAGCATTCCGCTTCAAGTTGAAAGCCATTCAATGTCAGAGAGAAAACATATCTATGAAACCAGAGAGGCTGCTCAGATGGGTTGCAAACTAGCCATCCTTACTGGTTTTACCACTAGAAGTGTTACAAAGACAGTTGTCCAATTTTATGAATCTTGAAGGGTTTTTTGTTGTTGTTGTTATTTCAAATACAGTGTAATACAAAAATATGTGGCCCCCGCAGAGACGATTGGACACTCTCAGGCATGGTGATGGAGTTTGTCATCTCTTCCACGGCCATCTCAGAACCTTAGTGCTTACCTCATATTAGTATTTTATATTCTCCAAAGACACAAAAATAATCCCAATTTGACAAAACAAACAAGCAAAAAAACATCTAGGGCATGTCTTATTTGAGGCGCTTAACAAATGACTGGATCATCTCCCTTGTATATAACCCAGAAAACACTGTGAAGTAGAGCAAAATTGGAAAGCCCAAGTCAAAGACCATTTGCAAATTTCAAGTAGATTCCAGTCTGTTGCTCAAATCACAAAACATGAAATGGAGGGGTCTCCCTTGGAGACCATAAAGTCTGTGACATGGTGGCCAGTTGGGTCACTGGAAAACATGGCAAAATATTGAAAATGAGGGATTAGGTGAGAGTGTAGCAACTGAACACTAAATGCTTGATCCAGGTGCCATTCCCTGGATACTGACAGGGAGACACATTGTCCAGGTAATACTGGAAAAAGGGGGTGGGCACAGTGGCTCATGCCTGTAATCCCAGCACTCCCTCAGGAGGCTGGCAGATTGCCTGAGTCCAGGAGTTTGAGACCAGCCTGGGAAACATGGTGAAACCCCATCTCTACAAAAAAAAAAAAAAAAAAAAAAAAAATTAGCCAGGCATGGTGGTGAGCACCTGTGGTCCCAGCTACTCAGGAGGCTGAGGTGGGAGGATTACTTGAGCCTGGGAGGTGAAGGTTGCAGTGACCCAAGCTTGCAACACTGCACTTCAGCCTGGATGACAGAGGAATGGGCCTTCACTAGACACTGAACCTGCTGGCAACTTGATCTTGGACTGACCATCCTCCATAACTGTGAGCAATAAATTTTTGTTGTTTATAAGTTACTCACTCTGTGGTATTTTGTTATAGCAGCACAACTGGATTAGGACATCAACCTGACCTTAAGAAATCATCTCAATTCAGTCTTGGCTCTGGTGGGAAACAAGGGACACACTCGGATGTGTGATTTAAAGAGAGTTGTGGTTTTTTTTTTGTTTTTTTTTTTTTGAGATGGAGTCTCGCTCTGCTGCCCAGGCTGGAGTGCAGTGGTGCCATCTCGGCTCACTGCAAGCTCCGCCTCCCGGGTTCACGCCATTCTCCTGCCTCAGCCTCCCGAGTAGCTGGGACTACAGGCGCCCGCTACCACACCCGGCTAATTTTTTGTATTTTTAGTAGAGAGCGGGTTTCATCACGTTGGCCAGGATGGTCTCGATCTCTTGACCTCCCAAAGTGCTGGGATTACAGGCGTGAGCCACCGCGCCCGGCCTAAAGAGAGTTTTATGAAGAGAATATTTATAAATATAATATGGACAGGATCAAAACAACCCAACCAAGGACTGAGAGGCGCTCAGAATCTGGAATCAGCAGAGAAGTTGTATTGCCTCTAGGACTGGATTGTTGTATAAGTCTGTTCAGGTTGCCATAACAACCTGGACAGGACCGTAGTCCTGTCCAGTGATCCTCCCCAAGACAACCGTTCTCTCTAGTAACTATGGTTTTCCTTTCACATTTCAATTGTCACCTCAATTGACTGAAATGTGAACACCAACTCCCGCACTTAAATGTTGAAGCCCTAACACCTACTGTGATGATTTATGCAGCTGGGGCCTTTGAGAGGTAATCAGGATTAAAAGAGGTTATGAGAGTGGTGTCCTCATGCTGAGATTAATGCCATTACAAGAAGAGAGACACTAGAAAGCTTGCTTGTCCGCCTTCCCCCTGGTGCACGAAGAAATGGTCACATGGGCACACAGTGAATCTACAGCCACTTACAGGCCATAGGAAGAGACCTTAGAAAGAAATCCGCTTTGCTACCACCTTTATCTTGGACTTCCCAACTTCCAGAAGTGTGAGAAATACATTTCTATAGTTTAAGCCACTTGGTGTATGGTATCTTGTTATGGCAACCTGAACAGACTTATACAACAATTAAGTTGCCTTTCCACTGATGGACTTAGACACAATCTCTTTCCCAAAAAAGAGCTATATTTAGCTACTTTTCTTTTGCATATTGTTCCATTTGCAGCCACACTATTTGTCTTCCCCCACACCACTTCTATCACCAGGAATCCATTTTCCTTGTTTTCTTTTTAATATCGGGAGCCTCTGCTCACTGCACTGCATAGTCCTTGGGGCTTTTTTTAAACTTTATTTTTAACAATCATTTGAGCAGAAAGTAGCCAATTCAGTTCTTTAATTTCCCATTTTATTCTTGGTTTGAAACTGACCTGATTGTGTCCCTTTTGTTATGACCAGTTACTTAGAAGCCATACAGCCCACAAGGTACCCTTGGGTATAAATCCAACTTCTTCATTTTAATGGTGAGAAATCAAAAGCCCATGTTTCCTGATTTCTGGCCCAGCACTGGAACTGTTTTCATGGCATGTCAATTCATCATACATTTTAATAGTGATATTTTATATTTGCATAATTTTATTGCCTTTGCAATGGGCTTTCACATCTATCTTCTCATGTGTATATAGTTTAAAGGCCATTTTTACCCACTATCTCCTAATCATATCGACCACAGCCTCAGGAAATGTCTGCTCTATTATTTCACTTGCCTGTCTGGGTTCTTGGGCAACAGCATAGAATCCTGCACTGTGTTTTCCCTCACGCTTTCTCACTCTCTGCAGAACAAATTTTTGTTACATGCCTTATTATCATGGTAATATTGGCCTTCAGTCCTGTATAGAAGCATTAAAAATGTGCATAATGTATATCCTTTTAAAATGTTATCCTAAGAAGCATCTTTTTGGAGTTAAGGAGAGTTAGATGAATAAAGAAAGAATACAGTTTCTCCTAAACAAACCCACTAAGAAAATCATGGAAAGAATTATGACAACTATGAAAATGAAGGAGGTATACTTTGTCAACAAAAGCAAAATAACCAAGCTACTCTTAGACATAATCTCACATTATCTTTCTGTAGTGCTCTAGCATTTTCTAAGCCTTTTCACACACTGTTATCTCTTTTTTTCTTTCTCCTTCTAGAAATTAATTATGACTTTTCCTTTCAAAAATGAAGGACTTTTTTTTTTTTTTTACTCTTTTCATTTTTTCCTGAGACCATATGTCAAAGGGAATGTGAGGAACAACTTTGGTGTGGTAATAGCCAAATTTCTCCAGGCCTGCTCCTCAAGCTTGCAAAGTCAAGACTGGCAGAAGTGGTGATTTTTACCTGGGTATCCTGAGAACCTTGCACAGTCCTTATCACATGCATGTGTTCAGAGTGTGCAAATAAATGAAGAAATGTGAGATTGTGATGATATTTTCATGGCATGCTTTTTTTCCACACTTCCTCATGCAGCCCAACATCCTCTACACTGTGTTGTTCTACCCGTTTAAGTGATTTACCACTTCTCCATTAAGCCAACTTAAACCATGTAGCCTTCAACTCAACATTGATTGATCCCCAATACAGTCCTGTAGGGAGGCAAGAAAACTTACAAATGAAGTGGTAAAGAAAGAGAGAGATTAAGTAATTTGCCCCAAATCTCATAACCACTAGGTGATAAATCTTCAACTAGAACTCAAATATCTGGCTGAGAATTCAGTGCTCTTTTAATTTAAATCACATTGCTTCATAAAAATAGATCTGCAGGAAGAATAAAAATGTCCAAAGTGCAATGAGAGAGAAGATAATATGGAGACAGAAATATTGCACAGAAAGCATTTGACCATATGTCTGCCTGATCCCCTTCATGTGTCTTGTTCATAACTTACTTTACTCGGGCAGCAGGAGATAGCATAACAACTGTCAGAGTGAATTTAGGCCACAGTTTTGTGTTGCTGAATGTGTTGAGTCATTTCCCTTAGTTCACATTTCTACCTAACTTTATCTTTTAAGTCATCATCATGCCTTTAATCTCTTATTTATTTTGACTGTTGAGATTTTGTAGCCATTATCCAAATAAAACATTTATTTTCACTCGTGAGTCCCTAATCCTTCCTCAATGGAATTAGCTATTTATTTGATGCAATAGCTAGACCAGTAGGGTTAAAAATGCTTTTATAAAGACATTAATAGCTGGGTATGGTGATATGCACCTAGGGAGGCTATGGCAGGAGGATCACTTGAGTCCATGAGTTTGAGGCCAATGCCTTCGCAACATAGTGAGACCCTGTCTTTAAAGTAAAAATTTAAAAATTAAAAGAAAAGACATTTAAAAAGGCTGTTTACCAAAATGATGGTTAATTGACAGAAAATAGAAACTGAAACTAGAAATCATTGCCATCAGCTTTCTCTAATGTGTACTTGATCCTTTTCTCCCTGTGATGGAAGTCGAAAGTCTTTTTGTTTTTTTCTTAATCCACTACTGTTCAAATGAGAATAAACAGCCAAATGACTGAATTAGTTGGTAGACATAATTCCTAGTCTTCAATTATTTTTATATTCTTTTGTAATACAGTCATTATTTTTTCAGACTTCTATAATATTGCATTTAACCAATCCCCAAATAGGGAAACATTATGTAATTTTTCTATTATTTACAGTTCCTTGATTATAATCTTTTATTTGAAAAGATTATATATTTATATAAAAACCCAGTTTCTTTCTTACATATAAATATTATTAGTAGTCTAAAAATGTCACTCTCAATAAACAGGATGAGTCAACTTGAGGACTAGAGAATCAGGTAGTCAACATCAGAGAACTGGTTATCAAACAGAAGGGGCCTATCCAGATAGAGAGAAGTCAGGCAGGGCTGTGCTGTGAAAATATTAGAGAAGCTTGATGGGAGGCCTAATATAGTTTGTCTTTACACCTGTATATTTTGCTTCTTGCATCTGCTTCAATGCCCTCTGTCATTTATTATAACTAGATTTATTGTTCCAATAGATTTGTACTACAGTCAGAACAAACAAATCACTGGATCCAGCAGAAGCCTTAGATATATGACATAACAGAGATTTGCACAAAGATTTGCCCCATTGCCTTCTCGAATTTCTCTTATCATCAATCCATCTAGCTGGAGCTCTCTGAAGGTCATCAGAGGTCAGTATAATTTTAATAAGATTTTAACTGAAGGATAGCCTTGATGTTCAGTGACCTTCAGACATGTTTATAATCGAGAAGCCACTCCCCCTGTTGAATGATAACCTCTTCCATGAATTACCAAACCAATGGTGCTCACATTCTGATTAACCATTGATTCCCATAAACCCAGCTTCCCCCAACACTGATGATCTAAATAACCTGAATTATTTGCATTGCCTTATCAATTCCATCTCATTTCCTGTCTTGGTGGTTTTGCTCACACTGCTTCTATGTGGAATGTCCGTATGTAGCCACTCGAGTTTCCACTTCATCGTTCCATCATCTGTAGTCTCTATACACTATCCATCATCAGGACTAATGTGAGCTGACTTTCCTCCAAAAAGCTTTCCCTGAACTTATCCTGAAATAACGTTTTTCTCTGCTAACTTACCATTTGTCACGTTAGTATACAGCTTCTCTAACTGTCATGAAATGAAATAAATGGGAAGAAGATGAAACTTGAAAAGAAATCTGCTTCTTAAGGCAGGCCCTGGGGGAATAGCCCTGGCTGGAGGTAATGTAAGGTCTAGATGGTGTTTTTAGAATCTGAAGACTGCAACACCAAACACAAGTATAAGCCTAGGCAAGCTGTCAGTGCAGGGCCTAAAATTAGGTATTTCAACAAGTGGATGAATCAATTTGGGGAATTGTATTAGTAAACAGAGGAAGCCCGTCCAGTAAAAGGGAGAGTAAGCAGGGATGCAATTTAAAACTATTGAGGAAAAAATGGCTAAGAAATAGTAAAATTAACACATGGCCTAAAATATTAAGAAATTAAGCCTGTTACAGAATTACTGACCTGGCTAGTATATAGGAGCATTAACAACACAAAAACAGATTAGGTCGGGATTAGCAGTGGGGGTGAAATAATCTTCAGGGCTGAACTACTGAGCTAGAAATATTTAAATCCTCCTTGCAGATGAGAACTATAGAGGACAATTTATTGGTTCAGCATGAATTTCTGGTCTTCTGTTAAGAAATACGCTCTTTCATTGAAAGTGAACATTGAGGCAGTAAACTCCAAATACAGCTGCAGGTACTATCTCCTGCTGATTTGTGTGTATAGAGCATGAAAGAAAGGCTCAGAAACAAAAGCATGTTGGAAAAATAAGCAGAAGGAGGCATTTACTTGCAAAGAAATGTGAGGAAGTCATTCTTCAAAAGAACTGCCCAAAAAATTAAAAAAATAGAACTTTTTAAGACAAACAATATTATGAAGACTATAGGGTTTATATTAATCTCTTCATGGCAGAAAACAGCAATTTTATCATGGTTATTATATTCAGAAAGTTCATGACATATCTTCAGACAATAAACAGCATTGTAAAGTCAAGGATAAAGTGATTTTCATTAAGGAGTTAGCAAATCTCAGGAAATGCTCAAGGTTTTATTCATTTGGAGGACTGCAGGTAGACAGAGAGACCCTTTTATTGTTTCTTTATGTCAGAGTGCAGAGTTTTTTTTTCTCTGTTTCTTCAGCAGTGGGACATGATGAATGGGCTGACAATGGTGTCAGGCCCCGATGTCACTTTGGTTTTTACACTTCATCTTGCGGTCATGTTTCCTTCTCTACAGGACATGTTTGTCTACCTCCATTTGCTGAACAATGTTCCTAATCAGTACTATTGATTTTACATTTTAATTTGATCCATTTTATTTGCACAGATCTAAGAAGTGTTGATTAATATTTAATGACCTCCTAGTATTTTTTTGATGAAACAATAAACTAAGTCTCACAAGTTTACGTCTATCTATAGATTTATAAAGCCCTTGTGGTTTAAATTTACTTTTACATGTTTAACAGCTCAGTTTAGAGCAGACCAAACCAGTCCGTTCACCTCTACCTGATTTCATCTGCAGTATTTATAATGCAAATGTATCCTTTTTAATAAAAGATATCCAATGTCTCGGTGTCCCTGCTCTGCCAAGAAAGGACATTCTTTCTTACCTCCAAGCCTGAGATTGCATAGTCCATAGAGCAAGCACCAGATTGGTTTCCTAGAAGGATGTTATAGGCATCGCTTCTGCGTGAAAAACATAGAAATTATTCTTATTACTGGATTTGTCTTGTCTAGTTAAATTGAATTTGTAGCACAGCTATAAATTTTTTATTAAAAAATTGATTCTTCCTGGCTGGGCAAGGTGGCTCATGCCTGTAACCCCAGCATTTTGAAAGGCTGAGGCCGGCAGATCACCTGAGGTCAGGAGTTTAAGACCAGCCAGGCCAACATGGTGAAACCCCGTCTCTATAAAAATACAAATAGTAGCCTAGCATGATGGTGGGTGCCTGTAATCCCAGCTACCTGGGAGGCTGAGGTGGGAGAAGTGCTTGAGCCCAAGATTGAGAGGTTGCAGTGAGTTGAGATCACGCCATTGCACTCCAGCCTGGGCAACAGAGCAAGACTCCATCTCAAAAAAAAAAAAAAAATTCTAATTAGTAATATATTCAGGTAGAAGGGAGGACAAATTCTTATTGAACCAATATAAATAACTACATAGTCACAAAAAGTAAATGTTTTTATTAAAGAAACTTTGTGCAAGATTTAACCAATATTGCTAATTAAGGGTATGTTAATAGACAAAACCAAATATTGTATGTCACAATTCTTTACAAAATAATTATTTGTATGTTTTTCTTGGCAACTTATTAGCTTTGTTTTTATATTAAGAATTTCTGCAAGGTATTTTTTCCCTCAACACTAAGAATTCAGAGTGTTTTATTTAGTTTTTACAAATTTAATAATTTGTAAATTTAATTGGAGATTAAAGGTAGATTAAGAAGAAAGAAAATGGGTTGTTCTCATGTTCATTAAAGTAGAAAATTAAACTAACCTCAATTAAATTGCCTTACTGAGGCCCTTTAATCCTAAATAACAACCTCTTGTCGTGCTGGTCTTGAGTTAAGCAGTCTACTTTCATGAATTCATCCGCTTCTACATTGTGAGTGTCTTGGAACTCCTGACTCATTTACTTCGTATAGTTGGAATATTGTCTGTGGGGACAAGGTCAGCCTATTCTTGGAGGCCTATATCCATGAGTCAATTTCCTGTGGTATCAATAGTATCAACAGTGTCTGCTACCGTTATTACTGGAGCTCTTTTGATATTTCTTCCAGATGACTCAAATTCTGATTGGCGCTTTGTAGAGAGGCTTTTAGGTATGCTTAAAGGGAAAGGAGGGCTGGGCACAGTGGCTCATGTCTGTAATCCCAACACTTTAGGAGGCTGAGGCAGGCAGATCACTTGAGGTCCGGAGTTTGAGACCAGCCTGGCCAACATGGTGAAACCCTGTGTCTACTGAAAATAGAAAAATTAGCCATGCATGGTGGCGGGCACCTGAATATAGCTACTCGGGAGGCTGAGGTAGGAGGACAGCTTGAACCCGAGAGGTAGAGTTTGCAGTGAGCTGAGGTCATACCACTGCACTCCAGCCTGGGCAACAGAGCGAGATTCCATCTAAAAAAAAAAAAAAAAAAGCAGCGGGGATAGGGGGAGGAGATGTTGCTAATAATAAAACTGTAAAGTTTGGTTAATTTTTTGCCATAGCAAACGACATCACAATGGGGGACAGTGGCATTCTCTGTTGAGGTGTAATACATACTCATCTAATGAAATTTTAATCAGTGATTACCGTAAAAGACAGAACACATGAAGAACAATTAGTGCATCCCGATACCTCTCCAGGGCCTTTAATTTTCCCCACAAAGTAGATATTATTATTTGTCACCAACTGAGAAGTTTACTTTTTTTAATCAGTTGGTTGACATTTATTGCACCAGTCTTTGTACATGAACATAAATATGCCTGAATCCAACCTGAGAAGTGCACAATTATTGTAACATAGCCACAGTAATCATACATAATTATTGCATTTAATTAATTTAAGATGATTTTATTGCTATTTTCTCAGAATATGGCCTTGAAAAACACAGCAGCTTCCACTATATTGAGCATAGTTTTGAGCCAATTAAATATCTGGAGAATGCAAAACATTACCTTTATTTCTAATATATCTTCATGTTAAGAGCTAGGAGGAGGATCTCTGGAGTTTCCCAGCAGCCATCTGAGAAACCCAGAGATACTGTATTCATAAATAACATCTCAGTAGTTTTACTATTTTGGATTTGAGGGTTAAATTTGGGGAATATGGTATCAAAAACAGTGTCACAGGTGGGGGCTGCAGATGTGAAGGGCCTGCTATCAATCAGGTGACCCTGGATGGACTACCCACTCGCTGTGTCAGTCCAGGATCCCAGCTGTAGTGGGTTCCTCTCTGCTACAGCACATGTTTCTAAAGGGCAAGAATCTGGGCTCCCAATAACTGACCTCTGTCTCCTCCATCCTGGCTTGTCATGATAGACCCGAACCACCCTCCCATTGAATTTGGGCCCTTGTGGCTCATAGCCACAAGGGAAATTGGGAGCTCACATGTGAAAGGCAGAATTAAGTTAACGCACCTTCTTCCAAAGTCTTACGTTTGTTTGTAGCCCAGGTGCCCCTGTTTCCAGCAGGAGTATTAGCAGTACCAGGCAGCCACTCCCCAGAGTTTGTGTTTCTGAGCTTTCCCATCATCAGTTAATTGGAAATTTCAGGAACTGTCCCTGCCTTACAATGCCTGCTCTGATCTACAGGTCTTTTGGAGACAGACAGCAGGTGATGGGGCATGCCAAAGAGATAAAAATGTCTTCTGATAATCAGGGGTCAGCAGATGAGTATGAAAGCTAATTATCCCCACTACTCAGGGAATTTAGAGGCTTCCCCTTTTGTCTTTGTAGGAATAGCAGACTTTCTGACTGTAATGTCCAAAGTTCTTTACAAGTTGAAGTACAGAAGAGATCAGAAAATGTCTTACGCACATGAGAGTTGTTATCCAAAGATTTGTCATAGGAGCAGCGACTCTAGGTGTTCTCTATTCTATTTAGAAGAATTACATTAGATTTTGATTCCTCAATGTGGCCAAGAAATAGAGCTACTTGCTGGGAGCAAGAAAGATAACATGACTTCTGAAAACTATTTATTATGAAAAATGAATTTTCATTATGTAGCAAATTACACTGCAGAAGTATTACAAAGAATTCTCATAGACATGGTATATTAAATCTCAAATCAATAATCATACATAGTCAATTAAAAATATCTTTGTTGATATCTTTCAGAACCTGGGAAATAATTTTCTGACTTTCAAATTTTTTAGTTTCTATTCAGTGGCAGAAAATCTATATTGTGCCAAACCAGTCTGAAAATTAGTAGTTGATTATATGCTGGACACAGAAAAATTTTCTATAACCTGTTAAATGCAACACTCCATTCATTGCTTAATTCTCCCCAAATAGCATAAGGTAATTAAGGCTTTTGTAAACTTTTTTCTTTTTTTAGAACAGCCTACAGTGACAGAGGAGAATGGTTATATTGTTAATTAAAGCTGGTTCATCACTCATGTGGTAAACCTGACTCACATGGAAACTTAACTATTTTATCACAAAGATAAATGTTTATCATTTAAATATGTATGTATTCACTTTTATACTTCTTGAAAGGATTTCTAGGAGTACAAAGTAAACTACTATAAATCTCTTTTCTCCCGGATGGCAATATTGCTGTGGGTGAGAAACAATTTAGTCCAGGAGAGCTATATCTAATCCGGTAGGACACTGTGGAGAATACAAGTGTTAAATTTTTGCTAAAAAACTAATATATGGCCGGGAGTGGTGGCTCACGCCTGTAATCCCAACACTTTGGGAGGCCGAGGAGGGTGGATCACCTGAGGTCAGGGGTTCGAGACCAGCCTGGCCAACATGGTGAAATCCCATTTCTACTAAAAATACAAAAATTAGCCAGGCATGGTGGCAGGCGCCTGTAATCCCAGCTACTCAGGAGGCTGAGGCAGGAGAATCACTGGAACCCGGGAGGCAGAGGCTGCAGTGAGCCAAGATGGCGCCATTGCACTCCAGCCTGAGGGACAAGAGCAAGACTTTGTCTCAAAAAAAAAAAAAGGCTAATATATGGAGATTGATTTATTATTTTATCAAAAAGGTAACCCAAATACTAATATGACTTTTTTGAGACCATCCATTTAACAAATTGACTAAAAGACTCAAAAGTTCTTTTATGTTTTATGCCCAAACTAATTAACATTGAGTAAAGTTAGTCCAAAAATTATAAACGTTTTATTGCTCATTTAAACTCATTATTTGCAGCTATTATAAGCTATAGCAAATGAAGTTTACTTCCCTCAGATATTCTACAATTATTGTATGCCCTTAAATTTGTATTTTAAAATTCAGTTTTATATTCTAGCAAAACTCTACAATTTGCCTTTTAGACAAAATTACTCTCTTTGCCTTGATAAGCAAAAACACATTAATTATATTGCATGCACTTTTCTAAATACTCAAACTGACTTAATTTCTTAAAGTAGTATAAAAGAACATGTGCATTAATCAGAACTAAGGGTACTTTTACATACTGTTCATTCTCCTACTTGATAGCCACTCTATAATGTGTAAAAATATGCAGCAAGGATATGTTAAAAATTTTATGAGACTTATCCAAAGATTTTTCACTAATTATCTCAATGAAATATTAGCCAAGCTCATAAAGCTAACTAGTATGTTAAAATTCATTTTAAACTGACACACTGCAGAGAATTTATACTAAAATATAAAAATTTACATGAAAATTGTGTTACATATGAAATTTGAATTTTTTACCAGGTAGGGTATGTGTGGTTTTACCTATACAGTATAATTATTTGTAGCCCCATCTCAAGTTACAGGAACAAATGTTTTAAAAAATACTAGTTTAATAATTCAATTCAGCTGAGCCTTAAATCGAGTAGGGGACATCTAGAAAGCTCTGGTAAGTTAAAATATTTTATAAACCAGAAAAATATGCTAACATTAATTCTAAGATTGTGATAAAATCAGAGAAAAAACATAATTAATTTAAACCAAAATTATCAAACCATATACATTTATCCAAGGATTTCCCATGATTAAAAATATTACTGAACTTTACTTCAGTCAAATTTTTGAAACGCTTCAATTTTGTTCTGAAGCACTGAAGTCCTTTGCGTTATGCGATTCTCTTACCCGCCTGCCTTCCCTTGCTTCTCGCCTTCTGACATAGCAACAAAGTCCATTAATTCACCTCAGAACTAAACCTCTCTATAGATTTTTTCTTCTGAGCTGCAGTTCAGCAAGTTACCTGTGCTAGTATACATAAGCCAAGGAAAACAGAAGCTCCATTAAACTTAAGAAATTGTTTAACCTAATTCATTAATTTTCTCCAGAGATAGGAAAATGTACAATAATTTGTTCAGAAGATATTTACATACATACAACAAGAAGTCATTATCAAATTCGGAGCCAGTGATGATTTTCTCCCTGCTTTATTGTAGACTTTCATATGCTATTTATTTATAGTCCTTATCCAGTCAGATTATAGATTATGGTAGAGATGTAATTTTTGAGGTTGAGTAATACTTTACTGTTGATGTATAGAATATTCCTCACAACTTATTTTAACTCATTTTTATATTTCTATGAGATTTTCCTTGTTTGGGGTTTTTTGTTTGTTTGAGAAAAGGGCTAGAGAAATTTAAATGCTTGAAAACCTTTAGAGTTTTCAGAAGCACCCAGAACTTCAAAGAAACACAAAGCTATTCTCATTAATGCTTTCTTAAGACAAATAAAGCAAAGCCCTACCAACAGTTAGAGCTCTCCATTTTTCAAGCTATGCAAGATTGTCTCCAATAGTTATGGCTTCAGCAGTGGTTCAACTTGAGTGTGCATCAGAACCACCTGCAAAGCCTAATTAAACGGATTCCTTGGCTCACTTGGCAGTATATGACTCAGTAGGTAAGATTTGAGAATTTGCATATCTAACAAGTTGCCGGGTAATACTGATACCGATGTCTAGGGACTATGAGAATCACTAACCTAGAGTGTTTAAAAAATGACCAATTTCTGTGCCCAATTATCTGCCAAAGTTTCCTAAGAGAAGGAAAACAGCAACAAACAAACAAACCAAAACAGAGAGAAACTGAGAGAAACAGCCACAACTGGAAACTAGTAACACAAAAACAAACCATTGTAAAAGCTAATTAACTTATTTTCATACCAATGGGGAAAGATTTTTATTTCATTTTGGACCCACAAAAAGCTTTAGGAGTTTTTTCATGTGCCAGAAGGAAGCACATAACCTCCAAATTCACAATCTATTCTTTGCCCGTTTGCTGTAGTTACTCTTCGTACCAAAGGTTCTGAGTCTGGAGTCTCTGCTTCCACTCGTCAGATAGACTTTCTCCTTACATTGTGGTCTCTCACTGAATGTTCTCACCCACTGCTTCCTCACTACGTAATATCTGCCCAAGAAGCTCCTGTCTTCTCATTCTCCCATCCCATATGCTGACATTCTTTCCAGTCCCTGCATTGTTATGAGAGCTCAGTGGGGGAGGGAGCTGAATGTCTGTATTCAGTCCACAACTACGATCTAGGATACTCTGTATTAACCATAAATAATTGATGCAAGTTTCTTCCACTCAGCCATAGCTGAGCCAGATTACCCGCAATGCTATCTCATCCCACCACAGTCTCTACGACTAATTTCTATTATACAAGGTAAGATCAACATTTGAAGTGATTGAGTTTAAACATAAAAAGATGTATTGGCTCCTGCGACTGGGCAGTCTTCAGGGTTAGTTGCTTGAGTGATCAACGATACCATTAAGATTATGATTGGGACATGAAAAAAAGAACTGGCAAATAAGGAGAGAACTTTGACCATAGAAAGGCATTTAATCCTTGTGTTGTTTTGAGCGCCCTAAAGGAAAAGACAAATTAAAGGCAGATCCTAACAGAACTATTAACAAAGAAGGAAGAGGGTGAATGAGACTCTTGAATCAAAAATTCTTAATTCTTAACTCCACCTGTGAAATCTTACTTAATCTGGTTATACTAAGAATAATCATCACACCATTCTGTCTCACATTCTAGAAGGCTTTGTAGTGGTAGAACTGTAAACAACATATAAACATTTCTGAAATATTGTGGTTGTTTTATCTTCCATAAGCCTCACACAAGCCGTGTGTATGATCATCCATCTTCTGGGCCATTATCTGATTATTGCTGCTATCTCTCGCTTTGGGGAAAGGAGAGTCTCTTTCCTTATCAATAGTATTGGATCAGCTCTTCTAATTTCATGATGACATGAGTGTTCAGGAATGATGGAAGGCAAATGTAACTCTGAGAAAACTTTGTTTAACTACTGCATTTCACAAGTCCATATCCATCCTAGAAGATCTTCCAGCCTGCTCTCTGCCTTGCTCCCAAGATGGCCACATGTAGGTCTCTTCTTTCCCATAACCAGAGGGTTATAGATTATATTATCTTTCAAAGTCTGGGATAAACCAATTTCTCACTCTAAAGAGAACAACGTGTTTTGATTTTTCCAACCCTAACCCTAGCCTAAAGTCTACCTTCTAATCCTATCTTTATTATAAATGTCCCTGGATTGATCTTTCAAGGGATTTTTGCCTACTGAAAAAATATTACTCTCACTCAAAGAATTGTGGCCTGACAAGAAATCTACAAGAGTCTTGGACACAGAGGCCAAAACATCATAACGTCTGGATTATTCAGGCTAAAGTAATATCACCTGTTGGTTACCCACAGCCCAGTCCTCAGCTTCAGACAATGCCGGAGTCACTAGTGTTCTGTTTTCTTTCCTCTATCATTCCTATTCAAAAATTCTAAAAATTTGGAGTTCCATTTCTCTTAAGAAGACATGAATACATTAGTACAGTAACATATTTATCTCTACTTCCTTGAAATTTTATTGAGAAATCCATCATTTTCCAAACTTTTCTTTCTATTGGTGTAAAACAGGGATGAATGGCCATGAGCACTTCATTGCCTCATCTCAGGTGACACTTTTCTGCCCTTTGAAAAGCCTATAATGTACTTTATAATGTAGTTTAACTTTTCCACTTCACCTCATGTAAACAAACTGATTTTCCAACTTATCAATACAGTATGAACATTTCTCCAAGTCAATTAACAAAAAGAGGAAATATCACTTTAAATGAATGCACAGTTTCTCTATATAGAGAAAAATAATATGTGTGCATATATGCATGTGTAAATATATGTATATGACTAAATTCTACAAGTTTTTAAACTATCTTTTTACTGATGGAGACTCATCATGATTTTTTTCCCCCTGTACTACAAACAAAGTAGCCATAAACATTCTAACATTCTGGAGTATGGTATCCCTTATATGAAATGCTTGGGACCAAAAATATTGTAGATTTTGGATTTTTTCAAATTTTGAAATATTTTCATATCATAACATGATATGTTAGGAATGAGACCCAATCTAAATTTATTTACATTCCCTACATATAGTATACATGTAGCCTGAAGGTAATTTTATGTATTTGTAAAATTTTGTGCAAGAAACAAAATTTTGACTGTCTTTTGGCTGTGACCAGTCATATAATGTCATATGTGAAATTTTTCACCTGTGGCATCATATCAGTGCTCAAAATGTTTCCAATTTTGAAGCATTTCAGATTTCAGATTTTTTAGTTGACCTTGGAACAACATGGGTTTCAACTGTGCAGGTCCGCCTACACTGGTATTTTTTTAAAAAAATAAATATATCAGAAAAAGTTTTGGAGAATTGCAATTGAAAAAACTAGCAGACTAACTGCATAGCCTAGAATATAAGAAAAAAATTAAGAAAAAGCTATGTACATCCTGAATGCATAAAGTATATGTATATGTTAATCTATTTTATCATTTACTACCATAAAATATACACAAATCTATTATAAAAAGTTAAAACTTATCAAAATGTATGCACACAAACCGTACAAGTCACTATTTGCAGTCAAGAGAAACATAAACAAACATAAAGATGCTGTATTAAACCACAACTGCATACAATTAACTATAGCACATACTGTACTACCCAAATAATTAGTTTTATTTTATTTTTATAAATGTGCTAGGTACAAGCATACTTTTATTATATGATTGTTTTGTTATTTGGATATATTGCTAGTGGTGAAGTCTGAGCTTTTACTGTACTCATCACCCCAATAGTGAACATTGTACCCAATAATAATTTTTCAACCCTCACTCCCCTCCAACCCTGGCATCTTTTGGAATATTCTCCAGCGTCTACTTTCCAGTGTATGTACTATTATAATAATTTTGTAGCCACCCCCTGTTGCTACTGTGGTGAGCTCATGTTGCCAGTATCTGCCATGAGCACTTGGTCTCTTCAGTAAATTCTGTATCTAAGTAAATAGTGTGTTCTCTCACAGTTCTCTTTTCATTGTGCTTAGTGTAATACTATAAATCTTGAATAACACCATGAGACCAATACAAAGTGCCACAAGTGATGCTGGGAGTGCTCCCAAGAAGCAGAGAAAAGTTGTGACATTATGAGAAAAAGTTAGATTGCTTCCTATAGATTGAGTTCTTCAGCTGCCTGCCATTTCAAAATAAATGAATCCAGTGTAAGGTCCCTTAAAAAAAAAAAAGAGAAATTCATAAGGCCTCATTTCATGCCAACAGGCATGAAAACCTTGTCCTTTCTTATCTCATATTCAAAATGCAGCTTTTATGTGGGGTACAGAATTGCTATAAGAAAGACATACCTATAGACTCTTATTTGATTCAAGAAATAGCGAAGTCATTATTTGACAACTTAAAGTAAAAGCAAGATGAAAGATCTAAAGCTGGAGAATTTAATGGCAGCAAAGGATGATTTGATAATTTTAGAAAGTGGTTTGGTTTTAAAAATGTCAGGATAATGGGAGTAGCAACTTCTGCCAACCAAGAACCAGCAAGTGAATTCTCAAATGCCGTTAAGAAAAACATTGAGGAGAAAGGATATCTGCCTGAATAGGTATTAATGCAGCTGAAAGTGCCCTATTCCAGGGGGAAAAATAAAAGCCACAAAGGTCATTTATTAGTAAGGAAGAGAAGCAAGCACCAAGATTTAAGGCAGGAAGGGATAG
This sequence comes from Homo sapiens, assembly GCF_000001405.40. Classification (NCBI taxonomy): domain Eukaryota; kingdom Metazoa; phylum Chordata; class Mammalia; order Primates; family Hominidae; genus Homo; species Homo sapiens. The sequence goes on from NC_000001.11 coordinate 120,868,893, forward strand.
GCTAACTCTACTGCTTTGTGCAAATGTAGTCGGGTTTATGATCAGGGCTGCCCTTAACTATAAAGCTGCTAACCCCTGAGTCTTGAAAGGGAAAAGAGAAACACTAGTTGCCAGTCTTTTGGTTGTACAACAAGAAGGCCTGGACTATGAGAATGCTTTTTCTGGATTAGTTCCATCAGTGCTTTGTCCCTGAAGTCAGAAGTACCTTGCCAGTAAGGGACTGCTTTTTAAAGTTTTTTGTTGTTGTTGTTTAATTGGAAAATGCCCCCTGGCCACCCAGAACCCCATGAGTTCAACACCAAAGGCACTGAAGTGTTCTCCTTTTCCCCCAAACACATCTCTACTTCAGCCTCTAGATAAGGGAGTCATAAGGACCTTTAAGGCTCTACATATGGCACTCTATGGAAAGGTTTGTCAACATTGCAAAAGAGAAACCCAATACAGAGAACATCATGGAAGTCTGGAAGGCTTACACCTTTCAAGATGTCATCAGTTGATATAGAAAACCATGAAACTCAAAACAATAAATTCCTGCTGGACAAAAGTACAATTTGTGTCCAGATGTTGTGCATAGCTACAGAATTACGACAAACCCAATTTAGAGAAAACCATGGAAAGAAGTATGGATATGAAGGGAAAAAAAGGTGTGGAGTGAAGGGTTGCAAGATATGGATCTTGGAGGAATTTAAGAGCTAATACACACCACACCAGAGGAATTAACAAAAGATGACTTCATGGAGATGAGTGCTTCCTAACCAGTGCCAGATAATGAGGAAGAAGACATAGGAAAAGCAGTGCCAGAAAACAAATTGGCATTCAACAATCTGGCAAAAGAGCTTTGATTATTCAAGACTACTTTTGACTTCTTTTATGACATAGACCGTTCCATGATACAGGAACTGAAACTAAAGCAAATGGTGGAAGACGGATAGGTACTACACTGAAATGTTTTTAGAGAAATGAAAAAGCAAAATAGACAGAAATAATGATGTATTTTTGTAAAGTTTCACCAAGTGTGCTTGCCTCTTTTGCTTCCCCTTCCATCCCTTCACCCTCTTCCACCTCTGCTACCCTAAGACACAAAGACCAGCTCCTCCTCCTCCTCCTCTGCCTACTCAACATGAAGACAACAATGATGAAGACCTTTAGGATGATCCACTTCCACTTAATGAATGGGTCATATATTTTCTCTTCCTTACAATTTTCTTGATTATAATTTCTTTTCTGTAGCTTAGTTTATTGTAAGAATACAGTATATAATACACATAGCATGCAAAATATGTCTTAAATGTAACGCATGTTATCAGTAAGCCTTCTGGTCAACAATAGGTTATTAGTTTGGGGGGAATCAAAAGTTGTATGCGGATTTTTCACTGTGTGGGAGGCCAGCTCCCCTAACCCTATGTTGTTCAAGGGGCAACAATATTCTTTCTCACTGGCACTTTACTTTCCATAAATTCAAATCCCAAAAGTAGAACTGCAAGTTCAAAAGGATTTTTAAAAAAATAATTACTGTCAGATTACAGAAAGTTTCCAATTTACATTTTCACTACCAATGTACAATGTTGGCGTCCCTGAATCCTTATCAGCAATGAATTTTTAAATATACTATAAGAGATGAAAAAAATTTTTTTAAATTTGGAATTCCCTGATCACTAATGAAGTTAAGCATCAATATTATTCCTTTAATATGCAAATGCTGAAAATACATTTAACTATAATAGATGTCAAAAATCTGTAAATCAGGCTAGGTGTGGTAGGCACTCACCTGTATTCCCAGCCACTGGGAGACTTGAGTCCAGGAGTTCCAGACTGTAGTATGCAATGATCAAGCCTGTGAATAGCCACTGCACTCCAGCATGGACAACATAGCAAGACCCCATCTTTTTTTTTAAAAAAGAGTCTATAAGACAAAGGTCCTCATAAATTAAGAGAAGCCAAGACAGTCACTGTGACTGCAGAATATTTTAATTTTTTTTTATTATATTTTAAGTTCTAGGGTACATGTGCACAACGTGCAGGTTTGTTACATATGTATACATGTGCCATGTTGGTGTGCTGCACCCATTAACTCATCTTTTACATTAGGTATATCTCCTAATGCTATCCCTCCCCCCAGCCCCCCACCACAGAGCAGGCCACAGTGTGTGATGTTCCCTTTCCTGTATCCATGTGTTCTCATTGTTCAATTCCCACCTGTGAGTGAGAACATGCGGTGTTTGTTTTTTTGTCCTTGTGATAGTTTGCCGAGAATGATGGTTTCCAGCTTCATCCATGTCCCTACAAAGGACATGAACTCATCCTTTTTTATGGCTGCATAGTATTCCATGGTGTATATGTGCCACATTTTCTTAATCCAGTCTATCACTGATGGACATTTAGGTTGGTTCCAAGTCTTTGCTATTGTGAATAGTGCCGCAATAAACATACGTGTGCGTGTGTCTTTATAGCAGCATGATTTATAATCCTTTGGGTATATACCCAGTAATGGGATGGCTAGGTCAAATGGTATTTCTAGTTCTAGATCCTTGAGGAATCACCACACTGTCTTCCACAATGATTTAACCAGTTTACAGTCCCACCAACAGTGTGAAAGTGTTCCTATTTCTCCACATCCTCTCCAGCACCTGTTGTTTCCTGACTTTTTAATGATCGCCATTCTAACTGGTGTGAGATGGTATCTCATTGTGGTTTTGATTTGCATTTCTCTGATGGCCAGTGATGATGAGCATTTTTTCATGTGTCTGTTGGCTGCATAAATGTCTTCTTTTGAGAAGTGTCTGTTCATATACTTCTCCCACTTGTTGTTGGGGTTGTTTGTTTTTTCTTGTAAATTTGTTTGAGTTCATTGTAGATTCTGGATATTAGCCCTTTGTCAGATGAGTAGATTGCAAAAATGTTCTCCCATTCTGTAGGCTGCCTGTTCACTCTGATGGCAGTTTCTTTTGCTGTGTAGGAGCTCTTTAGTTTAATTAGATCCCATTTGTCAATTTTGGCTTTTATTGCCATTGCTTTCAGTGTTTTAGACATGAAGTCCTTGCCATGCCTGTGTCCTGAATGGTATTGCCTAGGTTTTCTTCTAGGGTTTTTATGGTTTTAGGTCTAACATGTAAGTCTTTAATCCATCTTGAATTAATTTTTGTAAAAGGTGTAAGGAAGGGACCCAGTTTCAGCTCTCTACATATGGCTAGCCAGTTTTCCCAGCACCATTTATTAAATAAGGAATCCTTTCCCCATTTCTTGCTTTTGTCAGGTTTGTCAAAGATCAGATGGTTGTAGATGTGTGGTGTTATTTCTGAGGGCTCTGTTCTGTTCCATTGGTCTATATCTCTGTTTTGGTACAAGTACCATGCTGTTTTGGTTACTGTAGCCTCGTAGTCTAGTTTGAAGTCAGGTAGCGTGATGCCTCCAGCTTTGTTCTTTTCGCTTAGGATTGACTTGGCAATGCGGGCTCTTTTTTGTTTCCGTATGAACTTTAAAGTAGTTTTTTTCCAATTCTGTAAAGAAAGTCATTGGTAGCTTGATGGGGATGGCATTGAATCTATAAATTACCTTGGGCAGTATGGCCATTTTCACGATATTGATTCTTCCTATCCATGAGCATGGAATGTTCTTCCATTTGTTTGTGTCCTCTTTTATTTCCTTGAGCAGTGGTTTGTAGTTCTCCTTGAATAGGTCCTTCACATCCCTTGTAAGTTGGGTTCCTAGGTATTATTTCAAATATTATTGTAAAACAATGAGATATTGAAACATACATTGGAGCAAACTCTTCTTCATTCTTAAATCCTTTCAGCACAGAGACAATCAACTGACTGTCTGGGTACTACCTGACCACTATTGGAGTCTCTTTCATCTGCCTGAGTCTGTGCAACAATATGAAATTATAATTTTACTATGCACCTAAACTTTCCTCAATATATTGAATTCTTACAGAATTTGAAGAGTCAAATTTTGTAAATCCAGTTACCTTTTTCCACTACTCTAGGCCTCATATACTATCTGGCCTAAGGGTTAAAGGTCCACAATTGAATAAGCCAAACTTGTTAATTTGAGGGTAAAGCATGTCAAGAAATCTGGCCTTAATGTCCAATGAACTTATGTCATATTAAGTAGCTGGATAGAAACATGCATTCCAAAGTGGATACTGTTTATCAGGCTCAGTGCTCTATTCTTGACAGTAAATCCCAGAATAGGGTGGATGCTTTAATTTTGTATTAAATAGTATTAGGTGTAATATCAAAACCACTAAGGGAACACTAATGATGAGAATAGGAACACTAGCTGTGGAGCTGGCAATTTTCTATAGAAATCCTATCTCTTTCAATTGCCTGTTTAGTGGGCAAGTGTTTCAGTTCCTATAATATCTAAATTGGAGAAAATCACCCCACCTACTTCTTCAGGTGTTATGATAATTATGAGGGATAACATCTTTTTAAGTGTTTAACACAATTCCTCACACATAGAAAGCAATAATAAACATTGGCTAGCATTGTAAGGATGGATTATTGTCTTTCAATGTGTTTTCATACATTTTCTTTCTGGGATCTTGAGTGAAACATGTGGATCTATAACAAGAACAAAATGATGTTACCTTGATGATCTCTATGTAGGGTCACACTAAAGGCATCTTAAAATATTTTGCTGGCCAACAAAAGACACCTCCTGTTCTAATTGGGCATTGTCCTTTTCTTTAAACTATGCAGACAAACAATATTATAAAGTGAGAACATCCACATAAAAAACCTAAACATAAATCTTAATAGTGAGTTCATGAAAATTCTTACTGATGAAATGGCAATGTCACAGACTGACTGTTTATGTCCCCCCAAATTTGTATATTGAAATCCTAACCCCCAAACTACTCGTGTTAGGAGATAGAGCCTTGGGGAGGTGATTAGGTCATGAGGACAAGATTCTCATGAATGGGATTTGTGCCCTTATAAAAGAGATCCCAGAGAGCTCATTGGCCCCTTCCAAAGTATGGGGATACAGCAGGAAGTTGCCATCTATGAGCCAGAAGGGTGAACCTCACCCCAGATGCTGAATCTGCCTTGATATTGGACTTCCCAGCCTGCACAACTGTAAGAAATTTCTGTTGTTTATAAGTTACTCAGCTTGTGGTATTTTGTTACAGCAGCCTACACAGACTAAGACAAGTAGCATTTTGAGGATTAAAATTTCTTCATAAATGAATAGAGTATGCCCTGTTAAACCATATTCTCAGCTAACCCCATTTACTCACTGTTCCTCTTTATTTTAGTTTCACATTTTTGCTATTTATCTCTGTAATTTCATTCATTCTTCACAATTTGCCATTCTTATACTTCGAATCATGTTATCAGTTTATAATACCTCCATCAAATGATAGTCTGCATTTGTTTATCCTTGGCTGATTCAAAACACTTGGCATAATTTCCTTAAAGGAAATCATCTTCATCTCACCTCACAACACTGTATTATTTTCAATTAATTTCCAATAAACTCTTAATTGTCCATGCTCTGTCAGAGTTGGCAGAGTTAATCCCTGTTTAAGCTAATAGGTTCAACTTCTTCAACAAACAAATCTGGCTGCTGACAAGCCAGAGTATTAATTAAATCTAGTTTCATTGCTTCTCACTTTCCTTGATCTTTCTCTCTTGTTCTTTGGGAAACAGTCACAGAGTTCTGGCGCTAATAAATACTATAAAAAGTAGGAAATACAGTCTAAAGAAGCAGAATATTCTGTTTAAAGTTGATGTGGTGCTTTTTGTGCACCAAGCATTGGCTCAAAAGCCTGAAAATTAGGCAGCAATACTTCCTAAGCTCATCTTCAACCATAAGGCAGAAAAGCCAAACATATCTGAAAATATAATATCACTGGTACCTTATACCAGCACTAAGAATAAGAAAACCCTGGAAAGTGGCTCAAGTACAATATTTTTCTATTGGAATTAATTTTTCAAAATGGAAAGGACTTCATTGTTATTTTTATTATAAAATTAGTATATGTTTATTATTAAAAATAAGTACAAAAATCTCTAAAAGAAAAAGGGAAAAATTACCAGCAGTTCCACATTCCAGATATCATCACTGTTAGCATTTAGGATACAAATATCCAAACACTTTTTCTATCAATACATTTAATTTTTAAATTTGACCATTACGCAATGTACACATGCACTAAAGCACCACACTGTACCCCATAAACATGTGCAATTATTATGTCAATTAAAAACAAAATAAAAGCATTTTACAAAAAATCATGTTATTTTTAATAACTTGTTTTTCTAATTTTATACACCATAAAATAAATGTCTTTACATGACATTTATTTTATGATAATAACTAATTTACTCATTTAAACAGCAAGGTACATTTCATTCTACAGATATACTATATAATATTTACTCTGATCTCTGGATGAGAATTTATGTTGCCTGTAAATATTGTATCACAAACATTATAAGAATAATCTCTGTAAAGGTTTTTTTCCTGTATTATTATTTGGGTAGAAAAATTACTAGAAATAGAATAACTGGGTCAAAGATTAAAGACAATTTAAATTTCAATATATAGAATCAAATTATTCTCCAAAATATTGTACTCTACAGTATTTGAATTTTGATTTTTTTCTCCATTTTCACTACTGCCAATAACTTTAATCTTTGTCGATAAATGAGACAAAAAAGACGAATAATGCAATATTATACAAGGGAGATTAATAGGTAGAAAAAGAAATGTAATGGCCAGGAGTAACAGAAGATGTTCAACATCAATCCAATCAAATTAGTCTTTAAAATGCAATAGCAGTCAATGTTAGCAAGAGTGTAGGTATTAGACATTCTCATAGGAATATAAACTAGGGCCATGTTTTAGGATCATATTAGATCGCAGCAATTAAAAAATGTTAAATTCATATGTTCTATAGCAACTTTTCAGGTTGGAATTTATCACTTGGAGAATCTTGTAAAATACATAAACCAAGATATGTTATTAATGTTATTGGTAGCCTATTGTTTAAATAAAAAATATATTTATACAATACAGTTGTTAAAAGTTAAGAATATCTTGAAGGTAAATTATTAAACAAAAATAGAAAGCCTAGGCCAGGCAAGACTTCATGTCATGCTTGTAATCCCAACACTTTTGGAGACTGAGGCTGGAGGATTGCTTGAGCCCAGGAGTTTGAGACCAACCTGGGCAACACAGTGAGACCTCATCTCTAGAAAAAAAAAAATACAAAGCTTAGTTCTGAACATCCTTTTGTGTAATACTAAAAGATAAAATTTTATTTTCTAACTTGTTTAAGATCTATATTCTATACGGGGGATGTGTATTAAGGTCATTTTTAAAAAGGTACTCAAGAAATTGTCAACAGTGATTATCTTAAGGAGAGATTCTAGATGTCTGGGGGTAAGAGACTAGAGGAAAGAGAATTTTATATTTCATTTTTACCTTTATTTAATTTTTTGATTTTCTTACTGGGTGCATGAATTATATTTTTATGTCAGCATGTTTTATCAGATAAATAAAATTATGAGCTATTTCTGTTTTCTCTCATTTGTTTTATGTTTAAATAAAGGAAAATGAGATATGTCTTTTTAAATTAGATAATCTTGAGTCCATGATTATTATGAAAGCCCTCTGTTATCTTTTTCCTTCCTTTCACAATGACTATTTATGTTGTAGAATCATTAATTTCTCAAGACAAATGTCTTAGAAGGTAGATACAAAAAAAGGTATACATTTTTTGATTCAAGCTAATTTCATGTTATGAACAAAATTACGTAATGTCATTTCTAAGACCTTTCTGTGATCTATCAATCCACTAGGTTAAAGAGCAGAAATCACTTCCAAAACAAATCCTTTTGCAGTCAGCAAAATGAAGCAATTATATGAATAAGTTTTTCCACTTGGCCTATTTTTCTACCCAGGGTTATTAATCAGTCTCATTGACTACATTTTCCGTTTTACATCCCCTTTCAGGCACTACTGCAGATGGCCAAGCATATCACATTATGTAAATAAAATAAAACAAAATCTTCTCCCATTGAGCAAATGGATATACTTCACCTCTAATGCTTCCAGTCTTTCTCAGATCATTCAAAAAGCATGATATGGTTTCCATAAAAGGACATTCATCCCATTTGACTAACTGGAATTTCTTTACTCCAGCTAATCTTTACCAAAGAGCTGAATTAATTCAAGTTGACACCCTGTTATCTACCAGCTCTTCCAGCCCTTTTGCTTGATTGTTTTGTCATTTTGTCTTTTCTTTTCTTCTAAAGTGGGAGTATGGAGATTTACCCTTCTGAAACAGCTGTGTCACATCATGATCCTTGAGGATATCAGCTCTTAACTGGCTGCACATCAAAATCACTGTTTCCTTTGACCAATACTCTAGACACACTCAAGCAGAGATTCTGGATTCTGATTTAATTGACACAGAGTAGGGCCTGGGCATTTTTACAGCTCCCCACATGATTCTATTGTGCCTCATCTATCCTAGCCCTTAAGCAGGACCAAACATTTGTTCTATCTTAATTATTATTCTCTTAAACTTAGTCCAATTCCTTACAACTGATAGCTTTCTATATACTCATCTGCCTTGAGTGATGACAATTGATATGGTTTGGCTGTGTCCACACCCAATCTCATCTTGTAGCTCCCATAATTCCCACATGTTGTGGGAGGTGCCCAGTGGGAGATAACTGAATCATGAGGATGGGTCTTTCCTGTGCTGTTCTTGTGTTAGTGAGTAAGTCTCATGAGATCTGATCATTTTTAAAATGGGAGTTTCCCTGCACAAGCTGTCTCTTTGCCTGCTGCTATCCATGTAAGATGTGACTTGCTCCTCTTTGTCCTCCACCATGATTTTGAGGCCTCCCCACCCATGTGGAACTGTAAGTCCATTAAACCTCTTTCTTTTGTAAATTGCCCGGTCTCAGGTATGTCCTTATCAGCAGCATGAAAACAGATGAATACAACAATACTGTAACAAATTGACTCACATCTGTTCTCTTTATAGGAATTGCAATGCTACAATATTAGTGGCTCTTAATTCTAAGAGTGTTAAAAAATATTAATGCTTGTCTCACCCCTAAAGTCTAGGGTGTGACCTGAGTATTAGGTTATTTAAAACTTTTCTCAGGTAATAGACATGTGCAGCCAAGGTTGAGAACCACTCTATAGGGCCAAGATATGTAAGAAAATTCAAGTCCTTTAGCTGGGCGTGGTGGCACACAGCTGTAGCCCCAGGTACTCTGGAAGCTGAGGTGGGAGGATTGCTTGAGCCCAGGAGAGAGAGGCTGCATTAAGCTATGATCACATCACTGCACTCTAGCCTGGGTGACAAAGTGAGATCATGTCAAAAAAAATAAAAAGAAAGGAGAAAGAAAGGAAGAAGAGGAAGGAAGGAAGGAAGGAAAAGAAGAAAGAAAGAAAGGAACAAAGAAAGAAAGAAAGAAAGAAGAGAAAAAGAGAGAGAGGAAGAAAGAAAGAGAGAAAGAAAGAAAAGAAAAAGGAAGGAAGGAAAGGAAGAAAGAAAGAAAAAGAGAGAAAGAAGAAAGAAGAAAAGGAAAGAAAGAAAGGAAGAAAGAGAGAAAGAAGGAAAAGAAAGAAAATTCAAGTCCTGCCTTGTAAAATGCAGTACTCCATTTTCCCAAAGAGATCCCAAGGGAAACTTAACTACAGGATAAAGACAAACAAAAGGACATAAATTACAACTACTCTAGGTTCACATATTATTTTGTTTCTGAAATTGGTTTTAAAATATCTATGTCAGAGTTCATTTCTAGAACTTTATCTCTAGAAAACATATTTTCACTTCTCAATACAGGAAAATGGAGACTGGAAAAATGAGGTTGGAAAATGATTTCCATGCTTATCTCTCAGCTTCTTTTTTCAACTTCCCTTTTTCATCTCCGTATCTTCACTGATACCTAGGAATCTCTGTTACATCACAGTCTTCAAGAGCTTTGCTTGCAGCAAATTAGTTAAGACATTAGCTTTCAAAAGTATATGATATTCTCTCACAAGCATTTGTCTACTTTTAATAGGGCAAGCTACGTAAAGATGTTAAATCTCATTCCAGAAATACCACATCTACTCTACCTATTTATGAGAACAGTCGTCTCTAGACCAAGATAGACATTCATAGTTAGGAAATAAATCCCTGTAGGCTTTTTCCACAGTCCCAATATGTCCCCTACTGTCCCGATTTTAGCAACAAAAATCCCCCATCCAGAAAATCCTTCATTCCTGAGTAAGTTGAAAGATTGGTCACCCTATTTCTATCTGTGTCTCTTTCTTTCATAATTGGCTCATAATCATAGCAGTCACAATTTTGAAAAATTTTATTTTACTGAATTACTCATTGCTGTTTTCTCATTTTTTAAATAATAAACACTTATTAAGAAACATTGGAAATATACCGAAAATAGTAAACAATAAAACAGAAACCATTGGCAGAAATAGTCACTATTAAAATCTTAATATACTCCCTTCCAATGTTGTTTCTGTTAATGCAAATTAAAAAATCAGAGATTCGCCTCTGTGAACTAGATCTTTTTACCTTTAGATATTATTTGACAAATATATAGCTCGATCATCTATCCAAACTTCTCTTTTACAGACTCCATGCCAATTAACCTTCTCCTATGAAACTATTATTTCTTCACATAGGATAAATATGGTTTTTGACACACAAACTTTCTTAGTTACACTGCAATCCAGTTGTGCATCTCTAAATTTATACCAATTGGATTTAGAATGATCATTACTAAAGAGGCTTGGTCTTATCTCTTGCAATTTGCTTCTTCCTTCTTAAATTCAATTCTTGTAATGTAACTATAATTTGGGGGTATTTTTTGCCTCATATTCAAATTCTCTTTCAAACTGAGGTACATTTCTGTATTTCTGTATTTGTATATTGTATATAATAGTATAGAAAACAATAATGAGATTATAGTGTACATAAAAGTTTTGAATTATAATTAAATATTTAATATATAAATATATTAAATATGTATAAAATATCTGATTAGTAATAAGATAATAATTTAAAACCTCTGAGTTTTAAAACTAGGACTTTGAAATACCAGCAAAGGCCACCTGCTTTGACCAGCATCTCTTTTCCCTGCCTGCTTTAATCATGTCTTGGGTCCTGACAAATTTGCCCCCAGATCCCTCCCAAATTACTCTCCAACTCTGTTCTATGTTTCAGGAAAATAACATTTATTTCCCAGTCTCCTTTGCCCTCCATTTTCCCAGTAGGCTATCCAGTGAGAGATGCCATAAAAGCCTGCCTCTTCTCTGCAGGGCTGCTTCCCACCAGATAGCCCCTCCCTCCATGGACCCAATTCCCATTAGCTCTAGCAACCTGCCTGAAGTCCTGGCCCCTTGGCTCTGATAATAACACCTTCTTCCATGATCCTTCTAGTCCTAGGGGCAGTACTGGTTTCTTGCTCTTGAGCTGCTGACTCACCAAGCCTGGTTTGGCTTCCATCACTTGTGTAATCAATCACCTGTATTAAATCACCTCTGCTTGAAAGACGAAGAATAGTTTCTGATTTATAAGCAAACACTGAAAGCTCTTCTATTTCTTGTTTGCTAAACAAGATTTGTCAAAGTTAAATATTTTATTTTATTGAATTCACTTTTTGCCTCTTCTACAATGATGATTTGCTTTTCCTCCTTTAACTTGTTAATGTGATGAATTATACATAGTTTTTTTTCTATTGTTAGAAATCCTTGCATTCATGGAACAAACACAATTTTCATACTATATTATCTTTTTTACAGATTTCTAAACTTAATTTGCTAACTTTTAATTTAAAATGTTTGCCGTTAGGTTCATGAGGAAAGTTGGCATGTAATTTTCCTGTCTTACACATTTCTCATATAACATTGGTATCAAGGTTGTACTGGCCTCATAAAATGAACAAACAAATGGACCTTTTTTTATTCTGGAGTTGTTTTTATAAAATGGAAATAATCAATTTCTTGAAAACATTTGATAGAACTCACCAGTAAAAATGTCTGGGCCTGCTGGTTCTCTTCTTCTAAGAAGAATTTGGAACTTATAATTAAAGCTCCTTTAATGTGTTAGAAAACTTTCCAGGTTTCCTTGAACATTAATAAATTCCAATGATGAAAAGCCCTCAGATATTAAATATAACCTTAAATATAACCTTCCCCCAATTCAATTTTTCTTTTGCAGATATGATTAGATACTCTAATTTTTCAACCTCTATTTCACCTATCCATTTTCCTTTCCTCCTCTGTACTGTCTTCAGCATAATTTGTTTAGTCTAACTTCCAACTCACTTATTTTCTTTTTGGTTCTATCCAATATTGTGTTTAACCTGTCCATTTAGTTTTTAATTTTCATTATATTTTTTATTTCTAAAAGATCTCTTAAGTTCAGTTTCAATCTGCTTAACATAAGATACATACACTGTCTCAATTTATATTCCTGGCACACCTCATTGATTTTTTAAACCTATTAAACACAGCTTTTATAGTTATATAATCATCCTAATATCTGAAATCTTTATGGGCATAATTCTGTTTCTGCTCATGATGTTTATTTCCTCATGAGTTTTGTAAGAGTCTTACTTTTTTCTCATTTTGGATGAAATTTTACCTGTGGCCATTCTTTGAGACATGGGCTGAATGTGGGTTTCTCCAAAGACACTTTGCCTTCGTCTTGTGTTTGGTGGTAATACCAACATGGGATAACTATAAAATAAATTATCAGTTTCATGTGTGGGTTTTTTTAAAATTATACTTACAGTGAAAATTTAAACCACAAATTCATGTGAAGATGGCCTTCTAATTTTTCCTCTAAATAGCACCGAGTTTGAGGCAGGAAAATTTCCTGGTTGTCTCCCCCTGAGGAACAGGTTTTTATCTAGTTTATCCTTTCACTGAAATTATAGTCCTTCATATCTCTGGCTTTCAGCAGTTTTCTCCTGTAAGACTGCTATACTGGGCAGGCACTAGGTTTTGTCTCACACTCTCCCATATCCCAGGTGGTCATAAAAATTGAAGCTCAGGGTACTAGGGCCAGGACTGTCCTTATGGAAGCTTCTGGTTTGGGGGTCTGCATACCTCTCTGGATTTATGTATTCTCCTTATGCTTGGCCTATGTGGTTCACCTTAATTTCTATTCAAGTCAGTAATATACTTTTGAAAAATGACATGTACATTTTATCTGGTATTTGTAGATTTCATATAGCAGGATAGTGATTCAGCAAATTTAGTCTGTCACAATGCTAGGAATAGAATTCCCCTAATTTTTGAAAAAATTATATCAAATCATGTTTATTGCCATTAATAGTCTTATAAATGTGCTTTTAAGTAACTGCATTTTGTCATAGCTCATTGTGATTGTATATTTAACTAATTCACCCCTACCTCATGTTTTTTGGGAGTGAAGGTTGTACTCAACTCATTATGTTAAGTAATACTACAGTAAACATCAATCTATACATGCATTAATAATGATTTCCAAGAAAGTAGTGACACATGGTCATAATCATCTTTGAGGCTGATGGTACATATTTTCAAATTGCATCTCAGAAATAATATACCAATCTGTGCTCTAATCAGCCGCATATGAAAGTGTCATCTTTCTGTTCTCCAACCAATACAACTACTACTGTTTTTATACCTACAAATCTGACAAAGATGGGAGAAGGCATCTTATAGTTTCAATTTGTATTTCTTTGGTGACCAATGTACTAAATTACTCAATGTACTAAATTACTCTTTTCCTGTTTATCATCCATTTCAAACAAGATGTAAACCATTTTAAATTTTTTTATATTAATGCAAATCGTAAATCACTACTTTATTTATTCAATTTCCTAAGCAAAATTATATGTTGTCCCATTTATACATTTTATATTAGATCATTCTGCCTTACATTTATATCCTAAAAACTGTCAGAATTATATAATAATTATGAACAGTTGATTATAAATAATGCCTTTATTAGGATATTTCTCCATAAATCTAAATTTCATCAATCTTTCTTTAAATATCTCTACACAATTTCCTCTTGTATTATATTAATAATTGCAGATACACTTCTTTTTGCTATTTCTATTAATTCTTTCCTATTCCTATTGTCTGTTAGTCTCCCATTTTCTCCCATAAAATAAATAAAAATTTTTCTATCAGATTCTGTGATATATTACTTCTTATTCCCAGCCTTCAACATTTTAAGAATTCAGATTGACCTTTTCTCCCATTCTTATTTCAAGTTATCAGCATGTCAATACTTGGGAAATCCCATCAAGTGTTTAACAGTGCATACCTTACTGATTCATTATTTATTTCAATTTAATCTTTCTTATTTTCATTCAACTTTTTTCTCAGTAATACAACTTTTTCAAGCTTTTTATTTTCTAATGCATTTCTCCAAATAGCAGCCATAACCCTTATATGCCCTCTTTCAATGACAACAACAAAAGTGTGCTAGGCTTCTTGGAAGAAAATAATTATACCAATTTAAGAAGGAGAAAATTGATGTACTGATAAACAAATGGGCATCTTAGGATCATGTTTCTCACAAGTAAGGCAGTTCCAGAAATTCCTAGGACCCTAATGGGTTTTATTCTAAATAGGTTAAACATATCACTTAAAAAATTGTTTTCTACAGTTCTCTAATATTGCTTACAATTGTCCACGTTTCCATGTTTATAAACTTGCACTTTTTTTTTTATGGAGTTTTGCTGTTGTTGCCCAGGCTGGAGCCCAGGCTGGAGTGTAGTGGCGTGATCTTGGCTCACTGCTACCTCCACCTCCCAGGTTCAAGCAATTCTTCTGCCTCAGCCTTCTGAGTAGCTGGGATTACAGGTGCGTGCCACCACACCTGGCTAATTTTTTGTATTTTTAGTAGAGACGGGGTTTCACCATGTTGGCCAGGCTGGTCTCGAACTCCTGACCTCAGGTGATCCACCCGCCTTGGCCTCCCAAAGTGCTGGGCTTACAGGCATGAGCCACTGCTCCTGGCCTTATACTTGCACACTTTTTAATTCTAAGACCTTGCTACTCAGTGAGGGATCCTGGGACTAATACCATCAGCTTGACTTGAGGCCCTCTTTGAAAGCAGACTCAGAATCTGTAATTTATCAGGATCCCCAGGTAATTTGTATGTGCAGTCTAGTTTGGTAGATCTGCTCTGGCAGACTGGAAGACTCTTCTATCTGCCTCACGTAAGGTGCAGGTGACATAATTAGGTAATCAAGCAAAAGATCACATATTTTAATAAGAAAGAGACACTGGCTATTATTTTGAGTGGCAAAACAGGTTATTCAGTCCCAGTTTAAAATGGAAATGACAGAGACCAAGATCAAGATTTTTAATTTGAGATGTGCCTGCGATGCAATTACATTTGCTGAATGAAACTGCTTCAGTAATTAGATGCAGGTTTCTTCTCTCTTCTTTTTGAGATGTAAAGAAGACACAATAGACTCATGGAACTTAAAGAACTAGACACCAGCTAACAAAACATGCTATCCAGACTCTTCCATTTCACCATATTGCTTTCTTGAAAACATAGGACAGTGCCAGTTTAGCACTGAAAAAAATCAGTTCTCCTAATTCTAAAAAGAGGAGACAGCCAGGCGTGGTGGGTCACTAAACATACAAAAAATTAGCGGGCATGGTGGTGCATGCCTGTAATCCCAGCTACTTGGGAGGCTGAGGCAAAAGAATCACTTAAACCCGGGAGGTGAAGGTTGCAGTGTGCTGAGATAGCGCCTTTGCACTCTCGCCTGGGCAACA
The DNA here is from genome assembly GCF_000001405.40 of Homo sapiens. Taxonomy (NCBI): domain Eukaryota; kingdom Metazoa; phylum Chordata; class Mammalia; order Primates; family Hominidae; genus Homo; species Homo sapiens. The sequence goes on from NC_000001.11 coordinate 120,884,667, forward strand.
AGAGCAAAACTCCATCTCAAGAAAAAAAAAAAAGAAAGAGAGAGAGAGAAACTGTAATTTCATTTCAGAAGTTTTATAGGGTACTATTTCCAATTCTTTTTTTCTTACTCCATTAAAGTGTAATTAGCAGTATGTGAAAATTTCCACTTTATCCTCAATCAGAAGCCTCTCCTTCCAATTAGCATATTTTTTTTCTATTAACTTTGTAAAGTGGGATTCTTGTTTTATACATACCCCTGGAAAGTATACTTAAACTGTGAGACCCTGGGATTTTATATTTCCAAATAGAAGATACCATCCTCTTGTATCACAAAATGTATCTAAGATGGTTTGGATTATATTTAAATATTCTTGAATGAAATAGACTTACTGACTGAAGCCAATTATTAGATTTTTCCACACCAAAATAAATGCAATAGGAAAAGATGACAGTTCTATGTAGTATTCCTGCTTCCATATTGCACAAATTAGAAACATACATATTCTATTATGTTACAGGGTCTAGGGCTTTGGGAGGACAAGGCTGCAGGCAGCCGAGATTGTGCCACTGCACTCCAGCCTGGGCGACAGAGTGAGACCTTTTCTCAATAATAATAATAAAAGTAAAAAGAAATATAATATTTAATCAATATATGCACACACATGGGTTTATCATGACACACATGACATGTGTGTACAGTGAAAACAATGAGTAAATCTAGAAACCTGTATTGCCTCAATAGCTAGCTAAGTACTTCAATATGCATGTTTATTTCAACAATTTTGTGTTAAGCTTTAGTGGTAAATAAGCAGAGTACACTGGCCATAATGAATACTCCTTTTGATGAGGGTTATCACTACACAATTAAAATATTACATAGTTGGCTGGGCACGTTGGCTCACACCTATAATCCCAGCACTTTGGGAGGCCGAGGCAGGCAGATCACCTGAGGATGGGAGTTCAATACCAGACTGACTAACATGGAGAAACCCCTTCTCTATTAAAAATACAAAATTAACCAGGCGTGGTGGCACATGTCTGTAATCCCAGCTACTCAGGACGCTGAGGCAGGAGAATCACTTGAACCTGGGAGGCAGAGGTTGTGGTGAGCCGAGATAGCACCATTGCACTCCAGCCTGGGCAACAAAAGCAAAACTCCGTCTCAAAAAAATATATAATAATAAACAGATATATATTATATATATAATAAATATAAATATAATATATAATATATAATATATATATAATAAATATATAATATATATTATATATATAATAAATATATAATATATATTATACATATAATAAATATATAATATATAATACATATAATATATATATTATATATAATAAATATATCATATAGATGATATAGTTTAGAGTTAAATACTGACTGCTCTTGGGAACTTTGAGGTATTCTGAGGGATATAAATAACACGAAGAGAATAGCACATTGGCTTGAAGCAGATTAGAGTCTGCTACCTGCGTGAATACTTGCTTTTCATGAACTATGAGGATGCCCTTAGCTTTTGAACCACTTCTACTTGTGTTGAAATTTACCCTTTAATTTTGGGGTTTGACAGGCTCTGCCCTTCTGTTATGCTTGAGTCTGGCTTTTCCTACTCTGACTCACTTTGATTCTTGACCTCTGAATCTTATTCCTATTTTACAATAAACACACATCGCACATACGCCAATTAGTAGAGTGGAAGAGGGAAAAATTGCCAAGGAACTATGTTTAATTTTGTTCCTTTCGCAAACCAGACACCATAACAGAAAAATTTTAGGAACATGTGCATGTTCAGTAGCCTTCAATGCAATTATACTGGTTATTAAAAAGTGTTGGATAATCAATATTTTTTAAAGATTCACTAGTCCCTTCTCATAATTTTAGAACTTTGGGAAGTAATAATACAAATGTATTTTTAGCTGTGTCCTTTAATCTTTTACTGTTTCCTCTATGTGTGGTGTTTGGTTTGTGTGTGTGTGATAATTATTATAAAGATCAGAGGCTAACAGAGGTGTTAATCACGAACTTTTAAATTTTTTTATTTTTATTTTTTTATTTTTTTTAAGAGACAGAGTCTCGCGGTGTTGCCAAGGCTGGATGCAGTGGCGCCAACTCAGCTCACTGCAACCTCCGCCTTCAGGGTTCAAGCGATTCTGCTGCCTCAGCCTCCCAAGTAGCTGGGACTGCAGGAGGGCACCACGATGCCCCACTAATTTTTGTATTTTTAGTAGAGATGCGGTTTCACCATATTGGCCAGGCTGGTCTTGAACTCCTGACCTCATGATCCGCCTACCTCAGCTTCCCTAAGTGCTGGGATTACAGGCGTGAGCCACCGCGTCTGGCTGCATGACCTTTTAACTTGTCTCATACACTCAATATTCTCAAGATATACCTTCCAAAGTGAAAAATTATGGCACTTTGCAGCCCTGTCCACTAACTGAGAACTTTGATGCTTTGGATTTTGGAGACCTCATTTTATCACCTGGTCCTTTTACTTCATGACTTGTCATGCTGCCACCTTTTGATGGGATTGAGATCAAGATAATAATTCCCAACTGGTCAGGAATATTGTGCCCCTTTGTTTTTATATCCAGATGCAATAGAGCCTCTGACACACCACTACTATTGTTCTTAGGATTTGGAACAAAATGCTTCTTTCTTTGACAAAATAAATGTTTTCTTTAAAGAACTCTTGATTGATCCTGGACCATTGTAGAAACTGAAGTCCTATCAATGCAAAAAAATATGACAACATGAGCTGCTTATCATGAAATAAGTGTTTTCCAATTAACTATCCTGCTTCATCAGCAGGTAGGAATAATAGAATCTATACCTATGTCTTCATGGGAAGTTCTCTATGGCCAGTTGATTAGTGAGGGAAAAATTGAGCCTGATTTACAGAAGTCACTGTACAACATCACAGCAACAGCCAAAAGTAGATTGCTTAGGCATTATAACCTACGTGAATGCAATTTTAAAAGAAATTCAGCCTATGTAATTGGTTGTCCACGATGTCTAGAAGGAGAGATATTATTGATGTATATGTGGCAGCTAATAATTTGTCTAGATAATTAGGGACTTGGGGCCAGGCCTGATGGTTCACACCTGTAATCCCAGAACTTTTGGAGGACAGGACAGGTGGATTGTCTGAGGTCAGGAGTTCGAAACCAGCCTGGCTGACATGGTGAAACTCCGTCTCTACTAAAAATACAAAAATTAGCCAGATGTGGTGGTGTGTGCCTGCAATCCTAGCTACTTGGGAGGCTGAGGCAGGAGAATCTCTTGAATCCAGGAGGAAGAAGTTGCAGTGAACCAAGATTGCACCACTGCACTCCAGCCTGGGCAACAAAGTGAAACTCTGTCTCAAAAAAAAAAAAAAAAGAAAAGAAAAGAAAAGATAATTAGGGACTCAGAAAGACAAACACTGAAGGATTGGTGGCAATGAGTTTTGGGGAAAAAATATGTAGATGAACCACAGAAAATGAGCCAGAGTGTAAGAATATTTGTGCTTAATACAAATGCTCACCAAACTATCATCAGGAAGGTTATCAAATAGATATGAAGGTATGAAACAATCTCTTTCACCAGGCACTACATTGCTTGCTCAGAAGGCTAATAAACAGCAACATTGGTGGTAGCAGTAGAGAATACACATAGGTTTAGCAACATGTTGGACTTTACCACTCTCGCTTACAAAAGCCTATTTAGCTGTCAAGACTATTAGGTGTCCAACACACAAGCAACAAAGTCCAAGGCTAAGCACACAATAACATATCCTGGGTGAATAAACCAGTCACCTTTTGTCAGACTTGTTGATTTTACTGGAGCTCCTCTATGATAAAGGCAACAAGGAATTTTGTAAATGGAATCTACCTTTATCCTTGAATTACATTTGCTTTACCTGACATCATTTTTCTCTGATCGCCACTCTCCATGGGTACATTGAATGCCTTATATATACTGCCATAATATCCTGTTCTACATCCTTCTATTAAAAGAACTTGTTGTATAACAAATGAGTAGATATTCATTGGACTCACCTGGTCCACCATTTATCCTATCACCAACCAAAATTATTATTATTATACAATGGTGAATATTTTATTAAAGACTCAATCACAGTGCCAGCTGGAGACAATGGCTTATAAGGTTGTACTCATGCTAGACGATGTGGTGGTGTATCCTCTGAACTAGTAACTAAGTATAAGCTTGTCTGGTGTCTCCCATATAAAAAATACAACAATCTTTGATATTTGTTATGAACGTTGAAGTGACTCCTTTTGTCATTACATCTAATGATCCACTCCAAATACTTGTCTCTTGTCTCTGAGATTCTAGGTTTTTGCAGAATTAGTACCCAAAGGGAGAGTCTTAGCAGTATTCCATTTTACAATCCATCCTTCGTTAGAGGATGAGAGACTTCTATCTAGCCTTTTAGGTTGCCTGAGACCTTTAAACAAACTGTCAAAAATTTAAAATTTAAAATGCGGCTACATTGTTGCATGGGGTAGTAAATCTTGACCTTAAAACTGGTATTTGTAAGAAAAACAGAAAGAATTCAGGGATCCCCTTTGATGGCTCCTAATTCTATACAGTCCTGTAAATATTCCTGAAGACTAACCAGGCGTGGTGGTGCACACCTGTAATCCCAGCTACTCCAGAGGCTGAGGAAGAGAATCACTTGAACCTGGGAGGCAGAGGTTGCAATGAGCTGAGATTGTGCCACTTCACTCCAGCCTGGGTGACAGAGCAAGACTCTGTCTCAAAAAAAAAAAAAAAAAAAAAAGAAGAAAGAAAGAAAGAAAGAAAGAAAGAAAGAAAGAAAGAAAGAAAGAAAGAAAGAAAGAAAGAAAGAAATTAATGAAGACTGCCACAACTTGGAAGCAACCAAGGTATCCTTCAATAGGTGACTGCATAAGCAAACTGTGGTATATTCCTACAGTGGAATATTATTCAGTGCTAAAAGGAAAAAACTATCAAGCCACAAAAAGATACAGAAAAAACAAAGACATTTTGCTAAGTGAAAGAAGCCAGTCTGAAAAGGGTACATACTGTGATTTCAACTATACGACATTCTGGAAAAGGACAAACTATAAAGACAGTAAAAAGATCAGTGGTTATCTTTGCAGACGCCACCATCACTGTGAGCCCTGTACTATCAGCCATGGTCAACTCCGTCGTCTTTTTTGACATCACCGTCGACGGCAAGCCCTTGGGCCGCATCTCCATCAAACTGTTTGCAGACAAGATTCTAAAGACAGCGGAAAACTTTCGTGCTCTGAGCACTGGAGAGAAAGGATTTCGTTATAAGGGTTCCTGCTTTCACAGAATTATTCCAGGGTTTATGTGTCAGGGTGGTGACTTCACACGCCATAATGGCACTGGTGACAAGTCCATCTATGGGGAGAAATTTGATGATGAGAACCTCATCCGAAAGCATACAGGTTCTGGCATCTTGTCCATGGCAAATGCTGGACCCAACACAAATGGTTCCCAGTTTTTCATCTGTGCTGCCAAGACTGAGTGGTTGGATGGCAAGCATGTGGCCTTTGGCAAGGTGAAAGAACGTGTGAATATTGTGGAAGCCATGGAGCACTTTGGGTACAGGAATAGCAAGACCAGCAAGAAGATCACCATTGCTGACTGTGGACAATTCTAATGAGTTTGACTTGTGTTTTATTTTCACCACCAGACCCATTCCTTCTGTAGCTCAGGAGAGCACCCCTCCACCACATTTGCTTGCAATATCCTAGAATCTTTGTGCTCTTGCTGCAGTTCCCTTTGGGTTCCATGTTTTCCTTGTTCCCTTCCATGCCTAGCTGGATTGCAGAGTTGAGTTAAGTTTATGATTATGAAATAAAAACTAAGTAACAACAACAACAACAAAAAAGCTCAGTGGTTGCCAGGAGTTTGGGGATGGGTAGGGAGATAAATAGTTCTGAAACAGGCGATTTTTAGGGGATTGAAAATACATTGGTAATAATGTAATGATGGGTACATGACATTATGCGTTTTGCAAAACTCCTAGACCTGTACCACACAAAGAGTGAACCCTAATGTAAACTGGGGGTGGGATAAAGGTGACAGTATGTGAGAACTCTGTACTTTCTGCTCGATCTTTCCATAAAGCTAAAACTGCTCAAAAAATAAAGTCTATTATTTTGTTAAATGAAAGAAATTAACAATGACCATGGCACGCTCACACAAAAAGATTATCAAGGACATTTCTCTGTCAGGAATGAATATTTGGTCATCTCACAAGGCAAAACCCTGACTAGCAGAGGTGTTAGCTGAGGGCACATGGCCATAGATGCCAATAGTGACCTGCTGGCCACTTGCAGAAAGGAGAGCCTTGACATCCAAACACATTGTTTCTCTTGTATTGTCCTGTGCATACTTATGTATCTTAACAACTTTCCTTCTTTCCTCTCCATTTATCCCTCTTTTTAAAACAGGGCTTATTGAGGGTGATTAACTTAATTTTTAAATGATATATGGCAGAATGTCAAGAGAGTATAGTGAAGAACTTCGTAGAGGAATGGACATAACCCAGAATTCTTAGACTTAGAGTACATGCTGTGATTGAGAATTTTTTATTGTTTCATTGTTCAAGAGATTGTAGGTACATGTTCAATTATTAGAGAAATAGTTGCACTCTGTTAGAAGGAAGCTTGGGTCTTTCGTGTTTACTTTCAAAAGGGAAAGTTTATATTGATATTGAGCAAGTTAAAGCATGAAAATTTATTATTTGATGTTTGTTGCTGTGTTTGAGGAATTCCTCAGCCTCTCAGTTTTGACGAAAACAAGAAACCACCTCCTGCTTTAGAAGCTAAAATGCCAAATGCTTGCTTTCTCAGCCTCCTTTGCAGCTAGGGTACAAGCATATGACTTAGGTTTTGCCCATCTGTTTGCCAGTGCTGAATTTCCACTTCGGAATTAATAAAAAAAGAAGCAGATTCAGTTATGCTTTCTCTTGTTTCTGGTGGAGGCCATGTAGCAGCTGCTACAATATCTGTTGCAAAGCGAACAAGTGGGAGTGGTGCTGGTGGCTTTGCAGTTAGCCTAGGATTGAGCAATTGCTGCAATTGTTGCTGCCTGCATCTTCGGTGTTATTTCTTACTGGTGGTGACAGTGGTTTCCTCCCTGGATGAGTTCTACAGCATGGTTTGGGGTACATTTCCTGGCTGCCTAGCTTTGATCTGGCTTTCTAGCCTTCTCAACAGTTCTACAAGTTCCCCACTATTTCTGTGATAAACCTATTTATTGTTAATGTCAGCCATAATTGGCTTCTGTGGTTTATATTTTTTAAAATTCCAAGATATACCAACGTAACAGATAGCTCAACAAACATATGTCTTTTTAAATTAAGATATATTCTGTGTCACATGAAGTACAATGGACAAAATGCAACAAATTGAATTGAGCAAAAGACCAAATATATATTAAGCCTGGCTGGTCTTAAAAATGTAACTGGATACAGCCAGGCATGGTGGCTCATGCCTATAATCCCAGCACTTTGGGATCCTGAGGTGGGCAGATCACCTGAAGTCAGGAGTTTGAGACCAGCCTGGCCAGCATGGTGAAACCCCATCTCTACTAAAAATGCAAAAATTAGCTGGGTGTGGTGGTATGCCCCTGTAATCCCAGCTACTCGGGAGGTTGAGGCAGGAGAATCACTTGAACCTGGGAGGCAGAGGTTGCAGTGAGCCCAGATCATGCCAATGCACTCCAGCTTTGGCAACAGAGCGAGACTTTGTTTCAAAATAAAAAAATAAAAATAAAAAAATAAAAACGTAACTGGATAGACCTAAGGTTCTTGAATAAGCAGAAAATAATTTAGGTAAAAACCAAATAATAAACTAACATTCTGAAAGGTTTAGGATTTGGAGGCACAAATGTCTTAGCTAAAGTGTTCATTCTAACCTCACAGGAAAATTGAAATATGAAAATATACAGAAAAATCTTAGGCAGTATTTGTCAATTTTAAGAAACAACTATTTACAGGTTTTTCAATAGGCATTACATTAAAAACGAAATATGTAGTTAATAAATATGAAAACTGTGGATATAATCAACACATTTATTTTACTTCTTGAAGTGTTAACATGTGCTGTCTCAAATATCAACAGTGTACACGTGAGAAAAAACATTTTACATAGATTTTCTGCGACAGAAAACAGCATCTCATTAGACATCCCAAGTTTTTTCATTTGGAACACACACCCATTCCCCAGTATACTAGGGGTAATAATAATTTAAAGAGTTTAATTACTTTTTACTACTAGAAAACTAATTTTATGTTTGGCACAAATTTCTGAAATGATATTCTACTGCAAAGAATAATACCTATATATGGCCAGAATTACTTTTTTTCTATAACATTAAGATAATACTTGTCAGCCTGAGCAACAAAGTGAGACCTCATCTTTACAAAAAATAAATAAATTAGATGGGTGTTTTGGTGATGAGGTTCTGTAGTCCCAGATACTCAAGAGGCTGAGGTGGGAGGATCCCTTGAGCCTAGGAGGTCGCGGTTGCAGTGAACTATGATTGCACCACTGCACTCCAGCCTGGGTAACAGAGCAAGATCCTGTCTCAAAAAAAAAAAGATAATATTGGTATAATTCAGGGTTTTTGCCTCAGTCCCCATGCTTCTTCATTTGACCTTCCCTGACTCCCTGATGAATTTTAGTTTGAATTTTTGCTATAGTCCAGAAGTTAATTTAAAAGATCTTAAAATTTCCACCTGCCTAGATATTACTTATTTGTTACACTTTAGTCCATGATTTCTATTGTCATTTACATTACCTCAAAAATATGACCTGCTGAATTTCTGCTGTCATGAATTGACTAACATATTTTGGGCCTAATACCTTTACATTTAGAATCTTTTTGTTTTGTATTGGAAAGTATTGTAACTCCTCCATTTATTGGTCAAAAGCACTGCTTATTTATTTCCATGCTTAATCAGAGAGACTTTCTAATAGTTATTTAATATTATTTACGTTCATTCACTTGTTGACTATAATGACGTTAGTTGCTATGATATTTTTAGGTCATTAATATAATAAAAATATGTCAACTTTTCTCTTCCAATGTGTCTTTGGGTTATTAATTTTTAACTCAGATATCAAGCTTGTAAAATGTTTAATGGCTTATAATAATGTCTAACACATAGTATCCACTGAGTTCTGATAACTCCAGTTTATCAAATTCTCTTTTTTTATACCATTCTCCAAATGCAATGCTATTTGGTTTTATTTTTATTTTTTAAAAATGTGCTGCCTGTTTTGAGTCTCTAAAAGTGTGAAATGCTCAGTATTTTCCAAATGTATTTGAACATGGAGTGTTATATTTACTAAAAAGTTAACAAGCAAGTATTCCCCTAAACGTTCTAGCAAATACTACTAGTACAGACAAATTATGATGTAACATTATAGTACATTTTAATTTATTAGGTTAATTTTGGTTGCAAACAATCAAAATTCAAAATGGCTTGTATAATAAAGAGATTTTGAACAATAGTATAGGCTCAAGATAGTTTAATGCAGAAGTTTAATAATAACACAAAATAAATGCTTCTTGTCCTCCCTGTTTCTTCACTCTACCTTAAGTGATATAGATTGAATGTTTGTATCCCCCCAAAATTTGTATGTTTAAATCTAATCCCTAGTGTGATGATATTTGGCAGTGGGTCTTCAGGGGGTGATTAGGTCATGAGGACAGAGTCCTCATGAATGAGATTAGTGCCCTTATAAAAGAGACCTTAGAGAACTTCCTAGCCCCTTCCACCATGTGAGGGCACAGCAAAAAGACAGCTGTCTGTGAACCAGGAAACAAATCCTCATTAGACCCTGAATCTGTTGACACCTTGATCTTGGACTTCCTGGCCTCTAGAACTGTAAGAAATAAATTTATGTTGTTCATAAACCATCCAGGCTGTGATATTCTGGTATAGCGACCTGAAAGGACTAAGACATTAGGTCTCAGTTTTATTCTATGGCTTAAAATATCATGTCATGAGTAGACAACTTCCAATCCTAGTACCTCGTGCTTCCTCTGCTGCATTTGGAAAGAAGGCATTTCCCTCTTCAATCATGGAATGAAAAAGTTGTACTTCATTCTGATTTGATTAGCAGAAGGCACACGTTCCTTCATGCACCAATTACAGTGACCAAGAATTGGACATGGGACTCATGTCACTTAAACATTGTGAAGCTGAGAAATTCATTATTTGGCTAGGAGTGTGTGAGAGCAGGGAACACTGAATGCTTGAGACACCACCACGATGTCCACTACATGTATTTCCATTTCAGTAAACATTTCCATTAAGATAATGCTAGAACAAAATCAGAGGAGTAGATCTTAGTGTCCCCAACTTTTGTTGACCTAACAAAGTGAAGTTGCTTCAACTGGACACTTCTGAACCACATTTATGCCTATATGTTCAGTTCAAATTTATTATAAGCAATTTTCAGGTCCATATGTTTAGGATATTTCATTTGTTTGGTTATGCATTATATGTATACATGTTTTTAACATACATACGCCTCTACATATATTTTGGAGGCCTTTACACAAAAGTGTTTTCCCTAAAGGGAGAAGAGAAAAGTTGAATGCAGAAGTAGAAAAAAAAATTCATTTGCACTTGTAGTATTTATATCTAAATATTTTATGTTACAGATGTATTAATATTTTTATAATTTTAAACACTACTTTAAAACAGGGAGATGGTTTACCTTCAAAAAATTTGGCTCTCAACTCAAAATTATCAAAGTATATCCTAGATGTAGTTTGCTTGTCAGGCTTCTACATGAAAATCTAAAATGCTCCTGCATTTCAGAATGAGCCTAACATATGTAATTGCACTCATCCACTATGTCTACATTGCCAACCAAATACTGACAGAGAGAGCTAGAGTGCCACAGAGAGCTGGCAGTTCCTCTGTTTGCATTAGCTTCTACTTGCTTCTTCATCTTTCCTCTATGTCTGACACATTTCATGTTACTGTTTTTAAATGTTCCCTTAGCTACAGAGCTAATGTGCTTATATCTGTAAGGGGTCTCATGTGAACCTCTAAATAATTAAAGATTCATTAGCTCCCTGGAGGGCCACCATGATTTCCAAAACAAGTCACAATACCTAAAGATCTAATTGTACAATTTCCCTCAGAAATAGCCTTGAGAAAGAAGTCACATCACTCAGCAATGAGTATTATAATTACTCACAGCAGTTTTCATGGTACTATATAACATCCAATTTACAGAATTAAAGGTAATGTAATTCGAAAGAAAAATAGCTGGTTTTAAGGAATGAATGGCCATGTCAACTATTGGAAGCATCTTTGAACTAGAGCCTCTATGTTCGGGTTTCACCAGGTTTATGTTTTTAATTAATATCCTATTCAGCTTGCTGTAATTTCCATTGAGGTTTTCTAGAACAAGACAAGTCAGAAATTGATCTTTAATTATAAGCTAAGAGCAAACTGCCAAAGAACTGAGAGAAATTTTGAAGAAACAGGTCTATCAGGACTAACCATTTTAAGATAATAAAGACTAATCAGACACACACACATATGCACAAAAAGAGGGAGAGAGAGAACAAAAATCCTATGAAATACATTTTAAAAAATCAATTTTTTTAAGAAGAAGCATTTGATCTGCCAAAGAGAAGAGTTAGTAGTTTGGAGATCTGACATTGCTAATCTCAGGGCAAGAAAATAACAAAATAAGACACCAAAGAATTACCTAAACTGTGGAAGATGAAGCTTTCAGAGTTCTCACAGAGAAATGGGATACTAAAGTACCAAGTTTAAGAGGTGTAATCTATTAATGTTTAATTTATGTCCCAAATACTTAAAAACTATGTTTCATTGTTATACATATTTATTTTATTATAAAGATAATGAATGCAGTAGGGTTAGATTTAAATAATTCATTGGGTTTAAAATGAGAAATGAAAGTCTGGCTTTTTACAACCTACAGTCTTATCACCAAAGTTAGCTATTGTTAATAATTTCTTGTCCATTCGTGTATGTGTTATGGTTTCTTTCTTAGAAAGAAGTATGCTATACTAGTATACATACTATTTATTCATGAACCTTGCACTTATCATGTAATCATATGTCTTAGTGGTCTTTTCATAATAGATGTCTCTCTTTCCCATGCTGTCAGTGGTGACTGCATGAGGCATTGTACAGACGTACCAATAATTACTTACTCTGTGTCATATTGATGGTTATTCAGATTGTTTTCACTTTGCCCTTGCAGACAACACTGCAATGAACATCCTTATGCATATATTATTCCAAATACATCATCGTGATGGCTGTGTGAGAGAAATACACATTGTTGATTTTCTTTTTTATTTTTTATAATTTCAGCTTTTGATTTTAGATACAGTGGGTACATGTGCAGGTTTGTTACATGGGTATGTTGTATGTTGTATAATGCTGAGGTTTGCTGCATGATTGATCTGATCACTCAGGTACTAGGCATAGTAGTTTTTTTTCAACCTTTACCCCCTCCCTCCTTCTACCCTCGAGTAGTCCCCAGTTTCTATTGTTCCCATCTTTGTGTCCACGTGTACTCAATGTTTAGCTCCTGCTTATAAGTGAGAATATGTGGTATTTGGTTTTCTATTCCTGTGTTAATTCGCTTAGCATAACGGCATCGAGTTGCATCCATGTTGCTGTAAAGGACATAATTTTATTCTTTTTTATGGCTGCAAAGTATTCCATGACATATATGTACCATATTTTCTTTATCCAATCCACAGCTGATGGGCACCTAGGTTGATTCCATGTCTTAGCGATTGTGAATTACACTGCTGATTTTAATAGAAACCACTAATTTTTATGCCAACAAAATCATCAATGTGCACATGCTCCAAGGCTGTGTGAGCATAGCCCTTTTTCTTGAGATGTCAACAACACTGGGTTTTATCAAAATATAATTTTTGCCAATTTATTAGTTAACAAATGCTAACTCAGTGCTATTTGGATTTGAACTACCACTGGTGCTGAGCAACTTTTTACATATTCACTGGCAATTTATTTATCTTTCTCTGTTGTTTATCTTTTTCTGTGTAATAATTTTCCCTATCTTCTACTCTTTTAAACATTAAGTTTTCACTGTTTTCTTAATAATTTTTAAGTTTAAAAAGTGACCTTTTGGCTGGACGCAGTGGCTCACGCCTGTAATCCCAACACTTTGGGAGGCCAAGGCGGGTGGATCACAAGGTCAGGAGATCAAGACCATCCTGCCCAACATGGTGAAACCCTGTCTCTGCTAAAAATACAAAAATTGGCTGGGGTGGTGGCACGTGCCTGTAATCCCAGCTACTCGGGAGGCTGAGGCAGAAGAATCACTTGAACCAGGGAGTTGGAGGTTGTAATGAGCCAAGATCACGCCACTGTGCTCCAGCCTGGCGACAGAGCGAGACTCTGTCTCAAAAAAAAAAGTGACCATTTTATCTGCTGCATATAATTCTAATGATATTTCTCAATTCGTTTATCTTTTAACAATGATAATATATAATGTCTTGCTATTTAGAAAGATTTTTAAAAGTATTTTATATAAACAAATTTTTATTCTTTGCCATTAATACTTGCAGGTTTGGAATTTTCAGGACCTCCTCAAAGGCCACCTACAGGAAATGCTCTTCAAAGACATTTCACTTTTTCCCCACTTGATTATGGAGCAAAGACTAACACTGGCAATGCTTTGAAGTACTTGAGTCAAATGGGTCTCTCATGTGGTCATTACTATACTCACTCTCAGGCTCCAGTGCAAATTGTTTCCTTACGCCAACTACTCTTGCTTTCCTTTAATAGACCTATTCCTCCTGGGCTGTCTGAAACTAACATTTCATTGTAAATAAAGTCCTGCAAATCCTTGGTATCTCAAAGAACCCTCCTTCCATTTAGTTTTAGGAGAACTTTCCTCCTAAAACTCTATTCTTCTCCCTGGAGTCCAGATCCCCATTCCTTGCAACAAATGAACTCTTGATTTGAGCACTGAAGGGAGATAATTGGAAGTTTGACTTTGTGTTCTAGGTTTTCCCTGCCAATATATGCAGCGTCTTTAAAACTAATTGGGCTGCGGCAGGAGAACTGCTTGAACCCAGGAGGAGGAGGTTGCAGTGAGCCAAAATTGCACCATTGAACTCCAGCCTGGGCGATAGAGCAAGGATCCATCTCAAAAAAAAAAAAAAAAAAAAAAAAAAAAAAAAAACAGCAAAAAGAAACTAATTAGGTTCAAGAAGTTCGAATGAATTCAACTAAGACAAGCTCTTAAGCAGACATGTTGGAAGTTCCAGAAAAGACAGTTTGGGAAAATATTTTTATTAAAAAAAAAAAAAAAGACTGTCCTCCACTTCCTCACTCTTTCTTCCCACTTATTTTCACTCCACTGGTGCAGTTTGGTGTCAACTCTCCTCACTCTACTGAAACTGCTGCAGCCGAGGTTACTAGTCATTTAATTAACAAAAGCAATAGATTTTGTTTTTTTTAAATGCATTATACTCTACTATTTTGTGACATTTAAACTATTGACAATGTCTTTCTTGAAAATGTGTCCTTTTTGTTTTTTTCAAAACACGACTTTCTCCTTGATGTCCTCCTTTTTCTCTCATTATTTCACCTTTACATTCTCTGCTGACACCTTTCACCTTACCAAACCTTAATTAAATGTGTATGCTTCCCAGTCTCCCATTCTTGGCTCTCTTCCCTTCCCTCTTATTGATCATTATTGTATTCTGTGATCTCACCAATTCTCTTGGCTTTAACAATAACCAGATGACTCCAGAAAACTATTCAAAATTCCGGACCTATGGAGACTTTGCACCCAGATACGTACCAACAACTCAACCTCAGTTATCTCTAATATTATCTCATTAAGTGCCCTCTAACTACAGAATGACTCCTCCTTCTGGGTTTCCTCTGCCTGAATGGCACCACCATTCAGTGGCCCACGACAAATGTGGACCTCATTTGGAACTTCTCCCTTTCCCTCATGTTTCATTTTCTCTTGGCTAAAGAGTTATTAGATTCTTCATTTTTAGCTTTTCTCTAGCCTATCTTCAATTTTATAGTGGACAGTTATGTATACCCTATATCCCAGGAGAGAAGGGATATCTTCTTCTATGCCCCTACTATGAACTAGCATATCCTTTGAGTCCTTTCTTTGTATGAAGCACTGGGGAAATTTAATCAACTTCATAATCACTTATAATTCTCACAGTAATTTTATGAGATAAGTTCTATTTATTATCCCTCTCTTAAGGATGAGGAAACTGTGGTTTAAAGAGCTTAAGTAATTTGGGCAAATCATAAAAGAAGCAGTGAAGACAGAATTCAAATCTAGGCAACCTGAAATCTGAGCCTGAGCACTTTGCCTCCCTAATAACTATCTCCCTTTGAGAGTTGTATTACAAAGTTGACAACATTTAGCAACCCTTATTCCCCTCCCCACCCCTATCTCTCTCCAAGAAATCTGCTGTGAGGTAGAGAATGTGTTGATTTTCTCTGCAGTTTTTAGTGCATAGCATAGGGCTTAGAAAGGAGAAAATGATGAAAAATATTTATTAAAATAATTGTTTTTCTTTGATAGTTGTTATAACCATCTAATTGTGAGTGCTTAACAATTACTATAAAGGAGAATGGAAATCACAGATCTTTTCACAGAATTTTTTTTTTTTTTTTTTGAGACAGAGTCCAGCTTGTCACCCAGGTTGGAGTGCAGTGGTGCGATCTCAGCTCACTGCAACCTCCACCTCCTGGGTTTAATCACTTGCCTTGGCCTCCTGAGTAGCTGAGATTACAGGCGTGCACCACCATGCCTGGCTAATTTTTGTATTTTTGGTAGAGATGGGGTTTCACCACATTGGCCAGGCTGGTCTCAAACTCCTGACCTCCAGTGATCCACCCATCTCAGACTCCCAAAGAGCTGGGATTATAGGCTTGAACCACCATGCTGGGCCTTTCTCAGAGAATTTACAGTTTACCTGGAAATGTAAACTATATATACTTAAACTGAGGGATATTTACAAAAGAGCTTTCTACTTAACCCACAAGAATCTGTATTAATAACAAAGCAAATCAAGCTTGTTCACAGGCAACTGAATGGAATGAATGGTTTTGATTGGTCTTGCCAGTTATATTTCTAACAAGAGAAAATTCAATGTGAGCCTCATTTGGAAACAAGATATTACAGAAAGGAAAATTTGGGATTAAGGTCAGATTTGGTGCAACTATGCTAGATACAGAAAAGGCAAACTTTCAGCTCAATCCCCAGCTAAGTACAAGTTCAATGGTGAAGGCATAAGAAAATGAGCCATTATAATAAGTCTGAAATAAGTTTATGATTCCACCTCAATATGGGCATGCAATATATTCTAATATTTAATCCCTGGAAAAAATGATGACATCACATTGAAATCTTGACTCATAAGAGAACTTTTTTATGCTGTTCCCTAAGTCAGTTTATTTCTACTTCATTCTTGTGTTAAGGGCAGGCTCAATTCTTACTCATTCAAAAACAGTATCACCTGAAGCTTTTCTTTAATTCTTGTTTTCTCTGCAGTGACAAAATTAATCAAGGGGTTAAAATGTATATTAAATTATATATGTATTATATATAAAAGTTATATAGTATAGATCAGAGAAGAATATATTGCATATGTTATAGGCTGAATTGTGGCCTTTCCCCAAATTAATATGCTGTACCCTGCCCCCTGCCATCCCAGTATATCAGAAGGTGACTATATTTGGAGATAGAGACTTTTAAGAGGTAACTAATGTAAAATGAGGTCACATGTCTGGGTCCTAATCCAATATCACTGGTGTCCTTATTTGAAGAGGAAATTTAGGTACAGACAAACATGTGCACAGAAAAAAGTCCATGAGAAGACAAGATGAGAAAATGACTATCTAAAAGGCAAGGAGAGAAATTTCAGAATAAAATTAACACATCTGATGCCTTGACCTCACACTTCTAGCCTCCAGAACTGTGAGAAAATAAATTTCTCTTGTTTAACTCATCCAGTCTGCAGTAATTGTTATAACAACCCTAGCAAAGTAATATAGGAAGTATATATATATATACACATATATATATACACACATACATATATATATACACACATATTTGTGTGTGTGTGTGTGTGTATATATATATATGATAGAGTAGATAGATAGAGACATATACAGTCATCCCTCAGTATTAGTGGGGTATTGGATTCAGGAGCCCTGCATATACCGAAGTCTGCACATACTCAGGTCCTACAGTCAACCTTGCAGAGCTTGCATATGAAAAGTTGGCCCTCCACATATGTGGGTTTCACTTCCCACAAATACTGTATTTTCAATCTGTATTTGGCTGAAAAAATCCACCTATAAGTGGACTCACACAGTTTAAACCAGTGTTATTCAAAGGTCAACTGTTGATATATAGATATATAAATATCTCATATGTATAGAGCAAGCAGGAGAAAAAATCTCTAATCTCTCTTCCTTCCTGCTCTTTTTGGATTGCAAACTCTTCTCTCATAAGTACAAAAAGTAATGTTAACAAAGGAAAGAGAATTGGAAATAGTAGTGTTTTTGACCACTAGTGTTTTGTAATTTTAGAAAAAAAAATTACTGAAATGTAACTTTTTATTTATATTGAGATGTTTTGACTCATACTCCAATCATACAGAAATAACAGATAAAATATGAAAAAGACTTCTTTTTACATACATAGCTGGATTAAAATATTAGAAATAATTTTCTTCCCTCAAAGGATCCCCTATTTAATAAATGGTGCTGGGAAAACTGGCTAGCCATATGTAGAAAGCTGAAACTGGATCCCTTCCTTACACCATATACAAAAATCAACTCAAGATGGATTAAAGACTTAAATGTAAGACCTAACACCATAAAAAACCCTAGAAGAAAACCTAGGCAATACCATTCAAGACATAGGCATGGGCAAAGACTTCATGACTAGAACACCAAAAGCAATGGCAACAAAAGCTAAAATAGACAAATGCGATCTAATTAAACTAAAGAGCTTCTGCACAGCAAAAGAAACTCTCATCAGAGTGAACAGGCAATCTAAAAAATAGGAGAAAAGTTTTGCAATATACCCGTCTAACAAAGGGCTAATATCCAGAATCTACAGAGAACTTCAACAAATTTACAAGAAAAAAACAACCCCATCAAAAAGTGGGCAAATAATATGAACAGACACTTCTCAAAAGAAGACATTTATGCAGCCAACAGACACATAAAAAATGCTCATCATCGCTGGTCATCAGAGAAATGCAAATCAAAACCACAATGAGATACCATCGCATGCCAGTTAGAATGATGATCATTAAAAAGTCAGGAAACAACAGATACTGGAGAGGACGTGGAGAAATAGGAATGCTTTTACACTGCTGGTGGGAGCGTAAATTAGTTCAACCATTGTGGAAAGCAGTGTGGTGATTCCTCAAGGATCTAGAACTAGAAATACCATTTGACCCAGCGATCCCATTACAGGGTATATACCCGAAGGATTATAAATCATGCTACTATAAAGATGTATACATGCACACATATGTTAATTGTGGTGCTATTCACAATAGCAAAGACTTGGAACCAACCCAAATGTCCATCAATGATAGACTGGATTAAAAAAATGTGGCACATATGTGCCATGGAATACTATGAAGCCATAAAAAAGGATAAGTTCACTTCCTTTGCAAGGACATGGATGAAGCTGGAAACCATCATTCTCAGCAAACTATCTCAAGGACAGAAAACCAAACACTGCATGTTCTCACTCACAGATGGGAGTTGAACAATGAGAATGCATGGACACAGAGTGGGGAACATCACACACTGGGGCTTGTCAGGGGGTGGGGGGCTGGGGGACAGATAGCATTAGGAGAAATACCTAATGTAAATGACAAGTTGATGGGTACAGCAAACCAACATGGCACATGTATACCTATGTAACAAACCTGCATGTGGTGCACACGTAACCTAGAACTTAAGATTAAAAAAAAAATGTCTTCCCTCATGAGGTACAAAGCCAAGCATTACACTGGGGCCATGATAGTCCAGGTTGCTGAAAGATTTAGAACTAAAGACTGAAAATTGGGATATATATTGAGAGAGAGAGAGAGAGAACAAATGGTAACCTAAATTTAATAAAATAATAATAGACAAATTAGGGTAACAGGCATATGAGTATTTTTTGTTCTAACAATTCTTTTATTTTCAAACTTATCTATAATCTTACATTTATTTCCCAATAAAAAGGATTTTAAGTTAAAAAAATAAAGTTTTTCTGTAGTAACATTTTCACAACTAGGGCCTTTAAGACTGAGGAAATACTCCAAGCTCTGAGCAAACTCAGTAAGTATAAATCCATATGTAGACATACCACAGTAAAATGCAAGATACTAAAGACTAATACAATATTTTCAAATCAACCAGAGATGGAAGGCAGATTACCTACAAAGGAAGGACAATTACTTTATCACAGACTTCTCTTCATCAACGAGAACAGACAATACAGGAATAACGTCTCCCAAGTTGTGAGGGAGAATAACAGATGACATGAAATTCTACAACCAAATTAAGCATAATTCAATGGGCAGCAGTTAACAGAATTAAGCTGTTTCCAGACATCTATGGAGATATTTAACTCAAAGATGTCACTGTAAATTTGATTGTTGAGATGTAGTAATGGATACTTGGTAAGGTTATTGAATTAGTTAAACGATCTTCAAAGCTTAGGTCATGTATCTTCATTAAACACATGGTGCTTTGCATTTACTAAAGAAGGGCTTCTGTTTTCTCTCCAAATAAATCATTGCGACCTTAGCACCCCAAGTGTAAAAACCTCTTTTATTTCTATTCTTGATCTCTAGTCCCTGCTTATGTGTATGCATAAATGCATGACACCGTGCTTCTCTTTTAGTTATTTATTTCTAGAGATCATGTCTTTGAAAATCATTATATTCCCAGCAACTATTTAGAGTGGTACTAAGCTAACTTGGTTTACAGTGTCAACCGCATAGCAGTTATTTGATTGGCCCATTCCTTTATAAAATATTTTATGCTTAGATGATGAACTCTACATAAATTCAGCCAGGAGAATGTTTTCCTTGGCATTCTCTGGGAGATTACAAATGTTACTTTTTTTTTTTTTTTTTTTTGAGATGGAGTCTCGCTCTGTCTCCCAGGCTGGAGTCCAGTGGCGCGATCTCGGCTCACTGCAAGCTCCACCTCCTGGGTTCACGCCATTCTCTTCCCTCAGCCTCCCGAGTAGCTGGGACTACAGGTGCCCGCCACCATGCCCGGCTAATTTTTTTGTATTTTAGTAGAGACAGAGTTTCACCGTGTTATCCAGGATGGTCTCGATCTCCTGACCTCATGATCCGCAAGCCTCGGCCTCCCAAAGTGTTGGGATTACAGGCTTGAGCCACTGTGCCCGGCCTACAAATGTTACTATTAACTCCTCCTTCTGCTAAGAAATAAACCAAAATAAAATTATTCACAAATATAACTGTTTTGATCATGCTTTCAGATGATATGTAAGGTAGCCCACAGAAGGTAAATAATATTCAGGGGAAATAAATTATTACTTAAGAGTGGGTGCTGAGAAAAAGAAATGTGTGAAGTGTGAGGTAGGAAGTATGTGAGAAAAGCTAGGCACAGTTGTGTCTTATATTTTTGTTAAAATCTGCCTGTTAAGACTTCCTGATTGGGTAATGGGAATGATACAGTAAAATACTCTTCCTCAGAGTGTCTGACACCATTGTGATAACTTACTACATAAAAGTACAAGTTATATTATATAAAAAGACAGAATGGCCTGGCTCAGTGGCTCATGCCTATAATCCCAGCACTTTGGGAGGCTGAGGCAGGTGGATCTTCTGAGATCAGGAGTTCGGGACCAGCCTGGCCAAAAGGATGAAACCCTGTCTCTACTAAAAATACAAAAAATTAGCCAGGCATGGTGGCAGGCACCTGTAATCCCAGCTACTCAAGGGGCAGAGGCAGGAGAATCGCTTGAACCTGGGAGACGGAGGTTGCAGTGAACTGAGATCGTGCCACTGCACTCCAGCCTGGGCAACAAGAGCGGAAACTCCGTCCCAAAAAAAAAAAATGACTCCAAGAAACTGAGGTTTCTAGATGAGGGTTACACAATGTGGATCTAAAAGCAACAGGGAAAGGAAAAGGATTTGGGCCTAGAATGTGGGGAAATTTTAGATGCTGCAGAAAGCCTTCTGGTGTCTTTCTAGAATGGCTGGATTTTGGTTAAGACAAAGAAGAAGTAACTTTTCATGGAGAACAGTAGCATACAGGAGTGCGGATGGTTTGATCATTTAAGGCAGGGATGTGAGGTTTGATGGAATATGTTGATAACAAAGATTCTTTGCTTGGCCAACTTTAGTCAGGCTTCTAAATCTTCAGCTAGGCTAAACTGTGCACTTCCTCACAAAATCCAGCATTAGCAAAGAACACTGCCAAGTTTACCAAAGACCCCCTCATTCTCAATATCTGATCAGGTTCTTCATTCTTCACCATTCTGCAGGTGATGTCTGATCACCCTGGCCAGTCTTCAGCAAGAATTCTTTTAGGGCGGTTTAGCCAGAATCTCCCTTACTCCTGATGTTTCCTCTTAGTGATTTTCCATTCACTGACCCCTGCATTGCTCCTGGGCTATAAATTCCCACTTCCCCGTGCTGTATTCAGAGTTAAGCCCATCTCTCTCCCCAGCTCCAAGACTGTGTTGCAGTGGTTCCTATATCTATGGTAATGGTCCTGAATAAAGTCTTCTTTACTGTGCATTTGAAGTATCACTGAATAATTTTTTCTTTAACAATTATGGTGTTGAAACAGATTCATCACTGGATCCTGGGCCTCTCACTCAGGACCCTAAATGCATGCCTTTGAAGTCTTTGTTGTCATTTCTGACTGATTAGGGATCCATTGGTGAATCAGATTTCTGAGCCATTGCTCCACACAAAAGCCCGTTGATGGCTATGGACAGATTTTGAATCTTAAGGGATGAATATTCTCTCTGAAGCTGGGGTAGAGTCCCAGGCTTCTTTTGAAAGGAATCCTCTGGGCAGGAAGGTCTTCCTGTGGGCTTCTTGTTCTGAGTGATCTATTCTCTGAGTCCCTAGACTAGAAGTCTCTTCTTTCTGGCTCTCTTTTTCTGAGTGAGGGGTTACTCCCTGATTCCCTGAGCTACAAATTGTTCTTCCTGGCTCTCTATAAAACCACTCTGCTCTTTCTCTTCTCTCTATTGGATCCTGCTTCTCCCATGGGAGCTCTGTCACCTGAAACCCCTCTTCTCAAGTCTCTGCTGACTATTTCTCTGTCCACTCTTGCCAGACCCGTTTCTTTTCTGCTGAACTTCAGGACCCCTATCCTACCCTCCTTTGAGGGGGCTCTCAAGGGACTCAGAGGCCCCTCAAAAACAAGCACCTGGGGCTGATAATAGGAGAAAAAAAGAAACTATTTGGAAACTGATAAAGTAAAAAAAAAAAAAATCTTAAAAAACCTCCTCCACAAATATTGGTAAAAAGATTTAGCCTTTGTTATGTAGGTCAACTCAACTTATCCCTTTCTCACCAGAAACACAATTTGGATAACAATATAAAGTGGAGATAAACCAGTGAGTTTGTATTTTTGTATTACTCTGTTTTACTGCCTCATGGTTAAAAACTTTTTTTTTTTTTTTTTTTTGAGACAGAGTCTCACTTCATTGCTCAGGCTGGAGTGCAGCGGGGCAATCTCGGCTCACTGCAACCTCCACCTCCTGGGTTCAAGTGCTTCTTGTGCCTCAGCCGGGCGCCACGATGCCCCACGCCCAGCTAATTTTTGTATTTTTAGTAGAGACGGGGTTATGCCATGTTGGCCAGGCTGGTCTCGAACTCCTGACCTCAGGTGATCCACCCGCCTCAGCCTCCCAAAGTGCTGGGATTACAGGCATGAGCCACTGCACCTGGCCTGGTTAAAATTTTTTAAATGAAAAGTCATAAGATCTGGTTACATCAGTCTATATGTTTGTGTATGTGTACATGTGTGTATCTATGTTATTATGTTATGTATATGTGATATTTTTCTACCTCCAACGTTATTACCAAACTAAAATACCCAAATTGGCTAGGGATAAATGAGCACTCAAACAAATAAGAATGTATAAAATTTTCAGAAAAGTAGAAACTGACCCAATTTTTTTTAGGTTCACATAATCTGGGATATTCCTTAGTAAATAAAAACTAGTTTAAAAAATATTGGTAAAATAAAAATAGAAACATTTTCAGAACTGTCAGCATACACTTATTTTACCTGGCTTTGCTGATTAGACAAGTTTGTGTTGTTACTGTTAGATGTTTAAGGCCATAAAACCATAAATTCAACCTAAGAATAGGATATGTAGTAAAAGTAAATTGCTTAATTGTCTGGTGTATGTCTGTTGCAAATGTAAATAAGAAAACATATCTAGAAGGATTGTGAAAATCTTATCTTGTATGGTCTAAGCTGACTGAGATTGGATAGATTTATTTATAAGGTTTTATTAAAACTTAGTTTTAGTAATACATTGATTCAAAAGTAGAATTTGATCTTCTCCGTTAAAATGGTAAAGTTTTCTTGGAATGTTGGTCTGAGAATGTAAAGGGTATTTTTTTCCTTTTAAGTAATTGGCCTCAGAAACAGAGACTGTTTCATCAAGATAATTTCTTGAGTTTCATGTTGTTTTATTAGGTTTTGGTTACTTAAGAAAAGTGAGTCTTCTCAATATTAAAGGAGCTAAGTTCTTGTTCACAACTATGTAATCTGAATTTGCCTTTAAAATCTTTTAATGGAGCTTTTATTAAATAGATAACTATGGTAATATTTGTTTTAAATGTTTTAAACTTTTTGACATTTTTGACAATCTTCCCAAAATCACATTCTAAGTTAAGTCTTTTTGACCTCAAATTAACTTAGGATTCTCCATATTGGACCCTCAGAAAGCCACAAAGAATATTTCTTTTTGTATGAAAGAGAGATTAAACCAATTAGATTTATTTAATATGCTAAATTATATGTGTAGCATTCAAATAAAAAGTGATGCTAAGCCATCTTTAAGTTATATTTATGGATATATTATTGGGATAAGTGTACAAAAGTTGTATGAGATTCCTAGAAATCTAGTATGTTATCAGTCATAATTTTGGTTATTATGTTAAAATGCTGTATGCCATGCTAACCAAATTTTCTTATAAATTGCATCATTGTAATGAACTCTCATTAGATTTTTTAACCATGGACATTTTAAGTCCTTGTCATCTGTAGACAGTCATTGTTTTAATTTACTTGTTCTCTAAAAGCATTTGAAATTAGCTACAGTCCAAAATGGCTTCTTCTTCAAGGAGATTTATGGAAAATACTCTTATGAGTATTCTGGAATACAGGTTTCTGAACAACTTTAACATC
Source organism: Homo sapiens (assembly GCF_000001405.40). NCBI lineage: Eukaryota > Metazoa > Chordata > Mammalia > Primates > Hominidae > Homo > Homo sapiens. The sequence continues at coordinate 120,909,129 of NC_000001.11, forward strand.
ATACAATTGGACTGGTAAGAATTTCCAGAACTCTAATAAAACTGACGGGTTCATGTAACTACTAACCCAAGATCAAGCAAAACAAGATTTAATTACGTGGTACTGAATGAACTGATGAGAATAATTTTTAAAATGACTTTTTGTTGGAAACATTGCTAGTTCTTTAAATGTTTTGTTTTCCAGATTTCAGAAAACTTTTTTTTAAGCTATCTCTAGCTTACACCAATTCAGTAAAGAATACTTTTGTGCAAAATGGAAACATTTACTTTTTCTCCCTAACTTATCCCTCCAGAATTTGGAAACTATTTGTGCATATTCTTATTTTTATGGCAAAGTATTTATTTGCATAAGTTTAATAAGAATCTGTTGTCTTTGTAACAGGACAAACTGGAAACACAGGTTATATCACCAAGGCTTTGACTGAAACATCATGTTTTCAGATATGACCAGAAGGCTTTAGGGGACTAAGGTTGGCTTTATGGAACCAATAAAGTACCATCTTGGAAAAACTGGCTCTAGGGTTCCCAGACTTACAGGTAAATAAAGAATGTCACTGTTTGGCAGGTGTGGAAACCTTGGGATATTTTAGGGACCTCAAGAAGAGAGAAATTTATCTGAATCTATAAATGTAACAGGTGCAGACTAATGACAAGTTTTGGGCTTGTATCCCAGCCTCAAGTGGCTTTTAAAAGTTTAATCTGACTGGAGACAGTGGCTCACGCCTGTAATCCCAGCACTTTGGGAGGCCAAGTCAGGTGGATGACAAGGTCAGGAGTTCAAGACCAGCCTGACCAATATGGTGAAAGCCCTGTCTCTACTAAAAATACAAAAAATGAGCCAGGCATAGTGGCACGCACCTATAATCCCAGCTACTCGGGAGGCTGAGCAGAAGAATCGCTTGAACCCAGGAGGCGGAGGTTGCAGTGAGCCAAGATCGCACCACTGCACTCCAGCCTGAGTGACAGAGGGAGACTCTGTCTAAAAAAACAAAAACAAAAAGTTTAATCTGAGATTTCTTATCTGACAAACGCAACCTTTAAAAGAGCCTAAATGGTCAATCACTACTCTTAACTGCACTTGTGTACATAAACAGTACAAGTTTAATGAGATTAAACTTATTTAGCAAACAAATCAATCTGACTTTGATTATCTTTGACAGAAATGAGAGTGAATATAGAGAGAAAAGTTATGTTTCGGGAGAAAACTGCAGTGCACCCAATATTAGATTCTAGCTGTTTTTTTTTTTTTTTCTGAGGTTTTATTATCTGCCTGCAATCTGCAATAGATCCTCAATTTTTCTAGTTTACTACAATATTTAGCTACAATACTCCAAATTAATATTTCATTTTTTTCCTGCTATTCTGGCTTGGAATCACTAAAATTATAAACTTTTCTTTTCTTGAAGTCCTTCAAACTGAAACTGGATGACTTGACATAAGCTTCAGAAAAATTACCACAACAGCTTGTGTGTGGCCCATCTTTATGGCATTCAAACTGCAAACTAATCCAATGCCTCTTCTCACTCCAGCTGAAGATATTAAAAGCCCAGCATCTAGAAATCTTATTGATCAGCTGCCCTCTGGGCTCAGAAACTGTCTTTATAGTTCGTTCCAACTATTAATCTTTTTTAATTTTATTTTTATAGAAACTAAACTTCCCACATTAAAGGCCTGATAGCTCACACTATCCAGGAAATATCCTCTGCTACCAAGTCCCAACAGATGATTCAACTGGTCCTTAATGAATAAAAGGTGATCAAACAAGAAAAGAGACTTATACTGTTTGAAGGAAAGATGAATGTCTCTTCTTTCCTTAAACAAGAAGTAGTACTAACAAAGATTCCTTGCTTGGCCAAACTTTAGTCAGATGTCTATCTTCCTTGCAAAATCCAACTTTTTTTTTTTTATGTCGTACAATGTGATGTTTTGTTCTTTTTAAAATTTATTATTATTATACTTTAAGTTTTAGGGTACATGTGCACATTGTGCAGGTTAGTTACATATGTATACATGTGCCATGCTGGTGCGCTGCACCCACTAACTCGTCATCTAGCATTAGGTATATCTCCCAGTGATATCCTTCCCCCCTCCCCCCAACCCACAACAGTCTCCAGAGTGTGATGTTCCCCTTCCTGTGTCCATGTGTTCTCATTGTTCAATTCCCACCTATAAGTGAGAATATGCGGTGTTTGGTTTTTTGTTCTTGCGATAGTTTACTGAGAATGATGATTTCCAATTTCATCCATGTCCCTACAAAGGACATGAACTCATCATTTTTTATGGCTGCATAGTATTCCATGGGGTATATGTGCCACATTTTCTTAATCCAGTCTATCATTGTTGGACATTTGGGTTGGTTCCAAGTCTTTGCTATTGTGAATAGTGCCGCAATAAACATACGTGTGCATGTGTCTTTATAGCAGCATGATTTATAGTCCTTTGGGTACCTACCCAGTAATGGGATGGCTGGGTCAAATGGTATTTCTAGTTCTAGATAGAATGTTTCCTCTTATAACTCATAGTGAATATGACTGGACAATGAAACTATTTTGTAATTTCTTTCCTGAAAGATAAAGGCGTTAGAACATAGAATCTTTCATTGATTCTACAGAATCTTAAGACTCCTTCAGAGATGGCAGTCATTCCTACCGTGCTGAACATCATGTTGTCACGGTCAGAATCAGAACTAAATTGATTAAGGGTCTGAAACAGTTTGGCACTCTTGGGCACTTATTCTGATAAGAAAGCTGATGAGACAGGGTAATGAAAAGAGGCTGCAAGAAATGACCATTCATGCATTCAGCCAACATTTAGGCCACCCTCCTGTATTCCAGGCACTGTACGTGGCACTGAGAATGCAAAGCAAAACGAGTCATGGTCTACTGGTGGGAGCCTTCTCAGCGGAGAAAAGATCAATAAGAAAAGTGCCTGCTGGAGACCTCTCCTAGGGCATAAACCAATATAGAGGTGGGGCAGCTACGTCACCCTGAGGTGTCCTTAGGCAGAACAGAAAGTGAGAATCAGAGCAGTATCTCATTTCTGAACACCTGGATTGTAGCTTTCCCTGGACTGACTGTCAAAGGAGGTGGTTTTAAAAAGCAAGCCAAACAGGTTTCCATCCTTTAGGAAGACCCTGGAACGTGCCAGTTGATTCTGACAATTTCTCATGAACAGAAACACCTAGGAAGGGAGAACTGGTGAGTCTTTTCAAGAGGAGGAAGTCCCTCAAAAGGGGCTGTGTTTCGCAAACGGCGCCCCAAAAGGGCTGAAATACTTCGATCTGGAGGAAAAAGACTCAGGCACTGAGGGAAGGGGAGGGTGCACATCTGGAGTAATTTCAAGGCTTTTTCCGTGTTATCTGAGGTGGCAACAAGTAAAGATTTGTTCGTTTTATTATTTTTTTAATTTTTAAAGATTTTCTTTTCCCTCCTTTTCCCCCTCCCGGCCACTCCGGTTTGTGTTTGCCACAAGACTCATAATTCCTTTAGAAAGTGGAGTCGAATTCATAAAAGTGATGGGGGGAGAGCGCGGAGAGGGAAGGCTGGGAGCCCCAGGGAGTCTTCACTACCTACACTGCCGCTCAGCTCCCGGCGCGAGTGGAGGTCGGGGTGGGGAGACGCGACTCCTGCCCGGGATGGCTGACACTCTGCGAGCCCCGGCGGCCCGCGGCCGGGCCGGGTGACTAGGCGGAGGGCGCGGAGGGTCCGCGGCGGGCGGGTGGCGCTGCAGCAGCCTGGGCACGGCTGCCGCCGCCCGCGGGCGAGAGTGTGCACGGGTGTGGAAGGCCGGAGTGCGGGCCGTGAGGGGTGTGCGCGCTTGAGCCGGAGCGGGGCTCGCCCCTCGTCGGCTCCCGCCGCCCAGCCGGTGATCGCTCTCCGGCCGTCCCCGGCACCCTCGGCCCCCCACGGCGGTTGGTCCGGGCGGGGGAAGGAGAAAGTGAGACTCGGTTTCATCACCAATCCATCGCCAGAAGGGGAGGAAATTGGAATCCAGCAGCGGCGAGCAGCAGCTGGGCGGTCACATCTGGAAATGGAAAGCCGACCTCCCCCTCCTCCTCCACCTCCTCCTCCTCCTCCTCCTCCTCCTCTCACCCAGGATCACTTCCGAAACCACTTGGCCTTCAGCCCCTGCCTCGGCCAGAGGTTTCATTTTTAACTGAATATTTACGAAAGCTGAAAGCGTGCGAGGGGGGTGGGGTGGAAATAGCGGCTGCTTCTTTTCCAAGGATTTATTTAATGGGGATGTGTTCAAGGCAAGACCGAATTCAGAAGGATATCGACGTCGTGATCCAGAAGTCCAGAGCTGAGGACTGCCTGTTTGCAGGTGAGTTCTTGCTTTTCCAGAACCTCGGACCCAGCGCCCCCTTCCCAGTTCTCTGACCGCGACGTGTGTGGCTGGGGGTGGGGTGGAGGGTTTGCACGTCCGCATTCCGGGGTTCATTTGGCAACAGCTGCTGCAACGAACGCGGGAGCCAAAAGCGGGAGGGGGCGCCAGCCTCGCCCCTTCCCCTCCCCCCACCCCCAAGTCTGGGGCAGCTACCAGCTTTGAGGGCAGAACCCGCGTGGCCCGAGCGGGGGTCTAGGCGAAGGGGCAGTGCGTGGTATTTCCAGCCCCGCGTAGTGCCCGAAGCCTGCAAGCACGCCTCATGGGTTCCAGCAGCGGCGGCAGAGCGGGGTTGGTTGGACCCGCCAGGTTTGCGTAATGGGCTGAGCGGCGGCGGCCGGGAATGGAGCCTGCTGCGTTGCGCTCGTAAGCTGCGTCCGGCGCCGAGGACCCCCGGGGGGCAGCGCTCGGCCCATCTCCGGCCCCTTCGGCTCCATCTAGTCCCCTCCGACTGGCAAAGAGAAGGGATTCCTCGGATTCCCAAGGCACCCAGCGCCCCTGCCTGGGGGGTCGCCTTTCGTCCATTTTGCTCCCCCGGGAGAGAGATCGGATTTTGCTTTCGCTGCCGCGAGCCCGGCTGGGGCTGCTTCCGGCCGCCCCGACTGGGAAATTCCCGCCGTTGCCATGGCACCCGGCACTTGCTGCCGGGGGCGGCCTGCCGCTGCACCCAGTCGGGGGCGCGCCGCATCCCCTGGGACGCTGCGCGGAGAGACCTCGCCGCCCTCTAGCCCTCGCCACCCGCCCGGCCAGGCCTCCCCTGACTCCACCAAATGGAGCGCCCAAGTCCTGATCGGGGTTAAAACAAATCCACTCCAGGGGTAGCTTTTGACAGGACTTTCTGTTTCAGATTTCAGATACTCAGACTCCACCTTTACTTTTACCTATGTTGGCGGCCCCAGAAGGTATTTATGGGTGTAGAGTTGCTTCATTTCCTGTTCACACTCTTGTGTTTCCTTTGTTCTTAGCGTGTTCCGTGTTCGGGTATTTTGGTTGCTTGTTTGATTACTGTGGCTTTTCTTTACCTACAACCCAAGCCTGACGTCCCTCGGTTTTAAATAGCAGGGGGAGGGGAATCAATGTTTGATTCAGGTGTTTCGAAGACCACGCCACAGGCGATGAGCAGAACTCTTCATGTTGAAACGGTTCTGCTACAGTACTAGATTGCTCTCAGGCGATTTGGGGTTGATACAGGCAAGCCGGTGCAAAACTGGAATACTGGATATGAAGTGAAATGTATAAAAGACATAAAATGTCACAAAATAGTTTGATCACAAGTGTTGATTTTCCTGGTGAGTTGGGGCTGCGTGTTTCCATGTTTTCTGAAGGTTCACATAAACATGCAGCCTGCCAATTCTCTGTATATTTTTTTTTTCAATGAGTGGTATTTCGGTTTTCACGTTTAGTTGTAAGACAGAAATTGGAGACTTATATGTAGCTGGAGTGGATGACTTCTTTCTTTTGGGGGAAGAATGAGAGATGCACATTTCGTTAGTAAATTGTGAACAACTTGAAACAAACCCAAATCCAATTGTGAATTTAAGAAGTAGAGTTAAAATGAAAGGTAGCCATTCAAATACTATGCCTTGCTGCCTTCACTTATTAAGTTAGGATTTTCTTCCTTTTAGCCCTTTAGGGATACAGTAGTTTAAAAGAGCAGTAGCCACATATGAAAGGATCAGATTTAGCTTAGAGGGAATTCCTTAGACCAGCCCTGCTGTTAAGACTTGACATTCAATATTGTTTGATCACATTCCAAAATATAGCTTAGCTAATGGCAACATTTGTAAACATATAAATTGCAAAAGAAGCTTTCTTGTGTACATACATTTTTAAAAGCTTGAAATTGATGTGAACTTTTAAAAACACGTAGGATCTGTATTACATTCTACATCTCAAAACAAATTTAATTAAAGTGAATATCATTCCAGTATATACAATATGCCTAAGACCCAGAATTGGCACACTGATTTACTAGTTGAAAATATAACAGTATTCACCAAACTTCAATGTATACTTTTTGGAGAGAATGAAATTACAGTATTTCTTAATTTACTGTAATGTCATCTTTGTAATTATGAATTAACAATTCAATGAGAGGAGACTTGGTTGATTAAATTAATGCTGGTCCTACACATTATATCTAAAGGATCTTCGTATATGACTACTATCTTCTTGGATTATTTTAACAGTTAAAATATACAAAGTGGCCCATTAAAAACAGAGTTGACTTTTCACCATTGCTGTTTTTCTGGTGAGACATGTGGAAAGGAAGGACAGGTGGACTTTTCAACTAACTAGCTCTCTGATTTTTAATAAGATACCTCAGTTCTTTTGGCCTCAGTTTACTTATCTGTACAAAGGGTAAGTCATATGCTTAATCACTAAGATCTGTTAGATACTGCAGTTAAGATTCTTTATCAACAAATTACTGAACTCTAGTGTTAACATAGCTAGAGGTGGAAAAGGAAGCAAGACCAGGTGTTGGGATGAATAATTAACTAATCGAGATAACATCAGTTTTCACCATAGGAACAAGTACCATCGTTGCTCTTAAAGTAAGAGATGTTTCCTATTTTATGTAATTTTACTAAGGGATAATGTTTTCTTTTGTCACTGATTTAAATGTACCTGGATGTTTCTCAGCCATGTGGCTAAGATCGAACACAAGTAATACCTGGGCCTTTTATATCTAATCTAATGTAGACCAGCCTGTTAAAAGAGAAAGACAATTGGTTAAACTGCTGATGTGTTGCTTTGTCTTCTCAAAAGCTTGTTCTATAATACAATATGTAAAAAGTTGTTACAGTGTAGTAACCGTAGATAATCCCTTTATGATTTGTACCTAATGACGAAGACCTTTTATTTTCTGAAAATAACGTGTTTGTTTTCATTACCGACATTAGAAGCCAATATTTATTAATCTATTTCTCATCCTGACATTTCAGTCAGACTCTTAAAATAATCTTGCTGTGTTTTGATTTAATGTGCTTATCAACTTATAATATTGAATTAATGTTAATAGTGTCATTTTAGGTGAACTAGACTTCATTGAAGGAGGTGGGAGCCTTATGGAGAGAGAGTATATGATTATCTCTATTTGTATTTAATTACCATTTCATCTAACCATTCAGAACATATTTCAAGAATAATTTTAATTCAAGTTGTAGATAAAACTTACTATACCATTTTCATTTTGACGCTTTCCGAGAATGAGATACACGGTATTTTAAAGACAAAGATTGATCTTACATGTTACTATTAAAAAAAACACGATAATTTTGTTCTATATTTATACTTTTAATTTTTCTGTGGATAATAAGAAATGCCAAGAGTCGATTGTGTCCATGCTGGCAAGTGGCCTAATAAATTGTCCTTTTATTTGGTGGTCCTCAGAGTGGCAGTTAACATCTTGCTATTCTGCCTTGTGGACTTGAGGTGGAAAGGTTCATGGAATTATATCCTTGCTTTTGGATGTGCAAACTGAGGCTCAGAGAGTTTAAGACACATAGTCACTTTCACCAATTAAATGATGAAGCTGCCATGTAAACGTATTTCATCACACTCCCGAGACCTTCTTCTCCAGTAGTGTTTTCAAGCTTTTTGAGCATGCAGACACTACCAATCAAAAAATTATGTAGAGACATACTTGAGAGTTACAGTTTAAAGAAAAACAAGGTGTAATTATTTGGTTATTAGTAGCATTTACATATGCTTGAAAACTTCTGCTATATATACAGTAAGATTAATTTATTCTAACAATGATCTTGATAATCCCCCTGATTCCCAGACTCCTTGGAATAGCTCCACAGCTATCAGTGGTTCTGCCACAGGTTCAGAGCCTTCCCAGTACTGCCTTCTTATTTGAGAGGTGTGCTAAGAGCTATAAAGCAGAGGCTTCAATTGTACACAATTGGGAAGTTTAGGCAAAAGTCATTTCTTCCCTATATTTTGTCATGCTTATCTCCTGTCTCTTTCTGTTTTACAGATTAGCAATAAACTCCTTAAAACCCAAAGGTTTGGGCTTCTGTTCCTTTCACTTGCAGTCAGACATGGAGTTAGTGGTAGAAGAAACAGAAGGGGTAACCTGCATGGTGACAGCTACTGAGGGGATGGATAGGAAAGCAGGCTGAGTCCCTGGGGCCAGTGGTTACCAAAGCCAAGGAGAGAGCAAGGGGAGCCCAGTGGGCCTGGCCATGGACTGCTCTGGAATTCCGAGTGTGAACTTTCAGCCAAGAAGGTAGTGTGAAAATATTACTGTGAGGTTTTAAAAGTACACAAATAACAATTGTTTTTTGTAAAAAGAAAAAAAAAAGTTAGAAAAAGAGATATGCCAAAAAGAAGAAAGTAAAAAATACATGACTTCTGTCTTCTGTTAACATATTAAAATTTATGCTTTTAGATTTTTATGTGTCTATATACATGTAAAATATATATGCATCCCCAAATTGTATTATACTCTTTTGAGACCTCACATTTTTTTCACCCAAGAATATAACATTAATTTCTTTCCTTTAGAAAAGACATGAGACTAAAGAATGTTTATTGAGTTGAGAGTTTCCCAATCAAGGAGTATGACTCTGTATAATAATAAATCTAATGTTTTATTAGAAATTATAATAAAATTAGAAATTTAATATTTGGCAGGATGTGAGTTGCCTGCATATGTACACCCTTTATTATATGACTAGACACTCTTTTGTGTGGTCATGGATATATTGGCATCTTTTGAAGTGTATCCTTTTTGTTTCAGGAGCTTCTGTCTAGATGAATAGCAAGTGTGACACTGATAATAGTAATCGAATATTCCTCCAAGTACAGGCTCCTTCCTCTTTCTCCTGGACCTTTGCACATGCTGCCTGGAAAACTCACCCACAACCTACTTTCCATCCTCTCCTTCGGCTCATCCCTGCTCAGCCCTCTTTGTTGAGATATTTGCCAAGCCAGATTCTCTGAGAAGCCTTTCCTGGCATCTTCGTCTATATAATTCTGCTAGTTGTTTCTAAAACTATGTTGTTAGTGTATATTGTAATCACCTATTTATGTCTGTTTGACTGTGAGCCTCTTGGAGATGGGAATTCTCTCCTATGCATTGCGGTTTCCCCAGCCCCTAGCACACTGTCTAGCCCAGTATTCCTTCTCAGTAAGTAGGTGTTGAATGACTTACAAAATGAATGCTAAAAGACCTGGTAGACAAGAAGGAATTTCTTAGCCTAAATGACCAGATGTGGAGAAGATACTCAAACACTTCAGGGTCCCCAATCTGGTGATGTCACTTGCAGTGGAATTTCATATGAATCCAGTGTGACAGAAGTTGCCTAGTCAAGTTGTAAGTCCTCTTCTCTGGGTCACATGTTCAAATACTTTTAGGGGACAGATAATGCAATATTTAAGATACAGGAAGTGATGAGGACTGTGGCACACTGGAGAGTTTGGACTCCAAGAGTAATTAATTCAGTTGAAAAAATCAACAGCACTCTGTTGATCAAGCAAACTTTCTAGGGGCCCTAATCCACCTGGGCCTGCAGTATGTAATTCCATAACTCATGGGATGCCATCAAGAGAGACAATCTACTTGATTGCTAAAGGGCCTTTGTTTTCTTTGGAGTTCCCCAGGAAGGAGAAATGTATGTGTGTGCAGGGGTGAGGAGGGGGGAGAGTGAAGAAACAATACTATGCCCTTAAAAATGTTTGTCAGTTTTCATTATGAAAGAAGATCAAACGTGCCCACTCCAGAAATCTTGGCATATGCAGTTATTTTGAAGCCATTCAGCGTTCTTCAAGATGTCACAATGAAAAGAGTGATGATTTTTTAAATAAAAAATTAACATGTTTCTCTTGGCAATGGGACTTTCTCACCATACTTTTAAGTTACATCACTTATTATGTATTCAAAATACTGATTTTTTAAAAGTATGTTCCTTGGAGCCCTGGGAACCTGCCTCAGGAGCTGGGGTGGCTGTGGGGAGGGAGTATGAAGGGAGCTGAATGAGTTAGTGAGAATCTGGGTCTTCATATCTTTTTTAAAATTGTGGCTGCTTTTTTCTGTTCTGTATAACAACTCTTTTTGAAAACAGTTTCATTGTTGAGTTTTAAAACCACTGACCTAAAATAACCACCAATTTAACGTAAGTATAACTTCATTGAGTTTTTTTGTATTAAAAAAATTAAACTCCATTTTCTTCATGGATTAAGGTGATCCTACTAGGATATTTATTAAGCATTGTCTCTGCTGTTCTTTTTGCTTGCCTTGCTTTATCCCGTGTTTCCAAAAAATACAAATAGGTATTTTGTCAGCTATTTTACATTTTATAGCAGGGAAAACAGAGGCTTGGGTGATTTAAGTAAGTTACAGTTAGTAAGAGCCATAGGATACATTTCGGTGTAAGTCAATGTTTATGTAAGGCTTAAGGGACATTGGTTGAATTGGCATGACTAGAATAGTTGGGAATGTTTGGGAATGGGGAGAGATTGCTAATGGGATGTCTGCCAGGGGCAATACTGAAAATCTGCTGGTTGGCAAAGGTAGTGCCTGAGCCCAGTGCTAACCATAGTAGTTGGAAAATTGTGTACGTTGGCTGTGGAATCCTTATGCAAATATTTGTCCAATCCATCTAAATTTCTCTCTGCAGCATTTTTAAAAAGACATATAGCTGAAATTTTGTCAGTCCTAAAAATATTTTGTATTTCTCTGCCCAGATTTGCATTTGGGTAGATCGTGCTGTAGAAGATATATCTTGCTTTAAGATAGCTGCCACTGATTAGTTTAGTCTATTTTAATCAACTTATTGCCTTGTAATCTTTCCTTTTTCATTCTCTAAATTTCTGAAATTCTATCTTTCATGTTCCCCAGGAAAGACTAGTAAGACGTGTTTTTATTAATAAGACATTATCCTCATTTCACCATGACATAATTTGGGCTTTCTGTTCCAAGTTATCCTACTTGAATGCTGGACACTTCCACCTGAATATTTGTCATTTTCACCTCAACCCAGCACATCAAAACAATCCCTTATTACCTCTTTAAAAGAAGCTTCTCTCTCCAGCCTTTTCCTAGTCAGTATCACATCTTTTGAGACAGGTATGGGGATTGCTGTTTCAGATTTCACCTCAAGTCTTCCTCTTCTGGTTCCTGAAGCTCCGGCAACCTCTGCTTTGAAACATTGTTGGCCTCTTCATCCCATCCCATGTCAATATTTAGCCCATGCCCTGTTGGCTTTGACTTAGCTCAATCACCTTAACCCAGTGTCTTAAAATTCTTGATTTTGAGTTTCTTACCCATCCAGTTTATTTACACCTGAACTCTTTAAGCATGAAATTAATCATTCTTCTGTTCAGAAGCCTTCGAATGTGACCACAGCTTTTTCCATATAGACCTAAAACTTATATTCTTGGCCTTTGAGAGCTGCCTTCCCTACCCACTGATATATGTTTCTCATGCTTCCTAACACCTACATGCTTCTGTTTGCTTAGTGACCACCCCCCACCCACTCATCAGCAGTTTGTATTAATTTAGTGTAAAGCTGTGTAAAGTTTATTGATTGATAACATCTGTGTCAAGATCATGGTTTTTATTATAAAGAGCAGTTCATTGTGTTTTTTCCTTGCCCACGAATGGTATCTCTGTTCATTAGGATACATAATATTTTATGCATAGGAGGATAGAGTGAGAATATGAGTAGAACAAAGTAAGAATGAGAGGAGAGAATAGTGAAATTTGAGGATAGGATGAGAATGTGAATAGATTTATGTCCATCCATTACAAGATTAATAACCACAACGACAAAAGTCTTGAATGTTATTTATTTGCATATGAGTGATATTTCAGTTTGTGGCTGATACCCTTTTGGTATTAAATGGAAGATGACAAATCATTCAATATTAATTTTAGAGGGAGACATCTATTGAAACTTTTGTGCAGTCAGGTCAAGTTTCTGTGTACAAAAATTAGCAGAGAGGTTGCTGCTGGTTGACTTCCCCTAGGATGGTGTCTTTCTGAACATTTTGAAATGTAGATTGAAAAGGTGGATTTGTCAACTAACTCTGAAGTGCTGTAGTTAGTTGTGTTTTCATCATTGTTTTATTATTTATTTTATTTTTAAGATGGAGTTTTCGCTCTTGTTGCCCAGGCTGGAGTGCAGTTGGTGAGATCTTGGCTCACTGCAACCTCTGCCCCCTGGGTTCAAGCGATTCTCTTGTCTCAGTCTCTCAAGTAACTGGGATTACAGGCACACACCACCACGGCCAGCTAATTATTTTGTATTTTTAGTCGAGACGAGAATTCACCATATTGGCCTCAGGTGATCGGCCCACCTCGGTCTCCCAAAGTGTTGGGATTATGGGCGTGAGCCAGCCACGGTGCCCGGCCTGTTTTATTGTTTGTAAAACAAGTACAGGTTGTTATTATCCAAGAATTGTTGATAGAGTATATACTGTATTTGAAGTGTAGAACTGAGGCAGAGGCTGATTCATATAACTAGTTTACATTTGTTAGCCTTTCACATCTGTGAAGGAATAAAGTACAGACAAAAGTGGAAAACAAACCAGGAAAAAAAAATTGTGAAGCACAGAGCTGCTTAAAAGAAAAAAGTCACAGAAATAAGTCAGTATTTTGTTTAGAGACTAGAACTCCAACTGCTAGCCAACTGCCTAGAATATAGTAAATATTTTCTAGTTTCTTAAATGACTAGTAATATTCCTACATTATGTGATGGCATTTCCCAAACTGTTTAATTAGATGTTAGATTTGTAGCCAAATATGTCTAGGAAATGCTTAAACAATATAAAACGGTTTTAATGATTGGCTTTTTAGAACGTTATATATTAGTGTGCTTTATGCATATCCAAGAGGTGAGTGAGGTATTTGGGGTTTTTCAGACTTACTTGATTACAGATCTGGAGTATCTCAAAACAGTTGTTTTGTGGAAAACACTCTGGCAAACTCTGAGTCTTAGTCATTAAAAATAGTTTTTGGGTAAACAACAGTGTAATAGAGATGGAAATTACTGATTCACATTGAGCCATGAAGAATTTATTTTCAGCAATTTTTATAGAAGTTGCTTTATGACAAAGAAAGCTTTGGTTAACTGGCATTTGGCATTTCATACCCCTAAATTTTCTACATGAGGATTTATTTCTCTGGTTCTCTCACTTTCTCACTCAGTTATACTGAATTCATTTATGATGAGCGCTCTCAACCATTCTTATTCATCAAAGCCCTGAAGTTGGCAGAGCCCTCTCTGGTACCTGATTAGAAGTCCGTCTTCCATCTCATAGGGAAGTGTTAGAGATGGATAATGTTTCTGTGTAGCAGAAGTAGTCATTATGTCCCCTTAAATTCGGTCACTTTGACTGCAGTAGAGCTTCTTAGTGAGCAGTCTGTGATGGAGTATACTTTCGGAGAAGCTCATGGTGGGGGAAATCTGGAATTTATCTAAATATTTCATTTCTTTGATAAATTACATTAAAAAATTAATGAGAGTATCTATTTGGTGAAATCATTTTCCTCCACGTGACCAAATGAGAAATTTAGTGAAAGATTTAAAATCATTTTTCAGACTTTTTCCACATTAGTCGGGAAGCAAACCCCTTTTTTAAGGCAATGTCAGTTATTAAGCTTTAGGGAACCACATGCCACTTTAGGTAACACGTGATTGGAGAGATTGAAGAGTGAAGTCCCTGCTTTAAAGTGTACTCCTGTGGACACAGTAATACATATATTTAAAATGGTTCATGTTAAGAGTAGGTATATTTCTATCTAAATACTCTGTAGCTTTTGTGATTCAGGGAAATGAGTGGAGCCTCACAGGCACAAGAATCTAGTAAATTCTAGGTTTCTTGTGTGGAAATCAGTGGGCAAAATCTTAACTGAGTGAATTCTTGATTATTGGTATCACATTTGTTAGTCTGTATGTATCTGTGTCATCGATCTCCTTAAGAAGAGACTCGTAGATATTGACTGGGAGACCCAAGCTGAATGCTAAAATCTGCTCCATGGATATAAGCTGATGCAGTCATCATTTCACATTAAAATGTACCACAGCTATATATGCAGCAAAAAAAAAAAAGAAGTTAGTCCCTCCAGCTGAAAAGTGGTCATTACTTTATTATCACCACAGAATTTGAAATGATTTCTGTAGTTAACAGTCAGATTTTATTTTTACTTAACTAAGACAAAGTGAATAATTCACTGTGAGCCAAATTCTTTCTTGATTCCTCTTTTTGGAGCAGTCCATCTTTATGGGAAAACCAGCCTAGAATGGTGATTTCAGTTTCAGGTGATTTCGATAGAATTGTATTTGGCTCAGAAATGATAAGACTGGGGCCAAGAAAAATTTTAAACTTTTTTTTTTGTAATCATATTACTAGTTTGATTTCATATGAACTTCCTTTGTTGACTTTCTTTGCCATTAATTTAAAAGTTCCAGTATCCTCAATATTTGATGTCTTATATGTACAGAATCCTTTCCAGCTGTAAGTCATCAGCAAGTAAAAAATTTAGTATGGCAATAGTTTTCATAAGAGGTTTTTTAAAACAGAAAAATGTTGACATTGCCAGCCTCTGGGTTGCATTTTGGGATATGCTACATTTCAAAGGTATCTTTTAAATCTGAAGGCAAAGACTTTTTCAACATCTGAATATTCTGATTTACAGAAATTAAAAAAAAAAACCCCGGAACATTACACGGGCATATAAATTTGAATCAGGAAAATATAAAATTAGCTGATTATTTTTATTCAGTAAAAGTGCCTTGGCACAGAACTAAAATTGATAACTTATGGTTTTAGCATGTAGATAAGTACATGAGAGTAAATCACATTTCTATATGAATAGAAATATCCACTTTATTCATGTATAGATTATAAAACTATACTAAACAAAAAGTAATCATTTACTATTACAAAAATTATTAAGAACCATTACAAAAATTCTCTGCCTACTAATTTTCAATCACCATAGAAATACAGTATTTAATAATGCTGCTGCTGTACTTACATAAAACATATTAAGAATAGATGTTATATTTCTGTGTTTGAATATTGAGCTTAAACATAAAACATGTTTGAAATGTGTTTGTGTGTGTCTCTCACACACACACATAACATGTACATACCTGAAACTCATACTGCAATTGCAACACATCTTAAGTTTTTCCTTTTAAACATACCAAGATAACATTCTAAAATGAAGAATAATATCTATGTCTCTCTTCCTACTACATACTATCTCTCTATTTATATGCAATTGCTATAAACATATCTTCATATTTGATATATATAGGTACATATATATGGATAGATAAATATAGATATATGAGAGAGAAATGGAGATTAGAGATCTATGTTTGCCATAAATCATACTTGTTAACATAAACCATCTGATTAAACTGATATTTTGTGGCCCAAGACCTGAGACATGCAAAACTATTCTTAGCAGATAGAATTTTCTAAAAGCTGAGAGCTCATTCTCCAGGAGCTGGCCAAGGACCAGTCCTAAAGGCAGACCTTTCTTGGAAATGTACAGAGTCTGGGCAAACAAGACCTGCTGAGTTAACCCTTTCCTATACATATGCAGACGGTATTCAGCACAGGGCCTGACAGAAGGCAGTGTTTGTTATTATTATTCATAGCATTAGCCCATTTCTTGTTGTGAGCAACATGAACAAGGAGACTAAGGGGAAAAAATGCCCTTTTTTAGGGTGACCACCCTAACTGATTTGAAAGTCTACAATTTTTTCAGTTTAAAATGGTATTTATTTGTAACATGTACTATTATTGAATAACAATTTCTAATAAAAAAACTACGCTAGTTTTCTGCCTATGGAGAAGCCACCTTTTTATTCTTTTACTTTCTTAATAAGCTTGCTTTCACTTAAAAAAAAATCTACCCTACATATACACAAAAGTTAAAAAGCAGCAATAGTGTACATTGGTCAGTATAAATGCATGCAGTTTTCTTTTCTTCAGTGTACAAAGTCCAAGTCTAAACCTTTATAATTTTTAGAGTCTAGCGATTCTCCAGACTCCATACTTTTCGTTGTTATCAGATGCCAGCGTTAATTGCCTTTCCTTTCTTCTGTTTTGGGTTCCTGATCTTCATCTGTGTCTTTAAAACAGATTATTTTCTTTAGATTTGAAAGGTTGGGTTTTTGTCTTCATTTCTTATTTGTTTAGCCTTGTATTTCCCTTTCTTTAATTGAATTGTGTTATTGAAAATTAAATAATTTATCTGTGAAGTCAAAAATCCTGTTTCAGGGTGGGCTCTAGAGCCTTCCTCTTGGGCCATATCCTTAGAAAGCCTGTGTGTATTCTGATACATTTGGCAATTTCTACTGGCTTTTCTTGTATTGTCTGACCCCTTTTTATTTCAGCGGTGCATCCTGGTCTTACCCAACAGGCAAGTGGTGACTCCAGTGCAGGTGACGCAGAGGTGACACTAGAATGAAGTGAAATATTCTGTTGAGGGCTAAGTTCATGTTTTTGCTGACAGTGGTGGATAAATGTCATGGCTTCCCCCTGCATAGTGCTTAGGACATTTCTTTTGATATGTGTTTTAGAGAAAACATAAAACTTGTAATCAGGAAAATGCAATAACGGAAGAAATGCTTACTTGAGTAACTAATGTGAGTTAGGCAAAGAAGATACAAATACTTCCCATTTCCTACTTCTAAATTACAGTCAAATTGTCCTAAGCAAATCTCTCATTGTCTCCATGTAAAAGATATAGAGAAGCCATTAGAAAAAGGTGGCTGGAACAACTTTATACATACAGCCTGAATGAACTGCCTCATCATTTATATGTTTGAGGAAAGTGTCTGTTTGATAATTTAAATTAAGTTTAAACTGTCATAAACGGAGAGCTGTACAGATTCTGTGGGAGAGGATACTGGGGTACCAGATACTCATTACTAGGCTCTCCACTCTGCCTTCTTCAATACTCTGGATCGGTGCCCTTTATTCATTTTTTTCACAACTTCCTCCCCTTTGCTCACATTCTTTACAAGCTTCCAGGATTTTTTAATTTTATTTTATTTCTTTCCACAATGACTCTCATGGCTGTTGCTATAGTTGCTATAAAAGGCAAGGTGGGGAACAGACAGGTGAATGAGCACAGAGGTCATTTGTAAACCGTTTGTGGTTAGTGCTCCTCTGTTTACTGTCTGTCTGTCTCTCTCAGTGTCTCTGGGTATGTGTCTGTTTACAACATAAAATATATGCACACAAATCTCCAATTTTTCTAGAGTAACTATTAACACAGTTAAAATCTGGAAGAACTCTATCTTTTAAAGGAAATACCAATTAGCAAATAAAAGAGTTGATTCCCCCCAACTCTCATTCCCCAGAGCTTGCTTAAGTGTATGGTTTGCACACATTCCCTAAATAAAAACATTGCTGGCTCATAACTATGCTTCACTTTCATAAGCCTTCCAAATGTTAGTAACTTAGCCTTCTCCTTTTGAAGGGTTAGTCTGTAAGTGATACTGGAAGCCATGTGGTAAGAAAGAGGACAGAAGTATAAAATCAGACTCAGAAAGTAAAATCTGGCATATTTGGCATAGATCCATTCAGCTTCGTATACTTTGTTAGGACCCGAGGGCATGCCTGATTTTCATAAAATCGATGCACTGTTATTAAAACAAACAGGTGAAAATCACTTTTGTTAAACTACTTGACAAGGCATCTGACTACCTTAAGTGTGTTATAAATTTTGCAAGTGGTTAAAATTTTATGCTTATGAATTCAAAAGATAGACTTTAGTTAAATTAAAAACTAATTTATGTAGATATTTTCCCTAATAATATAGCACAAATGGGTTTTATTTCCAACTGAAAAGAGTATTTATTACCATGGATATAACTAGAAGAATCATATAAATATATGTAATTCCATTAGAAAATATTTTTCTTAAAATTTGAAATGACAAGAACTTAATGAATCTTAAATATCTCTTGTTTTATTTTGAAAAATTGTTTTCATAAGATACAATTGAGCAATTGAGATTTGTTCTCCCAGTATCTGAAGATTTTTTTGGTCTTGTTTTGTTTTTTGGGTTTTTGGCCCTAAAATTAGGTGAATTCAGCTTTGGGTCTATTTCATCCATTCTGGAAGGTTCCCTGGGTCACTGATCTGAGGCATTCTTGATGTGGTTAGGACTTCCCAGCATTATTTTTTTTAGATCCTGTTTATTTAAAATGAAAAGGATTAGCATGAGGGATGGTAACATTCCTTTTTGATATCTGTAGCAGCAAGTTTTCTTATGATTCATTATTCTTCTTCTTACAGCTTTAAATCATCTAGGAACTTCATATAAAATTTAATTCCAGTTTCAACTAGTTGTGGAGCATTTGATCCAAAATAAAATGAAAGTCCTCTCTGAAGCTGTAGAGGAGGCTCAAGAATCAGAACAACCTGAAGTTCTTTAAGCTGTCAGTTGAAGGACTAGGTAAAAAAACAAATATCATTTAGTGTGATCATTAATGCACATGAGTCATTATTCCATGTGGTTGCTGTCGACTGGTCAGGGGCACTTCAAGCCCTAATCTGTACTTTGTCCTGTCTCTCTACACCCCGTTCTACTTTTTCAGCTTGTTGCCTGTAATATGTGAATGGAAATAAAATAATCAAGCTTGTTAGAATTGTGTTCATAATGACACAAAAGACCTGAGAGAATGTAAGAACATATAGAACATCCAAAATAAGACATATTTTTGGTTGGTTTAAAACCTTTTTGTTTGTTTCATTTTCTTCTGTGCTTAATGTATAGTTACTATTATTTCATATCCTTTGACTTACAGGTTTGACTGCAATGCAGTGTGAATATCGCACATGGGACCATTTGTCATACTGTCAGATGGCAATACATAGATGGATAGAATTTTGCTGTTTGATCAAAGCTGTGCCATCGGAAACTTGTTTTCCCAAGTATGGGTACATTCTCCTCTTTTCCTGAGTGGAGAAACCTAGATCTGAGCAAAAAGCATGAATCAATACACCTTGGGAGGCAGGGTGTGAAATATTTGATGCCATTTCCTTTGCTTGTAAATTGTTCATTTCATTTGAATATAAATATAAAAGGACTTCTACCAAGAACATGAAACTAACATTTTGCCAAGCTAAATTTTAATGAATTTATTTGGACGTTTTTATAATCACTTAATATTTTCAGTTCATGTGCTAATATTAACTCTACTTACTGGAGAGAAAGAAATGGTATTCAATATGATAACTGCCTTGTTACTGCAGAAATGTAGAAGTTTGGCATTTTAAGTATCAAATATTTTAAGTCAAAAAATTACCAGTGTCCCACAGCACAGAGAGAGAATATATGTTTGCTTGTGTCCCTTTAATCTTTCCCCTGTAAAATTAAGCCTAGGGGCCTTACACTATTTTAAATTTTCAAAATTAGGTCATGTAAATGTTGTGTCAGATTTCCAATTCATAAGTAGTATACTTATGAATACTGAATAGTGAACATAGGGTACATTTATATCCTGCTGATTGCTTAGCTGTGGACCAGAGGTAAACAGAGAATGAATGGTATTTTCACAGGTTAGTAAACTGTTTTTCTATGATCTCTTATATACAAGTGTGATTAACATTTTTTCCCCCTTCCTGAACTAATATAGGAACATATGGTCTAATAAGTGTGAGTTCATTTGGGGAGGGCAGGATAGAATGCTTGAAATTAGGACTGACCCAAAAAATGCCTTGGTCTCAGTATTTGTGGATTACGAGGAGGAAGGGCTGAAAAGGAACCTTAAAAGCATTAGAATGGTAGAGTACAGATTAGCAGCAACACTCAGGGCTCCATCATGAAGAGAGTGAGATGAGTTCCCATGGTTAATGCAGCAGGGGCTCTAATTGAAAGCCCTCTACCTAGGAAATGATTTAAATCCTTTTATCCTAGCTGGATTGTGAACATTTTATTTACTTTGAGGAAGTTGTTTAACACTTTTTGTAGATTGCATCAATATTTAGAGTAATGTAAATACATTTTCCCTTTGGCTATTTTACAAGGACATTGAGGATTAATTAAATTTAAAAGAAAGTAGTGCAGTTAACTCCCAGGAGACAGAGGGAGATGTTTATCATTTTTCTCATCATTCATTCCTTATTCATTCATTTTACAAATGTTTGTTGAATAGTAATTATAATGAAGATACTATACCAGCTTCCTGAATTGGGAATACAAAGATGAAGGATGAGAGTGACTTCTGCCTTCATTATGTTATGTGTTCATATTTTCTTTTTAAAATTCTCATTATAATATGAGTAATTGTGCAGGGATTTAATATTGCTGGTCTCAGCAATAGTTGATCTTTGATTAACATCTCACTGACACATATTTTCACTGTGTATATTTATTTTTCCTTTCTAAATTTAGAACTACTCTTTATCTTCTACTGTAAGAGATATACAACATACTTTTGTTTTTTTCTATGTTGTAATCTGCAGTTTTTTTAACCAAGAATAAACACAAGTTCTAATAGCAAACAGAAATAAACTCCCTACACATTACCTTCTCCATTAAAATATGTTTTATGCCACATGCAGAATTTTAATATTATATAGTTATTTGTGAAAGTATAACTAAATAGAAATTTTAAGAAAGAATGCCTCTAATATTCATATCTTAGCACTAAAGAAGCATATATTATTCTGCAGATTGAATTAAAATGTTAGTTACCAAGATATGAACTTAGACATTTTCAGTAAGCATTTATAGGCTATTCTAGTGGAAAACTGTACACAATTTCCCATGAGGCTGGTGAAGGTTTCTTAGCTTAAGCGACTTTTTAGCTGGTTCTTGGATTTTATTAAATAATATTTGAATGAACAGTTTTGACTAACAGCCTGAAAATATTAATCTTTCCTCTCAGTCTGAGCAAGCGAAAGTAGATAAATTCATATTGTATGTCTGATTCTCTTTGGGTTTGAAAAGAAATAAAGACTCTACTTCTAAATTAGCATAGAAAAAAGGAGAATTTCTCTTGATTTATTTCTCAGTTTGGGTTTGTGCTTTTGAAAAAGGAAAATAATGATCCTGAAATCAGTAGGCTTTGTCTTTGCCAAAAAATGTGGACATGTTGATCTTAGGGGGGCTGATTATATAAAACAATAGAAATGTAGTCTTAGATGAAAATCTGTAAAGATGTAAGAATGCTGAACTAACATGAAAATCAGGGGCTGAGAAAATGCTGGATTGAGAATAATGTGATAATGAAGGTTTTATATATATTCATATATTCTCTTCAACATACATAATGTCATAAAAAGGATAAAACGCCTAAGTCTAGTCTTGACAGAGCACCAGCTTAAATCACATGAGCCTATCAGAGAACTTATGACAATATTTAGGGCTAAACTGATGTTACTGGTGAACCAGTATCTGGAATGATTTCCATAACTCACTTAACTTGCACATTTATAATGTGGACTTTAAAAAATAATTATCAGGATGGCTACTCTGAAGCCAGGAGCTTAGGAAGTGTCACAGATGGTATATATTTGTATTCCTGCCTCATGTCCCTTTCCCTGAAGTGGCGTGTGGAGTATGAGGGATTACGGTGTATTTGTAGGTGGTGTCCCTGAAAGGCTATCAGGGGACTTCTGGTTCTGCTTCAGTTCTGTTTTGTGAAGACAGTCAAGTGATTTAAGGTCTCTTGCTTCAGCCATCCCACTTAGAAAGCAGTTGCTTTATAGTCCTTTGGGTATATACCCAGTAATGGGATGGCTGGCTCAAATGGTATTTCTAGTTCTAGATCCCTGAGGAATCGCCACACTGACTTCCACAATGGTTGAACTAGTTTACAGTCCCACCAACAGTGTAAAAGTGTTCCTATTTCTCCACATCCTCTCCAGAACCTGTTGTTTCCTGACTTTTTAATGATTGCCATTCCAACCGGTGTGAGATGGTATCTCATTGTGGTTATGATTTGCATTTCTCTGATGGCCAGTGATGATGAGCATTTTTTCATGTGTTTTTTGGCTGCATAAATGTCTTCTTTTGCGAAGTATATACCCAAAGGACTATAAATCATGCTGCTATAAAGACACATGCACACGTATGTTTATTGCGGCACTATTCACAATAGCAAAGACTTGGAACCAACCCAAATGTCCAACAATGATAGACTGGATTAAGAAAATGTGGCACATATACCCCATGGAATACTATGCAGCCATAAAAAATGATGAGTTCATGTCCTTTGTAGGGACATGGATGAAATTGGAAATCATCATTCTCAGTAAACTATCGCAAGAACAAAAAACCAAACACCACATATTCTCACTCATAGGTGGGAATTGAACAATGAGATCACATGGACACAGGAAGGGGAACATCACACTCTGAGGACTGTTGTGGGTTGGGGGGAGGAGGGAGGGATAGCATTGGGAGATATACCTAATGCTAGATGACGAGTTAGTGGGTGCAACGCACCAGCATGGCACATGTATACATATGTAACTAACCTGCACAATGTGCACATGTACCCTAAAACTTAAAGTATAATAATAAAAGAAAAAAAAGAAAAAAAAAAAGAAAGCAATTGCTTGAGACTACTTCACTGTAAGCTCCTTTTTTTTTTTTAAATAAATGCAGATTTTATGATATTCCTGATCATTCTCTTTGCACTTAGTTTTAAAATGTTATTTGCAGTTGATTAGAGAGTGGTGATAAGTAAGCCAGGATTTCTGGAATGCCAGGGCACTGTCCCCATGCATGGAAAACTGCACAAGAGCTTGTGTGTCTTGATATTCCCACATGTCAGGATGCCTTCATTTGCTAATGACAGAATACCCAACTCAGACTGGATTAAATAAAAGGGGATTTTCTTGCTTATTTAACTCTAGATTCAGTGGTAAATGGGTTTCTGGGTTGATTGGTTTGGGGCCTAACAATGTCTTCGAGGACTTGGTTTCTTTTCAACAGTCAGCTTTTGCCTTCCTGTGAGCTAGCATTGTTTCCCATGGGATTGCAAGGCAGCTGCATACAACTCCTGCAGTTCTTCCTTTTCCATATCCAGAGAGGGGACGTCCTTTCAGACGCTGATTATTTTAGGTGTAAATTCCATGTCCCATCCCAAAACAAACAAACAAACAAAAAAACATCTAGGGCATGTCTTATTTGAGGCGCTTAACAAATGACTGGATCATCTCCCTTGTATATAACCCAGAAAACACTGTGAAGTAGAGCAAAATTGGAAAGCCCAAGTCAAAGACCATTTGCAAATTTCAAGTAGATTCCAGTCTGTTGCTCAAATCACAAAACATAAAACGGAGGGGTCTCCCTTGGAGACCATAAAGTCTGTGACATGGTGGCCAGTTGGGTCACTGGAAAACATGGCAAAATATTGAAAATGAGGGATTAGGTGAGAGTGTAGCAACTGAACACTAAATGCTTGATCCAGGTGCCATTCCCTGGATACTGACAGGGAGACACATTGTCCAGGTAATACTGGAAAAATACTTTCTATAGTGTAAACCACAAATAAAATTCCAAGCCCCTCAACTATTTGAATGCACCCCTCCTCTCAGCCAGGGTCATTCCAAAGTTAACCTGAAAAACTGGTTCAGACCATGATGGGAAGTAGGGGTCAGATAGGCCTCATTATACCCTCCTTCCTTTGGAATTCAGGCACAACTGACCAGCACATCCGACCAGGCACAACTGGCATTACAACAGAGATCTTAAGACTTTTTGTAGCAATAAGACACCAAATTCCAGCCTGACTCTAGTGTAGCATTACATGACAGATAGCAGGCCCTGAAAGAAATAAAAATATTTTACCCTAAAATATATTTGTTATCATATTTTGAAATGTCCCTACAAAGTTGTCTCTTGTGGGGAAAGTCTACATGCTACAGGGAATCCCTTTCCAGGTCTTTTCCCTAATCTAGGCACCTTTTTAAGTCTGATAAGAAACATTTACAATCAATTCTCTCTGAAGCCTGCTACCTGGAGGCTTCATCTGCATAATAAGAACAACCCCTTAACACAGAGACTGCCTTCTATGGATTCCAGGTCTTTAGATAAACTCTTTCAACCAATTGCCAAAGTATCAGAAAATGATGGCTGGTAACTATTTAATTATGCACATATATTAGTAGAATTTGGGGGGTGGGCACGGTGGCTCATGCCTGTAATCCCAGCACTCCTTTAGGAGGCTGACAGATTGCCTGAGTCCAAGAGTTTGAGACCAGCCTGGGAAACATGGTGAAACCCCATTTCTACCAAAAAAAAAAAAAAAAAAAAAAAAATTAGCCAGGCATGGTGGTGAGCACCTGTGGCCCAGCTACTCAGGAGGCTGAGGTGGGAGGATTACTTGAGCCTGGGAGGTGAAGGTTGCAGTGACCCAAGCTTGCAACACTGCACTTCAGCCTGGATGACAGAGGAATGGGCCTTCACTAGACACTGAACCTGCTGGCAACTTGATCTTAGACTGACCATCCTCCATAACTGTGAGCAATAAATTTTTGTTGTTTATAAGTTACTCACTCTGTGGTATTTTGTTATAGCAGCACAACTGGATTAGGACATTAACCTGACCTTAAGAAATCATCTCAAATCAGTCTTGGCTTTGATGAGAAACAAAGGGCACACTCGAATGTGTGATTTAAAGAGAGGTTTTTTTCTTTTTTGAGATGGAGTCTCGCTCTGTCCCCCAGGCTGGAGTGCAGTGGCATGATCTCGGCTCACTGCAAGCTCCGACTCCTGGGTTCACGCCATTCTCCTGCCTCAGCCTCTGGAGTAGCTGGGACTACAGGCACCCGCCACCACACCTGGCTAATTTTTTGTATTTTTAGTAGAGACGGGGTTTCACTGTGTTGACCAGGATGGTCTCGATCTCTTGACCTCATGATCTGCCCGCCTCGGCCTCCCAAAGTGCTGGGATTGCAGGCATGAGCCACTGCACCCAGCCTACAGAGAGTTTTATGAAGAGAATATTTCTAAATATATGGACAGGATCAAAATAACCCAACAAAGGACTGAGAGGCGCTCAGAATCTGGAATCAGCAGAGAAGTTGTATTGCCTCTAGGACTTAATTGTTGTATAAGTCTGTTCAGGTTGCCATAACAAAATACCATATACCAAGTGGCTTAAACTATAGAAATGTGTTTCTCACACTTCTAGAAGTTGGGAAGTCCAAGATAAAGGTGCTAGCAAAGCGGATTTCTTTCTAAGATCTCTTCCTACGGCCTGTAAGTGGCTGTAGTTTCACTGTGTGCCCATGTGACCATTTCTTTGTGCACCATGGGGAAGGCGGATGAGCAAGCTTTCTAGTGTCTCTTCTTATAATGGCATTAATCTCAGCATGAGGACCCCACTCTCATAACCTCTTTTAAACCTGATTACCTCTCAAAGGCCCCAGCTGCATAAACCATCACACTGGGGGTTAGGGCTTCAACATTTAAGTGTGGGAGTTGGTGTTCACAATTCAGTCAATTGGAGTGGAAATTGAAATGGGAAAGGAAAGCTATAGTTACTAGAGAGAGCTATTGTCTTGGGGAGGATCACTGGACAGGACTATGGTCTTTGGAGAAATAAGCGAGTTACAACTGACAAAGATTCTTTCTGTGAAAATAAGTAATTTAAAATGTAAGTTGTTGGAATTCCAAATTACTGTGAGCCTTAAAAAAATGTGAGTATGGGCCAGGCACCATGGCTCACACCTGTAATCCCAGTACTTTGGGAGGCCCAAGGCAGGCAGATCACCTGAGATCAGGAGTTCGAGACCAGCCTGACTAACATGGAAAAAGCCCATCCCTACTAAAAATACAAAATTAACCAGGTGTGGTGGCGCATGCCTGTAATCCCAGCTACTTGGGAGGCTGAGGCAGGAGAATCACTTGAACCTGGGAGGCAGAGGTTGCAGTGAGCTGAGATTGCACCATTGCACTCCAGCCTGGGCAACAAGAGTAAAACTCTGTCTCAAAAAAAAAAAAAAGAAGAAAATGTGAGTATGGAGCCTAAGTCACATGAGAGGCACCTGTAAACTAGGCAGTTGTAACCTTTGTTTCTCTGATTATAGATTGGCCTTCTTCCTTACATACATTGTTGGTTTTTTTTTTGTTTGTTTGTTTGTTTTTTTTTGAGATGGAGTCTTGCTCTGTGGGCCAGGCTGGAGTGCAGTGGCATGATCTCGGCTCACTGCAACCTTGGCCTCCTGGGTTCATGCCATTCTCCTGCCTCAGCCTCCCGAGTAGCTGGGACTATAGGCGCACACCATCACGCCCAGGTAATTTTTTGTATTTTAGTAGAGATGGGGTTTCACCATGTTAGCCAGGATGGTCTCCATCTCCTGACCTCATGATCCACCTGCCTCAGCCTCCCAAAGTGCTGGGATTACAGGCATGAGCCACTGCACCCAGCCACACGCATTGTTTTCTAACATGTTATACAAATTATTGAAGGGTGCCAGGGAAGATTGCTTCCCTCTGCACTGCTGACTTTCATTATAGATTAACTTCCTTCTTACCTTGCTCTCATAAAGACTTCATGGCTATTGCATTGTCTTAAGATGCAATGTTAAATACACTCCTTTAAATTGGAAAGGAAATGTGAGCCAGCTATAAAGAAAGAAAACAAGTAGTATGGAAAGAGAAAAAGGTTGGGCACAGTGGGGCTCATGCCTGTAATCCCAGCACTTTGGGAGGCTGAGGTGGGTGGATCACTTGAGGTCAGGAGTTTGAGACCAGCCTGGTTCACATGGTGAAATCCCATCTCTAGTAAAAATACAAAAAATTACCTGGGCATGGTGGTGGGCACCTGTAATCCCAGATATTCAGGAGGCTGAGACAGGAGAATCACTTGAAACCAAGAGGCAGAGGTTGCAGTGAGCCAAGATCATGCCATTGCACTCCAGCCTTAGCAACAGAGTGAGACTCCATCTCAGAACAACAACAATAACAAAAAAAAAAAAAAAAAATTCTGCAACTAATTAATTTGTTGTAACTCTTAAAGCAGCCTTATATAGAAAATGTTGTGATCCTATTAATTTTTTTTCTTTCTATGTAAGCAAGAACTTCACTTTTGACTTTGCAGCACTGACCCCATTTCTCTGGAGTCTGTGTGCCCTGATTGGCTATTCCCAGATTTTTGTTTGAATAAACTCTTTTTTAATTTTTACCATTAGTTCCCACAAGCAGAATGAATAAACATTTTAACGCTGAATTCTGAACCTTTCATTTATTTCAGGTTGACATCTCCTTGGCCAAACTAATCAGGCTCTTCTGAGTCCTCTTCTCACTAGGCCTCAACTATTGAGCTTCTGTGTTCCTCTCTGCATTGTTCAATCTCAGCAAGAATCCTTCTCAGTCAATTTAGCCAGAATTCCCCATCTTCAATAGCTGATCACTCATAATATCTAATAGGGCTCCTCATCCTTCACCATCTGCTAGGTGATGTCTGATCACCCTGCGTTCAGCAAGAATGCTATATGTTGGCTTAGCCATGTGGGAAGCCCAAAATATGCCACCCCAAAATACACTCCTTTGGTATAATTTGAGATGGCTATTTAGAGGGGCTGCAGATGTTACTGAGGGGTCTCACCCCAAAAAGGGACTCTTTCCTGTTTATTATTGCAAAGCCAATGTATGAAACCAAGAGTGAGCGTCAAGCAGTGCAGGCTCTATTCAATGGCATTGGAGAAGTAGGAGCATAGCATGGAATTGGAGAAGTAGTATAGCTTGCAAATCACCTTCTCAGCTACTGAGAACCAGGAAGTTACAAATATAGAGGATCTTTAATGAAGGGAATGAGCAAGGTGAGGAATATTCATGCTTTTCTTAGTAAGGGATGGAGATTTTCCTAGAATCAAGGAGTCACCTCATTTCTGTCCTTTCTTGGTCTCTTCCGTTCATTGTCACAGTGATTGTCAACTGTCATGCACTGATGGGAGTGCTATTTAGCATGGAAATTGGATTATAATAAAGCTAGATGTTTTTCAGAGGTTGCGTAAGCTGCCATCATGGATTTCACCAGCTTCAGCTGGTTTAGTCCCAAGAAGAAACTTCTGACCACAGACATCCTGTTTCTTAAAAATAAGCAGAGTTAAAGGTGAGTAAGAATTCAGCCATGTCACATAGGCACTGCAATGGCCAACAACATCTGGGTAGGGGTCCAGGTAAGTCATGTAGGCAGTGCAATAGGCAACACAGTCACAGAAATACCTATGAAAAGCTGTCCTTTTGTCAGGGAGATTAGCATGTGTAGAGGAAGTAAACATCAACTGCAAATGGCTTTCTCTGAGACCTTCTTATCTGCTTTATCTGGATCCAGGTAAGATTAACTCACAGGAAAAGGAAACAAAAGATCTCATGCTTTTAAAGGTCTGACAGGAAACTTTTTTTTTTTGAAACGGGGTCTTACTCTGACACCCAGGCTGGAGTGTGCAGTGGTGCAATCTTGGCTCACTGCAACCTCTGCCTCCCAGGTTCAAGCCATTCTCATGCCTCAGCCTCCCGAGCAGCTGGGATTACAGGTGCCCACCACCACACCAGGTTAATTAATTAATTTATTACTTATTTATTTATTTATTTATTTTAGACAGAGTCTTGCTCTTTCGCCCAGGCTGGAGTGCAGTGGTGCCATCTCAGCTCACTGCAAACTCTGCCTCCCAGGTTCATGCCATTCTCCTGCCTCAGCCTCCCTAGTAGCTGGGACTACAGGTGCCCGCCACCACGCCTGGCTAATTTTTTTGTATTTTTAGTAGAGACGGGGTTTCACTGTGTTAGCCAGGATGGTCTTGATCTCTTGACCTCATGATCCACCTGCCTTGGCCTCCCAAAGTGCTGGGATTACAGGCATGAGCCACCGAGCCCGGCCTGTATTTTTAGTAGAGATGGGGTTTGCCATGTTGGCCAGGCTGGTCTTGAACTCCTGACCTCAAATAATCTGCCCACCTCAGCCTCCCAAAGTGCTGGGATTACAGGCATGAGCCACCACATCTGGTGGAGGGCTGCTTCTTGAGAGACTTCATCTGCATCACATCTGCATCACAACACAGCCTTTGCTCACCATGTCTTTCCTCCCCTCAACCTCCCATAACCTGTGGCCACCACCCCCTAAGAACTCCAAGCCTAGTTAGTCCTTTATGTGCTGCATATAAACTTCAACCATACGGCCTTCTTTGAGGCTTTTTTTTTTTTTTTGAGACAGAGTTTTGCTTTTGTTGCCCAGGCTGGAGTGCAATGGCGTGATCTCAGCTCACCGCAACCTCTGCCTGCCAGGTTCAAGTGATTCTCCTGCCTCAGTCTTCGGAGTAGCTGGGATTACAGGCATGTGCCACCATACCTGGTTAATTGTGTATTTTTAGTAGAGACGGGGTTTCTCCATGTTGGTCAGGCTGGTCTCGAACTCCTAACCTCAGGTGATCAGGATCCACCCGCTTTGGCCTCCCAAAGTGCTGGGATTACAGGCGTGACCCACTGTGCCTGGCCTGAGGCTCATATTTTTATGTGACTCTGTATTAGTCAGGGTTCTCTAGAGAGACAGAATTAATAGGATAGATATACAAAGGAGTTTATTAAGTATTACACTTACTTTTTTTTCTTACTTTTTGTGGAAAACAGGGTCTTGCTATATTGCCCAGGCAGGTCTCCAACTCCTGGGCTCAAGCTATCCTCCCGCCTCTGCATCTCTGAGAGCTGGGATTACAGGTGTGAACCATCACACCCAGCCAGGAGTTTATTAAGTATTAACTTACACAATCACAATGTCCCGCAATAGGCTGCCTGCAAGCTTAAGGAGCAGGAAAGTCAGTTCAAGTCTCAAAACTGAAGAACTTGGAGTCTGATGTTCCAGGGCAGGAAGCATCCAGCACAGGAGAAAGATGTAGGCTGGCAGGATAGGCCAGTCTTGCCTTTTCATGTTTTTCTGCCTGCTTTATATTCATGGGCAGTGGATTATATTGTGCCCACCAGATTTAGGGTGGGTCTGCTTTCCCCAGCCCATTGACTCAAATGTTAATCTCCTTTGGCAACACCCTCACAGATACGCCCAGGATCAATACTCTCATCCTTCAATCCAATCAAATTTGTGAGAAACAAATTCACCCATCTAAACCCAAACAATGAACTCAGAGACCCAGAGAACAGCGAAAGTGAGACTTTTAATGACGGTCTTGCAAGATCGGGTGTCTGGCATGCAGGCACACCCAGCACAGTTTCAACAAGCAATTTACGCCCTAGTGCACAGGTCCCTCCCTCAGTTCCTCATAGGCTGAGTACTAGCCTTCCACAATCTTCCTAGACATCACCTATTGATTGTTCTTCAAGTACATTCTTTAGGGTCTTTCTGCTGCATTTTATTGCAGCACACGATGCATTATGACTCTCAGGATTTTTCAAACATTTGACTTACAGCTCTAGTGGCTGCACTTAGCTGATAAGAAAGGGTACAATTATCTATGTTGCAAGCTAGCTTAAACTAAATTTCTTTGTGGAGTGGGGAAGGGGTAGATGAGGGAGCCCCCACCGATAGATGCCTGGCCACTGGGTGAAAGGGAAAGAAGGAAGGTGGAGGGGGTGGCTCAGTACATTCTGCTTCTTTATTTCTTTCTTTCCAGGTAGCCTGCCTAAACCTATACCAAGCCACTTAGAATTGAAAATAGATAATCACATATAGGTTATTTCCTACAATTCCCTCCTTTTTCTTTTTACCCTTTTTGGTTTCATTTTCACTTAAATTGCTTTTTCAAACTGTTCCAGAATTGTTTACTTTTTTTTTTTTTAGACGGAGTTTTGCTCTGTTGCCCAGGCTGCAGTGCAGTGGGGTGATCTCGGCTCACTGCAACCTCTGCCCCCCAGGTTCAAGTGATTCTCCTGCCTCAGCCTCCCGAGTAGCTGGGATTATAGGCGCGCTGTAATTTTTGTATTTTTAATAGAGACGGGGTTTCACCATGTTGGCCAGGCTGGTCTTGAACTCCTAAACTCAGGTGATCATGAGCACCCGCTTCAGCCTCCCAAAGTGCTGGGATTACAGGCGTGAGCCACCGCGCCAAGCCAGAAGTTGTTTACTTTCTTCCTCATAGGAGGAGGAGTTTATTTGGTTTCTAATAATAGTAGGTTATTTTGTTGGAACATCAGGGGCATCTGTTTACTGAGAGTTGTTTTAATAAACCTTAGTGTTATATATATATATACATATATATATAAAATATATTACATATATTATATATAGTAGTAGTGTTAAACCCCTTACACAAGTATTGATGCAACATCGTATGTCAATGACAGAATCTGATAAGTTGGAAGAGTATACTGTAGAAGATACATCACTTTTTTTTTTTTTTTTTTTTGAGATGGAGTCTTGCTCTGTTGCCCAGGCTGGAGTGCAGTGGTGCAATCTCGGCTCACTGCAACCACCGCCTCCTGCGTTCAAGCAATTCTGCTGCCTCAGCCTCCCAAATAGCTGGGATTACAGGTGCCCACCACCACACCTGGCTAATTTTTGTATTTTTAGTAGAGACAGGGTTTCACCATGTTGGCCAGGCTGATCTTGAACTCCTAACCTCAGGTGAACTGCCCGCCTTGGCCTCCCAAAGTGCTGGGATTATAGGCATGAGCCACCACCCTGACTCATACTTCACTATTGAAACAAACTTTTTTTGTGTACAGAAGAAAAAAAATTGTACAGTTAATAGTGTCAGAGATAGTGAAAATATGAAACAAGAACTGCTTACAAGAAAGGAGCACTCAGGGGACCAAACCTCTGCCAGAGCCAGCGGGGAAGTGACTTATGCCTCTCTCTTCTTTCCCTCCTGTCCCCGCCCCTCATCTCCCGCAATGAAGCGGGTACTTAATCTGTGTCCTGTGGAGGTCCCCTTTGGCAGCCAGCTGGAAGCCCGTGCACCCTCCTTCAAATAATGGCTTTCAATGAGCAGACTAGAACATTTAGGATTGCAAAGGAAACCGATTCCTTTCAAACCTGGTTATCTTTGTGATGTGGCACTGTGTGCATATCTTCGTTAAAACGCATTGAAGGCCACTGCACTCCACCCTGGGCGACAAGAGGTGACTGTGTCTCAAAAAAACCAAAAACACTCCCCCCTCACCCCAAAGCATTAGACATCAAGGCTGGCAGGGAAGTCTGTTCTCTTGAAAGTTCAATATCAATTCAATACTTTAAATTCACTGTAGTTTCAATCCATTGGTATGGAAAGTGTTTTGAATTATTGTACTGATTTTTTTCTATCCTCTTTCTGATACGCATGCTAATCATATGGACCTTGGACGTCTATCTTCCTGAACTTTTCTCTCCTGTTTTTACATTCTTATTTTGGTTTGTGGGAAATATTCTTGATATTATCTTCAACTTAATTTTTGTTCTTGCTTCTACTATTTTAGTTTAATTTCCAAGTATTTTGATATTGAACTTTCAAGAGAACAGACATCCCTGCCAGCCTTGACGTCTAATGCTTTGGGGTGAGGGGGGAGTGTTTTTGGTTTTTTCGAGACACAGTCACCTCCTGTCGCCCAGGGTGGAGTGCAGTGGCCTTCAATGCGTTTTAACGAAGATATGCACACAGTGCCACATCACAAAGATAACCAAGTTTGAAAGGAATCGGTTTCCTTTGTAATCCTAAACGTTCTAGTCTGCTCATTGAAAGCCATTATTTGAAGAAGGGTGCACGGGCTTCCAGCTGGCCGCCAAATGGGACTTCCACAGGACACAGATTAAATACTCGCTTCATTGCGGGAGACGAGGGGCGGGGACAGGAGAGAAAGAAGGGACAGGCATAAGTCACTTCTCCCGCCGGCTCCGACAGCTGGTTGCTCCGCTGAGGGGCGTTGGGTGAGGCGGAAGAGCAGACGGGGATCCAGAAGGCGTTGTCGGTGACATCACGGAGAGGGCGATTTCTATGTAGATGAGGCAGCGCAGGGGCTGCTGCTTCGCCACCTGCTGCTTCGCCACGAAAGAGTTCCCGTGCCGTGGGAGTAAGTCTGGGACCTCTGGTCGGACCGGAGAGTCGCAGCTGTGTGTTAGGGCTAGGATGGCTCCTGGATGCGCGTGACGCAAGTGACCTTGCGTGTAAAGGGTGAGGCATATGAGGCTGCGGCGGGGCGGAGGGGCGTGAGCTTATACTTATGTTTATCTGGCAGAAGAAATGTTATGATCACGAAGGTGGTTTTTCCAGAGCAAGGCTTAGCAGTTTTACTGTGGATGTGCTGACCCCTGTGATTTCCCCGAATGTGGGAATCTTGATTACATAATTTGTGGCAGTGGGGAACTGTGTCTGTGTTTTTCCCTGGGTTGTTGTCGTTTTAAAAGTGGATTTTGTTTGCTGTGGAAGCATATACAAGGCGTTAGTATAAACTAATAAACAGGTCTTTGTTCCCATCTGTAACTTACTTTCAAAGTAAAGATTTTGCCAGGTAGTGGTTGGTTCTCACGCTTGTAATCTCAGTAGTCTGTGAGATGCATTGATAACTTTATGTTAATACCGCTCGAGCTCTGGAGTTTGATGTCAGTGTGGTCAAATATGGTGGACCCGTCTCTACTAATCTCTTAACTTTTTTTTTTGTTCTATAGAAATAAAACTAAGCTTTTCTTTTCCCTACGGGAGCCCATTGTAAACATTTATTAACAGCAAACAGTCCACTGGAGTGCATGGCGGGATCCCGGCTTACTGCAACCTCTGCCTCCTGCCTTCAAGCTATTCTCCTGCCTCAGCCAGAGAATACTCGATCTCCTAAGTAACTGAGATTACAAGCGCAGGCCACTAAAAAATTAGGCCCGGCTAATTTTTTGAATTTTTGGTAGAGACAGGGTTTTACCATGTTGGCCAGGCTGGTCTTAAACTCCTGACCTCAAGTTATCCGCCCGCCTCGGCCACCCAAAATGTTGGGATTACAGGCCTGAGCCACCGCGCCTGGCCTGTTTACAGACTTTACAGACAGATTTTGTTTACAAGCTTTACACGCACGGTTCAGTTGCAGTTAGTGTATATTATGCTGGGCCCAAGACAAATGTCTTTTTTTTTTTTTCCCAGTGTGGCCCAAGGAACCCAAAATTTAGACAACCCTGCTCTAGAGGGTTTGATTCATGTTTCCACTGGGTTATGCTTATTGCCTGTAATTCCATTTGATATTTTCCAAATCTGATTTTTTGAAAAGCGTTTTCCTGAAGCACCCTAAAGCTTTCCTAATAATATGGGAACTTAAACCAGATTGGATGTAACAAAACCCAGCTGGGATCCTGCAACTTCTAACCTTAATGTTAGATCAAGAAGCAAAACACCCACCAGTCCAAGGGTCAGGGAAGATGAAGATCATGCCTGAGCTGTAACAACGCCCTTCCCAGTATACAAAAGCGTGTAACAGCCACTTGAATTCTATCTTCCAAGTGTCTCCTGTTGCCCAGGCTAACCTAGAGCTATCTAAAGATGGCAAATCTGGGAAATGTGCATTCAGCTTGGCAAAACTGATACATTACAAATCCACCACAGTCCACTTCTTCTCAAAGTGGCATCAATGTGCACCTTCCTCCTCCTCCTTCTCTTTTCCTCCTCTTCCTCATCCTCTTCTTTCTCTTCTTCTTCCTCCTTTTTCCTCCTTGTAAAGCCATACTTAAGGTTCAAATAAAGACAATAGGAAAATCATACTTTTTCTCATTCAGTGAAAATATGCCAACCCTTTCCCCAACAGGATAAAGTCTTTTATTTGTCTTTGAATGATGTTCACTCCTTTTTTAGCTAGATCACATTCCATATTTGCTATCCTGTAACCTAAATATTGAGATTTCTAAAAGTTAACTATTAATGAATATGATAGCGAGGATGATGGAAGATGAGAATTCTCAAGAAAAGTATTGGTTAATATATAACCAAATGTATTCATCTCAAAATAATGAAGAAATACTCCTAACTATTACAAGTCCTCATTTCTGCAACTGTCACTGGCCCTAGCTGGTATTTGTAACTATCTTCACATCTTGCTCTCACAGCCATTTCCTTTGGGCCTGGGCCAGTGGACGTGAGCGTGGGAAAGACCAGAACCCGCGGTGCTCCCCACCGCACTATCCTCGGGTCTCCAGAGGTGGGATACACCGGGCAGGGGCCTTTGCTGGATTCTAAACCGGCTCTGGGGATACAAGAACAGCTGCCTTTGAGAAACAGTTCAAGTCTCTATATTCCAGACTTCCTAGTAGGACTAAACGCTTAATGTTCATCCAGGAATTCATGGTTCTCCTAAAACCCTGCGGTGGAATGCCTTCCTTCACTGAGCATTTATTGGGCACCTACTAGGTGCTAGGGTGGCTCTGGGCGAAGGGCTGCAGCCTGTGCAAACTCCAGGTCCCTTTCCTGTGGATCCCACCTCTGAGGGCCCGAGGGGGACGCAGTGAGGACACCACGGGTTCTGGTCCTTCCCACGCGCGCGTCCGCTGGCCCAGGCCTGGCGGAAATGACTGTGAGCGCAAGGTGTGAGCGGGGCTAAGAATGGGAAAGCGAGTGGCTTTCGCCGGAGAAGCTGCAGTTGTCACCTGTAGAGGGGCCAGCGACTTTTGAGAGGGTGAAGAGCAGGCGGGGGAAGCAGTGAAGAGCAGACGGTGAGGAGCAGGTGGCCCTTTGGCCGTTGGAGTCCCCCAGCTGACTCTGCCCGGGTAGAACGTCCAAAGTGCCCAAAGACTCGACTCTTGGCTTCATTGTCTCCCGTATTCTGGGTTTCTGGAGTGCGCGGGATTGGACAGGCATCAAATATATGAGATTATCTGCAGCCAGAGGTTAAAAAGCCATTTCTGGTATCAGCAAATGAGTTTAAGACACAAGCCATTAGAGTCTCTGTGGCGCAATCGGTTAGCGCGTTTGACTGTTAACTGAAAGGTTGGTGGTGCAAGCCCATCCAGGGATGGCACCTTTTGCTTAGGCAAGATTCACAGTTTCTGTTTAAAGACTTTAATCCTGGGAATCCTCCGGACCTCTATTAGCTTTGAATCAGATGCCAAAATATGCTGCGTGAAGGCTCAAGTTCCATGGAAGTTCCTAAAAACAGGAATATTTCAGCAAAAGTAATTTTTCAATAGAGCCTGAGCCTGGGGCTTCAGAGCTTACGCCAGAGCCACTGCACCTATTTCATCACCTCTTGAAGCTGGGTTTTTACAATTGCACATTCCTGGAAATCCAAAACTCCCAATAATTGAAAACAAGAAAACCCCAGTCTTCACTTGTAGTGAAGCCTCAATTTCTGGGTTGAAATCTTGGTTCATTCATGACGTGACTTTTAAAACGTTACTGGATTTTCTGTACCTCAATTTCTTCGTCTATAAAAAAGAGCAGCCGGGCACGGTGGCTCACGCCTGTAATCCCAGCACTTTGAGAGGCCCAGGCAGGTGGATCACCTGAGGTCAGGAGTTCGAGACCAGCCTGGCCAGCGTGGTGAAACTCCGTCTTTAATAAAAATATAAAAATTAGTCAGGCATGGTGGCGGGCGCCTGTACTCCCAGCTACTTGGGAAGCTGAGGCAGGAGAATCACTTGAACCCGGGAGGCAGAGGTTGCAGTGAGCCGAGATCACGCCATTGCACTCCAGCCTGGGCAAAAGAACGAGACTCCTTCTCAAAAAATAAAAATAAATAAAAAATAAAAAAGAAAGAAAGAAAGAAATTTTTCCTGGCACATTTCTATATGTTCCATTCTGGATGACTTGCTCTTCAGGCTTATCCCACAGCTGTTATCATAATATCTCTCTTTACTGCACCATCTTGGGATTTCCATCGCCTCTCTCTTGTTAGATCCCCTGCTTCATGGATCTCAAGGGGGTTCATTCCTCACTCACTTCTTCCTTTTGATGATGCATATCCTCCAAAACCTCCTATAAAGTGGTTACCTTAGAAATAAACTTTTTGAGACACTGCATGTCTGAAAATGTCTTTTATACCCATAAAATTAATTGATATTTTACTAGATAGAGATACAAAAAGATAGGTGGAAATAATTTCTCTCTGAGATTTTTGAAGGCACTGCTTTTTTTGTGTGTGACAGAGTCTCGCCTCGCTCTGTCGCCCAGGCTGGAGTGCGGTGGTGGGATCTTGGCTCACTTTCAATCTCCACCTCCCAGGTTCAAGCGATTCTCCTGCCTCAGCCTCCCCAGTAGCTGGGACTACAGGTGCCTGCCACCATGTCCGGCTAATTTTTTTATTTTTAGTAGAGATGGGGTTTCACCATGTTGGCCAAGCTGGTTTTGAGAGCGACCACTCCTCATATTGTCTTACACTTAATTTCTTGTTTGCTGAAAAAGTGGAGGTTGAAAGAATGGGCAGAAGTGAAAATCACGCTCAGACAACTGGGTGCCACATTTCGGGCCTGGTTGTTAAAATTCAACCGCTGACCTCACCGATTGTGCTGTCTATAAATTCCAGACATTGTATAAAAAAGCATTATGAAATTCCCTTTTCTGTCCTGTTTCATTCTGATTACCAGTACATGCAGCCCCCAGTCACGTACCCCTTGCTTGCTCAGTTGATCATGACCCCCCCAACACAGCCCCTTTAGAGTTGTGGGCCCTTAAAAGGGACAAGAATTACTTATTTGGGGAGCTCGGTTTCTAGGATGTGAGTCTACCGATGGTCCCAGCTGAAAAAAGCTCTTACATTCCACAATCGGGTGTCTGAGGGATTTTGTCTATGACTCCTGCTACAGTTTCAAACTCCTGACCTCAAGTGATCCGCCTCCCTTGGCTTTGCAAAGTGCTGGGATTACAGGCCTGAGCCATGGCTCCCGGCCCTTGTTGTTTACTGTTTTCCATAGTCATTTCTGAGAAAGAAAAAGGTAAGCCTTTTCTGCTCTGAGCTAGAGCTGGTCTGACAAACACCTAGGCCATGGTGTTCTATGGTTAAAACGAAAAATTTCACAACACCAATATCAGACAAAGTTACCCTCTCACTAAACTGAAAGAAATACTATTTCACAATCATATTTGAACATAAAAAGAACACTGTTCAAACCATAATATGATCAAACATCCCAGCTACTAATAGTGACGGTTAATGATTTTATTTTTTATTTTTTTGTGATGGAGTCTTGCTCTGTCACCAGGCTGGAGTGCAGTGGCACAATCTCAGCTCACTGCAACCTCTGCCTCCTGGGTTCAAGCAATTCTCCTGCCTCAACCTTCCGAGTAGCTGAGACTACAGGCACCTGCCACCACACCCAGCTAATTTTTGTATTTTTAGTAGAGACTGGGTTTCACCATATTGGCCAGGCTGGTCTGGAACTCCTGACCTTGTGATCCACCCCCGCCCCGCTCAGCTTCCCAAAGTGTTGGGATTATAGGCGTGAGCCACTGCACCAGGCCAGTTTTTTTTTTTTTTTTTTTTTGAGACAGTCTCTGTTGCCCAGGCTGGAGTGCAGGGGCGTCATCTCAGCTCACTGCAACCTCCACCTCCTGCGTTCAAGTGATTCTCTTCCCTCAGCCTCTCAAGTAGCTGGGATTACAGGCATGCCCAACCATACTTGGCTAACTTTTGTATTGACTGTTGATTCTTTACCAATTATGTGTTTAGTCTTGCAACCACTTCTCCCACTTTCTAGATAAAAATACCGAGATTCCCAAAGGAAGAATTGCCCCACAATTTCCCCATAGTGTTTGCTGTCTCCTGTGTTGCAATGAGCCAATATACTCAGGTTTGACTATAGGTTTGTTCCTGATGGTTATACACTGGAGCACATCAGCACCATAGAGAAGATGGATGCCGCTCTGATTCTTTGTTATTTGCCTTAAACTCTTCTCCCATCTCCCCTCCCAAAAGCCTATAGAATCTTCTACCTCTTCCTATTAGTTTGAAACTTCATGATATATTTCCATCCACCATGCTGGGTACTGAGTGTGCTCTTTCAATATGGGAATTTGTATTTTGGAGGTATCATTCCAAAGATGTTTATGCATATACAATTAAAGGTATATATTTATTTCCTGCAACTACCATCACCCTTTTGATACACTTCTGCTGTATAATAAACCATCCCAAGCTTATTGACTTAGAATAACAATAATTGGCTGGGCGTGGTGGCTAACACCTGTAATCCCAGCACTTTGGGAGGCCAAGGCGGGCAGGTCACGAGGTCAGGAGTTTGAGACGATCCTGGCTAACACGGTGAAACCCCGTCTCTACTAAAAATACAAAAATTAGCCAGGCGTGGTGGCAGGTGCCTGTAGTCCCAGCTACTAGGGAGGCTGAGGCAGGAGAATGGCATGAACCCGGGAGGCCGAGGTTGCAGTGAGCCGAGATCATGCCACTGCACTCCAGCCTGGGCTACAGACTGAGATCTCGTCTCTTAAAAAATAAAAAAAGAATAACAATAATTTATTATTTTTAGTGATTCTGTGAGTTGGCTTGGAAATTCTTCTAGTCCAAGCTGGTTCATTTGGGGCTGGATGGTCTAGGATGGCCTCACACATCTGGGGTATAGGTGGATTGGTTGGAAAAAGTGGGATGCATGGATCTTTTTCTTCATGTGATCTCTCTAGCAGGCTAGCTTTGGGGGATCTTCAGATCATGGCCTCAGGATTTCAAGTGAAGAAAAAAGCAGGTAATCCTCCCATGTGCAAGCCTCTCTTCTGCCAGGTTTGCGAAGGCACCAACATTTGCCCAAAGCAAGTCATATAGCCAATCCAAGATTCAAAGAGAGGAGAAATAGACTCTCTTGATGAGAGAAGCTGCAAAATATAACCACTTTTTTTTTCAATCTGTCACAGTATACCATACTGGACTATCAGTAGCTTCCTCATTTTTCTTTCTTTCTTTCTTTCTTTTTTTCTTTCTGAGACGGAGTCTTGCTCTGTCGCCCAGGCTGGAGTGCAGTGGCGACATCTCGGCTCACTACAAGCTCTGCTTCCCTGGTTTAGCCATTGTCCTGCCTCAGCCTCCCTAGTAGCTGGGACTACAGGCACCCGCCACCACGCCCGGCTAATTTTTTGTATTTTTAGTAGAGACGGGGTTTCACCGTGTTAGCCAGGATGATCTGGATCTCCTGACCTCATGATCTGCCTGCCTCGGCCTCCCAAAGTGCTGGGATTACAGGCGTGAGCCACCGCGCCCGGCCATGACACAAGTTTAAAAGAATATTTTTGTTTGTTTGTTTCAGACGAGTCTCGCTCTTTTGCCAGGCTGGAGTACAGTGGCGTCATCTCGGCTCACTGCAGCCTCCGCCTCCCGGATTCCAGCGATTCTCCTGCCTCAGCCTCCTGAGTAGCTGGGATTACATGCGCCTGCCACCACGCCCGGCTAATTTTTGTATTTTTAGTAGAGAAGGGGTTTCACCAAGTTGTCCAGGATGGTCTCTATCTCTTGACCTCGTGATCCGCCCTCCTGGGCCTCCCAAAGTGCCGGCATTACAGGCGTGAGCCACCACGCCCGGCTAAAAGAATAATTTTTATTTTATTGTTTATTTTATTTTATTTATTTTATTTTATTTTTATTTTATTTTATTTTATTTTTTATTTTATTTTATTTATTTTATTTTTTGAGACAGAGTTTTGCTCTTTTGCCCGGGCTGAACTGCAATGGTGCAATCTCTGCTCACTGCAACCTTCACCTTTTGGTTTCAAGTGATTCTCCTGCCTCAGCATCCCGAGTAGCTGGGATTACAGGCACCAGACACCATGCCCGGGTAATTTTTGTATTTTTAGTAGAGATGGGGTTTCACCATGTTGGCCAGGCTAGTCTCAAACTCCTGACCTCGTGATCAGCCCACCTCGGCCTCCCAAAGTGCTGGGATTACAGGCATGAGCCACCTCGACTGGCCTAAAAGAATAATTTTAAAAAATCTTTTTTTGATCAGGCTTGGTGGCTCAAACCTGTAATCCCAGGACTTTGGGAGGCCAAAGTGGGTGGACCACCTGAGGTCAGGAGTTTGAGACCAGCCTGGCCAATATGGTAAAACCCCATCTCTACTTAAAATACAAAAAAATTAGCCGGGGTTGGTGGTGTGCGCATGTGGTCCCAACTACTTGGGAGGCTGAAGTGGGAGAATCACTTGAACCCGGGAGGAGAAGGTTGTAGGTAGCCGAGATTGTGCCACTGCACTCCAGACTGGGCAACAGAGACAGACTCTGTCTCAAAACAAAACAAAACAAAACCAACAAAAAAACAAAAAACAGCAAGCAAGGACCCCATGGCCTGCAAGATCCAAACCAGTAAAGGAGCAGCTCCTCAGAGACAGGCATGTGCATTAGAGAGAAAAAGTATGCTTAACATGACTTCATATGATAATCAGCTCATTAAAACTCATGCATATGGACTACATATCATGCATGTACTTAAAATTATGGGATGGAGGCAACGTGCAAGCACACAAGGGCCAAAGTAACTAAGCACCTGTCAATCAAAAGACAAACACTGGCTAAAGATTAGGCATCCCTGTGAAGAGAAGAAAAAAACACACATAAAAAGACCCAAAGTACACCAAACTAATACTGATCTCATCTCCCAGACTCTCCCCACTCTGAGAGTGTTACTGTGCTTAATAAACTTTTGCTTTGCTTTGCTGCTTTATGTGTGTCATGTACAGTTCTTTGTTTG
The DNA here is from genome assembly GCF_000001405.40 of Homo sapiens. NCBI lineage: Eukaryota > Metazoa > Chordata > Mammalia > Primates > Hominidae > Homo > Homo sapiens. Next base: position 120,951,030 of record NC_000001.11, read on the forward strand.
GGACACCAAAAGCCTGGAACTTCATGGAACCATCTGGTAAGAATTAGGATTTTTTTTCCTAAGGGTTAACAAACCAGCCCTTTGGAAAGACTTGCCTCTCCACTGTTATCAACCAATGGCCTGAAACTTTCCCTCCCTTTTGTGGTTTTGACAAAACAAGCAAGCAGCATTCCCTCCTGATAAGAGACCACTGACCTAGGAATGATTCTGGCCAGACTACAGAGGATGTACAGTGAGGGTTTTCATGTCCTCTGCTTCAGCTTTTGATGTCAGAGGGCCACAAACTCCTCCACTCTCAGATGATTGCTAATGCCACCATTTTATGAACATGGGCCCCATGGAGAGGCACGAAGCTCAATTGCACTTCTGCACATTTTTCCTCCTATAAATATTGCTACTGGAATATTATTTGGTACGGCTCCCGTGAAAGATACATTTGCGGAATGTACTCAAATTAGAAGCATCATGTAAACCCTATAATGTAGCAATAGTGCATCAACTTCCCTACACTATAGAAATATCTGCGGTGTAGACATTTCCACAATGACCAAAGATATGTGTACAAGAAAGGTGGCTGCAGCATTCTTTGTAATCCTAAAACAATGAAACCTACCTCATCTCAAAAACTTTATTTTTTTATTTTTATTTTTTTTGAGATGGAGTCTCGCTCTGTTGCCCAGGCGGGAGTGTAGCGGTGCAGCCTCCACTGGTGCAGCCTCCACTGCAGCCTCCACCTCCCAGGTTCAAATGATTCTCCTGCCTCAGAATCCCAAGTACCTGGGATTACAGGCACATGCCACCATGCCTGGCTAACAAAAACATTTTGAAAAGGGTTAAATAAATAATGCACAAACTGAGGAAAAATACTGTTTTCAAAAATGATGGAGAGGATCACTATGATGATGAATGATTCCACTGGTCACATTATTGATAGACCAATCAGTAAATCCAGGCACATCCTGGAGATACTACTGGACTCCTATTACTAAAATATGAAAAAACGGAGACAAGTAAGTTACTCATTTAAGCGTATAATCGACTGAATTAGAATTTTATCACACCAGAAGTGGGTTCCTAGGTCTCTGTTTCAGGATTCCTGAGTTACACAGGTGTAAACCCGCCGTTTCAGGAGATACCCGATTAAGAATCTGGTCGGGGAGCTGGCTGGCCCTTGACATGGATCAGTCATAAATTAGTGGCTAATTCTTCCCCATTTATGTAGTGATTGACAATACGTGCATGCTTTAAAAGTTCCAATAAGCATCCCTGGGTGGGCTCGAACCACCAAGCTTTCGGTTAACAGCGGAACGCGCTAACCGATTGCACCACAGAGACAAGCACTGCTAACTCCACTGGGCCATATAGGAAGGGCGCACTCACTAAACTTCCTCTGTCCCTTCTATTCCCAGGGCCCGCCTGGCAGGACGACTGAGCAAGTTCTTGGAAAACCAGAGATATTAGAGCGGTGAATCGCGCTGGTCACGTTGGACACCTGCGCGTTAGGAGATTCTGGAGCCAGAGGGAGAGACCCCAGAAACGCCCCGGTCGGCGACCCAGCCCGAGACGCCTGGGGTCCCAAGGGAAGCTGAACGCCCGGTGGGCTCCCGGGATGGTTCTTCCGGTTCTTTGTGCCGCCTTCACCCAGTGAAGGAGCCTGTATCCACCCTGCCCAGTCGCTGTTGGGCTGCTGCGGAGCTTCCGCTGCCATCTTCGGATCCTGTGTTCCGCCCGGGGCTCCACCAGGGCAGGGATGGTGGTGAGGGTCGCTCGTGGGTCCCCTGGCAGGGAGCAGGGTCTGGCACTCACAAGGGCGCACGACTAGGACTTGTCGAATGAATCCCTTGTCGCCTTTAGCTTTTAGTCCTTTGAAGAGAGGTGAGAGTGGAAATCAAGAGATTTTTTTCCACGGGGAAGTTCTTTTTACAAAGCGTTGATTTCTTGGCACCCCGCGGGGCGGGCAACTGACACGACCTCCGGTGCACCTTCTGCGCTGTGGAGCCTCTGGGGCTCAGCTGGGCGGTGGTCGGGTCGTGGGGCGGTAGGGCGGGAGCGGGGGAAGGGAAAGCAAAAGCTGGAAAAGAAGCAGGGGAGTTGTGAACCAGACATCCAGACCTCCTGAAGGGCTCGTGCAGACGTACAGGCGGGATCTTCTGGAAGTGAGAATTGTTTTTGTTTGTTTATCTATTGTAGCAGAATGGGGAAATGGAGAGAGAACCTGAAAGAGCCCCAAACTCGAGGACCTATTGCTCCCCAAGAATAACATCTTCCAGAACTAGACAGAAAACTAGGCGTCTGGGAACCCTGAAATCCTTGGAGGAGTAGATCATCATGACCCTCTGTGTTCCTTTTGGCAAATGACTTGCTTCCATTGTTTGTTTGTTCAATTGTCTGTTTGTTAAATAAATAAAACCCTTTTTATGTATCTTTAAAATTACATTGGTTCTATTATTTTATGATTACAAACGATGCTGCAGTCATCATTCTTGTACACTTCTCATTGGCCACTGGTGTATTTCTATAGGGTGGAGGCCTGGAGAGCAGTTGTTCCAGCATAGTGTTTACATAGCTTTTATTTAATTCCGTTTTCTTTCCTTTGTTGCTTTATTAGCTATAACCCTTCTCTTATTTCAGTGGCAGCTTTAGGGTTTCTGGGATACATCTTTAATTTATCACATTCTGCTTTCAAGTGTAATTATACCTCCCTTTCTGGCCTTTATCCTAGTGTTACGTATTTTTACTTTATGCATTATAAGTTTTGTGATTATCATTACCTTCATTTATTATGTCAAATATTTTTAAAAAGATTTAAATTATAAGAAAATGTGTAGTACATGCTTTCTAAATGCCATTTCCAATATTTGTTTTTGTATAGGTCCAGATTTTTATCTGGGATCCTTTTGCTTCTGCCTGGAGGACTCTTAAGATTTCTTGTAGCGTGGGTTGGTGAATTCTTTTAGTTTTTGTATGTTTTTCAATGTCCTTATTTCACTCACAGTTTTGAAATTTTATTTTTGCATAGAATTCTAGGTTAATTTTTTTCTCTAGTACTTTAAAAATGTTGCCATTTATGAAGCATTGCCATTTAAAGTATCATCTTTCATGTGCTTGTGAAAATGGCATAAAGCCGGTTTCTTGTGCTGGTTATGTAATTTTCAGAATGTGTATTTAAATTTAAAATATTAAATTTTCCTAAAAAACTAAAAATATTAATCATGAATGTCCTAGATTCATCTTAAATTCCACCAACAGTGCACTTAAAATGTGCCCAACCTGAGGGTCAAACCTACCTGCTGACATGTAATTTGTGTTTGTGAGACATTCTCAACAGCATTTGCTTTCCCCAGCTGAGTGATCTTCCTCACATCTGAATGTCTTCAGTGCAAAAGGAAATGTTTTTCTTCGCAAAAATACTTTCAAATACTCTTACTTCAAGGAAGTGCATTAAAAACAAACTTCTCATTTGCATCCCTGGAATTCAAAGCCCTAATCAAGTGCTTCAGGATCAAGAGCTAAACAGGGGAGGACAAAGCGTGGCTTCTTCACTAGGAGTCAAGCCAAAGTCAACTGGTTTGATCGCCAACGTAGATCGGAACTCGGTTCACCAGCGACCTGAGGACCCGGCCCAGAAGAGGGAGTGTCTCTTCATGGTGCCTTCAGATAGAAAATCTCCTAGGATTTCTTTCTTTCCCTTTGATCTACTTCCAACTCTCCCTTTCTATTTCTTCAAGACCTTTTTCGGATCCCTACTGCGAAGGACCTAAGGGGCCGGTGCCCTTCCCCACTGGTCCCTCCCTGCCTGGTGTCTTAGGAGCCCAAGCTCACCTGGAACATTACTGCCCGCCGGAGACAGCGAGAGGACCAAGGAGCGCGGCGGTGCGGTGGGAACCACAGCGTCACCGCTCACCTGCGCCTCGTGGGCTCCTAGAAAATTGAATAAATGCCCCCTGAAGCTTCTCTGCAGGTCACACGGAAGAGGAGGGTGGCTGCCGACACGCGGGAGAAGCTTCAAGAAGCGTCGGGAGGACCTACCTGGTCCTGCCCCTGGGCCTTGAAGACAGGCCTGGCCAGGCTGATTTGGTCCGGTAGTCTCAAAGAAAATGTTCAAGGGTGGCCCAAACCTCCACCCCAAGATTAAGGCTCTTAAATGTCTGACGGTTTTGAGACTCGTCAGTAGAATCAATCCCGCCTGTATCAGGAGACTCCTTTGCCAAAATTCAAAGACCAAGAAAGAGAAAGATTGGGCAGGTTAAAGTCTGTAATTAACCAAACAGGAGACAGAATTTTTCTGAGAAATTGTATGTGTGCTGTGAGAAAAAGACTAGCCTCAAGGAGAATCTGTTCTTTTGGCTTAATTGTAGGAAAGAATGGAATTGCCACCAACAATGGTACGTTGAAACGGCAGGTGCATCAGGCTGTAGATGTGAAGGAATTAAAAATATTTTACCCCAAAATACATTTCTTTGACATATTTTGAGATGTCTGTTCAGAAAGCCAGCTGCAGAAGTAGCCCTGCAAAGTTGTCTTTCGTTGGGGAGATTTGCATCTGTAGGGAATCTGCATTGATGCAGCCAAGTCTTTCCTTGCCCAGATCTAGGAAAGATTAACTGAGAGTCTGACAGCTGTAAAGGTCTGAAAGAAACTTTCAGAGCTTATTCTTTCTGAGAGCTGCTGCCTGTAAGGTTTCATTTACATATTAAGATCACCTTTGCTAGCCAGGCCTCCTCTTCTCTCCCTCCCATAACCTGTCTTGCCCACAATAAATGGATATACCTCTGACTCTAATGGTACCTGGTTTTGGCCATGCTTTGAGCCTTTATTCATTCTGTTAACTTGAGACGGTATATAAGCCTCTGCATCCCATTGTGTGTTTCACTCACGTCCATGTGAAGAGACCACCAAACAGGCTTTGTTTGAGCAACAAGGCTGTTTATTTCACCTGGGTGCAGGCGGGCTGAGTCTGAAAAGAGTCAGGGAAGGGAAATAGGGGTGGGGCCATTTTATAGGATTTAGGTAGATAAAGGAAAATTACAGTCAAAGGGGGCTCTTCTATGGCGGGCAGGGATGGGTTCACAAGGTGCTCAGTGGGGGAGCTTTCTGAGCCAGGATGAGCCAGGAGAAGGAATTTCACAAGGCAATGTCATCAGTTAAGGCAAGGACCAGCCATTTTCACTTCTTTTGTTGTGGAATGTCATCAGAACAGGCCATTTAAATTTCACTTCTTTTGTGATTCTTCAGTTATTTCAGGCCATCTTGATGTCTACTTGCAGGTCACAGGGGATATAATGGCTTAGCTTGGTCTCAGAGGCTTGACATTCCTGTCTTCTTATATTAATAAGAAAAATAAAACAAAATAGTGTTGAAGTGTTGGGGCGATGAAAATTTTTGGGGATGGTATGGAGTGATAATGGACGATGTTTCTCAGGGCCACTTTGAGCGGGATTAGGGGAGGTGTGGGAACCTAGAGCGGGAGAGGTTAAGCTGAAGGAAGATTTTGTGGTAAGGGGTGATATTGTGGGGTTGTTAGAAGGAGCATTTGTCATATAGAATTATTGGTGATGGCCTGGATACGGTTTTGTATGAATTGAAAAAAGAACGGAATAAGACAAGGAGAAAAACAGGTATTAAAGGACTAAGAATTGGGAGGACCCAGGACATCCAATTAGAGAGTGCCCAAGGGGGTTCAGCATAGCCCTGCCATCAAAGATTATTTATTTACTTTAAGAGGGAGTTAAGAGTGGCAAATCTGGGGACAGCACCAGGAGATATAAGCTGTGATGGCTTGGAGAAACAGAGTAAACCGCCAGTTTAAACAAGAGCAGAGCATTTATGAGTAGTTGAGAACGGTGAATAGAAGTATGACTAGACAGAAGATAGTAGTGATGACAAGTTTTTGGGGGCACAGTCCAAGTTGGTCTGGTGTCTGGAATGAGACTGGGGCCTAATAAAAAGGAACATCTATACAGGAGCTTAAATGGGCTGTACCCTGTAGCATTCTGAGGACAGGCCCGAATTCTGAGAAGGCAAGTGGTAAAAGTATTGTCCAGTCCTTTTTAAGTTGGTGGCTGAGCTTGGTGAGGTGTGTTTTTAAAAGACCATTAGTCCGTTTTACCTTTCCTAAAGATTGAGGACCGTAAGGGATATGAAGGTTTCACTGAATACCAAGAGCCTGAGAAACTGCTCGGGTGATTTGACTAATAAAGGCCGGTCCGCTATCGCACTGTATAGAGGTGGGAAGGCTAAACTGATGAATGATGTCTGACAAAAGGGAAGAAATGACCGTGGTGGCCTTCTCTGACCCTGTGGGAAAAGCCTTTACCCATCCAGTGAAAGTGTCTACCCAGACCAAGAGGTATTTTAGTTTCCTGTCTCGAGGCATATGAGTAAAGTCAATTTGCCAGTCCTGGGCGGGGGCAAATCCCCTAGCTTGATGTGTAGGAAAGGGAGGGGCCTGAGCAATCCCTGAGGGGTAGTAGAATAGCAGATGGAACACTGAGAAGTGTTTCCTTGAGGATAGATTTCCACGATGGAAAGGAAATGAGAGGTTCTAAGAAACGGGCTAGCAGCTTGTAACTTACTGTAGGAACACAAGATGACTGCTTTGGGGGTAGTGTTGGGTAGCTGCTATTGTGCTAAGGGCTGAAATTGACTGAAATTACCTACAATTTACCAACTGGGCCTTCCTCCAGAAGTTGCAAGCCATCAGTAGGCTCCAGAGCTCTGAAATATTTACATCAGACAGATCCTGCCTGTGCAGTTGTTGTCTAGATTCCAGGTGCTTCTCATTCCACCATCTTCCCAGGATACACTCTGAGCTTCTGGATTTTGAATTCAGTCAAGCTGTTCTGTAACAGCTGGGGTGAAAGCCAGCAATGATCCTGCTAAGAAAGCTCCCTGGAAAAAAAAAGTTCAAAAGTAACATAAATATCAAACTGGAAAGAAATTGATTTAGGAACCAAACCCAGGTTGTCATGGTGAAAAAAGGGGCAGAACCTTAGCTACTGAACTGCAGCCTGGGGTACGAGGTGACAACCATTGCTTTTTTAGTTTGGTTTGGCTAGCAAAGGTGGCCTTGTTATATAAATAAAGCCCCTCTGGTAGTCAAAACCTTTATTTTCTCTCTCTCTCTTTTTTTTTTTTTTTTTTTTTTTTTTTGAGAAGGAGTCTTGCTCTGCTGTCCAGGCTGGAATGCAGTGGTGTGATCAGGGCTCACTGCAAGCTCCACCTCCTGGGTTCACACCATTCTTCTGCCTCAGCCTCCTGAGTAAATGGGACTACAGGTGCCAGCCACTATGCCCAGCTAATTTTTTTGTATTTTTAGTACAGATGTATTTTTAGTAGAGTTTCACTGTGTTTGTCAAGATGGTCTCAATTTCGTGACATCATGATCCGCCTGCCTTGGCCTCCCAAAGTGCTGGGATTACAGGCGTGAGCCACCGTGCCCAATGAAAACCTTTATTTTCGTGATGGCTGCTTATTTATTTATTTATTTATTTATTTATTTTTCTTTCCCTGCTCTCCCTCTTTTTAAATTTTTATTATTTATTTATTTATTTTTCTGCAGAGATTTATCCAATTCAGAGGTCTTGTCCCCATAATTTGGAACATTCCTTTGGATTTGATCAAGTCAGATAGAACTGGTCAAACCCAATGGGGAAAAGAAGGAAACAACAATAAAAACAAACAGAAAACAAAAAACAGTTCAGAAAATTAATGATCGCACAATTTATATGATTGCTTAGCACTCTAACGGTAAGAAGAAATTATGATCAGTTGGTTGTTAATCTTTTTTATTTTTTTATTTTTTATTTTTTTTGAGACAGAGTCTCGCTCTGTCGCCCAGGCTGGAGTGCAGTGGCGCGATCTCGGCTCACTGCAAGCTCCACCTCCCGGGTTCACGCCATTCTCTTGCCTCAGCCTGGTTGTTAATCATAACTTTAATCATTTAGGAGAATTTCAAGACAAAACACAGGTTCAGTTACTTACCTAGGAATAGGGCCCAGGCTGAAGACTGCTCTGTACCATCCTAGAAGCAGGAAAAAACTCAAACTCTCCTTCCCTCCTTCCCTGTTAGAAGTGAACTGAAACCCCAGAAAGGAATTGCCTGCTCTCCATCATCATGGAAGCAGGAAAAGTTGCCTTCATTGTTGGAAGCAAGTAAAACTCCAGAAAATGAGTTGTACAGCAAAATAAACCTTAGATCTCGATCAAATTTTGGGAAATCAGGGATTCTCTGGAGGGGGTGGATCTCTGAGGCCTCAGCAAATTTTCCTATTGGTTTGAGCAATAAAAATAGCTCAAGCTGGTACCAAGTACAGATAGGAGATTTGTCAAAGGTCAGGGCACCTCCACTCAGAATTCCTTCATGGTTATCAATTGTAAACCAAAAAGTATGTGAGACAGGTCTGAATTGATTTAGAAAGCTTATTTTGGACTCTTACTCATAGGTAATTCTAGTCTTCATAGAAGTATAGCAGCCAGGTGCAAATTGTGGGGGCCTGGAAATAATTTTGGTATAACACAGATTAAATAATTTGTCTAAGCAATAGCTTGGCAACTTTGGGAGCCAAGTTGTAATCCTGGAAAGATTAATGCTTGGCCTGAGATGTAATAGCCACTCCTCCAGGTTGTCTTTTAATGTGGGAAGTAAGTTCTAGTGTGTTTCTGTAGTGTGGAACTTTTAGAAATAATATTCTTGTCACATTTGACAATACCCATGGCTGATCTAGACAAAATATCATCCACTCGCTGTTTAGCCCTGATTTGCATATGAGACTTTGTGCTAGTCATCTGGTAACTTTTCACTCAGCAGTGGGGATGAAGTAACTGAAACTCCAGAAAGAAGAGTTATTAGATACCTCAAAAATGATGAAGATATTAGAAGCCCTGGCCTTAGGGGTCCAAGGAAGAGCAAGGTTTGTGGGTAATAATCTGTATAAATCTGATAGGAAGCTATAAGGAGGACTCTTAGGACTTTGAGGTGGGTGAAGATTAGAGCCTGGATTAATCAAGGGCCTGTGGCTTCTAACACCATCAGTTGCCTGTACTCAGCCACCTTCAGCAGTGTTATCTGGCTCTAGAGAGCCATAGCATTCCAGGAAAGGAAAGAAGTCTGCACAAAGCCCTGATGTTTGTGTCCCCCCATCTAGACAGACATAGTAGCATGCAGGGACAAAGCAAAAGAGAAGAGTAGGCAGAGACAATGTGAATCTGTTCACCACATATTGTAAATGCATTTAAAAATATTGTTAGCCCATATTTGCAGGTAGCACTAATTATGAAGTTGTTGGACTGAGGACTTTATTTATTTGTGACTCTCACCATCTTCAAAGTCAGCAATGAAGAGTTTCTTCCTCATTGAATCACTAACACGTTTTGGATCTCTCTGACTTCCTAGTTTGCTGACCTCTGACCTCTAGATCCAGACTTTAAAGGCCCATGTTATTAGATTAGTCAACCTTTATAATCTCCCCATTTTAAGGTTAATTGTATCTGCAAAATCCCTTTGCCATACAATGTAATATAATTATGTAATTAGCAACCATAAGAAAGCTGAAGTGACTTTTAAACCAACCCAATTGTCCCATAGAACTGATGTTTACGGTTTCTTTTGAATAAACATAGAAATTGACCCTTTCAGTCTTGAAATTTGAGAAAGTTACATTTGTATTATCTGAGTTCCTTTCTCAGGAAACCAAGCGTTGGGCCCTCCAGATAGTATCAAAGAACTGAAATTTACCAGAGTACCACATCTGGACAATGAAATGTCAGACCCCTTATCCCATCAAAATTGCCTAAGTGACCACCTGCTTCCTGTTGACCAATTCCTCTTTCTTACCTCTCCCTAATTCCTGTTTTCCTGTATGTAGTTCCATTTCTTCCCTGCTATCTAAACCCTGAATTTTCATTGGTCAGGAAGATGGATTTGAGACTGATCTCCCATCTCCTAAGTTGTAGTACCTGATGAAAGCCTTCTTTCCTAGCAAAGCTAGTTGACTCAGTGATTGGCTTTCTGTGCAGTGAACAGCAAGACTTAAATCAAACCTCTGGTGTTTCAGTAGCAACTATCCTAATACCAGACAAAATAAACAAGAGACTTTAAGACAAAAAAAGTTACTGAAGACAATGAGGGCTATTTTGTAATGATAAAAGGGTTAATCCATCAGGAAGAGAGTACAATTATAAATACACATGCATCTAATAGAGCCTCAAAACACAGGAAGCAAAAAGTGACAGAATTGAAGGGAGAAATAGACAATTTAACAATAGTAGATGGAGACTTTAATACCACAACTTTCAATAGTGGATACAGCAACTACACAGAAGATCAATAAAGAAATAAAAGATTTAAACAACATAACCTACCAGACATCTATAGAATACTCCACTCAACAAAAACAGAATACACTTCCTCTCAAGTACACACAGGATGTTCTATAGAATAGACCATATGCTAGCCTTTAAAATAAATCTTAATAAATTTAAAAGGACTAAAATCATATAACTTCTGATATATCTCATAAACTAATACTATCACACACTATAGTTTCAGGTTAGCATGTAGGGTATGCAGTTTGTTGGTCCTGCTTCCTTCTGTTTGTCATGAATGTGGAGGTGACCATGATTACACATGTGTAGGCCAGTAGCCCAGGAAAGTCAGGCAGCTGAAGGGAAAGGACAGATATTCCATAAGAGTCTCCCTATCTCAGTCTCAAAAAACCAGGGAGGAATTGATACATAGGAAGTGAAGAGTTACATCAGGGGATGACTTCTCTTCTGCCTATCTATGCCTGTCTTTAAAACCTCAGTTTCTATCCCACTAAACCCCATTGCACAGGAAAACTGTTGATCACCGCCAACCACCACAGACTCATTAACTTGATTTTTACCATGCTTTGTCTGAGAATATATCCTCAGGCCAATGCAAATCATTAGTGTTCCATAAAAACTGCTTCAAACACATAAAATAGTAACAGTTTATAAGTCATTCCAAATTAGGTGGCAACTACATGTATTTAAAGAGATATACATAAATTATTTCAGCAATTGTGACAAATTGGAAAGAAAGCATGTGGAGTTAGAATGAAAATCATAAGTGACAAGCACAAAATATGTATACAGAGATTATAACACTAAGCAAACCACACATAGAAGAGGAGAGTGGGGTTAGGAGTTATGAATATCAAGCTTGTCCTCAAGTTAAGTGAAAAGCCAGCATGGGCCAGGTGTGGTGGCTTATGCCTATAATTCCAATGTTTTGGGAGGCCAAAGTGTGAGAATAACTTGGGCCCAGGAGTTTGAGACCCACCTGGGCAACATAGTGAGACCCCATCTACACAAACACACACACAAAAAAACACACACACACACACAATAGCTGAGTGTGATGACATGTGCCTACAGTCCCGGCTATTCAGGAGGCTGAGGCAGGAGGATCACTTAAGCCTCGGAGTTTGAGGCTGCAGTGAGCTGTGATCATGTCATTGCACTCCAGGTTGAGCAGCAGAGCTAGACCCTTTCTATTAAAAAAAAGCAAAAAAAAAAACAAAAAACTAACATGCTTCCCCAGTGGGGGAAATATGTCAGTATAACATTGGTTTGCAGCAAGAAGTATATTAAGATATTGACCAAAATCCTTTTATTATTTATTTTGTTTTTATTTTTTGAGACAGGGTCTCACTTTGTCATCCAGAATGGAGTGCCGTGGCATGATCTTGGTTCACTACAGCAAAAAACACCTGGACCCAAGCTTGCAGTGAGCAATCATGTCTCACTGCAAGCTCTGCCTCCTGGGTTCACACCATTATCCTGCCTCAGCCTCCCAAGTAGCTGAGACTACAGGCACCTGCCACCACACCCGGCTAATGTTTTGTATTTTTAGTAGAGACGAGGTTTCACCGTGTTAGCCAGGATGGTCTCGATCTCCTGACCTCATGATCTGCCTGCCTTAGCCTCCCAAAGTGCTGGGATTACAGGCATGAGCCACCGTGCCTAGCCCCATGCCTGGCTAATTTTTTAAATTTTTTTGTAGAGGCAGGGTTTCGTCGTGCTGCCCAGGTTGGTCTCAAACTCCTGAGCTCAAGTGATCCAACAACCCTGGTCTCCCAAAGTGGTGGGATTACAGGTGTGAACCACTGCACCTGGCCTCTAAATCGATATAAGTCAATTATTCACACACTGAGAGGAATATTCAGGATTTTTTTCTTATAATATAAATGATGTGGAAATCTGGAGAACCAAAGAAGAACACCAAGACTATCTAAAAGTGTTAAATTTTTCATTAGGAAGAAAATGAATTCATGATAGTAATTAAGACAGCGATAGAACTTGGGGAAATATGTATTCCTTGATGTTTTCTATGCATTTGCAATAATAAACAATGAAAATATGGTTGAATTTTAGAAAGAGATAGGCCTGTGGTATTGTCACAAGGGTATACAAATACTGAGATTGACTTGCTGAGGCAGTGGTCTCCATTGGTGGTGACCTTCAGAAGAGACCTGTGTTTCCACATGGCCTAGACACCTGGAAGGCAGAGATCCTAACATTCCATGACACCCCCACCTTCTAATTCTGATTGTGACTCCAGACCATTACCTGGCACTGGGTCTTACCTCTGGCATTCCTATCAGAGCCTGAACCACAGACAGTACCTTAGAGTCTAAGCTTAGATACCTTTGTCTTGTTTTTGTGGCTAAGGATTCTCAGAGTTGCGGGATGCTGATGAAATTTATCCCAAAAGTAAGTTATGAATCAGATCTGCTTTCTTTTGACTCATTTAAATCCTTTGTTTAATGTAAAGAAACTTTATTGAGGTATAATTTACATACTATAAAATTTACCCATTATAATTGTACAGTTGAATAATTTTTAGTAATTTACCCAAGTAGTGCAACCATTACCATAATCCATGCATTTGTTTTTAATTTATTATTTGTCTGGGTTCTGATTCTACTTCCACCACAAGCTTCAGCATGGCAGTATCTGCCACCACTTGTTTTGGTCCAAGGGCAGAAATGAGCATCCTGGAAACCAATCAGTACTTGCGCTCTGAACTGGAAAAGTGCAAACAGAACTTCCAAGACCTCACAGAGAAATTCCTGACATCCAAAGCTACTGCCTACTGCCTGGCCAATCACCTGCAGAAATGTAGTAGGTCCCAAAGGGGCATGGTCACCAAAGTGATAAATGATTGCCCATCTTTCCTCTGTGAAATGAAACACTGCGGACTTTATTCTCTATCAAAATTAATTTTATGCTAACTACACTCCCAGAAAGGTAGAAGTGGGCCTTTTACTCTCAATTTGCCAAGGACAGAAAAACTGAGGCACAAAGGTGTAAAGTTTGCAGGGTGAGTGTAGTGAGGAATAGAGACTAAAACCTTGGTTTAGGCATGAAACTGTCTTTCCCCTCTCAGCAATGAATATCAGATTCCACAAACATGTAACATCACTGTTGGTTAAAACATCTCAGGATTCGATTTAAACTTTTTTAAGAGCGCCCATTTGCAAAGCACTGTGCCAACAGCATCAGGGGTGATAGAAGTAATAGTATACCCTATCTGCCTTGAAGGAACTTAAAACTAGCTATTCTCAACTGAGTCACAGATATGTGGAGATGTGAACTTCAATAGCAGACATGGAAAAAAGTCTTTATGATACCTGGATCAAGATTCTCTTCCCACAAAAGTTCAGATAAGCCATTCCTCATGCTCTGGTTAGATTGAGGGTATTTCCAGAAAAATCAGAGACTTTGTAACACCCTTTCTGTCTCTCTCTGAGTATCAACTTTACAGACAGCAAGCAACTGCAGGTGGACATCCAGGATCAGAGCTATGAGACATATGGCCAAAATGAGAACAAGGCCAAGTGGAACAGACTGCCATTCTCAATAGAAGGCCAGGCCAGGTTAGGGGCTGGCCCCTTCCTCTCCACAGTTAGCTCTCACATTTTTAAATCCACTGTAAAATCCCAAACCTGTTACTAATAGTCAGGGAAGGGAAGCTGTAATGACAAGGAAACATGGGAACAAGGGCATGAGAGGAACAGGGATATTAGAAGAGGATTCTGGTTAACATAGAAATTGAGTTTGTTTTCCAATTTCTACAATTATTTTAAAATACATCATTGTGTGGGGGGTGGCTAAAAGTTGCTGTCTAACTTACTGTCATAGAAAAGTAAAACCAAAAGCCCACTTATTAAAGAAGTGAAAAGATGAGCTTTGGTGTGTGGAAAAACTAGTTTAAAAAAAAAACCTTCACTCATTATAATTGTAGGAAAAAAATTTCTCAAGCTAGAGAAGAAGAAAGATATTACCTAAGACCCTAGTATAAAGGTATTATTGTGCAGTGATTAAAAAGCATATACCCTGGGGCCAAATTTCCTGGGTTCAAATCTAACTTATCATCACTGTGCCTCAGTTTTCTCATCTGTAATGGTAATAGAGTAGGAACTACCTCTTTGGATGGTGGTGATGATCATATGATGATAATTCTTAAAAACCTACTGCAACAGTACCATGACAAACACTATGTGTTGGTTCTCCCTTTAAAACACCACCTATTAGCTTTTGGGCACATATCATTTGGATCTTTCTCCTCTATATACAGTTTTACACAGCTGTATACAGATAAATGTTTAAATCTTTGAAATATTTTGGGATTATTGAAACTCCTGACACAGGAGGACCATCAGTCCTACCATTCTTAGTATCTTCCCAAACACACAGGAAGTCATTATTTCATGCCCTTATGTTCATGTTTTACTTAAGAGGCTGTAAGGCTTGGTAAATTGGCCTTAAGATTTGAAGTCATGGCTGGGTGCATTGGCTCACTTACTGCAATCCCAGTACTTTGGGAAGCCAAGGTGGGTGGATCATTTGCAGTCAGGAGTTTGAGAGCAGCCTGGCCAACATGGTGAAGCCCTGTCTCTACTGAAAATACAAAAACTAGCAGGGTATGGTGGGACACACTTGTAATCTCAGCTACTTGGGAGGCTGAGGCAGGAGAATAACCCGGGAGTCAGAGGTGCAGTGAGCCGAGATTGTGCCACTGCCCTCCAGCCTGGGCAAAAAAGTGAGATTCCATCTCAAAAAAAAAAAAAAAAAGAAAAGAAAAACATGTGGCGTCAGACCTCAGGGGATGTGAATTCTGACTGCCTCATTCCAGCTGAATCATCTTGTCAAGTGACTTTATCAGGCTTTTCTTTCCTCATCTCTAAAACAGGGAGTAGTTGAGAGACTGAGGAATACAGATATGGAAATCCCAGCGTAAAGCCTCGTACTGGGGATACTTTTATCCTTGAGATAGACCCTGCCTCCTGCCCTGCAGGCAGTGACCACAGCAGCATGGCCAGCCTTCCATGATGCAGGCATGTCTATCTTTTCTCAGAGTGTGAAGAGTGCAAAGACCTTATAGAATCTGTGCTGGAGGAGGAGGTGCAGTTTCAGGAGAGGGAGCTGGCCGAATTGCCGAGGTCAGCTGCAAGGCTCCGGTAAGGAGGTACCTCTGTGGGAAGTGCATAAATACTGTTTGAAGTAGGGCAGCTCAGGCTGGTAGAACAAAGAGCAAATTTGTGCAAGGAGAAGGGCAGAAATGTATGACTCAGGCACAGAACTAGACTAAGACACAATGAGGTTATGGTCTAGTTAGGTCTCTAGGGTTTTCCATTAAATAGCATATTAGTAAAATGGAGACAGCTGTCTGCATTGGAATACTAGCAATGTGGCTTCTATTTGTGTGTCCTTGGTCAAATTTACTTCACTTTTCTGCGTGTCATTAAACTAGGCTACCTCATTTATAAAATGCAAATACTGACAGTATCTACTTAGAGGGTTATGAAGATTAAATGCACAATTGCAAGTAGTTAGAACCATCTCTAACACATATAAAACTCTGAACAACTATTTTCTGTAATTATTATATTTGTCCCCATTTATAGATGTGGTGATTGTCATTAATATTTTCTATAAGAGATATTTTCAAACTTTCCAAAGTGCCTTTCATGATAACAATGTTTCTCCTCCAAACTTTTTAAAAAAGTATTATACTAGGTGGAGTATTAACTGGTAGGGCTGTTGGGTAGATAGATGATTGAGCAGCTGTTGTGTGGAAAATGAATTATTAATTCGCTCAGGACCAGCATTGACTATCCTTAGAGGGTTTCAGACATAAGGTAGATTGTCGCATTCGAAACTTCTTTTAATCCTTTGTTGAAATGAAATCATAGAAGCTCAAATTTGTAAAACTCACCAAAGCAGAGATATTTGATTGAAGGTGGGATAGGTCTGGAGCCCCTGTTTCTCCCCAGTATGTGTCTTTACTTCCTCTGACACTTTCTAGTAACTCTAAGAAATAGAGTTTGAAAGAGGACCTGCAGATAACTACTTAGAAGACTGGTGGGGAGAAAATTCAAGCATTAGATGGGTTAGATGACTGTAAATGTTCAGTCTAGCTCTGGGATTACATGGTTCTAAACATTAACTGAATAACTACTTGTATGGGTACATACTACCGGGTGCTGTAAGTTGGGTAATAGGTAGCACTATCTTTAGACTCACAGAGCTCACACTCTACATTGGAACCCATGTGTATTAGTCCACTCTGACACTGCTATAAACATATATCTGAGATTGGTGATTTATAAAGAAAAGAGGTTTAATTGGCTCATGGTTCTGTGGGCTGTACAGGCTTCTGCTTCTGGGCAGGCCTCAGAAAACTTACAATCATTGCAGAAGTCAAAGGGGAAGAAGGCATGGTCTTCACATGGCCAGAGCAGGAGAGAGAGAGAGAGCAAAGAGGGAGGTGCACACTTTCAAACGACCAGACCTCATGAGAACTCACTCACTATCATGAGAACAGCAAGGGGGAAATCCACCACCATGATCCAGTCACTATCCAGCAGGTCCCTGGTTGGATTACAATCCGACATGAGATTTGAGTGGGGACACAGAGCCAAACCATATTACCATGAGAAATATTTAAACAATAATTAGAAAAAAAATAAATCCGCACAGAGTAATGAAATTACTACTCAGAACTTTACTTTTTTTCTTTTTTTGAGATGGAGTCTTACCCTGTTGCCCAGGCTAGAGTGCAGTGGTGTGATCTCAGCTCACTGCAACCTCAACCTCCCAGGTTCAAGTGATCCTCCTAGGTCAGCCTCCCCAGCAGTTGAGAGTATAGGTGCACACCACCACACCAGCTAATTTTTGTATTTTTAGTAGAGATGGGGTTTCGCCATGTTGGCCAGGCTGGTCTCAAAACTCCTGACCTAAGGTGATCTGCCTGCCTTGGCCTCCCAAAGTGCTGAGATTACAGGCATGAGCCACTGTGCCCGGCCAGAACTTTAGTTTTAACTGCCTTCTTACTGATTATAGTCTATCTTCATGTCATTCAGAAGAATACTGCCCCTCTTGACCTTTTCACTGATTTTTCTTTTTAACTTTCAATTAATACTAGAGATACCGGCCCAACAGTTTTGAACTTGGCTTTTTTTTTTTTTTTTTTTCTGCCAGTTACTGCATATGAAAAGGTACATGGGCTAAAGTGGGGAACCAAAGGGGCATCTTTTTAAAGGAAATTTAGTAAAATAACAGACAAACCCAAGGCTGCTTCTTCATTCCTTCTGCCACAGGCAAGTCACACAACTTGTACAAGAATTCATCTTGGGCCAGGTGCAGTGGCTCATGCCTGTAATCCCAGCAGTTTGGGACACTGAGGTGCATGAATCATTTCAGGTCAGGAGTTCAAGACTAGCCTGGCCAACATAGCAAAACCCCATCTCTACAAAAAATATATAAATTATCCTGGCATGGTGGTGGGCATCTGTAGTCCCAGCTACTTGGAAGGCTGAGGCAAGAGAATTGCTTGAACCTGGGAGGCGGAGTCAGAGGCGGAGGTTGCAGTGAACCGAGATCACATCACTGCACTCCAGCTTGGGCAACAGAGTGAGACCCTGTCTCAAAAAAAAAGAAAAAAAGAATTCAACTTGGGAGTTCCTTACAGGGATTCTAAGAGATCTCTCCTCTGAAACTTCTATAACCTATTATTCACTACATTCCCTCATACATTTTACTCTTCTTTCCCACCTTAGGATACATGATCCCTTAATTCAGGCTCAGGCTGAAGAACTGACCCACTTACAACAGAAGATACAGGAAGGGAGAGGTGTCTGCTACCTTTTCACCCAGCATGTGAAGAACACAGTCAAGTCTTTTGAGGGCCTTCTCAGGAACACTGACATTGCCTACTACCAGAGACAGAGATTCTGTGAGCAAATGGTACAAGGAAGCCAGCTGACAGAGATCCTTGTCAGAAAACTTGCCACAGGTAAGTTGGCTACAGGCTCTGAAGACCCTTAGCTCCTCCCAAGTGCCCCAAAGTGGGGAGAAAAAATGCAAACTTATCTCCATTATAGATTTTATTTTAGTTTTGACTATGGTCCTTAATCTGCATTCTATTGTTTTCTCTTTAGAGCACTCAGGTAATCACTTTTCATATTCTTTCTAGAATTCTAAGTTTTGTTTTTTATTTTGAGACAGAGTCTTGCTCTCTTACCCAAGCTGGAGTGCAGTGACATGATCTTGGCTGACTGCAATCTGTGCCTCCTGGGCTCAAGCAATCTTCCCACCTCAGCCTCCCAAGTAGCTGGGACTACAGGTGTGTGCCACCACACCTGGCTAATGTTTGTATTTTTTGTAGAGATAGGGTTTCTCCATGTTGTCCAGGCTGGTCTTGAACTACTGAGCTGAAGTAATCCACCTGCTTTGGCCTCCCAAAGTGCTGGGATTACAGATATGAGCCACTGTGCCTGGCCTGAGAGTTCTTAGTTTCAATCAGTAAGAGAGGTAGAGTATAGTGGATTACTTCATCTTGATGAGCATAAGAACTCACCTTCATTTCTGGAAGATGTTTTCACTGGATGTAGGATTCTAGTTGACAGTTTTTGTTTTAAAAAAGTGTTTGAAAAGTGATATTCCACTGTCTTCTGGCTTACACTGTTCCAACAAGAAGTCTGCCATAATTCTTATTTCTGTTTCTCTGTACATAATATGTCTTTTTTCTCTGGATGCTTTTGAGATTTTCTATTTATCACTCGTTTGAAGCAGTTTGATTAAGATAAGACCTTGTATAGTTTTCTCTTTTACATATTGTTCTACTTTATTTAGTTTCTTGCATCTGCATGCTTATAGTTCTCATCAAATTTGAATAATAATGACATACATAGTCTTACCTATGGCATATACAATATATTATATTTGGCATATATACATCAAATATATATAATGTATATTCTATTCTTTCTCTCTATCTTCTCCTTCAAAGACTCCAGTTATATTTATATTAGCTGCTTTGAAATTTTACCACAGCTGACTAATGGTCTGTTCATTTTTGTTGTATCTTTTCTTTCTCTCTGTTTCTTTCTATTTCCATGTCTTGGAATTGATTAATCTTTCTTCAGCAGCATCTAATCTGCTGTTAATCCTATCCAGTGTATTTTCATCTCAGACTTTATTTTTCATCTAAATTTAATTTATGTCTTTTTTTAAGTTCTTCTATGTAACTCTTCATCATTTCATATTTTCCTCTAGCTTCTTTATTTTATTTTATTCTATTTTTTGAGACAGAGTCTCGCTCTGTTGCCCAGGCTGAAGTGCAGTGGTGAGATTTTGGCTCACTGCAACATTCACCTCCTAAATTCAAGTGATTCCTGTGCCTCAGCCTCCTGAGTAGCTGGAATTACCGGCACATGCCTCCACACCCAGCTAATTTTCATATTTTTCAGAGAGACGGGGTTTCACCACATTGGCCAGGCCGATCTCAAACTCCTGACCTCATGTGACCCACATTGGCCTGGCAAAGTGCTGGGATTACAAGCATGAGCCACCACACTGGCCTAGCTTCTTTAATACAAGGTATACAGTTATATTTGTTTCAATGTGCTTATCTACAGATTCTCTCATCTGTGTCCTTTTTATTGTTTTTTAATTCTCACCTGATGTGTCCTTTCTAAGTCAGTTTAAGTAGATTGATTTTTTTCCCCCTTCTTATCATGGATTACAGTTTTCTGTTTCTCTGCATTCCTAACATTATTTTATTTGGGGTTAGACATTGAGCATTGTAACTTATTGGGTGCTGGATTTTTTTGCATTTTGTGTTAAAATTCTTTGAGCTTTGTTTTGGTATACAATAAAGTTACTTAAAAACAATTTTCATCTCTCCAAGCTGGCTTTTTAATTTTTTTCAGGCAGCATAAGAGCAGCTATTAGTCAACTGCTATTTTTTTTCCCACTATGGAGGCAAAATGACCTTTAAGAAAATAGACCTTATTTTTTAGAGTAGTTTCAGATTCACAGCAAAATTGAGCAGGAAGTACAGAAAGTTCCCATATACCCCCTGCCTCCACACATGCATAGCCTCCTAGACTATCAACATCTCTCTCCAGAATGGCACATTTGTTACAGTTGATGAACTTACATTGACATGTCATTATCACACAAAGTCCATAGTTTACATTGGGGGCAATACTCTTTTGAAGATTCTAAGCCAGTGATCTCCCACAGATTTGGCACCAGGGACTGGTTGCACGAAAGACAATTTTTCCACAGACAAGGTGGGGGTGGGGTGGTAGGGGTTGGGAATTGGGTGGTTTCAGTATGAAACTGTTCCACCTCAGATCATCAGGCACTAGTTAGAGTCTCATAAGGAGCATGCAACCTAGATCCCTGGCATGTACAGTTCACAATAGGGTTTGTGCTCCGATGCTAATCTAATGCCATCGTTGATCTGACAGGAGGCTGAGCTCAGGCGGTAATGCTTTCTCGCTGGCTGCTCACCTCCTGCTGTGCGGTCCCATTCCTAACAGGCCATGGACCAGTGCTGGGGGTTGGGGACTCCTGTTCTAACCAATGCTCCCTCTATTAAAAGGGATTTTCACACTAGCTGATGGAAACACCAAGTGTTGCAAGCTATGTGTGAGCTACAGAGATTATTCCTTTTGGGAAGTTCTTTGCCCTGCTTTGCATAATTTCCTCAAATACATGTACTAATCAGTACTTAGCTGAAGATTGAAGACAGATATCCAAGGCATTCTATCTGTGCAGCAACCTATTCTCTAGTCTGTCCTGTGATGTCTAGCCACCCTGTCTTCTTCAAAGTTACTACCAGGCTCTGCCTGGGTCCTCCCTCCCTGCTCTACAGTTGACAATCTCAGGCAGCAAACTGGAGCAATCATAGGGCTCACCTCTTTTATTTATTATAGTACTGCACTATATCCAATGTTGAAGATAGAGTTTAAAATACTTTTTCCAGTTTCTCAGTTGTTTAAGGTGGAGGACAAATCAGGTCCCCATTACTCCAAATTGGCCAGAAGCAGAAGTCTCCATTCCATCTTTGTGGTCAGAAAGAACAGTATGACAGAAGGCAGCTTGTTAGAATGGGAAGACCCATGGGCTAAGAATCAGCATTACCTAGGCTCTAGTCTCAGCACTGTATTTACTAACTTTGTGCAAGTGATTGATCCTTCTTGAATTTCTGTTTCCCCATTTGTAAAGTGGGTCAAATCATAATTCCAAGGCTGCTGTACAGATCAGTTGAAGTAGTATCTTAATGTTCATGAGTGTATTTCTCTTTCAGGGTTATTTATTTTTTTATTTTTGGGTCCCAATAAACCGTCCAAATCTTTTGGGGTTAGTTCAGGCACTGTATATAGTAGAAGCTGGTGTTAGAAAAGTTGATTTATACTGGAATATTTTTCACAGAATCAACCCCAATGCTCACTAACAAACTGAGAAGAAAAAAAAGAATTACCCCCAACAACATCTGAGGAAGCACAACAGGGACAGACTTGAAGGCACCTGGGCAGTCCTCTGGTTTTGGAGTAGAGGTAGGACAGGGCTATTTGTCCTCTCAGAGACTGGAGCAGGTTCTGTGTGTGAGTAGCAATGGGACAAACAGTCGTGGTCTGGCAACCAGCCTGTAGCAGGAAGGAAGGTTACAACTGGAGAAGTCCAAAGGGCAGCCAGGCAAGTATTCTTTGAGCTGGGGAACAAAAGGCATTTAAAACTTTTTGCTCTGCTTCAGGCAGCTGACGTCTGGTGATGATTCACCATATCAGGAACACCCTGTCCAGTGGGCTAAGGCAAGCCTGCCAGGCCACTTCTCTAAAGACACAACCTGAGGCCTCCTGCAATAATTCTCACAGAGCATTCTGAACATACATGTAAGCTGTTATGTCCCTGATCATATAGGGCCCATGTGTGCAATGTGTGAAATGGGACCTGCTTAATTTCTGACTAGCTCTTTCTAATTTTGGTTTGCAGAAAATCACAATGGTAAGAAAAATGAAGACAGGCAAAAGCCACTGGCTCCCAGGTAACTCTACATGATGAAGGGGCTGATAATGGACTGACCAAATCTAGAGAGAATTCCAGAAGCAAGGACTCAAGAGGTTAAAGGTCCCAGATCTAGAAAAAGCAGAAACTGCTGATTGTTCCTTTTTTTGTTGACTGATTATACAATGTGTCCTTTTAAAAATGGTTCTCTGTTCTCTTTGCAGTTTTTGTATTGGTTCCTAGTTCCTAGTAATTTCTCACACTTAGTTAACCAGTCAGTCTTACCGAAAAGTAAACTAACCAGGGATCCCTGGTTTCTGTATCTTTAAAACCTATAGGGTTACAAACCAAAGTGAGATGCCTATCTGGTTTCTGCACAGTTGTCCTGAATTATGTTGGCAGATATTTTATAGCCAGAAATTTACCTTGAAAAATAAATTGAAACCATACCAAGTATTTAGAGCTAGGGGTCTAAAATCTGCAAAAGCCGTGGGAGGTTGTGTTGTCTCAAGAGCCAGTATTCAGTGGACCACTCCACATCATATTAAATAAAATTTAAACACAGCATTTTGAAGCCGACAGTATGGGTCACTGTGTGTCCTGTGTGCCGTGAGCGTATTGTAGAGTAGTTGTTGAGTCTGCTGCCTTATCTGTGTGTTATGAGGTCAATGCACTGATCACTTGCTTTTTTCACTTCTATACTAACTCTAGGCACACTTTACTCCCAGTCAAAAGTGGACTGTATACTTCCTCTTTGATGTGATGGTCCCTTTGGTTTTGGTGCCTCTTCCATGAGCTTCAGATCAGAACTAGCTATGTGGTTCCAGGCTGCCTTGGTTTAATCCCTTGTCTTGCCTACTTCACCTGGCTCAAGAGGGAAGTCCAGGAGGAAGAAATGGATGAAGTCCTGGAGTACTCACTAGATGAACAGTATTTGACTCATTCCAGCTGCCATGACTCCCACCAGCTTCCCAGCAGCAATGCCTTCCTCTTTGATGCACAGGAAGGCCCCTCGGCTGTGGAAACAGCCAGTAAGTGCTCCTTTGATAAGAAAAATAAAGCTCCATCAATCTCTCAGTAGCTCCTACATTCTACATGCTCACCACCTCTGTCTAAACTGAGAGATGTTATTCTCTGCAGGCAGGCCCTAAACATTCACTTTAAAAAAGTGATTAGGCTGAACACAGCTCTGGGATCAACTCTCAAGTACAGGTCCCTGGTGTGTCAGGTAATTTGCTCTGTTCCTGTCCTCACCTCAGTCCCTCTGGTCCAGACCGGCATCTGCAAGCCGGTATACTCAAAGCAGGCCAGAATGGAGAGAGTGAAGAGATTATGGCAGACTCTCTGCCACTACTGCCGCGCATGTACAAATCTGTTTAACAGATCTTCTTCTTTAAAATGGGACATCTCATCTTTCCTGAAATATATATATTTTTTGAGACAGGGTCTCTTGTTCTGTCACCCAGGCTAGAGTGCAGTGGCATGATCTTGGCTCACCACAACCTAAAACCCAGGGTCAAATGACCCTCCCACCTCAGCCTCCTGAGTAGCTGAAAACACAGATGCATGCCACTACTCCTGGCTATTTTTTTTGCCTTTTTGGTAGAGATGGGTTCTTGCCTTTTTGCCCAGGCTGGCCTCAAACTCCTGAGCTCAAGCAATTCACCCACCCCTGCCTCCCAAAGTGCTGGGATTACAGATGTGAGCCACTGCACCCAGCCTTCCTGAAATACTCTTGATAATTATAGTTCCTGAACAGCTTTCCCAAGCTGTTCTAGCCATCCCAAGAATGTTGGCAGGCTTGTCCATATGTTTGGAGGTGCAATTATAATGGTTCCTGGGTTTCAAGCTCCAGTCTCCATCTCCCCTCAGATGCTTGCTTTCCCATAAGGTTCCATCTGACTACTGGAATATCAGGGGATTTCCATAAAGACAAGACTTTGATCTTGGCAACCCTTTGGTAAATAGCCAGGGTTCTCAATCTTTGTGCAGCACCAAGGTATTTTTAAGATGTCTGTTAGTTTCGTCTCAGTGTTGTAATTCCATCTAAATAAACAATGAGGCTATCTGCTGGAGAAAAGGCTGAATCTAAGAGCAATGCCGCCAGCATGCCCTCTTCCCAGAATAACTCCACGCTAGCCATTGGAGCTTCATTAGGTATATAAGAGCCCTTTGGTTTGGTAGCCTCTCTGGTGTGTGTATAGATTAAAACCTTGACCTATATCTCCTCTCCCTTACTTGAATGTTTGACTTTACTTTGGGGGCAAAAGTTTGGATTGTTAGGAGACTATATGCTTTATATACTCTTCTATGCAATAAAAAGAGATTATATTAATTCACTCATTGAGCTTTCACAGTAATATAAACCATATTAGGCTTGTCATTCTGTCAGTGATGGGTGTAAGTTTGTGGCTTTAATTAGTCATACCATCTTCTGACAAAGGCATCCTTATTTCTCTTTCCAATTTCACAGTAATGGTGCAGAAGAAGGTCTTTACCATCTGTTAAAGATGTTCAGGGCCGGGCATGGTGGCCCACACCTATAATCCCAGCCCTTTGGGAGGCCTAGGTGGGTGGATCACTTGAGATCAGGAGTTCAAGACCAGCCCGGCCAACATGCTGAAACCCTGTCTCTACTAAAAATGCAAAAATTAGCCAAGCATAGTGGTGCACGCCTGTAGTCTCAGTCACTTGGGAGGCTGAGGCATGAGAATCCTTTGAACCTGGGAGACGGAGGTTGCACTGAGCCAAGATGGTGCCTCTGCACTCCAGCTTGGGTGACAGAATGAGACTCTGTCAAAAAACAACAACAAAAACAAAATATGTTCAGGAGAGATATTTTGTAGAGAGGAAGATATTCCCTAGTACCTATAAGTCATCTCAAGGAAGTGGTCATACCTTTTCTAGTGCTAGAAAAGCCCTACTCAGAGACCTTCAGTGTTTTCCCACCTCCTGTCAACCTGCCTTATACTTCCCATATCTCCATGTGGGAGGCATCCCTGTGGAGTTTGCTTAGCACTTGGCCATGCTTTCTTTGAAACCTTAAAAGCTCTTAAAGAAAGTTGCCTTATGTTCCCTGATGAGAAGATGAAGTTGGCAAAAGAATGGTGAAAGGCAGGGATCTTGACGAGAGGCCCCTGACTATCCCTTTAGTGATCAGCATCTTCACTTCCCATCTCATTCCATGTCCTGGTGGAATGGCTGCAGAAGATGAGATCCAGAGCCAGTGGCAGCACCTGAAGGAGACCCTTTTCATCAACAACTGCCTGTGAGAAAAGCTAGAACGTCATCACAGCAGCTTTGATGAAGAAAATGGTAGGAGAGGCCCAAGTCAGCCTGCTTCTGGCAATATGTATTTTTCTAAAGGCGTGTGACTGGGGCAGAGTTTTATAGATTTCAAACACTTTGACATACTTTACTTCACTTATTCATTACAAATGTCCCAGCTAGAGAGGCAGGGCAGCTACTATCATTCCTATTTATAGGTAAATAAATAGGCTTAAAGATATGCCTTCATCTTAGAGGTATCTACTTCTAAAATCATTCTTGTGATTCCTAAGCTGTCTGCTGTCTTCTGTCTGCTGCTGTACACTGCCTGCTGTCTCTCTGCTTCTTATGTGATTGGCATTCAGTAGAACCCAGGTTTCTGAGCACCTCACATAGCAGAATGAGTCTCCTCTACTGCCATCCTCATCAGCTTCCCTTATGTCTTGGTGACTCTTCATTCTACCACCCCAAGGTGGTTCTCTCCAACCCCCCTCCTCTTAGATTGTTCTCACACAGAGGCCATCATTTCATAACATTGTGCTGGGCCAGAAGAACCATAAGCAGGTCCCTTCCCATACCAAAGCCGTAACTATTTTGGAAAAGCCTCCTTCATATTGCAGCCATTGGACATGATAATACATGTGATGTGCTGGCATTTGTTGAGAATCATGTGAAAATTAAGCTTCCACCCCATCACACTAACGTTCCAGCCCTCCACGGTTTTCTCCCTAGGCTAAGATAGAGAGGAAGAACATGAAATGTGCAGAAAGCATTCTCTTAAGCAAACGTGTATAACTTGCATAAATTGTAATAATTTCCTGGAACAGGATGCACCTCTAACCTCTACAGGCAAATCATAGATTCCATTGTCCAGCTGTATAATGAAAACAGAGTTCTCAGAGAAGAATACCGGAGACTCTCCCGACTTGCCTGAATCAAATTTCCAGAGGTAAGTGGTGAAAGGCCACAATATGAAGTCACTCTCAGATGGGTCCCTTCTCTTGCCACACTCCACTGTAGAAATAAAAGAGGACGGGGAGGCCAGAGCTGCTCAAAACCTTATAACCCACAATTCTCATAGCTATTCTCAACTTAGAGAGGGCTGCTTTCTAGACACACCCCCTCCAGGCCCCCAGACTGCCAGGCTCCAGGAATAAGTAGCTCTAAGAAATACAGTATTTCGGTGCGAGCCACACCCCACTCTTGCAAATTGGAGAAGAGAAGGACAAACTTAAAAGGTGAAAAGATTTAACAGAACAACAGGGTGAAACCCCATCTCTAATAAAAATACAAAACTTAGCTGGGCGTGGTGGCATGCACCTGTAGTCCCAGCTACTCAGGAGGCTGAGGCAGGAGAATCATTTCAACCCAGGAGGCAGACGTTGCAGCGAGCCAAATTTGCGCCACTGCATTCTAGCCTGAGTGACAGAGCATGATTCCATCTCAAAAAAAAAAAGAAAAAAAAAAAGAAAAGAAAGACAGAAAAGATTTAAGAGAACAATTATTTTAATTGAATACATTTTGTCAAGATTAAATCAACTTTCCCCTAGAATACTGAAAGAATAAGCAATCATAATTTAGATTCTAAGTTACTGGCCTTTGAGAAAGTGTGAAATCCAAAAAGATGCCGTGAGCCAAAAAAGAGCAAAAGTCCTAATTTTCAAACTTATGAAAATAAAGTACTAAATAATTGAAATCGTCGTAGTTCATCTTGGTCCTTGGCAAAATAAAAATTTATTGATTGAAATTATAATATACTAGCTACCTTATCGTGCCTAGCTCTTACCACTGAGGAGAAAAACCAAACGCAAACAAAAGTATGTTCAAATTGGCAAAAATGTTTACAAACCTGCAAAATCTCTTCAGCCTATCCCTTAAACTGCAGACTTGGTATTTACTAAGCTCTGCTGTGTACAATACCCACCTTAATATCCATTCTTGCACAAGTTCTGTTAGGTATAAGCCAAAATCACATGGGATTTTTTTTTTTTACCCTCTCATGCCTATGTTTGCTTTTGCTTCCAAAGACCCTTCTGAGTAAGGACTGTCCTCAGACTACTGGAGTCACTTAGTCACAAGCTTGCCTGAGGCTCAGAGCTGGCAATACCTGGTAGTTTATGTCAATCCCACATGCAACCCTGCCTGCAAAGTATTTACCCATGATTGACAGGTGCAGGTGTATGAAAGCCCAGCTCCTTGACTTGAGGGGTGCGTTTGTGGTGAATTAGCTTTGGGAAAAGGGAATCCAGAGGCCAACTTTGTAAAAATCCAGATAGGTAAATGGAGAGAAATCTTTGCCTTGGAAGTCCAGTTGAGAAAGATAGTGATTTACTTCGGACTGTGAAAAGAGAGACTAAAATCTTTACTTTCTCATGGGAAAGAAGCCTATGGTGAAAGAGAAAGAAAGAAAATGGTGGGAAATAGGGTAGGTCTACTCAGTAGCTTTAAACCATTCTGTCATATTATAAAGCCTAGTAAGGTTTTAACTAACACAAGTGCCTGGACTCTACACATAGAGATTCTGATTTAAATGCTTCCAGGTGGGTGGAAGACACTAGTAGTCTTAAAATGCTCCCAAGTAATTTTAACATGTAGCTAAAGATGAAAAGGACAATCTATCTACTAGAATGTCAAGTCGCCAGCATAGGAGTGTCCCAAATGTGCAGCTACCTCATAGAAAAGGCTTAACCCCACCCATTGATGGAATTTGCCTTCCTCTCTCCATGGTCTTGTTTGCATAGCATGGAAAAAAAGAGAAGAGAAAAAGAGGTAGACGGATAGATTGAACCTATAATTTGCCTATGTGGAGCAGTTTCTCAAACTTTTCTGACCACAAGATGCAGTGAGAAATACACAATTCTTTGTGATCAGTTTTTAAAAAATCTTTTATTATGTGTAATCCACCCTTCCTAGTATTTAAATAAAGCCTGTAGTAGTAAGCAGTCCACTATATTGATTTCACAACCCATAAGTTGTTCAGAATTGCAATTAGAAAATTTTTAATTTTGGCCAGGCGTGGTGGCTCGCACCTGTAATCCCAGCACCTTGGGAGGATCACCTGAGGTCGGGAGTTTGAGACCAGCCGGACCAACATGGAGGAACCCTGTCTCTACTAAAAATAAAAAAAAAAAAAATTTTTTTTTAAATTAGCTGTGCGTGGTGGTACCTGCCTGTAATCACAGCTACTTGGGAGGATGAGGCAGGAGAATTGCTTGAACCCTGGGGGTGGAGGTTGTGGTGAGCCAAGATTGTACCATTGCACTCCAGCCTGGGCAACAAGAGCAAAACTGTCTCAAAAAAAAAAAAAACAAAGAAAGAAAGAAAAAGACAAAGAAAGAAAGTAAGAAAGAAAGAAATTTTTTTTTCACTTTTGCTCAGCCTTTTTATCAAGGAAAATCCCAAAAGAACATTTACTGTAAAAGAACATTGACTATAAACATCTTTCTGTGAATCCTTATTTCTGTCCCAGCCACCATGACCCAATAATCTCTAAAACCTGTTAGTGTTCTCCAGATTGAAGCCTTCCCTCTAACTGCTCCTAAATCTGTGATGTAGTGGAAAAGGTTTGAGGCCTTGATTCTCATCCTGGGTTTTTCACCTACAGATCATATGGCCTTAGCCTCTTGACACCATTGTCTCCTTATGGCCAAAGATGGAACTGTACTTGGGTGGTATCTGAGCACCCTGTTGGCTTTGACATTCTAGGGCTCTTCCCTTGGCACCACTCTCTTATTTAAAAGGAATAGGATGTGGACTTAGAAGGGTTATTTCTCTGCAAACTATCCTCTCTTTCTTATGACAAGCTATTTCTGAATGTGCACATTTGAGGCTAAGCAAATCCCTTCCTGGGAGGTGTGAAAGACCTTTATTTCTCTCCAGAGGAGTATTATGGATGTGGTAGAGACCTAGCTAACTCATCTGCAGCGGCTTTGAGCAAGGCTTTTAGAACCATAAGGTGGCTGGGGTCCTGTGTCCTACACCACAGGCCAGCTAGTTCATTTCAGGAGACTTTCTTTTCAATCTATTATTACTATCTTCTTCTAGACTGTAGTTCACTACCAGAGATTATCCACTTAGCTGCACTCAGTTTGCACCTGGCCTGTATCACCACTTAGCTCTCACTCTAGCCTCAGTTAGGTATCAGCAAGACCTCACCAAAGATTATTGTTTCGTTGTATGTGCGTGTGTGTTTTTGTTTGTTTCAAGTAGCAACTAATGTTGGAACTATGGAAAGTTCTTCTCTACTTTTAACAAAGCTTAGTCACAAACAGTTCCCCAGTTGATGAGAAAAACTAAAACAACAGAACAATTGAAAGTCCAAATCTGAAAGCTCCATCTCTGAAAAGCAAATTTTATAGCCACTCCAGATTTGTATTCCAAATGGACAGTTTGATTGTAGAAATCACATCCCTTCAGTCTGCAAATGTGATAACTGCCCAAGAGACAATGATGCCTAGATCCATAAATAATCCCCTTTCCCCCAACCTATATATAACTGGAGTCAACAGCAGCTAGAGGAAAATGGCAAGGACTTGGAATCAAGATTAAGTTAGAATAACACTGCTGTAGACTGTTTATCAGCTCTTCAGCATATGTCCACTTTCCTTGAAGGATAAGCCTTTAGAAACCTCTGACAATAAAGTTTATTTTACACACATTCTCTTGCCTATGATTTTTTTGTACAAATCACAATTACAAAACTTTCTTGCTCCAGCTAAAAGCAGGAAACTCAGTCACAAATGTGTTCACTACATGTATACCACAGAATGATAGCAGCCAGTCTGAATGCATCACTTGATTCCAAAATTAAATGTTAGCACTCAGTAGTGAAACTACATGTATCTCCAACTCTGGAAGCCCCAGGCAAGATACTCCTGTTTCCTGCAGGGAAACAGATCTATAAGCAGGGCAGCAGTCTCACACATGTACATTCCTGGGAAACCCAAGGAAACAATGATAGTGACGCAGGGCAGGCGAGCCTCAAAACTGGTTTGTAGCCTGAGAAATTTCTCCCAGACTGTAGTTTCCTTGGCTTTGCCAAGGAAAGAATTCAAGGGCAAGCCGCTGGTGAAAGCAAGCAACTTTTATTGAACTGGTGCTGCTACTTGCAGAGCAGGGCTAACCCATAGGCAATGTGCCCAGAGTTGGTGCCTGTGGGCTGCTAGCTAGTTGTATTTAGACCCACTTTTAATTACATGCCAATTAAGAGGTAGGTTATTCAGAACTTCCTGGAAAAGGGGCAGGGAGTTTCCAGAACCATATAAAGTAACTTCCAGGCCATTGCCAAGGTGTGTTGCCATGACATTTGTAAACTGGCCATGGTCCCAGTGGTAGTGTCTTTATGCTCATAAGCAGTGAGAGCAACTAGAGGTCACTTTCATCATCATCTGCTGGTTTCAGCAGGCTTCTTCACTGCACCCTGTTTTGACCAGATCCTGCTCTGTTCAATGGTCCTTCTGGTCTCCTACCTCATTTCCCCATCAGAGATTATATACTCCTCCTTAATCTTAAGGGGCTTGCAGAAGGGTGGAGGTTCATCTTCTGTAACTGCTTCCTGCTGATGTTATGGGCATAGACCCTGTCTAGCACTGGAGAAGTAAAATCTCTGGATACCTGTTCTAAAAGACCCAAAGGCAGGATGTCTTTATTTTCTGGGTCAGAAGAGGGGATGGATTGAAAGCCTTGTGCCAGCATCGTCTTTACATGGAATTATTGTAATCTAGAAGACACAAACTTTACAAGGAGGTTAAACAAGCAAGGACCAAAGATTAGTAATAACAAGATATCTGTTAAAGGTCCTAGGAAGGGTAAAAATCAAGTGTCTGCTGGTAGAGATTCCTTTATTGAATTCAATCAGCAGGGCAAAGCGGTAAGAGAGAAAACATTATAATTAGGAGTAAGAGAAAAACTTTCATGCTCATCCACAGCATCATGTTATTAATATTTATCTGTGCATTTGCAAAACAATAGCTTTAAGTCTTCTGGGAGTTTGCAAGTATAGGTCATGGCATCTTCCTCTGACATCTGTGAGGACTCATAAGAATCTTTGAGGCTGGGCACAGTGGCTCATGCCTGTAATCCCAGCACTTTGGGAGGCTGAGGCAGGCATTTTACAAGGTCAGGAGTTCAAGACCAGCTTGGCCAACATAATGAAACCTCATCTTTACTAAAAATACACACACACAAAAAAAAAATTAGCCAAGCATGGTGGCACGTGCCTGTAATCCCAGCTACTCAGGAGGCTGAGACAGGAGGATTGCTTGAACCCAGAAGGTGGAGGTTGCAGTGAGCCGAGATCGAGCCATTGTACTCCAGCCTGGGCGACAGAGCAAGACTTCATCAAAAAAAAAAAAAAAAAAAATTAACTTTGGAGTTTAACAGCAGTGGGAGTGCTTAATAATGCCTGATAGGGGCCCTTTCTATTTTGGTTGTAATTGATTCTTGGGGGATCCTTCTTTCTAAGTTTTTAGTAAGACTAAGTCTCCTGGTTGAATGGGGGAGTTAATCCTTTTCCTTGTGGGAGGTTACGTTTCATTTCCATATGATTGAAGGGCCTTTTGAACCTGGCCTAAGTTGATAATCTATGTGTCTCTTCATCAAACAGAAGGTCTAAAGTTAAAAAGGGCCTTCCGAGCTGCTCAGGCGACCCAGTGCTCGGTTGGCCCGGGCCGCGCTTAACTGTCCCAGGTCAGTTAAGCCCGTGGGAGCCCAGGTCATGGGGCAGCCAGGGCCTCTGCAGTGTGAGGCGCCGGGCTGCGGGTGGGTCGCGGTCGCGGCCCCCGCCGCAGGCCCTGGCGGCGGCATGGTGAACATAGACGTGGAGTTCCACATCCGGCACAACTACCCCTGGAACAAGTTGCCGGCCAACGTGAGGCAGTCATTAAGTGGAGATAGCTCATCATGGAGGTCTTCATCTTTGTCTTCACATCAAGTAGGCTGAGGAGGAGGAAATACAGGAAGTATTGGTCTTGCTGTTCAGAGTGGCAGAGGAGAAAGAAAATCCCAGCCGTCTTGGAAATTCACAGAGAGAATATGAAAATCAGGTTGTCCTGTACAGTATCTGCAATCAGTTACGATACAGAAATAACTTAAACATGTCAAGAAAGATGAACGCGGATACTATGAGGAACTGCTAAACTACAGCCGAGATCATCTCATGCTGTACCCTTACCGTCTATTGGATATTATGGTGAAGGGCTTGAGCATAACACCATTTTCATATTACACTGGGATTATGGAGAATATTATGAACAGTGGGCACAATTTTACTGCTGCTGACTGTCTAAGGCTTCTTGGCATAGGAAGAAACCAGTATATTGATCTTATGATTCAGTGTAGATCATCAAAAAAATTCTTCAGAAGGAAAACAGCCGGTGATCTTCTACCAATAAAGCCAGTGGAAATTGCCATAGAGGCATGGTGGGTGGTGCAGGCTGGATATATCACAGAAGATGACATCAAGATATGCACTTGGCCTGAGAAATGTGCTACTGATAAGATCGTTGATTCAGGCCCTCAACTCTCTGGATCACTAGATTACAATGTAGTACATAGTTTGTATAAAAAAGGATTTATTTATCTGGATGTACCAATGTCTGATGACAGTTATATA
Organism: Homo sapiens; assembly: GCF_000001405.40. Classification (NCBI taxonomy): domain Eukaryota; kingdom Metazoa; phylum Chordata; class Mammalia; order Primates; family Hominidae; genus Homo; species Homo sapiens. The sequence continues at coordinate 120,984,238 of NC_000001.11, forward strand.
GCAGTTGCACCCCTTGAAGGTTTTGTAATGAATCGAGTGCTTATTTTGATTATTTTGAAACTCTACTCTATAAGATATTTGTTTCAGTAGATGAGCACACAAATGTGGCAGAGCTTGCAAATGTCCTTGAGATTGACTTATCCCTGGTTAAGAATGCTGTTTCAATGTATTGCTGATTGGGCTTTGCCCATAAGAAGGGACAAGTAATAAATTTGGATCAACTTCATTCATCATGGAAGAATGTTCCATCCATAAACAGATTAAAGAGTACCTTAGATCCATAGAAGATGCTCTTGTCATGGGGTGGAGGGGAAAGTAGGAGGCCTGTACAAGAAGCTTCATCGGCAACTGACACTGATACAAATAGTCAAGAAGATCCAGCTGACACAGCCAGTGTAAGAAGCCTGAGTCTGTCTGCAGGACACACGAAGCACATCGCATTCCTGTTTGACTCCACTCTTACTGCCTTCTTAATGATGGGAAATCTTTCACCAGTTCAGAGCACTGGTGAAAGAGAAGCACAGAGATATTTTGATCATGCGCTTACTCTGAGAAACACAATACTGTTTCTGCATCATAACAAAGATCTAGTTGTGCAAACTGCACAGCCAGACCAACCCAATTATGGTTTTCCTCTGGATCTCTTATGCTGTGAAAGCCTTCTTGGTCTGGACCCTGCAACTGGCAGCAGAAAATTACACACTGCTTGTTTCCATGGCTCCCCTCACCAATGAAATCCGGCCTGTCAGCAGCTGCACCCCTCAGCATATTGGACCAGCTATCCCAGAAGTCAGCTCTGTCTGGTTTAAACAGTACATTTATGTTTATCATATCACTGGACAAGGACCACCATCCCTTTTATTATCCAAAGGTACAAGACCTCGAAAACTGCCAGATATATTTCAGAGTTACGATCGATTGCTAATAACATCTTGGGGTCACGATCCTGGAGTAGTTCCTACCTCAAATGTGCTCACGATGTTGAATGATGCTTTAACACATTCTGCAGTTTTAATTCAGGGGCATGGTCTGCATGGGATAGGAGAAACTGTCCATGTCCCATTTCCATTTGATGAAACAGAACTACAAGGAGACTCGTGTCAATATGGGTGTTCATAAAGCATTGCAGATACTAAGGAACAGAGTGGACTTACAACATCTCTGCGGATATGTCACCATGTTGAATGCTTCCAGCCAACTTGCAAATAGAAAACTCAGTGATGCTTCTGATGAGAGAGGAAAACCTGATTTGGCTTCTGGCTCAGATGTTAAATGGGAGTACAGAGTCATTTGAAATGGTCATTGAAGAAGCAACTATAGATTCAGCAACAAAGCAAACCTCTGGTGCCACAACAGAAGCAGATTGGGTTCCTCTCGAGCTGTGCTTTGGAATTCCGCTGTTCAGTTCCGAATTAAACCGGAAAGTTTATAGGAAAATTGCTACACATGGCCTTTGCAGAAAAGAGAGCCTTCAAAACCTCTTACATTCCAGTAGAAAACTCTCTCTGCAAGTCCTTAACTTTGTTCACTCATTCCAGGAAGGTGCTTCAACATTGGATATTCACACAGAGCCCAGTTTTTCAAGTTTGCTTTCACAGTCATCGTATGCTGACATGGGTGTTCCACTTCCTGCAAAAAATTTAATATTTAAAGATGGTGTCTTATCAGAACGGAGTGGATGGTCACCTTCCTCACTTATTGCTAATCTCCATTTGCAATAATTTGGTTACACCATTTGCTGCTCACACTTTCTGCCTTTTTTCTTTCTTAACGTTAGCTTTATAGTGTCAGCCACTAAAAAGCATCCTGCTGCTGCGGAGCAATTCTTGCTTTACTAATATTAAAAGTTTGGGGAACATATTCATGTTTTCTGAAGTTTTGCTCCTTATTGCACATCTTATTGCAACAAAGTGCTTTTTAGCATACAGCACTGTATTTTTTACCTTGAGACAATCTGCATTTCTTTTATAAAACTAAGTATATACTTTATAGGCTTTATGATGACTGTTATGTTTAAAAGCAGTCACTGTGAAAATTGCAATGATAATTTTATATGTTAGTTTATCAAACATCAATCTTGTTTAACTTTATATTTTGTTACCTATACTTTGGGGGATCAAGGGAAGAGATGGAACTCTTCCTCTGAAAATGCTTCTTGGTACTTAAAGTAGTAAAACTATAAAACAGTAAACATCCAGTATTGGGAGATGATATGATAGGGCATTATGAATTCCTATGGGTATCTAAATTATGTATGTCAGTTGGACATTGTAGAAGGTATGTAAATCATCATGGTTATGTATAACTTAACCTTGATTTATAAGGTCTTAATTCAGATTATGACTATTCGTTGACATCTCATGAGAAGCTTTAGAAAACTTTCTATTTTTAAACACCATTTATATGTGGACTTCTGTTGTCACTGACTTTGGGCTTTATATTTTCACAGAGTCTTTATGGAAAAAGTAGAATTTATTTTCCACTCTTGTAGCTATAGCTGCTGCACATTTTCATCCTGATTTATTTTTTTGTTTCTTACCTTTGATGTTTTCAAACCAAGGATTGTGATTTTAGGTTAGAATTACATATTAGAAGCATTAAGACTATGTCTTTGGATCAGAATGCTTTAGTGATTAACCTACTTTGAAGACATACTCTTAAGCAATCTGGATCTTAAATTTATGTGAATACATTTTTAGAAAATGATAAAGAAAAATGGAATTACTTCAAAGTGTTTCTTGAGTCATTGATTCTTTTAGCATCTCAAATGTTAATTAGAATAATTGGAATCACTTTTTAGACTTTTCAAGTTACCTTCCTTGGGAAGTTTGTGTAGTGTTACAGTTTAGTTTAGCTCCTCTTATAGGGCAATGGTTTGCTAGTTTAAAACTGTAACCAAATGAACTGGTCAGACAACTCATATCTAAAACACTTAAAATGTTAGAACGTTTGGGAATGTTATAACCTAAGCGTTTTTGCTGATAACTTTTTGTTATTTATAGACATTTGTGTATTTAACATACTTACTTCTGGAAATATATGCCTTTCCTAAAACTTAACCACACATCCACTACCATGGCCTATGTATAGAATTGAATATTTTGGACCATGTTATCTGTGGCACAGTCAGTGCTGTGTTTGAGGTAAATGCAGTAACGGTTAGTTTTCTACTTTGCCTTATAAAAGGTAGAAACCATGTGTATGTTATGTTTGTCTATAAAAGAAAAATACTAATATTAAATTATTTCTTATGACTGTGAGTCACTCACTTATTTTTCCAATAATTGATATTGTACATTCCTAGTGCCATTAGGTATGTGTGTATGTAACTTTTACAGTTTTTCAGCTGAAAGTTGTATTTTTTTTTAATCAGGGCTCTTTAATCTCATTTTAATTTCCTTTGTTTGAATGAACTGTAGTTATTTTCTGTATTCCTATATTAACCATCTAAACCAACTGTAATGACACGTACACTAATAAAGAATTGAACATTTGTATTTGTTGGCAGTGAGCCCAGTTGTTGGTGAATTTAAAGCTTAAAATATGGGAGTGATTTGCTGCTATATTTCTTTTGAGAGATAAAGGAGGAAGAAATGGAACCTAATGGTAATCATGAATTTTAGGGAAAGTACTGAAAAACCATGGGGTCCCCTCTGGTTTCTTGTGTTGAATGAGGCAAGAGTAATCATCTGATTCTGAGCTAAAGACCTCTCATACTCTCAAGGAGGGAGAGTGCATTTTTAGAGCTTTTAGCAAAAATGTGAAAAGTTCATGTTTGCACTTTGCTTTGTGAATTTGGCTTCCTTTTACTTATACATTAACTCATGTAATGTCTTAAATCTTACAAGTATTGATCCATTTCAACAAAAAGGTAAATTTAAAGTGCAGACTTTGTTACTTGCCAAAGAAGATTCATGAAAAATTTATATCCAATTATTTTCCAAATAGTTAATTTAATTTGGCTTTTTACCACATTCCTTCCTTTCTTTCCCGACTTCTTTAATGTAATTTAAATCCTGGAAAACATTCTTTAGAAACCAAGAGGAAAAGAAGAACACATACCAAAAAAGACATATAACTTAAAATGGTACATTTCACATCTAAAATGGGTTTGAAGAAACGCAACTTTATATCATTAAAAAATAAGATCATCTGATTTCCTTTATTTCTTTTTTAAATTATGTAATCAGATGATTTTATATTTTTTTGGGGGGGCAGAATATTGGTTTCTTTTACTTGATGTTTTCAGTTTTCTCTGGCATTCAAGTTTCTTTTTTGTGTTCAGTGTTTCAAATACAATTTGTATTTAAGGATTTTAAAATACCAAACTGTAAATGAGTACAGTGGATCTTTTTCTGTTAGGATGTTAATATTATACAATGAAATCTATAAAGTGTTGTCAATTTGATCATTGACACATATGACACGTTTACAATTAAACTGTGGTGTTGATCAAGTTAAAAAAAAGACGGAGGCCTTCCATAAGTCATTTCAAATGGACTAAGCTTTAAAGTTCTCTTTGGAGCCATCCTCATATGCAAAAGGGCTATGAGTAGGAGGAAAACTCAGGCCTCTGAGGTCTCCTGAAAGAGTTTTGCTAATGTCACAACTGGCTTTCTATGTTATCTGAAGATTGAGATCTCCATGAAGAGTGAAGATAGGTAATGCTTAAGGCTGAGGCATTACCTCACTGGGTCACCTTAGCTGGGAAGGGAGGTCAGTTATCCCCTTGCAAACATTTTGGTAATCCAAATCTTGGGATGATTTCTTTAAGTAAGAATTTAGACACTTCCAATACTTTTCTTGTCCTTGTGGGGAAAGCTTCTATCCACCTGGTGAAAGTGTTTATAAATACTTGCAAATATTGTAGTCCCCTGTAAGGTGGCATCTGGGTTAAATCTGTCTGCCAGTCTTCACTATGGTATGTTCCGTGGTGTTGTACAAGTTTAAGCAGGGAGCGGGGTATGGGGTGGCTTCCTGATTGGTAAATCTTTTTATAGTTTAGAACAGTCCCTTCCCCAAGAATATTTAGGAAACTAATTTGAATGGAAAATCCTGTCCCAAATGTGAGGAATCATGAAAATGTTAAATTACTTCCCATTTGTCAGCCTCAGGAATAGAGTTTGTTCTTTTCTAGCAAGCATCTAGAGGGGTCTTACTGGAAGCCTTTTACTCAGTCCCTTTAATTTCCTTGGGTGTATACTATGGTTCCACTGACATGGATGACCTGGTAGTAGCGCAGCAGCCTGAAATACCAGGGTTTCCTTAGCTGTGGCCTTAGCTGCTCTTTCCAAAAGGGAATTTCCTCTAATAAGAACAGTGTCTTCCTTCTGGTGTCCCCTGCAGTGAATACTTGTTATTTCTTTGGGAATTGGACGGCATCTAAAAGTTCCAAGATCTGAGTAAAGTTGTATGGGGGATCCCTTGGCTCTTGATAGTCCCCTTTCCTTCCCTATGGTTGCATGAGCCTGAAGCACCCGGAAACCATACTTAGAGTCAGTAAACACATTGACTCTTGAGGGTTTTTTTTTTCTTTTTTGAAACGGAGTCTTCCTCTGTCGCCCAGGCTGGAGTGCAGTGGCATGATCTTGGCTCACTGCAAACTCTGCCTCTCAGTTTCAAGTGATTCTCGTGCCCCACCCTCCCGTGTAGCTGGGATTACAGGTGCCCACCACCATACCCGGATAATTTTTGTATTTTTAGTAGAGACAGGGTTTCGCCATGTTGGCCAGGCTGGTCTCGAACTCCCAACATCAGATGATCCACCCACCTCGGCCTGCCAAAGTGCTGGGATTACAGTCGTGAGCCATCCAACCCAGGCTTAAGTCTTTTCACAGTTGGAAGGTCCTGATTAGAGCAGCTAATTCTGCTTTTTGAGCAGAATTCTGAGAAGGTAAACCCTTGGCCTCAATGACTTCTTGTTAGCTAACCTTCCTTTCTTACTCCCTCATGAATAAAGCTATTTCCATCTCTAAACCACTCAACACTGGGGTTAGACAAGGGCTTGTCTTCAAGGTTGGACCTTCTAGAGTAGATCTCTTCCATGGTTTCCACCCAGGAGTCAATGAGTTGGGGATCTGTTTCTTGGGATGTGAGGTCCAGCAACAGAGTAGCAGGGTTTAAAAATCAGCATACTTTAAGGGTAACATCTGGGGTGTCAAGCAGAAGAGCCTGATATTTAAGTAACTGGCCCCCTATTAGCCATTGGTATACTTTTGCCTCTAGGACCTTCTGTACTGTACTTCATGGGGTGGTGGGGGGCGGGGGTGGTATGGCATCTACTTGTTGTCCCAAGGTAAACTTACTGGCTTCTTCTACCAATAGAGTGATGGTAGCCACAGATCTCAAGCTTCCTGGTCACTCAGCTGCCACCTGGTCTAGCTGTTTAGAGAAATAAGCCACTGGTCTGAGGCAATTCCTGACCCTTCGAGTTAGAACATCCAAAGCTGTCCCTTGTTATTCATCCACATAGAGGATGAAAGGTTTTTCTAAGTTTGAGAGTCTTGAAGCAGGGGCTGTCCCTGGGTTTTCTTTTAAGGCTAAGAATGCCTTTTGACAGGCTCCATTGCAATTCAAAGGCTTATGACCACTCACTTTTGGAGGTTCGTAGAGTGGTTTTGCTATGAGCCCAAACCTGGGAATCCAAACCCAGCAGAATCCAGCTATTCTCAAAAAGGAATTTGAGGGACCTGGAGTGCCAGGATGGTCTCTTTTCATCCCTGGGTCAAGATCCTGGTCCCAGGAGTGAGAATGTGTCCCAAATACGTGACCCTTTGGACAGAAATTTGGGCCTTTCGGGGGGATACCTGATACCCTTGTTTTGTTTCAAAATTAAGGACTTGAAGTTGTATGTTTCTCAGAGTCTTCCCCTAGTAGGGCTGGAAATTAATAGGTGATACACATATGGTAAGAGGGATCCATTAATTAACTGTAGTTCCCATACCTCTTTTGCCAATGCATTGCCAAACAGATGGGGATTGTCCTAAAACCTTGGGGACAGGACAGTCCAGGTAAGCTGAGATGCAGCATGAGTGTCTGGATTAGTCCATTCAAATGCAAAAATGTATTGGGTGTCCAGGTGTAAAGGTGTGTGAAAGAAAACATCTTTTAAATTTAATACTATGAACCAATAAGCATCTTCAGGGACTTGAGTTATTATTGTATAAAGATTAGGAACTATTGGGTGACTGGAACTAATGCCTCATTAACTGCCCTAAGATCCTGAACAAATCTATATTCCCCGTTTGGCTTATTAACAGGAAAAATGGGGGTGTTACGTTGGGACTGATAGGATTGTAATAATCCATACTTCATTATCAGGGGATGGATGCCCCTTGGAGCCAAAGGTCTAAAAGGATACTGGATTTTTCTTTTTTTTTTTTTTTTTGAGTCAGAGTCTTGCTCTGTTATCCAGGCTGGAGTGCGGCGGTGCAAGGCTCACTGCTACCTCTGCCTTCCGGGTTCAAGCAATTCTCCTGCCACAGCCTTCTGAGTAGTTGGGATTGCAGATGTACACCACCATACCTAGCTAATTTTTGTGTTTTTAGTAGAGATGGGGTTTTGCCTTGTTGGCCAGGCTGGTCTCAAACTCCTAGCTTCCAGTGATATGCCCACCTTGGCCTCCGAAAGTGCAGAGATTAAAAGCATGGGCCACCACACTTAAAAGGATATTTTTTTTCCCATAGATAATTAACACTGGGTTTCAAAATAACCTGGACTGGGAGAACATTTGCAGTTCTTCCAGGAACTACCATGTCACAAGCAGACGGGTCTACTTGAGAAGTAATATTTGATGGAAGGAACGTCTTTTCTTTATCTGTGTTAAGACATGAACTTAGAGCTAGGAGAAGTGTCCCTTCCCAGCCTGTGGCCTTCTCTTGAGGTGCTCCAAATTGAACTGCAGCCTGTTATTGGGAAAGTAAGTCTCTTCCCAGTAAAGGAATAAGGCACTCAAGACTAAGCAAAAATCTGTGGAAAAACATGGTTCCCCACAGTGCAACTAAAGGAATGGGTGAATCTCCTAGCTTTTAGCTGGTCATCAATCCTCATTACAGTACAGGAGTGGGAAGACAGTGGCCCCAAGGACTAGATCAGAACTGAGAAGGCGGCTCGCATATCCAATAACTCAATATTTTTACCCGCCATGTCAAGAATTACCTGAGGCTCTTCTGTAGAGATGGCAAGGTGTCTGGTGGAAGCTGTAGGGAATCTTGGGCCCTGTCAGTCCTCTGTTCTCTTAGCCATTAGGGGTCCGAGAAGCTCAGACTCCGTTTGGAGACTGAGGCAGTCTTTCCTCCAGTGGCCCTCTTGCTTACAGAAGGCACACTGATTCCAGCCTAGGGGATGATGAGCTGGCTTTTGTCTGGGCATCCCAAAGCCACTCTTGCAACACTTTCTCAGGATGGGCAGCTCAAAAGCAGTAGGAGGCTGAAAGCAGCTGCAAACAATTGCATTTTTTGGCTATTTCTTTTGGTTTTATCCTTTTCCTCTGCCTTGTCCCTATTGTTGTAAACTCCAAAGGCCATGTTTAAGAGTTGGCTCATGGAGTTTGGGGTCCCATTCCTGCCTTTTGTAACTTCCTCCTAATGTCAAGGATAGATTGAGTAATACAACGCATGCCCAGAAGAGCCCGCCCTTCCGGGTTGTCTGGGTCTACATTAGTATATTTCCTGAGTGCCCCAACCAAGCAGCCCTAAAACAGAATGGGATTTTCATCCTTCCACTGAGTTACTTCTCTATCCTTGTCACAATTAACTGGCTTAATCACACACCTTTTCATACTTTCTATTAAACAAGTTAGCATGTGATTTCTATGTTCAAGTTCTTGGGAACCCTTCTGGTAATCCCACTGAGGGTCTCTATGTGGAACTGCATCTCCCCCTACATAAATGGTATGGCCTTGGATATGAGCAGCTACTCTAACTGCATATTCACAGGCCAGTACCCAGAATCCCTCTCTTCTCCTTAATACAGGAAGAGGACAATAATATTTGCAAGTTGTGCCAAGTTAAATCAAAGGACATCATCAACCTGACAAACTCCTCTATAAACTTCCCTGGATCCTTCAAAAACCAGCCATACTTCTCCTTGAAGAAAGCCAATTTGGACAAAGGAAATGGCACATATACTCTGATTGTTCCCCTATCTCTGCCAGCTAACTCCAGCAATGGACACAGATTCAATTTGAGGGGCTGATAGAGAGCTCCACTCCTGGTGGTTCTGGTTGGGCTTACTTCCTTGGGCAGTGGGGGATACAGGCTGGAGCTAGCTAAATAAAAGGGAGGGTTTTCTGATGACATTGGGGTGAAATCCCACACTGGAGAACTGGCAGGACCCCTCGCAGAACTGGGGGACTGAGAAGACCCTGGAGAGGGCATGGGCCCTCCAGGGGGTGCCGCTAGGAAGGGAGCATCGAGGATATCCCACGCGGTTTCTTGGTGCCTGGAAGTAACATGAGCCAGACACATCCTGCAGTTGACTCTTAAGTCAGAATCCTGGTAGGGGGCCATAGAAGCCTGTACGTAAGGAACTTCTCCCCATTTTCCTTCCTTTTTACTGAATAAGTCCAATTGTAAAATAGTATGATAATGTAAAGAACAAGTTTCAGGCCAAATTTCTTGTTCTCCCAAGAAAATTGTTTCTTTTTCTTTGAGCCATCTCATTTGAATTTGCTCCAATTGCCTTAAAGACACCCTAGTGGGGAGTCCTTTGGGATGCTCGCCTTTGTCCCCATGTCTAACAAGGATCTCTACTACACCCAGAAGTTTTTCTAAGTCTAGCAAAAGCTCAGTTACTTTCCCTTTCAAATTCCCACCTCCTGCAGAGAAGATGTAAGTACAGTTAGCAAAGTGTTATGAAAGTAGATTATGAAATATGAATGCGAAGTAAAATGATGGGTCTGAATTCCACAGAGTGAAGAAAGCATTTTAGTTTGGGCAAAGAGGGGTTAAAAGAAACAAGGTGATCATGGAAGGGAGGAAGGGAAAGCATGAACAGCGTTGTCCAGACTGAGGTGCCAGAAAATCTACCCAGCAGCCACGGAGACTGAGGAAAAATATTTGGGCAAAATGTTTGGGTGGCTGCTGCTTGTCTGCCACTATGGGTAGTTGTCACTTGGGCCAGGGGTCCAGGAACCCCTGGTCCCTGTGACCAAGAGTTCAATATGGGCTTGAGCAAAGTCACGTAGGAGGGGGCCCACAACTGGCTGTTATGGAAAATTGTAATCTTTTAATTTAAGGGCGGAGAAGATGACATCCACACTCCTCCAGGGAAGGAGCTCTAATCCACAATCCTATAGGGAATGTCAATGCTGAAAACCCCAGAGCATCCAGGGAGAGGCCAACAGTGACAGTGGAACTCTCACCACAACGAAATGCCAAAAACCCAGAGTACCCAAGTATCAGCCAGTGATGGTCCCCACACTGAATGCTGAAACTGCAGGGGAGGCAATGGTGAACCCCAAAGGCCAAGTTAGGGGCCACTGAACAATGTGACTTTGGCATCTCAGGGTCAGCACAGTAAGGGACTTTTCACTACCAAGTGTCCTGCCTTAAACAGTTCTTGACTCTGTCCTGTCCTGTCCTGTGTTATATCATGTCCTGTCCCATCTTGTTTTGTCTTTGTGGTCACCAGATGATGCAAGGAAGGACAACCCCAAAATTGGGGCTTAGCCCAGGAGAGTTCTTGGCTTTGCCCAGGTAAGAATTCAAGGGCAACCCAGCGGTGAAAGAAAGCAACTTTTGTTAAACTGGTACTGCTTCTCGTGGAGGAAGGTTAACCCATGGGCAGTGTGTGGGTTGCTAGCTAGCTGTATTTATTTAGATGCTTTTAATTAGATGCTAATTAGGAAGTGGGTTATTCAGAACTTTTTGGAAAAGGGATGAGGAGTTTCCAGAAGCATATAAGGTAACTTCCTGGCCATTGCCATGGCAAGTTGACATGGCATTTATAAACTGTCATGGCACTGGTAGGAGTGTCTTTATGCTAATGAGCAGTGAGGGCAACTAGAGGTAGCTTTTGTCTCCATCTGCTGGTTTTGGTCAGCTTCTTTACTGCACCCTGTTTGGACCAGATCCTGCTCTGATCAACTGGGCCACAACCGCAAAATAAGTCCTGCCACTTTCCTGCCTCAGTAGAATCTCTGCCAAAGAATGATCTTGAAAGTTTGCTGTTTACTCATCATCTGGAAAAATCTTCCTGTATAGGCCAAATTCCCACCCTTGAGATTTCTGAAGGACCAACAAGTAAAAACAGTATACTCCAATGGGACTGTTAGATTTCAACTAACTTACTCTCCTTTGGATTTCTTTTTCTGAAAATAAATTCTTCACACACACTGACTTGTCTTTTGCAATCCAATGTAAAAGTGGGACATCTTCTTCAGAAGCTTTGAAACATACAAATTAGCCTCAAACTTACCTACCAGACTTCCAGGCTAGAAGGCTGATTCATGTAAGAAGGACTAAGAAGACACTTCACCCATATCCTGGGTAACAGGAGGGGATCCTTTAGATAGGTTTGTACACCAGGCTGGCAACCTACACTTTCTTCTAGCAGTGAGAGGTACTGAGATCCGTCACCCCCTCCGGCAAGGCCAAGACCCAGAGAGAGCCAAATTTTAGCCTAGAATTCAGCCAGCTCTTCACAGTCTCCCATGTTTTACATTTTCCTCCACAATCATTTACTTTGAAAGACTTCAAACCTATAGAAAAATTGAAAAAAAAAGAACTCCTCTACACCATTCACCCAAGTTCAACAGTTAACATTCCTTTACCTTTTTTCTCTGTCTACACACACCTACACACACATTCATATTTCATAGTAAATGCAGACCAAAAAAACTCCACTTCATCCCTAAATAGTTCAGCATGTATTTCATGAGATTAAGGACATTATCCTATATAATTATAATACAATTCAATTATCAAACCTAAGGATATTAACATTTATTCAATAACATTATCTAATATATAGTCCAGATAAAAATTTTCTGTTTAGAAAATGTCACATCTATACACATATATGTGCATGTATATAGATATTTATGCATACATAGTGTGTGCATGTGTGTATGTATGTGTATATATAACACACATGCACATTACATATGCATAAATGTTTTAATTTAATAATATTTATATGCATCAATATCTTAAAGATATATACATATCATTAGCTGGAAGCTGCCTCTATCCATATATTAAAGGTTTCTCCATATGTAGTGAACTGTAACCTAACTCGATGTGTAAACAACCTGTAACCTACTCTTGAGCCAATGACTGAGTTTTAGCCAATCAAAGGTGGCCAACTGTTCAAACTGGGTTCAAATAAGACAAACTCAGAGCTGTAGCCAATCCGATTATTTTTGTACCTCACTTCTGTTTTCTGTAAGTCACTTTCCCTTTTCCATCCATAAATCTTCTTCTACCACATGGTAGCACTGGAACCTCTCTGAACCTATTCTGGTTCTGGAAATTTCTGATTCAGGAATTCTTCTTTGCTTAATTAAACTCTGTGTGTGTGTGTGTGTGTGTGTGTGTATTATATATTATATACACATGTAATATATATATGTATGTGTATATATAATATTTATTTGAGAGAGAGAGAAGTGACTTGTGGTACTGATGTTGCTTGCCTAGGTTCCAAGTAAAGTTCCTCAATTGCACTTTACTTACCTAGAGCTGTCCCTCCATTTCTTTGTCCTTGTTGCTAAGTTTTTGAAGTGGATAGGCTAGTTATCTTGTTCAACATCCTGCATTCTGATCAAACTAAACATTTTTGGAAAGAACAGAATATAGGAATTTGTGCTTCTTACCACTCAACCTGTCAGAAAGCAAGTGATGCAAGAACAAAATATTGTGAATATGTTTACATCGAAAGTGTTAAAGAAAACTCAGCATCTGCCAGCAAGTTTATGGCATGCCACGGTGGTATAGTGATTGGCACTTTGTGTTGTGAATGCAGAACCTTGATTCCAATCCAAAATGGCAGTGTGTGGCATCTTTTTGGGGAGAAACTGAGCTGTCTTTTGGTTTGTTTTCAATCCGTGCACTGACTGAGTCCTTTAGTAGGGTTTACCACTGACTCCTGTCAGGCAAAAAGGAGACCCCACATTGCACATACCTAGGGCCCAGGACATGCCCTATGTCTCACCATTGAGCAGAAAATATCCCAAAGGGTAAAATGTCACCTTTCAAACCGCCATGTTGGTAGCTTCCACTAATGCAGTGGTGTGGTCATAACTGGTTTTTACTGTTCCTTACAATGGCTGCAACCCTTATTTGTGACTAGAGAACAAGGCTTACCACTGAATTGCCAGCATGATACAGCCAGGGCCATCAAAAACACACCTGCACTAGGTCATTGGGAACTTTGGAGGTGCCTTACATCTGGGCATGCATTGAACCACCACACAAGGTGAAATGCCTCTTCTCAAAGAGGCTTGCCTGCAGTTTCCACTAATGAAATTGTGAGTCATAGCTGTTCTTCTGTTTGAGATATTAGGAGGGATTTTGTGGGGGGTGAGGGGGGATGAAAGTGAGCTTTTACTGAGTTTAAAATAAAATCCAAACTCCTTGCCATGGTCTACACTGGCTTGTCTCCATCTTCCATCCCCCACCCCCCATGTTTATGCTAAAGAGCAGACTATTGAAATGTAATTCACACAGTGTAAAATTCAAATATATTAACTAGGACAGGTTATTAAATATTGACAAATGAAATCATCACCCAGATCAAGTTATAGAAAATTTCCATCATCCCAAAAATGTCTGTGGATGCCAGGCACGGTAGCTCATGCTTGTAATCCCAGCACTTGGGAGGCTGAAGTGGAAAGATTGACTGAGCCCAGCAATTTGAGACCAGCCTGGGCAACATGGCAAGATCCCCATCCCTATAAAAATTTTTTCAAATTCAAAAAATAAAAAATATTTAAAAAGGTCCAAGAGTCCCTTTCCAGGTAATCCCACCCTTCTCCCCTTGGTTTATCACTATTCTGATGTTTATCACCATAGATTATGTTGCTCTCTTCTTGAAATTCATATAAATTCACTTTTTGTGTTAGCGTTTTTTTCACATCTTTGAAATGTATCCATATTATTATATGTATCTAGTTTATTTGGGTGTAACTGGTGAGTGTTATCCAATATGTGAATACACCACTGTTGATGGACAATTTGGTTATTTCTAGTTTGGACTATTATGAAGAAGGCTGCTGTGCATGAATATTATTGTACGAATCTATCAACAAATATTCTGTGTTTTCTTAGATTTTGTATTTGTCTCTATTTGGCATCTATTCACCGCAGAACAATTATAATAACTATATTTTCTTATTTTCTTTATTTTTTTCTTAAAACAATTTATTGATGTATGCCTGGTATACTAAAAGCTGTACATATGTAATGAACACAATTTGCTGAGATTGGAAATAAGTATGGACACATTAAATCATCACCACAGGCCGGGTGCGGTGGCTCACGCCTGTAATCCCAGCACTTTTGGAGGCCGAGGTGGGTGGATCACGAGGTCAGGAGATTGAGACCATCCTGGCTAACACGGTGAAACCCTGTCTCTACTAAAAACATACAAAAAAAAGATTAGCCAGGCGTGGTGGTGGGCGCCTGTAGTCCCAGCTACTTGGGAGGCTGAGGCAGGAGAATGGCGTGAACCCGGGAGGCAGAGCTTGCAGTGAGTGGAGATCGCACCACTGCACTCCAGCTTGGGCAACAGAGCAAGACTCCATCTCAAAAAACAAAAAAATCATCACCACAATGCATACAATAAAACTATTCATCTGGGCACAGTGGCTCACACCTATAATCCCAGCAGTTTGGGAGGCCCAGGCTGGTGGATCACTTGAGGTCAGGAGTTTGATACCAGCCTGCCTAACATAGTGAAACTCCATCTCTACCAAAAATACAAAAATTGGTACAGAATAATTATACATGTTTATAGGAGTACATATGATATTTTGATATATGCCTACGATGTGTAATGATCAAATCAGGATGTTTAGGATATCCATCATCTCAGACATTTTATCATTTCTTTGTGTTGGGAACATTTCAAATTCTCTCTTCTTAGCTCCTTTGAAATGTACAATATACTGCTGGTAGCTGTAGTCACCCTACTGTGCTGTTTCTTTTCTGAGATTCCACCTAACCCCTTGATGTTCCAACTGCTGTGGTTGTCTAAAACTTTGTCCTCTGTTCCTTTAATCTAGGAAGACAGTTTGGTTTTGTATTGTAATTTAGCTAATCCAAGTAAGGGGGAGCAAAGTTTGTTCTATAAACGAAAAATAAAATCCTGAGTCCCCCAACTGACTAAATGGACACCCTACTGGCCAACGGGACCCTAGGCAAACCTTATAAACTGAGTCCCAGGCCAAGAAGGAACGGGAGGCCAGACAAGCCTCATTATATTCCCACCCTTTTGCAATTTAGACAAAACTGACCAACATTAATGTTATCACAGAGATCATAAGACTGACGGAACAGACTCTTTATGGCAATAAGACACCAAATTATAAATAGGACTTAGGACCATTCCGGGCAAGGATTAACTCACACACCCCATATATGCAAAGAATAAACTATGTTCTAACTGCCACAAGGATTTTCTCTAGCAGCTAAACAAGCACTGGCCTTGAGAATAGGGAGTGTTGAAGCACTTGCTGCTCACCCCTCACCAGATACCGAACCCCGCTGTTCCACAAGCCATAACTACAGCCTTGACTGACAAGAGACTGATTTCAGTAACTTTCTTCTGATGAGAAGACCAGCGACCATGGACTGGTTCTGTCAGTTTTACAGTATCTGTGCATTTGAGTGCCTTTGTGTCCTGAAAAGACCTTTGTGTATAGGGCCTAATTGTAATGCATTTAAATGCTAAGTATCCATAACAAGGTGAACAAGTTTGTATATTACGTGAATGTTTGTTCAATAAGCATGCATCAGGACCCCTTCACAAATATTCATAAATCCTCCTATAACTTGTTGAATATGTATTTTAGGCCCACCCATTCAACTTAAATTCCTGTCTTGCCCCTCCCTCCCTCAAAGTGCCTGCTTCTGGGCTTCCCGCGATTCCCAGCCTGTCAGGATGACCACCTTACATGCTGTAACCCTTTAGAAGAAATAAATTCTCCTCTGTAAGCTCACAAATTGTATGGTTTTTCAGTTAACAGCCCTCTGCTGAAAGTTTGCAAAATGGGATACTCACTACCTGCCATTCTTCCATATGTCCGCCTGCTTTTGTTCAGTCTTCCAGCACCTTCAAATTATATAATATATATATGAAATAAATTTTTCTAGTTTATAGTCGTTATCTGTGGGAGAGTTACTCTGAAAGCAGCAAGAAGCCATTACCAGATGCAGATCTCATTCTGTCAGTAATGGCAACCCAGCAAATAGGACAGGAGCCCCACCCAGGTTGGATCAATGCATGGCTGTATAACCTTGAGCAAGCTGCTTAGTCGACCTCTGAAGTCAGTACTGCTGTATGAGAAATGGAGATATGAAAAGAACAGGAGTGCTAGGGTGCCCAAGGGAGAAAAGAGTAGGTAACAAGATTTTCGATCAGGAGCATGAGAAACAGGGAGAGGGTCACCATTAACTCCCCTTCTTCACCAGAGTTTTCTGGCACCCAAGACTACAGAAACTCTCCTGCAGTGGGCTTTGGGGCACATCGCAAGTTCCAGTAACAAGGGCTAAGATCGCCCGCTTTTGGAGACCTTACAAAGCATGTATTCCCTGACCAGGAATCGAACTCGAGCTGCAGGCGGTGAAAGCGCCGAATCCTAGCCACTAGACCACCAGGGAAACAACAGCAAGCACTTTTCATTCCTCTTGCCTTCCAAAGGTTTCTCCAAAAGGTGAACCTGTCTGCAATGCTCACGAAGCCCTCCAGATGCACAAGTCAAAACTGATCTAGAGATTCTGAAGTACGCTGTGCTCCTTGAGAAGTGCGGAGCCACTGGAACCACAAGCAGCTTCAGACAGGAACCAATGAGGCCATCAAAACCCTCAACAGAGGCATCTGTGAGTTCATTGTGGTGGCTGCAGACACCACGCTGCAAGAGAGCATTCTGCACTCCCACTGCTGTGTGAAGAGAAGAATGTGCTGGGCCTGCCTGGAATGTTTGCGCACTCCAGGCGGGCCCTGGGGCGGGCCTGTGGGGTCTCCAGTCCTGTCATCACCTGTTCTGTCACCATCAAAGAAGGCTCACAGCTGATCCAGTCCATTCAGCAGTCCGTTGAAAGGCTCCTAGTCTAAACCTGTGGCGTCTAAACCCGTGGCCTCTGCTGCACAATCTCTGCTGACTCCTCCCCCTGAGGTTATTCTCAGCTACTTTCTATTGCTATAAAATATTATAGTACTAAATCTGGTTTCTGGGGTTTTGTATAGTTTTTGTTCTGTTTTACAGGGTTGTTTTCCCCCTTCTCCATGCCCACCCTTTCTCTGCCATCCTGCATCCTCTTAAACTCTCTATTGAAAAATGAACAAATGTTCAGAACAGAGGAAGTAGAGTGGTGGCACCATCAAAGGCAGGAAGGGCCAGGAGAACCTGATGGGAGTGGGGATATAGACCTGGTTCTAGCTTCCAGGCTTCCAGTCACTAACTTTCTGCTGTGTGCAGGGCACAATGGAAGTAAACACCACCCACTATATATCCCCTGTGCCTGGCATACAGAATCATTCATACATGTTGACCGAAGGGTTTCCTTTGCTTCTAGGGGATTATGTATCATTTTGGGAGGAAGCATGTATTCTGTGAGGTTGTTTAGTTTATGTCCAAGTGCCATTTACTAATGTATCCCTGCTCTTTGCTTTCGGTATGTATGTTCTTCCTCCACCTGACAATTGTGCCCCCAATGGTGGCCAGGCAGCAGCATACCAAAGAGATGTGCTGCAAGATTTCAGAGGTGGGTGAGTGAGACATGGGAAAGTGGACTCAGGTCTTGAAAGAGTCAGGAGTGGCCAGGGCAAAGAACATGAACTGGTGCTGGAATGAAGGATTCTGGGAAGGTTGTGGAGACCTGGCTGGTAGCTAGAGCAGAGATGATGGAATCCAAGGAAACAACTTCTCTCCGGTGAATCAAGATTTCTTCAGTGGACACTTAGTCCCAGCTCTGATAGCCCTTACCCCTGTTTCCTGCCACAGTGTGGGTCATATGTATTCTTTATCATATGAGGAGAGTGCTAATTAATGTGTCATTTATTTTGTGAGCATGCTAATAAATATATTCATATTCCAATTTAGTGAAAAAAAATTGATCTAGAGATGCCCCTTTTCGAGGTGACAGCATGGCTCTGGAGAGATGGCCACAGGAACCATGGCAGTGGACCAGGTTGCTGGGAGAAGGCAAAAGGGGAGGCACCCAAGCTGAGAAGGGGCTAAGCACTCAGCCCCTGGGACCACCAACAGCAGGCCTGAGACACATGCAGGAAACCAGACAGCCTGGATGAAATTTCTTTCAAGCAAGGCCAGTGGTCCCTGACAGAACACCAGAGGTTTCCCCCTAAATCCTTTCGCATCTGTACCGTTTCTATCTTAGTTGGAGCTCTTTGTTCTCATCCTTGCAATACGCAGAGAAAAAAAAATCACAGGTTGTTGATTGTTTGAAGATAGGGTATTGCTCTGTCACTCAGGCTGGAGTGCAGTAGCATGATCACGGCTCACTGCAGCCTCGAACATCCGGGCTCAAGTGATTCTCCCACGTCAGCCTCTGGTGTAGCTGGGACCAAAGGTGTGCCACCACAGAGGCAGGGTTTTGCCATTTTGCCCAGAATGGTCTCAAACTCCTGAGCTCAAGGGATCAGCCTGCCTAGGCTTCCCAAAGTGCTGGGACTACAGGCATGAGACACCTTGCCCAGCCAACCAGAGTTCTTTTTGATGCCGATATTTTACTCGGACTCCACATCTAGGTAGGAATTCATGTTTTCAAGTACGGACGTTGCTCTACACAATCCTCTCCTTTCCTGATCACTAAATTAGAGTAAATCACTGTCCTGAAGAAGGTACCCTTGGGAGAGTGGGTTGGCCTCTCTTTCCACCCTTTCTTGACTCTGCCCTCACCTTCAAGCCTCTTTCTGGCCTGTGTTCAAGGTCCAGAGGCATGCTTAAGACCTCTCTGTGTGGCTCTTCTTGAAGAGTCAGGAACCCCATACTTCCTGTTCAGCGGGCAGAGAAGCTTCAAGCCGCACAGTTTTGGGTATGCTAGGATCCCACAAGGCACAGATGTGCAGTGGCCCACGAAGTGAGTTTGTGGGTCTCCAGTTACCTGCAGCCCTTTCTGCTCCTGTAGGTTAAAGGGCAATTGCCTTTTTTTTTTCTGTCCAGGAAGGACCCCAGAATGTTCTGAGTCAGAAAGACAGTGAATCCTCTCCTCTGGGTCACTGGGGAGGGAGAGAGAGAGATTTCAGAGGGAAGAAAGCAGAAAAAGATGTCACAAAATTGCCTAATCAAAAGTTACCATGATGCCTGCCTCATCTGGAACTGGGCTCCCAGTCTCTAGTGAGGGAGACATAGTCCAGTCCAGTCCCAGTCTCCAGTCTGAGCCAAAGCAGAACAAAGCTGGACACTGCAGCCTGGCATCCAACGAACATTTTGTCACTTTCCCCAGGGTGGGAGCATTTGAACTTTGGATGTGAAGGAAACATGGTAACCACTGCAGTAAGAAAAGCAACTGCTGGAGAAAATGGCACTTTCTTCCCCAAATTTGTTTTTACACTCATGTCTAAGGAACACCTTAGAAACCACATTAACATCTTTCAGCAAAAGGAAATTCTGCCTGTTGATCTTTTGCTGTGAGACAAACTTGAAAAGTTCACAGACACTGCCTTTCTCTGAAAACTGCCCTTACCTCTTTGTTACAATTCACTTCAAGATCTGTTGAGTAGGAACATCAAAAATGCAAATAAAAAGTTTCAAGTATTATGAAAGAATGCAATAAAACTTCCTTTAAAAAAAATCTCAAGATGGAGGTGGAGATCCTGTGATCATGAAATCTGAATAGGCTGCTCCTGTGTCCTTCAGTGGTGATGGCTCTGAAACCCTTGTGTTTTATGAACTTCATGCCCTGGTCTTCAAACGAATTCAGTGCAGGCCAAGAAGCACAGTTTGGCCTGGGTTGGATGCTCTATATTTTCAAAGAGTGAAATGCCTTGAGACACAGCCTTTGCTATAGTACCTGCTAAAACTTCAACGTGTGGATAAATATAGCTTACATTGAATCGAATAGACTCAGCGAGAGTGGCAGTGAAGGATGCCCTCTGGAAGATTCGAGGTGCTGAGGCCAAAGGGCTAGCAAGGAAAGAGCGTGCGGGTCAGGCCCTTCAGCCTGGTGGAAGAGCAGGCAGGGAGGGTCCTATGGTTCCTGGGAGGACCCGAAGCATGATCGCCTGTCAAGAGCCAAGAGCCCTAATGGCCAGCGCCGGGGAAAGGGCCCCCGAGGGGCAGTCAGCAGCCCTGCAGGGGCGGCGTTCACACTCCTGTGTGGCACGGGACACTCATGGCTCCACCAGCTCCTGAAGCTTCTGGGAGCCAGAGAGTCAGCAGGGAGAATCCCACACACGGGCACTCAGTTCCTGGAAACCCTGCATGAGATGCGGGATCCCGAAGCCAGATTGGGGGTCCCTAGGGTCTTGGCTTCGGGGCTAGGCGTGGAACCGTAAATGAGGGTTCAGCCTGTCTGCCTGAGGGATTGTGTTTCCTGGCGTATTTATCACTCAAATTTTGAAAAGCAGTCGAATTTGTTATATTGGAAACCCTAGTAGTTAAAAACAGCAGATGGTAACATTTCAGGAATATGTCTTGTGCCAGGAACTGTGAGGGGTTTCTGTAGTGTAGTGATTACATGTTCGCTTCACATGTGAAAGGTCTCAGGTTTGGGACCTTTCATCATCAACATGATGAAACCCCGTCTCCAGTAAAAATACAAAAATTAGCCAGGCGTGGTGGTGCATGCCTGTAATCCCAGCTCCTCGGGAGGCTGAGGCAGGAGAATTGCTTAATCCCAAGAGGTAGATGTTGCGGTGAGCTGAGATTGTGCCATTGCACTCCAGCCTAGGCAACAAGAGTGAGACTACGTCTTAAAAAAAAAAGAAAGAAAGAAAAGAAAACAGAGGACTTTAAAACCGTTATTATGTCAATATTCTATGGGTCCAAAGAATTAAGCAGAGGTATCAAACATATAAAAATGGTCAGAATCAAACTTTGGAGATTAAAAACTACAACATCTGAGATAATAAATTCACTGGATGCAATTAACAGAAGATTAGACACTGCAGAAAAAAAGATTATGAAACACAAAGCCGCCGGGCGCCGTGGCTCAGGCCTGTAATCCCAGCACTTTGGGAGGCTGAGGCGGGTGGATCACGATGTCCAGAGATAGAGCCCATCCTGGCTAAAACAGTGAGACCCCCGTCTTTACAAAAAAAAAAAAAAATATATATATATATATATATATATATATATATATATATATATATATATATATATATATAAATTAGCTGGACATGGTGGCGGGCGCCTGTAGTCCCAGCTAATCGGGAACCTGAGGCAGGAGAATGGCATGAACCCGGGAGGCGGAGCTTGCAGTGAGCCGAGATGGTGCCACTGCACCCCAGCCTGGGCGACAGAGCAAGACTCCCTCTAAAAAAAAAAAAAAACCGCACTGAGGGGAAAAGTCAATGTGAAATTCTACAAAAGCTGAAAATTCACTACCACCAGCCATTACCACAAAAAAAAAAAAAAAAAGTTGAAGGAGTCCTCCAGGCAGAACGAAACTGACATCGGATGAAAATCTGGTTGTACAAAAAAAAAAAAAAAAAAAAAAAAAAAAAAACTAGACATGACATCTAATAGACGAATATATAATTTTAACATCTGACTGTTTAGCTGGGCGTGGTGGCTCACGCCTGTAATCCCAGCACTTTGGGAAGCTGAGGCAGGCAGATCACTTGAGGTCAGGTGTTTGAGACCAGCTTGGCCAATATGGTGAACCCCTCTCTCTACTAAAAATACAAAAATTAGTACGGTGTGGTGGCCCACGCCTGTAATCTCTGCTACTCAGGAGTCTGAGTCAGGAGAATCGCTTGAACCCGGGAAGCAGAGGTTGCAGTGAGCCAAGATTGTTCCACTGCACTCCAGCCTATATGGAACCTAGTTTGATCTGGAGGGATCTTATTTTATAGGAGGCTTGGAGGGGGACCTTTTGCTTTGTGTACTCATAGGATGCACAAGACACAAGGGAACAATATCTCACTTTTTAAATACAGTGATAGGCCTGAGGAGAAACAACTGCAATTTTTTTTTTTTTTAATGAGATGGGATTCTCACTGGTCTTGAACTGAGCTCAGGCGAGGCTTCCCCTACGTCGGCCTCTCAAAGTGTTGGGATTAATAGGCGTGAGCCACCGCGCCTGACCACAACTAACCAACATTTAAAAGCACGTCCCTGGGTAGGCTCGAACCACCAACTTTCCGGTTAACGGCCGAACGCGCTAACCAATTGCTCCACGGAGATAACCTCAGTTGGTCGCTTTCATCTCAACATAGATTAAGCAATCACTAAACTCTAGGGGTTGCCATTCGCTTTCTGCAGGACAACTGTGCAGACTACAAAGCTTCGGAAAACCGGAGAGGCTGAGTCGACTAATCGTGTTGTTCCACGTTAGAAACGCTTGCATTGCCTGACTCTGAAACCAGAAGGGCGGCCGAATGGCCTTCACCCTCCGTTAACCCTCGCCTGCTTCAGAAGCTAGTGCCTCTGGAAATGCCTGGATCTGCGACCCCAGCCTGAGCCTAGTAGGGCCCAAGGGAAGCTGAACGCCCCGACGGCTCTCATGGTAGCTCTTTCTGTTTTTTTGCGCCGCCTTCAGGCAATCATCTACTCCGCTTGCTATCCCCTCACTCAACTCGGCTTCAGTAGATGGGGTTGGTGGGGCGGGAGCGGGAAAGAGGCAGGGGAGTCAAAAGGGAAAACCTGAAAAGAAGGAGGGAGAAGCAGGGGAGACCAGGACGAGACAATGGGACAGCCCAGGATGCCGGTGCAGAGGGCACCGGCTGGATGCAGAGAAGATGGGACACGTATCAGAATGGACTGGAGAAGACGTGAGGGAAAATCACAAGAACCTGTAGCTGCCCAAGAATAAACACGTAAAAATCGCATAAATGTTTTTACATTAAAAAAAAAATCGGGGGACCGGGCGCAGTGGCTCACGCCTGTAATCCCAGCACTTTGGGAGGCCGAGGTGGGTGGATCACTCACTTGAAGTCAGGAGTTCGAGACCAGCCGGGCCAACATGGTGAAAGCCCGTCTCTACTAAAACTACAAAAATTAGCTGGGTGTGGTGGCGACGCTTGTAGTCCCAGCTACTCAGGAGGCTGAGGCAGGAGAATCGCTTGAACCTGAGAGGCAGAGGTGGCAGTGAGCCGAGATCGCGCCACTGCCCTCCAGCCTGGGCGACAAAGCGAAATTCTGTCTCTCAAAAAAAATGCATAAATAAATAAAAGAGGGGTGGGGAAGCAAAACGACGGGCAGTAGGTGTGGGGCGCATTGGGATTCTATAGTGGTTAGTACCCTGCCTTGTGCCTGCAGCAACCTCTGTTCTAATCTGAATCCTGGTACAGTCAGACTCTATCTTGGACCCACTGGGGCGAACCCACGTGTCTTTTGGTTTGCCTTTAATTCCTGCACCAGCTGCGGCCTTTATCTGCAGCCAGAAAGCAGGTTTTACCGCTGGCCCCACAGCGCCATACGGTCTGGGGAAAAGAAGGAAACCCAATAGTACACAAACAAAGGCCAAAAGAGAAACCTTCCAAGTGCTCTATGCCTCACGGTTTAGCAGAAAATATCAAGCAACTCTCAACCTAGCTGGTCTGTAGCTTCCACAAATGAAATACTGTATTCATTGCAGCCTTTCTGGTTGAGATATTTCAAATATTTGGTGGAGCTTTTAATGAGACGGAGAGACACTCTCGAGTGTGGAAGAAAAAAATGAGGGGGTGTGAGGATAAGGCGACTTTAGGACAGAAAAAACAAAGAGACAAGGAAGCCACGTAAACGTTTTCGGGTAGGCGTTAGGCGATGTCAGTTTTGAACCCCGTTTATGTTAGGTAGAGAGCGCAGCCCTCTTCTAGCACAAACACCGTTTCCCACATTGAAGAAATCACAGAGATCAGCAACTCTAGAGTGCGATGAAGAAGCTTCACTCTGGGAGAACCCCCTTCGTGACCACGGTCTCTTTCCTGCCAGGTAAGTGGGAATGAGCGCATGCCCTACAGGGACAGCACAGCGTCCTCGCCCTGGCCGGACGCTCAGGGTCACCACCCTACCCACTGCCCCCCTCGCCATTCTTCCAAACCACTCTCTGCCAAAGATTCCACCGACAGTCACCCCACACGACAACCCAGGCCGCCTTTCAGCAGCGGCTCCCGCCCCGCAACCACGCGCCCTCTCACCCCCGCGGTTCTGCCCGCCGCCTCTGTCCAGTCTGTGCACTTCACCTCCCTGGCTCCCGCTCTCCCCTGAGCTTACAGTGGACGCGGGGTTCTTCCGAACCCCTCTTGGGAATACTGAATGGAAAAGGGGGAGCGTGAGCAAGTGCTTGGTAGAGTGTAGACATTGTGGGATTTGACTGTGGTACCATCGCTTTGACGTCCTAGTGCTGATTTTTACACCTGCATTCTGCTTAGGGCACCGGCAACAGTTTTCCGTTTGTGCCTACTCCACCTGCTGTCTTTGTTGGGTCAGCGAACATCGCCTCCCTCTACCGCTCAATCAGCAAAAGGGACCGCCCTTGAGGACCTCACCCGCCGCTCACTCCCCTCCCAAATTCGCGGGCATCGCCTCCGGTCGCCTCTTCCGAAGGCCTAACGAGCATGTTAGCTGCGAACGGAGGTGAGGAGGCTCCGCTGACTGACCGGTGCCCATGTCCAGGGCACGCACAAACGCCATGACTTGGCTTGGCCTCTCTCTTAGTTATTCACAGCTCAGCCCGATAGGCACCTCCGGGGCGGCGACGGCAAAGAGGGTGAGCTTATTAAGTGCAGCTCCACGGGGACTGGCCTCTCTGCACGGCTGTGTACACCTGAGCGAGACGCTCAGTCGCTCTCTAAAGCCGCTTCTGCGGATGACAGACACGGAGATAAACGTGAGAGGTGGCCCACCACGACTTGCCCTCCTTTGCCCGGGTTTGCCCCTCGCTGAGGAGGCTGTTCTACATCTGACCCTTGGAGCAGGCCGGCTGACAGCGTAGTAAAGGAAGATTTCTGCGGGAGGGCGGCCAGTGCAAAACAATTCCCTGACCGGGAATCGAACCCGGGCCGTGACGCTTTCAGCACCGAATCCTAGCCACTAGACAACCATGCAGATGCGGAAAGCTGCTTTCTCTCCCTTCTTCGACCTGAAGCGACACTTTCCTGTGCTCTAGGAGGACTTGGGTCTTGTGAGAGTCGCTCTTTGCTCCTGGAGTCGTCTCACAAGGCCGTTCACTCCCTGCTTTCTTCAAAAAAAGAACCTGCAGGCGACACACCAAGGGCTCCACGAGGGAGTCCTGAGTACTGGAGCGAGTTGCGGCCACGCGGCCGCAGCTCACCACTGGCCTAGAGATGCCCTTTGCGAGGCGGCAGCAACTGACAAGATGGTCGCGGGTCGCCGCGTCCGGAGCCGCCCACCAGGTTGCCAGGAGGAGGCGGGAGCGGGGAGGCGCCCGAGGTGAGACGGGGGCACCCTCTGCATCATAAAGGACCCAGACCCCGGCACCCTCAACATCATAAGGAATCAGACGGATGCGGAAACCGAGACGGGCTGGATAGGAAACTCTTTCCAGGAAGGCTCCGGGGCACTCAACTGGTCTCCAACCTTCCCCTGCAACCTGTGACGCCTGCCATTTTCCCATTTTAGGCGATGGCAACGCAACCCCTCCGTTTGCTCTGGGCAAAACTTCGAGAGTTCCCTCTGAAGCTGGAGCTTTTTCCTCAGATCCAAGATCCAATTGGTCACCAATTCGTGATTTCCGTCGGCCAAGTGCGTGGGCATTGATCTACACGCGAGTTTCTCCACCTCTGCCGAATGGCTACTTCGGGGTGGGGGAAGGGCCCTCCCGCCGTGGATTGCAAGGTGTTTAGCAGCATCTGTCTCCTCCGCTGACTAGACACATGCCAGGGGGATAACATTCTCCCTCCCGCTTCCCCCAGCCGCGGCCTAGTGTCCCAGCGGGGTTGGGAGAGGCATGTGAGGGCGAAGTTGCCCCCTGTTGAGAACCATTGCTGCGCGTAGTCCTTCTCTCTGAACTTGTGCAGAGGACTCTCCAGGTGAAGGCTCAAGGGTGGATCCAGCTCGAGACACCCTCGCTCCCCCTCACAGTCGGACCTTAGGATTTAGGCTTTAACATCTCCACATCATGAGATTCGAAACCTTTAGGTCTTTTCTTCCATTCTGTCCTCCAAATCGGCCTCTTCCGAGCCTGTTGACCAGGGCCAGCCGGGCAGAGGGCTGGGCTCGCTCAACGAGGCTCCTCTCGCACCTCCTGGAGCTTCAGGCTTCTTTCCGTTGCAGAGAAGCTTTATGGGCCAATTCGTTCGGCATCCCCGGGGGCAGATGCGCGGTGCGCGGGGAAGAAGAGGATTTGACTGCGGTTCTCCACCCCCGGCGCCCAACCTCCACCCCGGTGCGCGCGCTCTTCCAGGCTCCTGCTGGTCCCACTTGCCAGGAGTTAGGTCTCAGGTCAGCCTGAGCTCCTGAGACGCCCAGGCCCGGAAAGACACGTAGGGGAAACCATCTGCTCACTTCTGTCCTGTCCGGAAGGGATCCCTTTCTGACGGGAAAGAAAGGCGGTGAGTCCTGTCCTGTTGAGTAGGCGGAAGAGAGATCAAAGGGAAGACAAGAAAAATCCTGTGAGTTTTCAGGATCTAAAGTTACCATGAGGTCGACCTAACCTCCTCTGGAGGTCCTCCCGGTCCTCCCGTGGCTGTCGAAGGTGAATCTAGCTTCCGTCTCCAGTTCGCCAAGGCGGACAAAGCCGACGACAATGGGCCTGTCCACTATCTTCTTTCATATGCACAAAATGTCAGCTCTTCTTGTTTCTAACTTGCAACATCCCACCTGATGACCAGCTCAGCAAATTAGAGACCCTCCATGGGATTCCATCTCTGTCTTAGTTCGGGCTTCCATAACTATGTAAACCGGGTGGCTAATTCACAACAGAAATTTATTTCTCACAGTTCTGGAGGTTGGAAGTCCGAGATCAAGGTGCCAACATGGTAGGGTTATGATGAGGGACTTTTTTCTGGTTGTAGACTGCCACCTTCTCATTGTATCCTCAGGGAGCAGAGAGAGCTCCCTGGGGTCCCTTTTATAGTGGCATTAGTCCCACTCAGACTAATGGGACTAAATCCAGACTCAGTTATTGCAATGTGTGCAAAAGAACAAGGACTTGTACTATCTGACTTCAAGGCTTACTATAAGCTATTATAGACAAGGCATCAGGAGGGACAAATAGATAAACAGACTGAGTTAAGAGACCTGAAACTGATCCACAGCCATACAGTCAATAAATGAGCTTTCAATGAAAGCAGTTCAATAGAAGAAAATAAATCATTTCAATTAATGGACTTTCATATGGAGGTGGGGGAGACCAACAATGTTATTCTCCCTCACACTACATACAAAAGTAATTTGAGGTGCATTATACACCAAAACTTAAAAGTTAAAGATATAAAGCATTTCAAGGATACTCTGTAGGTAAAGATTAGCCTACCAACAAGTAGGACACTGAAAAAATATATATAAAAGACATGATAAATTAGACTTCATCAACATTAGCCATACCTTCTCATCAAAAGATACCACTAAGAAAGTGAAAAGGCAAGCAAGCCACAGACAGAGAGAAAATAGTCACAAAACGTATCTGACCTCCACATCCTGTAATTAGAATTATTGTGGTCTGGTACACTGCACCCAGATTCTGCAGGAGTACTTTCTGGGTGTCTCTAATGAGTAAGAGAGGGCCCCATGGGATATTCCTACAGTTCCCAGATGAACAGTGGGAAAGACTCTACGTTGACAAACCCCGGGGACCTGAAAACTCAGGTCCTCAAGGAGGGTAGAGGATACCTGGACCCTGACCCAGACCCCTAGATGGGCTGTGCCAAGAGACCCAGCAAGGGAAGGGATTCCCTCCTGCCTCAGGTTCTCTGTTCTTCTGTGGTTAGAAGACCTGAACCCAACTCCCTCCCCAAGCACTGGAGATGGGGCTTTTCCAAGGGCTGGGGATCTTGCTGTCCTAAGGACAGCTGAGCAAGGGGGTCGAGGAGGAGCTTGGGTGGTGGAGGAGAGGAAACCGGGTAAGATGTGTGAAGCAGTCGGCTATACCAGGCACAGAGAGGACCCACTGGGACACAAGAGCCTGCATGTGAAGCCAGGCCTTGGGCCACCTTGTTCCTCAAAGGGGTGCTTACTTCCATGGGATCTTCAAAGGGACTGTGGAAAGAGAAGCCTTCAGCCCACACCTCTGAATGCTTTTCCACCACAGCATGCCCTGTGGCCTGTATCCTGCTGGTGTGGAACAGTCAGACCCCTGCAGGGCTGCAGAGCCTCTGTACTGGGCGGCATCCCAGCCTGAGTGCCAGAGCTCAGTGGGCAGGCCCCCGAGCAAGTAGAGAGGAGGG
Organism: Homo sapiens; assembly: GCF_000001405.40. NCBI lineage: Eukaryota > Metazoa > Chordata > Mammalia > Primates > Hominidae > Homo > Homo sapiens. The sequence goes on from NC_000001.11 coordinate 121,012,915, forward strand.
CACCTTTTGGACAGAACCTGTGGGACAAGAGCGACGTCTCATCCGTTCAGGTTCCTCACAAAATGAGAGTCAGGAAGATCAGGGTGCAGACCTGATTTCCCACGAAGGGCTGAAAGCAGACAACCAGAGGGAGAGCAGCACCTGGGCCAATGAGGTAGAAGACAGAAGACCACAGTGTACTTCTGCCCTCAACCTCACCCCCTCCCACCTACATCCTCCACACCCCCTGACCACCTTCTTCAGAAACGTAATAGGAATCAAGATCCCCCCTGGCCTGGTTGCTATGGGAGGCACAGTGGCCTGATGGAGCCTGAGGCAGGTGTGGGAAGATGTGGATTGTCTAACTGGAGGTTGGGAGTCCAGGGTGCAGAAGGAGAAGCTTGGAGTGCAGGATTTGGTGGTATGTGTGTGGCAGTAGGCACTATGTTCTAATTGCCAGTTTTTTTTTCTTCTTCCTTTTTTTCTCTAGCTAAACAAGCACTGGCCTTGAGATAAGCAATGCTGAAGCACTTGCAGCTCACCTATTACCATAAACTGACTGAGCCCTCCCTACACAAGCCATAACTACTGCTTTGATTGGACAAGAGACTGATTTCAGTAGTTTTCTCTTGGTAAGAGACCACTGGCCGTGGGCTGGTTCTGGACAGTTTACAGAAGCTATGCACTTGATTGCCTTTGTGTCCCTGCTTCACCTTTTGAAGCATAGGGCCTAATTATAATGTATTTAAATGTTGTCTCCACCCCAAAGTGAACATGGGTTGCATGTAACAGGCATGTTTACTCAGCATGCATGCAGCAGGATCCCTTCACAAATATTCAGAGCTCCCCCTATTCCCTGTTGAATATGTATATGTGGCCAACCAGATCAACGTAAATCACTATTCGCCCTCCCCTCCCTGGAAACTTACTTTTCGGGTTTCAGCAGGAAGCTATGCCTCCCAGTCTGTCAGAATGGCCACTTGCAGGCTGTAACCCTTTATAAAAAAATAAAATCTCCTTTCTAAATTTATAAATTGTGTGATTTTTCAGTTGACAGCTTTCAGTTGTCAGTCAAGTCACTGACTGGGAGAAGTCATTTGCAATATATTTATTTGAAAAATGACTCAACTCCTGAATATATAAGAGAACTTTCATAAATCAGTAATATAGAGCTAAGCCAAATAAAATCGGGCAAAATATTCGAATAGGCCTTTGCAAAGGAGAATTTCTTATATGCTGGAAGCCATAAGAAAATATGCTTCATAGTATTGCTCATTAGGCAAGTACAAATTAATTCCACACTGAGATACCACTAACCAATCAACAGTGTGTGGCTACTTTTTTTTTTTTTTCTGAGACAGGGTCTCTCTCACCCAAGCTGGAGTGCAATGGTGCGATTGGTGCGATCTTGAGTCACTGCAACCTCCCCCTCCTGAGTAGCTGGGACTACAGGTGCATGCCACCATGCCTGGCTAATTTTTGTATTTTCAGTAGAGACGGGGTTTCGCCATGTTGGCCAGTTTGGTCTGAGAGCATAGCTACATTTTAAAAAGTTAGTACACCAAATGCTGACAAGAATTTGGTGCCACTTCAACTGTCATTGCTGGTGAAAAAACATTCTAGAAGACTGGCAATTTATACTAATGTTAAACTTGTACTCAGGTCGTGACCCAGCAATTGAAGTACTTCCATGAATCTCAAGTGCACAAAAAGACCTGTAGAAGAATATTCATCACAAGAATTCAATAACACCAAAATTGAGAAGTGATCTATGAAACTACGTGGATATATCTCATGAGTATAATGAACATACCTGCAGAAAAAAGGCCAGATACAAAAGATATGTCCATTCACTCATGTGAACTTTAAGAACAGGCAATTGTAACCTATGGGAATAGACATCAGAATAGTGATTAACTAAGAGGACACAGGGTGGGAATTGCCTGGAAAGGGGCTCTAACAGGCCTTTCTCAGATGATGGCAATTTTCTATAACTTGAGCTGGGTGGTGATTACATTCATCAAAAATAAACGAACTGCACTAAAGATTTGTGCACTTTATGTGAACTGTAGTTTATTTACTGTTCTCATTGCTTGAACCCGGGAAACGGGACGTTGCAGTGAGCCGAGATTGAGCCATGGCACTCCAGCCTGGGTGACAGAACAAGACTACATCTCAAAAATAATAGTAATAGTAATAATTTACTGTTCTCATAAAAATTAGCGGATGGGGAATGGAGGCAAGCCAGTGTAGACCATGACAACTAGTTTAGATTTTATTGTAAACTCATTAAAAGCTCGTTCTCGTTTTGTGTTTTTAAAAAATCCCACTGATACAGCCGTTTTCTCTACCAGATGAGACTATAACCGTATTATTTCATCAGTGGAAGCTACAGACAAAGGGCCCTTGAGAGGCGGCATCTTCACCTATGGGAATTTTTTCTGCTCCATTGTGAGACAAAGAGCATGTCCGAGTTTTCATTTTGGCCAGGCCGCCCCCTAGTTTACGCACTGTGGACTAAACTCCAGAAGCTGGCGCCCTTCCGGGCCAGCGGTTTACTCCGCTCTCTGGAGGCTGCTAGGATTAAAGGCAAAGCAAACGACAGGTCTTTTAGCTACAATCGCAGGAGAGAAAACACTACTGTGACTCAGATTAGAACCCAGGTTGCGGCAACCACAGCTACAAGTATTGACCACTACACGACCAAAAAGCCTGCTGACAACCATTGTACTTCTTATATTTTTTTATGTAAAAACACTCATACTATTTTCTCTGCTTTATTCTCGAACGTCTGCAGATTTTCGTGCTTTTCTCTCTTTCATGCGCTTCTCCGTTACTCTCTCCCCATTCCGCTACATAATTTAAAAAACATCTCATCTCTCAGGACCTGGCCACTGCCTCTACAACAAGCCTCCTGGGAAGTCTCGTTGTCCCATCGACACCTCTCCCTTCTTTCGCTCCATTTTTTTTTTTTTTTTTTTTGACGGAGTTGCTCTGTCGCCCAGGCTGGAGTGCAGTAGCGCGATCTTGGCTCACTGCAACCTCCGCCTCCCGGGTTCAAGCGATTCTCCTGCCTCAGCCTCTCAAGTAGCTGGAATAGCAGGTGCACGCCACCACATTCGGCTGATTTTTGTATTTTTAGTAGAGACGGGATTTCACCATGTTAGCCAGGCTGGTCTTGAACTCTTGACCTCAAGCGATCCATCCGCCTCGGCCTCACAAAGTGCTGGGATTACAGGCGTGAGCCACCGTGCCCGGCCAAATTTCAGGCCAACACCTGTTGACACACATTGCCAGACACACGGAATCCCTCACTGAACACCGATGGGCCCACAAAACACGCGGAGGCCACGGTGGCTGAAGATGTTAGCAAATTCGGTTCGCGGTGTCTGGGGTACAGCCTCGAGGGTCCATTGGCTACCTCTGTGCAAGGACCACTCTGCGCAAGGACCAGTCACCGCTGCTCTCCTCATCTCCATTGAGATTCTCCCGCACACACCTCCCCTTTCTTTGGGCCGCTGAGGCCTCTTGGACCTCCGAGGTGATTGCCCCGCCCGCAGCTTCTCTCCCTCCGGGAGCTTCATTTCTTGTTCCTCTCCGTAGTGGCTCAGCGGTAAGCCCAAGGTCCAGCACACGAATCAGGAAACTGATGGTTCTTGGGTTTGCAGGAATCCGCCCAGAGAACAGATGAAAGTAACAGGTACCAATATCAAAACTGCAGTGACTCACCAGAAACACTACGTGCTTGCCACTTTGCTTAGCGGTTTGTTGAGTCCAACAACTGCGTGGGTCCCGGGTTAGTCTCCTGAATATCTTTTGCTGCTACTTTGGTCAGCGTTGTTGTCAGTTTACCTTGTGGTGGCCAAGCCCTTAAATGCACTATTAGGTTATGCAGTGTAATTCTGCAGGGCAGAAGGGTAAAGAGCCATAGTGAAGAGCAAAAATACCTCTTATCTTGACCGGGAATTGAACCCGGGTCTCCCGCGTGGGAGGCGAGAATTCTACCACTGAACCACCAGTGCCTCTCTCTAGCAACCCTGGGAGAATTATCAAAAAGAGTATCCAGAAAGACTTAGAAACTTCCAAGTGGCCTTTTCAAGTGTCGACTCAAAGCTAACAAAGACATCCAAACCAAATGTTTTTATAGGAAACTTTTACTAAACAAAGTTATAAATATCAAAATAGCTAATTTGTCGGATCAAACTCTTAACTCTGAAAAAGGTCTTTCTACCTGCATTACATACCCCTATAATAAAACGTCACAAATTCATTCATGTTTCTTTTTTCTAATCCTAAATCTTCAATTGTCAACGTCAAACTGCTGCCTTAGTGGTTCTGAGAAGGTAACCTAACTGGTAGCTTAGGTAAGTAAAGTTCTAATCCAGGGAGGAAATAAGAAGCAGAAGCAGAATTAGAATTAGAGGAAAGAGGAAATAAAAGGACAGAATCAAGGTAGAGATAATGAAGAAACAAAGGTTGGTCCACTGAGTTAGTCTTTTGTCGCTGGTTTTTTTGGCAAAAGAGTAATGATCAGTCTTGTAACCATAATACTGTTATTTGTCTGCTTGAAGATGTATAAAGCATTTAAAGGAAATGTGATATAAAAAGATTAATAATGCCTGCAGTCAATATTTCATTGTTAGAGAGAATCCAATTTCCTAAGTTAATATGCTTTGATGTATTAGCTATGTAAGGAGTAGACTAGTTTAAGGAAATATTGATGGTCAAAATATTAACATATTAGTCTTTTGATGAAGTTCAAATAGTAGAGAGATTTCTTTTCTCAATTTTCCCTGGAGAGATTAAACTGAAGAGAAAAATTCAGAGAGTTTGCCCCACATGTTGGGTCTGCGAGTCATTATGACTTTTTCAAAGACAGGAGCTGTGACATGGAATCATGCTTCTTCTCTAGCTGAGAAGCCAAGCTAGGTCCAGGCTGGGTCATAAACTTGAGCCCAACAAGGAAATCACCCTTCACATTGACCTCACAGAGCTTTGACTGTTCTCTGTTCTTTGCCCAACACCCAAGACACACACCAGCTCTGGCCAACAAACCTTAACATATTATCTATATCAACCAGAGCTATATTTATTCCCAAATCTCCTTCTAAAATACAAACCTGTACTTTCTACTCTCAACTTCTAAATTTACAAAGGCCTCATATGCATCTCAGAGTCACAGATGCTAAAACTCAACACACCGGTGAGTTCCCTGTCAGCAATATGTACCACCCTCTACCTCAAAACCCAATGATCAGACTCAAGCACAGCATCTCCCAAAGAGTAGTGCACTGCCCTGGGTGTTTCAATGATCACTAAAACCTGTTTCTAGCCCTGCCTAGCACACTTATCCTCACCACCATCTATCCTATTTGCCAAGCCAGATCTTTCTTTGGATAAACTCTCTCATTTTCATAACACAACAATTTCAGTTCAATTCAAAAAAATAGCGTTTAAGTTTATTGGATACTCCACAAGCTTACTGCCACTTTATTACCACACTTTTCCATCTATCGGCTCTTGCATCCATTAACATAAGCAGACAAAAAACTGGACTCCTGGCCGGGTGCGGTGGCTCAAGCCTGTAACCCCAGCACTTTGGGAGGCCAAGGCAGGCGGATCACGAAGTCAGAAGATTGAGACCATCCTGACTAACATGGTGAAACCCCATCTCTACTAAAACTACAAAAAAAAAAAAAAAATTAGCCAGGCGTGGTGGCACCCATCTGTAGTCCCAGCTACTCGGGAGGCTGAAGCAGGAGAATCGCTTGAACCCAGGAGGCAGAGGTTGCAATGAGCCAAGACCACACAACTGCACTCCAGCCTGGGTGAAAAAGCAAGACTCCACCTCAAAAAAAAACAAAACAAAAACAAACAAAAAAAAACTGGACTCCCTACAGCCAGTGTAGTATGCACCACTCACTTGCCACACTGTATGCTGAGTGACCCTTCCACAGCTTAAATCTGCACATAACTTCAGCCTAGAGCCATATAATGTCCCTTTATTTCTTCAGTACAATGATTAATACCATATTCTCTGTACCCTTCTTCCCTCTATGCTCATCATTCTAACAGCTCTTGCCAATACTCAAATCCAGGAGCAGCAAACTACTTCACATGTCACAAACTTTTCACAGGTTCACACCAGTGGATTCCCCAGTGAACCAGCTGTCTTAACTCAGGCTTCCATAACAAAATACCACAGACTGGGTGGCTTAAACACGAGGAATTTCTTTCTCACAGTTTGAGAGGCTGAGAAGTCCAAGATCAAACTGCCAGCTGATTCACCTCCTTGGTGAGGGCTCTCTCCCTGGCTTGCAGACTGCTACATTCTCCTTCTGTCTTCGCATGGTGGAGAGAAAGAGAGCACTTTCGTCTTTCTTCTGTTTCTTATAATGACACTGATCTCATCATGGAGATCCCATGGTCATGACCTCATCTAAACCTGATTACCTCCCAAAGGCCCTACCTCCAAAATACCTTCACATTGGGGGTTAAGGCTTCAATATATAATATGAAGGGAACACAAACATCCATTCCATTACACTAGCACCTGCATTTGCAATCCAGCCTCTGGGCCAGGCTTAGCAGTGTAGAGCCCAAGGCTTCAATTGACAGGATTTTTATGCTCTCATGCTCTGGCTCCTTGGCTCCAGAAGCTTCTAGAACCAGTAGGGTGATACATCCTTTAGCAACTATATTGTAAAACACATGGTGGGTAAAAGAGTGCCCTATTAAGTATTTTGGTTATGCCCCCATTAGTGTGCTTGGCTCAATATATTAATAGTAAGTAGTGGTTCGCATCCACCCTCAGTACCATCCTCTGCAGTCATCCTGTCAGTTTCCATTCCATTCTCCTATCCCTGGCTTGCTGGTTCAATACTCTTAAGTGATTTACTGCTGGTGCTCTTCTTTTTCCCTCAGAGATACCTTGTGATTTCTTTGATTCTCTCCACCTCTACAGGTTAATAAGTCTAATATTTAAAAACTCTGTAGAAGGATGTTGGGAAGCTGTGGGGAGAGCCCTTGGGCTTTTCGCCTGGGTAAAGTGCAGATTCCTGAGAATTCTGGGCCTTGGCTTCCAGCTGCACTAGTGCCGGCCACTCAGCTGTTCTCAGCAGCGTCACCTGGCGCAATGGTGCTGAAGCGCACTGCCGAGAGGCCAGAAGGCAAAGCGAGAGTCGGTGGCTATGGCCTGGAACCCATTTAGGCAAAACAGAGGGCGCGCGGGGACAAAGCAATAGAGAAGGGTGGGCAATACAGGATCTGTACACCATACATTAACAATTGTATTTATTAAATTGTTGATTACCTAAGCCTCCGGAGAGTAGTTTGGACGCTTACCGGTTTTCTGAGGATTATTTGGGGAAGGGGTATGCATGCAAATGTATGTACATAATTCGTGTGATTTCGGAATATTGACTCCATGAGTTCCAGATGCAGATTTGGAACGTTTTTAAAAAACATTTTGTTTTTGTTGTCTCGCAAATCAGCCAGATCTGCAACTGTATCAGAGTAAAGCGAAGCCAAGCTGGACCCTTAGGAAATGCGCTAACATGTCATCCACTTTCGGTGTCTGCCTGTGAAAATTCAGGCGATAAAGAGAATGAAGAGAACCTTAAGGAATTGCTGGAACCAAAGTTAATATTAAGCAGGCCTGCTGTGACGTCCTCTTCCTGGCAGACCAGTGGAAATTGTAGCCTGGTCGACAATCTGTATAGATTGATGAGGTCTAAAATGTAGTCACAGGTTCAACTACTTTTCTGTTTTCCAACCTCGAGTAAACTCACTAAATTTAAGGGCTAACAAAAAAAAAAAAAAAAAAAAAAAACTTATGTTTCCGCCCGGTTTCGAACCGGGGACCTTTCGCGTGTGAGGCGAACGTGATAACCACTACACTACGGAAACCACAGGCGGAACCTGCACGGCAAAATATAACCATGAAAATCTTAGATCAGCCGTTTCTATTATAGTTTCCAAATCCGAGATCGCACCACTGCACTCCAGCCTAGACGACAGAGCGAGAGTCTCAAAAAAAAGTTGGGAGAAGAAGGTGCCATTTTCCCTAGTTGCTTTTCTTACTGCGGTGGTGACCGCATTGCCTTCACACCTGAAGTCCAAGTGCTTCCACCCTGCAGAATATGCAGACCGCTGGGTCACTGGACGCCAGGCCGCAGCGCCGGCCTCGTTCTGCTTTTGGCTCTAAATGCAGTCGGGGGACGCGACTGGACCTCACCAGAGACTGGTGGGCTGTTACCCTTACCAGCGACTGGAGGGCCAAGCTCCCAAAGAGGCCTACTTCATGATCGCCTTAAATCAGGAAATTTCATGAAATCCCACCCCTCTACCGCCCCATTCCCATATTGTATCTCCTCCCCTGCCCACTCTGAGAGGATTCGCCCCCTTTCTGTCTCGTCTGGACCCTTTGGAGTCCCACATAGACAAGACAAAAGGGGCATTGCCTTTTCCTACAGGAGCGGGAAGAGCCGTCACAGCGGAGGAAACAGAGACTCACAGCGCGCATCCTCACATACTTGCGCCCTGCCGAGTTCCAGCAAACCCAACAAAGCACTCTGAAGCTTCTCTGGAAAAGGAAGGAGTGTGAGGTTTCTGATACGGCAAGAGGAGCCAAAGAGAGGGGACCCAGGCCTTCCCCTAGCTCGAGAGAACAAACCCAGAAGAAGGGCAGATCCAAAGGAAAAGCGCAAAGGCGGCCCAACCCCACGACCTGAGCAAGCCAAGGGTCGCGGGTTAAATTGCGTTTATCAGAACAGTTGTTTGCTCACTGTCCCAAAGCCCTCCTAGGGACAAAGAAAACACTGGCATGGCACCAATCGCAGAAGGGGGCAGCATTGACACCCAGGAACAGGAGTGGAAAAGCAGGAAAAGCAGGGATCATCTCTCTCCTACCCCGTATATGGCTGCAGACATAGCAGTGGTTCTTTTCTCCAGGACCCAGTGAGTGTGCACCAGGAGAGAAAATTATGCACGTTATTCATGGTGGCACCACCCAGGCTGAAAGTGAGCCTGTGCTGCTTGGGCTTTCAGGAAGGACGGGCGCAACTCTCCCTCCCTATACAGAGCTGCAGTGCCCTGGCAATGGAGGACAGACCATGGAGTTGCCTGCCCTGGACTCGGGGAAGAGGCTCTGCCCTAAACCCCATTTTAGTGGTAGCTGTCAGAGTGGCATATCCACAGACTTCAGCTGCACCACAGCCAGGAACCAAAGGACAAAGTCTTTATAAAATGAAGGTTGTGAGCTCTGTGACAGGGCATGATAGGGAAGCGGATCACATTCTTGCCTACTCAGGAGGAGGAGCTAGTGCACCTCTGCCCCTTCCCCTGAGACCTCAGCACACCCCGACATGATCTCTTTCCCACCATCCTGTCAGGGCAGGTTTTTCCACTGGACACCAGCCTACGTAACAGCCCTGACTCTTAAGCACCATCTACTGAACTGCATCCTAAACTGGACCACTGAATTCAAAAACCCTGCTACCAAAGGGCTTAGTGCTAGTCCATGAGATAAGTTTCCTGAGAATTCCGTACCCTCAGCCCCCAACAAGGGTTAGTGTGTTAGCTTTTACTTCCAATACATCACCACAACAAGCAGCATCTGAGAAAGCTACTGCTCAGAAGCTATCCACAACCAAGAAACCCATACAAAGCTAGGGCTCCCTGAAAGCACCCAGAAATGAAGCCAAACAATCATACACAACATACACCACAGTCATACCATCAAGGGAAAAAAAGAATAAAAAAATTAAAAATCCTCATCCAAACAATACCAAATTCAAAACTAAGAAGCAACAGCTTCCTCGGATGAGAAAGAATCAGTGCAATAACTCCAGTGTACCCAGAGTATTTACACACTTCCAAAGGATCACACTAGTTTCTAGCAATGGATCCTAGCCAGACTGAAATGTTGGAAATGACAGATAAGAATTCCAAATACGGATTGCAAGGGAACTCAATGAGATCCAAGAAAAAGTTGAAGTCCAATGCAAAGAAATCAGAAAAACAATACAGAATATGAAAGACAAGAAAACTATATTAAGCAAAATACAAATAGAACTTCTATAATTGAGAAATTCACTAAAGGAATTTCAAAATACATTGAAAGCTTTAATAATAGACTAGACAAGCAGAAGAATGAATTTCAGAGCTTGAAGGTTGGTCTTTCAAATTCACCTAGTCAGACAAAAGTAAAGAAAAATGAATTTTTAAAAATGAACAAAGCTTTTGAGAATTATGGGGTTATGTAAAGCGATCAAACCTATGACTTATTGGCATTCCTGAGAGAGAAGAAGAAAAGTAAGCAACCTGGAAAACATATTTGA